>NC_000001.11:193184587-194434587 GCF_000001405.40 Homo sapiens | reverse complement strand
ATTTACTTACAGTATAAATGTAGATACTGTTAGATATAATCTTAAGAGGTAGGTGCTACTGTCATTTTTATTTTATAGATGAAGGTAGTGGGGTTCAGAGAGTTTAGGTGATGTCCTCAAGGACTTACTTACAGTATTGCTGGACTTTAACCTCAGGCTATATTGGTAAAGCATCTCTATCTTTAAAATCTATGCTATTATTGTCTCTCAATATTAAACCATCTTAACTAAAAATACTAAACCAGATTAACCATGTGTACTTAATTCCAGTAGACTCTGAAATTATGTAACCAATTATTATAGCTGTCTGCTATAAAATTAATAAGTAGTTCTGATCTCAAAGAGTTAGTGGCAGAAAATGAAATTAGTACCAGAATTTTTCTCCATTGGACAGAGATGAACAGCAGTTTGAATTTTAGCAACATACAACATTATTTCTTAGATAAAGGCTGAAAAATGAAGTTAAATATTTTTCAACTTGATCTCCTTTTATACATTAACATAAGCAAAAACATTCTTGTTATTGTTTTAGTAAGAGTTTTCATTTTTTTTACATCACCAAAACTAAGTTAACTTCTATACATACATTTGAACACAGAGCATCATTCTGTTCTTACTCCAATGGAGTGAAAGGCAATTAATGGCTATAAGCTCAATGACAGGGTCATTAAAAACCTGTTTGTAGCCTTTAGAAATATGTGTAACCTCAAGTTGATGATACAGAGAACCATCTGGAGACCACGGTTTAAATTGCAACCACTGACTCTGGCATGGATGTGCAGGTTTCTTAAGGCAATTCTGTGCTCTTTGTTCAGTATCTCTGCTCTACACATTAGTAAACATTTTTTAATGCAATCCTAGGCTTAACACCAATAATCCAGAAATTTTACATTACTGTTACATGCTGAATTTTCATATACCAAAATATCATATACTAGCTGTATAAAATGTAAATGTGTTGCTCTTTGACAAGAATATTTTAATCAACAATTTGCTTGAACTTTTATATCCTTAGGCAAGAAGAATTCTAAAATGTGTAATAAAAGATCAAAGGAAATGTTCAATGGTAGCTCTGGAATTAATAAATGTAAAATCTGTGAGGTATGTTAGAAGTTACACCCAGAGTAAGAAAAATTAACTTATGTCTATTCCAATCGTCAATATTCAGAATCCTGTATTCACTTTTGATCTTTCGTCGCTTGCATCTTCTATGTTCAAGCGAATTTCAGCAAATTTTGCCTTTTCATATGTCTGAAACTATGCCTGATTTCTATAATCCCATCACCATCACCCTAATCCTATTTGAAGTCAGTATGTATCTTGATTTCCATAGCACAATCCATGTAACAGGCTTTCTTGATGGTAGTTTTTATAAGCTCCCCTTTAAGCACAGTAAAGTCAGTTTTTCAATAAATTTAAATCATGGCATTTTCCAGCCTAAAATATAATAAGTTATATTTAAACTGCTAATCCTGCTTAGATACTTCAGAAATTTCTTTGAATTTTATTTCCCCTTTTTGTCAAACATAAGCCATCCATTCTAGTAATTTTCTCAGTTCAGCATCCTCAATGGGATCACCATTTGTCATGTTCACTCCTGTCTTTACTATTTTTTCTTGCTTTAGTCTTGTGTAACCACTGCCTATTATCTGGTTATTTAAATCCTTACATCCTCAACCTTTTTTGTTTCACGACTCCTAAAACCTTTTGTTTATAGAGATTTTATGTAATGATATATATATAATTTTTGAAGTTAAAGATAAAAAATATTTATTAATGAAATTACACAAAACAATATTAACCTACTATATGTTTAACAAATAAAATAATGCTGTAAAAACAAGCATATATTTTTAAAATAGTGGAAGGAGTGTCAGTGTTTTATATTTGCAAACCTTAATTTCTGGCTTTACAGCAGACAAATAGAATAACCTATTTACTTTTACTTCTACATTTGTTCTGTTACAATCTGCTGTTTTGGTTGAGTATATGAGGAAAATCAGTTTTACACAAAAATGCAACAGGAAAAGGGGGACCCATGCATATTCCCTGAAATATTTTTGGCACCACTAGTGGTCTTCAAATTATACTTGGGATCTGCTACTTGAAGTTTCTAGTTAAGACCCTCTACAGCTTGGTACTTTTGAGTTGTTAAAAACCTTAATGCATGCATTTCATGCGATGTCATAGAACAAATGTTTAATCTTTTTTACTTCCTTATAATTTATGCCTTTTCTACATTGTAGATTATATTTCATTTATATTCGAACGTGAAGCAGTATACTACACTGCTTCAGTACCAATTTTTTTTTTCTTTTTTTTGAGGAAGAGTCTCACTCTGTTACCCAGGCTGGAGTGCAGTGGCATGATCTCAGCCCACTGCAACCTCCACCTCCAGGGTTCAAGCAATTCTCTGCCTCAAGCTCCCGAGTAGCTAGGATTACAGGCACCTGCCACCACGCCTGGCTAATTTTTGTATTTTTAGTACAGAAGGGGTTTCACCATCTTAGCCAGGCTGTTCTTGAACTCCTGACCTTGTGATCCACCCACCTCGGCCTCCCAAAGTGCTGGGATGACAGACGTGAGCCACTGTTCCCGGCCTCAGTACCAAGTTTTTGTAGATTCCAAGGTTCCATTTCATTCCATCCTTGCTCAACTGTTTTTTGTTTTGTTTTGTTTTGTTTTGAGACAGAGTTTTGCTCTTGTTGCCCAGGCTGGAGTGGAATGGCACAATCTCGGATCACTGCAACCTCTGCCTCCGGGGTCGAAGTGATTCTCCAGCCTCAGCCTTCCGAGTAGTTGGGATTACAGGCATGAGCCTCCACGCACCTCTAATTTTGTATTTTTAGTAGAGACAGCGTTTCTCCATGTTGGTCAGGCTTGTCTCGAACTCCCAACCTCAGGTGATCCACCTGCCTCAGTCTCCCAAAGTGCTGGGATTACAGGCGTAAGCTACCATGCCTGGCCCCATGTTCAAATGTTAACCAGCTGTAGGGCAGGTTTCCTTAGCTATTCGTGCCTTAAATTGTTCTTCTTTATAAGAGAAATAATAATAGTGTGACGTGACAACGTGCTAGCAGCCCTCGCTCGCTCTAGGTGCCTCCTCGGCCTTGTTGTCTGCTCTGGCCGTGCTCCAGGAGCCCTTCAGCTCGCCGCTGCGCTGTGGGGGCCCCCTCTCTGGGGCTGGCCAAGGCCGGAGCCTGTTCCCTCTGCTTGCAGGGAGGTGTGGAGGGAGAGATGCTGGCGGCAGCCAGGGCTGTGCACACTGCTGGCAGGCTGGCGGCTCGGGTTCCAGGTGGGCCCAGTGCCTCCGCATGGCAGGCCAACGCCTGCTGGGTTTGATCGGAGGCTGGGTCCCGCACGTGGACTGCTGTTCCCTCTTTGCGGGGTCGTTGGTGATGATGGCAAGTCTCCTTCTCTTTCTAGCTTCCCCTCTTTTCCTCTTGGTTGTCCGGGAGGAGTGCCCGGGCTAGGTGCCGCAAAGTCCTGCCCGGTGAGTACCATTGAGAAGTGAAGCCTGTGGGGCTTCTGGGATGGGTGGGGACTTGGAGAACTTTTCTGTCTAGCTCAAGGATTGTAAATGCACCAGTCAGCACTCTGTGTCTAGCTAAAGGTTTGTAAATGCACCAATCAGCACTCTGTCCAAATGGACCAATCAGTTCTCTGTAAAACGGACTAATCAGCTCTCTGTAAAATGGACCAATCAGCTCTCTTTAAAATGGACCAATCAGCAGGATGTGGGTGGGGCCAGATAAGGGAATACAAGCAGGCCACCTGTGCCAACAGCAGCAACTGGCTTGGGCCTCTTGCAGTGAGGAAGATTTGTTGTTTCACTCTTTGCAATAAATCTTGCTGCTGCTCACACTTTGAGTGCCCGCCACCTTTATGAGCTGTAACACTCACCACGAAGGTGTGCAGCTTCACTCCTGAAGTCAGGGAGACCACGAACCCACCGGGAGGAATGAAAAACTGCAGACCACCTTTAAGAACTGTAACACTCACTGCAAAGGTCTGCAGCTTCACTCCTGAAGTCAGTAATACCATGAACCTACCAGAAGGAAGAAACTCCAGACACATCTGAACATCTGAGGGGACAAACTCCGGACACACCATCCTTAAGAACTGTAACACTCACTGCGAGGGTCTGCGGCTTCATTCTTGAAGTCAGCGACACCAAGAACCCACCAATTCCAGACACAATAGTACTCATAGAATTGTTTTGAGTTTTAAACTACTATGTGTCTGTACACAAATAAACACATTCAAATATATATATATTTGAATATATATATATCTGTGTGTGTGTGTGTATATATATATATATACACTGAATTGTTTTTCCTACTGTTATTTCTTTTTTTTTTTCAGTATGGTAAGGAAATTACAGCATGCTTTTCAGCAGTAAAACCAACTACATTATCTTTTAATTTATATTTGTAGTAATATTTTAAATATGAAAATCAGAAGTTATTATTCATAGCATGTGAGATTTAGAAGAGAGCCAGAGTTTTGAAAATTACCAATCTTGCAAAAATGTGAAAAAAAAGAGTCATTTCTGCACAATTACACACAATTTTAAGAGATCATCTCTTTTAGCTTAATCATAATCAAATAGTTTATTTTAATGAGCCTTTCCTTAGTGGGGTCTACACTTGCTATTCCCTCTGTCATACCCATCTGTCATTATGTGTCAATTTCCTAAGGTAATTAAGAAGTTGCCTACAAAAGCAAAAACGATATTTAGGCAGGGTATGTACAAATTTGAAAATATGTTTATTACACTATACTTCGAAAAATTAAATTTTGAAAACAGCAAATAATCTATTCAAATATCTCACACATTAAGGTGACTTCAAAATACTGTTCTGAAATTAAAACTTTGGAAAATGAAATGTTACAGCTTTATTAATAAAATATTTTGAAGTGGTGTTGTAGGTATCTTCTGATTCCTCCCAACACACACAGACACACCATTGTTCTTTACCCTGTTTTATTTCCAGCAAGCCTATTTCATTTGAATTGTATTCATGTACTCCAAAGTCTCTGTTCTCTGGTTAGATTTCAGCAATGGAAACATCCTCCAGGAAACTGGAGGATATGAGGCTGGGAAATTAGGAGTACTTGCTACATTTTGTCATTCCCTGCATAGTCACCATGTTTAACTGCATTCCTCTGTTAAATTACTGGCCAAAATAATCTCTCCTGATTTCAGTAACTGTTTCTGTTCCTTTATCCTTCAGACCCTCTGCTGTTAATTGTTCTGGGAAAGTTCATGTGATTGTTTTTCCTTACCTTCTAACCAATATGATAAAAAGAACCAAATGGTACAGGTTGAGATTTCCTAACATTTATTTCTTGTTGCATGAGATTCAGTTTCTAATACATTTAGCAACTTTTCAGCTTACACTTATTAAAAGAAAAAAATTAACAGGACTTTTAATAATTAAATATGTCAGGCACTGTACTAGATGTTGGGGGATACAAATTAGATGTTGTACCTGTATTTGAAGAGCTCATGATCTTTAGAATCTATTAATAGGCTGATACTATAAAAAATGTAGTACATGAAACACTTTGAACCACAAAGGACCTCAGAGCTCATCTATTCCAATATTGCACTTTTCTGGTTAGAAAAGGTGACACACAGAGAGTTGATTTATACTGAATATAGTGGTCTTTTCAGTAGTCTTTATGTTAGTCTTTTGTACATTTTTCTCAAGATAATCTCAGTAATTTGTGAACCTACAAATCCATATATTTTGTTTTCATTTGTATAATTTTATTGAGATTTTACTTAACAGCTTACAGAAACAAAGACTTAAAAGCTATAAAACAATCAAAGAAAATATAGCATGTTTATTTCACCATTATTATGTATTTTCCTGGAAAAAATGTGTAATAGTACCCCCAGGGGATAAGCCTGATTGATTTTTTTCCTGAGAGAAGTATTTTTATTTATTATGCAGTAAATATAGAGATATATGTAGTAAATATCAATATTTCAGTTAGAAAGAATGTTGCATATTGGGAAATAATATGTGTAACACATGCAATAAGCAATGGCTTAATATATCAAAGAACAGACAACACTTCCTGAAGAAGCACAGAAATAACAGAGATGAATAGCCTACCAGATTTACAATGACTTACAGAAATGAGCATCTATATAGTGTTGGAGAGGCTCTGTACACAGAGATTTCATAACTGTTGAAAGACAAGAGAAAGAGAGAAACAGACCATCTTTTTTGCGAAATTCATACACACACAAATTGAGGAAAACTTACTTCACAATTAATACATTAGAAAATGTTTGTGATTTAGTAATCAAGTTAATATTTTCAGCAGCATATGAAAAACTTGTTAATTAAACTCATTTAGCTATCGTAATATTCATGATGTTTACTAGTCTGTTATATGGTTATATCTTCCTTTTTTTTTTTCTGAGATGGAGTCTCATTCTATTGCCCCGACTGGAATGCAGTGGCGCGATCTCTGCTCACTGCAACCTCCGCCCCCCGAGGTTCAAGTAATTCTCCTGCCTCAGACTCCCGTGTAGCTGGGATTACAGGCATGCACCACCACGCCCAGCTAATTTTTGTATTTTTAGTAGAGACAGAGTTTCACCATTTTGGCCAGCCTGGTCTAGAACTCCTGACCTCCAGTGATCCACCTGCCTCAATCTCCCAAAATGCTGGGCTTACAAGCATGAGCCACTGAGCCAAGCCAATATACCTTACTTTTATGGTGAGAAACAATCAGCTTTAAACACCGTTATGGGTTGTCAGTGGCCTCAGTGCTTTCGGGCTACGCCCTTATTTACACTGACAACAAGGTGATACTGGAGTGTTATAGAGTTACAGAGAAGACCTTCAATTATCAATTATAGGTTTTAAATTTACCCTGGCTTTTAAAGGAATAGGGTCCAGTGTTTTTTCTTTACTATTTCTCTCTTTCTTTCTCTTTGGCTTTCTGTCTCTTTCTCTTTGACTCCTTCTTTGTCTCTGTCTCTTCCTCTCTCTCTCTGACTCCCTCTTTGTCACTCTGTCTCTTCCTCTCTCTGTCTCTCTTTCCTTTTCTCTTTGACTTTGTCTTACCCCTCTCTCTCTCTCTCTCTCTTTCTGTCTTTCTCTGCTGGTCTTTCCCTGCCTCTGCCAGCCACTTATGCTGCTGTTCTCCCCTCTCCTTCCCCTTTTTGATGGCTTCGGCTGTGTAAGACTGCCACCTCCTTGGGTTTTTGCACTATGTGCAATAACTCCATGATTTCCTTGTGGAATTTAATGCGGATTCTGCCAGAGGTTCGGAACTTCCTATCTTTCCATATTGCAGCATGGGCATGTAGGATTAGATAAGCATACTTGCTATCTATATACACGTTTGTTCTTTTTCCCTTTCTCAGTTCCGAGGCTTGGGTAAGTGCCACGAGTTCTGCTAACTGGGTGCTGGTCCCTGGGGGAAGAGGCTTACTTTCAAGTACTGTTATATCACTAACTGTGGCATAACCTGTCCTTCATATCCCATTCTCCACAAATGAACTTTCATTGGTATATAGGTTAAGGTCAGGATTAGCTAAGGGGACTTCTAAGAGATTCTCTCAGGTGGCATAAGTCTGGACTATAATTTGTTGGCAGTCATGCTTGATTGGTTCCCCATCCTCTGGGAGAAAAGTGGCAGGATTGAGAGCCACACACATACGTATTTGAAGCACTGGTCCCTCAAGGAGTAGTGCTTGGTATCTGAGCAGGCAGTTGTCTGATAGCCATAAACTTCCTTTGGCACCTAGTATGCCATTTACATCATTAGTAGTCCAGACAGTGAGATCCTTTCCTTGTATTATTTTGATAGCCTCTGATACTAAGATGGCCACCGCTGCAACTAGCAGTAAACAGTGAGGCCAGCCTTTTGCTAATATATCAATTTCCTTACTTGGGTATGCCACTGGTTGTGGGGTTGTCCCACAAGTCTGAGTAAGGACTCCAAGAGCTATTCCTGCTCTCTCTGTGATGCGTATAGAGAAGTTTTGTCCTGTAGGAAGGCTTAAGGCTGGAGCTTGTACTAGGGCCTGCTTCAAGGTTTTGAAGGCTGTTTCTGCCTCTGGTTCCCATTCTACTAGATGAGTATTTGCCCTCTGGGTCTCCTTGATTAGAGTAGCGAGGGGCTTGGCTATGTCACTGTATCTGGGGATCCATAGTCGGCAAAAGCCGGTGATTCCAAGGAACCTCCACAACTGTTTTAATGTCTTTGGGAGACGGTAAGCCAGTATAGTCTGTATTCGTTCCTTGCTGAGGGCCCTGGTTCCTCTGGCTAAGATTAGGCCTAGATATTTGACTTGTGGTAGGCAGAGCTGGGCCTTCAATTTAGATGCCTTGTACCATTGATTAGCTAGAAAGTTCAAGAGATCTAGAGTAGCCTGCTGGTATGAGGCTTCCGAACTGGTAGCCAACAGTAAATCATCCACATGTGGAAGGACCAGAGTGCCTGGACTTGAGCAGTGGCCTAGATCTTGGGCCAGTGCCTGACCAAACAGATGAGGGCTATCCCTAAACCCTTGGGGCAAGACCATCCACGTAAGTTGGGATGTGCGGTCTGTGGGATCCTCCAAGGCAAAGAGAAACTGGGAGTCAGAGTACAGGGGAATACAGAAGAAGGCATCCTTCAGGTCCAGAACCATGAACCATTCTGCTTCCTCTAGTAGTTGAGAGAGAAGGGTATAGGGGTTGGGTACAACTAGATATAGAGGAATCACTGCCTCATTGATGAGTCTAAGATCTTACACTAGTCTCCACTGAGTGTTCAGTATTTTTACTCCTAGAATTGGGGTGTTGCAGGGACTGCTGCATTTTCTTACTAAGCCTTGAGCTTTTAAATGTCTAACAATATCCTGTAATCCTTTATGAGCTTCAGGCCTTAAGGGATATTGCCTTTGAAAAGGAAAAGCGGTGGGGTCTTTTAGCCTGATTTGGACTGGGCAGGCATTTTTGCTGTTCCAGATTGTCGTTCCAATGCCCAGAATTCAGGGTTGATTCCCTCGTTAAGCAGGGGACAACAAATGGGTAACTTGTTCCCCATATTCATGTAGACAATAGCTCCAGCTTTGTCTAATATGTCCCTGCCTAATAAGGGTGTGGGACTTTCAGGCAAAACAAGAAAGGCATGTGAAAAGAGCAAAGTCTCCCAATTACAACTGAGGAGGTGGGAGAAATACCTGGTTACAGGCTGTCCCAGGATTCCTCGGATTGTAACGGACCTTGAGGACAGTCATCCACAACAGGAGATTAAAACTGAGAAAGCCGCACCAGTGTTCAAGAGGAAGTCAATTTCCTGGCCCTCAATGGTTAAACATACCCCGGGCACAGGGAGGGTGATGACATGAGCTGGTGCTTGCCCCAGGCACCCTCAGTCCTGTTGTTGGATCATCTAGTTAGGGGCTTCTGGCCCAGAGAACCATTGCACTCTGGGGCAGTGCACCTTCCAGTGATTGCCTTGGCATAGCGGACATGGACAAAGGGGTGGCTTGTTTCTCGTTGGACAATCTTTTTTAAAGTGTCATTGCAAACCACATTGATAACAAGCCCTACCGGGTGATTGGCCTGCTCCATTTTCTGTCCTCTCTGAACCACCAGGGTTTCTTTGTATGAGGGCCATGACTAAGGCTGCAGCCTTTCTCTGATCTCACTTTTCCTTTTTGGCCTGTTCCTCTTGGTCCCTATTATAGAACACTGAGGTTGCCAGGTTTAATAATGCCTCCAGATTTTCTTCAAGGTCCAGGGCTTGCTTTCGGAGCTTTCTCCTCATATCTGTGGCTGACTGGGTAATAAACTTATCTTTTAGGATCAATTCACCCTCAAGGGAGTCGGGTGACATGGAAATTTATTTTCTTGAAGCCTCCTGTAGCTGCTCAAGAAAGGCAGAAGGATTTTCTTCCTTCCCCTGAGTTATGGCAGACATCATTGAATAATCACGGGCTTTTTCCTAATTCTCCTTAGTCCTTCTAGAACATAAGTCAACAGATGTTTACGACTCCAGTCCTCATGATATGAGTCGAGGTCCCAGTGGGGATCCAAATGGAATGGCTTGCTGATCGGTAGGGAATTTGTCCCTTTCTTCAGCTGTCATTCTATCATTTACTTGACTAAGATACTGGGTATCTCCAAACTCTCGGGCTGCAGCTAAAGCCGCATTTTTTTCATTAAAGGCCAGGGTTTCATCTAACAATAGCATGACATCTCTCCAAGTGAGGTCGAAGGTTTGCCCTAGGCCCTGTAGAACATCTATGTACTTATCAGGATCATCTGAAAACTTCCCCAGGTCTACCTTGATCTGCTTTAAATCAGAGAGGGAGAAGAGGACATGTACCTAGGTTGGGGCAAATTCCCCTCCCTCTACAGCTTGAAGGGGACATAACCGATAGCCAGGGTGGTTTTGTGGTCCTTTGGAGATTTCTTTGCTTGTTTCCTTCTGGGTGAGGGAGATTAAAGGAGGCTTATCATCAATAGGAAGGGGAACCATAGGGAGGCTAGGATATGGAGGTATGCTGAGAGGTCCTCTTGTGGGATGTAAATTACAGGCTTTGCATAGTTGTGGATTCTCCTTCAATGAAAAGAAAGCTTGGACATAAGGTATTTCACTCCATTTGCCTTCCTTCTTACAGAAAAGGTCAAGCTGCAGGATAGTATTGTAATTTATACTTCCCTCAGGTGGCCATTTTTCCCCATCAGAGAGAGAATATTGGGGCCAGGCTGTAATGCAGAAAAAAATGAGCTGCCTCTTTTTCAGGATTTGTGGGTCAAATTGGTCCTAATGGCTTAGGATGCATTTCAAGGGTGAGCCTGTTGATGTCTGAGTGTTTCCCATCTGAAAGAAAAAACCACCCACGGTTCTGGTCTTTTCGTTTACCCCCCCCCCCCACCCTACCCAAGAAGCCACAACGGTCCCTGGAGCCTACTGATCAGAATAGTTGCACTCACCAACGCAGCAGCAGAAACACTAGTTTTCATCCTAGACCACAATGAGGACTGAGGAAGGTTGGATTTAATGGCCCTTACCAACGCATTCTTGAAAACCTGCTCCCTTGGCTCTCTTAGACCACAAACAGGACCAAGACAAATCAGATTTAGTGGTCATTACCAATGCATTCTCGAATACCTGTTAGGGTCCTAAGCATTTTCTCCTATTAGTGTTGGGACCTTATCCCTGTCCTGTAAGCATGATATGTCCCAACAATGGAGTGGAGGGCTATACAATGAGGGAGGGAAGAGATCTCCAGGGTTGGAAAAATGAAGCCTTTTGTCCTCACTTCTCGTCATATGGATAGGAAGGATATCATTTCTGAAGCTCCCCAAATCCTAGCTTCAGGAATAGCCTTTGTTAGGCCTGCTAGTCTGAAGAGGTATCCTAAAATGATGGGGCTTTGGGCAAAAATTATGTCTAATTGGTGAGCCTGGGTGCCTAAACAAGGGAACAGAGTCCCGAAATTTATACTAGTAATCATTCTTATAGGAGAAACTAGAAAAGCACCAGAAACAGGGAGTGGTTTTTAGAAGTGGGACTAGCCTCAGAGAAGAGAGGCAGGAGGAAGTTTGTCTGACAGGTGTTAGGACCCAGGAGGCAAGCGTCAGGATAGATAGGACAGATGGGCAAGTCTCACATAGGTGACATGACTTTGAGAGTTCTGATCATGGCTACAGAGTCAACCAACTTTTTACTGGGACCCTGGAGCTGAATGGCTTTCCTCTCTGTCAACCCTTGGCTCAGCCCAGAAGTACAGGAAATGTGGAAGCTGGTTCTAGGTAAACCAATGCTCCCTGTTCCGAACAGTTGGGGAAGAATTAGCGAACACTTTCCCAGAAAGCCTGACACCCATGTCCTTAGTCTGGTGGCTGCACTAGTCACTTTTAACTGGCCAAGAGATGCCCAGTGTTTAGTCCCCAAATTCTAAGAAAAAATGGGACAGAATACCAAGCAAAAGAGGTCCAATGGTACTCACCACTTGGCAATAGTCCCTTTGTGGTCACCAAGATGTGTCTGGAGTTCCTTCCTTCATGTGGGATCTTGGTCTTGCTGACTTCAAGAATGAAGTCACAGACCTTCCTAGTGAATGTTACAGGTCTTAAAGGTGGCATACACCCAAAGAGTTAGCAGCAGCAAGATTTATTGTGAAGAGCAAAATAACAAAGCTTCCCCAGCATGGAAGGGGACCCAAGTGGGTTGCCACTGCTGGCTGGGGTGGCCAGCTTTTATTCCCTTATTTGTCTCCACCCTTGTCCTGCTGATTGGTCCATTTTACAGAGTGCTGATTAGTCCATTTTACAAACCTCTAGCTAGCTACAGAGCACTGATTGGTGCATTTTTACAGAGCACTGATTTGTACATTTTACAATCCTCATGTAAGACAGAAAAGTTCTCCAAGTCCCCACTCGACCCAGGAAGTCCAGCTGGCTTCACCTCTCATTTACTAGTCTGTTATATGGATATATCTTACTTTTTGTGGGGAGGGGGATGGAGTCTCACTCTATCACCCAGACTGGAATGCAGTGGCGCGATCTCAGCTCACTGCAACCTCTGCCTCCTGGGTCCAAGTGATTCTCCTGCCTCAGCCTCCTGTGTAGCCGAGATTACAGGCATGTGCCACCATGCCTAGCTAATTTTTGTATTTTTAGTAGAGACAGAGTTTCACCATGTTGGCCAGCCTGGTCTCGAACTCCTGACCTCAAGTGATCCACCCACCTCAACCTCCCAAATTGCTGGGATTACAGGCATGAACCACTGAGCCCAACCAATGTATCTTACTTTTATGGTGATAAACAATCAGCTTTCTTTTTGTTTTATAACAAAAACATAGTTGAGAAAAATTTCATGCACATATATATATATATATTTTTTTTTTCCAAACCTGAACAATTATCTTTAACTGTATACTTCTGAAACTAATAGTTAGACTATTCAATGTACTCATTTTCAAACTTGAAAATTTTTGAAAAAGTCACCTATATTAAGGTAATATCAAATTGTCTCCTGCCAATAGTGTTTGTACCAATTTCCATGTAACCTGCACCACACCAGGCTGAAAATAGTTTTGTTATTTTATGAGGCTGATTATATTTCATTTATAAAACACAGCTTTTAGACAATTAAATTTATTCCTGGATGAGTTAACCATAATATTCTTTGCTTAATTGCTATTGAACTGTTCAATTATTTATTTATTTTCACTGTTACAGAAGGAAGTGATTAGCAATTGAAGATATCAGTACTTAAGAGATTTTCAAAAGGTTTGACTTCTCAGCCTGGTCAACTGGATCAACAAGAAAAACAGATCCTAAACTTTATCTAAGTAGAACTACACGAAGAGCTTGGTAAGTGGACTTTGGCATTTTAGAAACAAAGAAGCTAGTACTATCTCTTATTCAGGAAAAATTATTAGTGACAGGGAATGATTATACTGTCACTGGTGACAGCAAGAAATGAGAGGTAGGTGATGGAAATGGTGTATTTTTAAAAATTGCTTAGTAGATCTGTGGGTGTATATGAGTGAGAGTGCATATACATGTATCATAAGCAAGGTAAGAACTTGAGGAAAAATTCCCATATGGCAGTGGCAGCCTGTCTGGAGAGGTTGCTGCAAAGATGCAAGCTGCAGTGGGGAAGGGGAGGCTGGGACTGTGCACTCGAATGTGCTGATGGAAGCTGGAAACCGGCAGGAGCCCTGCTCACTTCCAAGTTGGCAAGGCAGGAGCCCAGCCCTCCTGGATGCAGCTGCAGCCACCCAGCTGCATCTGCAGACCTGGCATCCCTGCCTTCTCAAGGGCAGAAATCTCCTCTGCCTCTGTAGGCTCGGAAGCGCCTGCCCCCACTGCTTGGCCTCCTCCTAATCCCAGTGCTTGCTCTGACTTCAGAGCAAAGTTGAGGCTAAGCCCAGGTGCTGTTGTGACCTGGGTAGGTGTGTGCACCCTTGGGTCAGCACTGACACATCAGCCCCTTGCAACTTTGGCCTCCTCTGAACTTTGGGTGCCAACAAGCATGGGAGGGAGGCAGAGGGGTTGCTGAGGATATCTCCTTGCAGGCCTGCAGGTGCTCTTTCTCAGGAACAGCCTGGGTGCAGTGGATGACATAATTGATGGTGTCAGGAGGCAAACAAGCACCTGGGCAAAAAGGGGTGGGTCCCTTGTGAAGCCCCACCTTCAAACCTGGGAAGCCTGAAGCATGGTGGCCGGGCTGTCAGTTCTGGGTGGAGTCCACAGCTGGGTGTGACAACTTATGGTGCTTTTTCTGGACCTGCCCATGGCTGCCCATGGACCAATCAGCACACACTTCCTTCCTTCTGAAGCCCATAAAATCCCCAGGACTCAGCCAGACTCACAGAGATGTCAGAACTACCAGCTGTGGGAAGGAGCTATCCACTTTGGGTCTCCTCCACTCATCAGGATGACCTCCCTGCAGATAAGAGCAACTCACCTCCAGATCTTTTCTCCATTGAGGGCTGCACTTGTCAGGACTACCTGTCTGCAGAAAGGAGCTACCCAAACTGGCATCCTCTCCATTGAGAAGTGAATACTCATTGGGATGACCTGTCTGCAGAAAGGAGCTACCCACTTCAGATTTCCTGAGAACTGTTCTGTTGCTCAATGAAGCTCCTCTTTGCCTTGCTGACCCTTTTTGCCTTGCTGACACACACAGTTGTCTGTATACCTCATTCTTCCTGGACGTGGGACAAGAACCCACTTGGGACTTGCTGAATGGCAGGACTGAAAAAGTGGTAACATGAACAGGGCTGAAACATGACCCCTGGTTGCCATATTGCAGGCCAGGAGCCTGCCAGGCTGAGTGGGCAGAACAAGCCCAGCAGGCTGAGTAAAACTTGGGCAAGTCACCACTGAACACAGAGATTTCCATGTGGGAAAGTGACACCCTAATGTTCCTGTGACAATTAGGTTATCTTTAAAAAACAGGGCTAAGAATACCATAGAAATGAGAGAAGTTCAACTGAAATAAAGTGTAGACAAAAATTACATTTGGTCAGAGCACACAAGAAGCTTCTATATTCATATAACTTTTACTTACCTCCCAGCACTATTATAAAGATTTAAAAGCAACACTGCCAAAGCTGCAGAGCTGTTTTATTTCCACATATCT
Organism: Homo sapiens; assembly: GCF_000001405.40. Classification (NCBI taxonomy): domain Eukaryota; kingdom Metazoa; phylum Chordata; class Mammalia; order Primates; family Hominidae; genus Homo; species Homo sapiens. The sequence goes on along the minus strand of NC_000001.11, from coordinate 194,419,458 downwards.
ATGACAGAAATTAATAAATTATGATCAAGTAAGGTTTTATTGAAAAATCTATATTTTCAATTGCATATATACATTTTTAATCTAAAGCCTTAATATTGAACTCCATAATTTTACAATTAAAAAAGAATTGAAAATTTTCTTTAATAGATTGAAGCTCACAAAATGTATCTTTAATAAGAACATTTTATAATAATCATATTAATATTGGTTATTATTGTGTTATAAATATATGAACTAGTATTATTTAATAAAATAGTGTTAATATAAAAATGTGCAAAAATGGTTTACACTTTTAAATGGGAGCTACTCTCATTAAAGAAATGTTTATAGTAAAACACTGACTTTCTAAATTTTATTGTTAGTTTAGGACTTCTTAATTTAGTTAAACTTAAAATAATGTTTTAAGGTCTCAAATAAAAAGAAAAATTCTACCTGATATTTTTAACCAAAAAAATGTAGCAGAGAAGGAGGTGTAATGAGAAGAGAGGACTTCTTAAGTTATGGCTTTAATTTTCAGTATTGGATAACTGTTTTTGCCTCTTTGCCATGTAAAGAAAGTCTCTTTCATATATTTGAGAGTTTATATCCAGCAAATCACTTTCTACCTTAAAAATGTTCATAATATATAACTTGATGTTTTATAGTCATAAAGTTTTACTTCAAATTTGGAATAAATGGAAAGCATAGAGTCTTCTGGAAATATTAAATCTGAATACACGAATCTTAAATAAGCAGTCAAATTATTATTATTATTTTTTCTGAGATGGAGTCTCACAGTGTCACCTAGGCTGGAGTGTGGTGGTGCCATCTCAGCTCACTGCAGCCTCTGGCTCCCAAGTTCAAGCCATTCTCCTGCCTCAGTCTCCTGAGTAGCTGGGATTACAGGTGCCCACCACCATGCCTGGCTAATTTTTGAATATTTATTATAGATGATGTTTCACCATGTTGACCAGGCTGGTCTCAAACTCCTGACCTCAGGTGATAGAGGTGCCTTGGCCTCCCAAAGTGTTGGGATTACAAGCGTTAGCCACCGCACCTGGCCAAATGAAATTTTAAGAAATGCACACACCTTATACTATCACCATCCAGAACAATACAATAAATTTAAGTATGTCAGAAATCTCCCTCCAGTCTCTTCTCAGTCATTATCTACAAAGGTAAACACTATTTGACCTCTAGACTAATTTTATCTATGTTTTAGTCTCATATGAATAGATTAATGCAATAATAGCTCTTTTATATCTGGCTTTCTTTCCCTAAGCATTATTTCTGTGAGATTCCTTCATATCACTACTTACAGCAATTGCCTGTTCATTTTCATTGTTCTGTAATGCTATATTGTATGAATAAGCAAATATGTATTTATCCATTCTGCAATTAATGAACATTGCAGTTTGGGGAATCGAGAAATTTTGCAATTTAAATTTACATATACATTTTGGTGATGATTTATATATTTTTATTAGATATATTATTAATAATGGTATTTCTGCATTTACATTTGATAAATTCAGCTTAATTGGGAATCTCCCAACACTTTTCCAAACTCATTGCATGAATTAAAATTTCTGCCCACTAGCAGTGTTTCAGAGTTGCAGTTCTTTCAAATCTTCTCAATATACTTTAAAATATATTTTAATTTTAGCTGTTACAGAAAGCATGGCTATCTCATTTTTTAAGCTTATTTTCTTTTATTTTAAGTCCCAGGATACATGTGTAGGGTGTGCAGTTTTGTTACACAGGTAAACTGTGCCATTGTGATTTACTGCACCTATCTTTTTTGCTGCCTGACTCTTTTTCTGAAGAAGCTACAGCATTTTGCATTACCACTAACAGTGTATGTGTGTTCCAGTGTATCCAAATCTTTGCTAACTCTTGTCACTACTTTTTTTTTTAATTTATAGACATCCAAGTAGCTTTTATTTGCAATTCTGTGATGGCTAATGATGGTGAACATGTTTTCATGTACTTATTGGCCAATTGTATGCCTTCTTTGGAAAAAATGTCTAGATTTTTGCCCATTTTTAGTATTTTTTATTCAGCAGTATCAGTTCTTTATATGTTAGATATAAGTTTTTTATCAGGTACATAATTTTCAAATGTTTTCTTCTATTCTGTGGGTTGTCCCTCCACTTTCTTCATGGCATCCATAGACTTGCAAACATATTTAATTCTAATGAAGGCCACTTTACCTATATTTTAATTAACTAATTAATTAATTTTTGAGAGGGAGTCTCTCTCTGTTGCCCAGGGTTGAGTGCAGTGGCGCAATCTTGGCTCACTGCAACCTCCGCCTCCTGAGTTCAAGCTATTCTCCTGCCTTAGCCTCTTGAGTAGCTGGGACTATAGGCATGTGCCACCATGCCCAGCTAATTTTTGTATTTTTAGTAGAGATGAGGTTTTGCCATGTTGGCCAGGCTGGTCTCGAACTCCTGACCTCAGGTGATCTGCCCACCTTGGCCTCCTAAAGTGCTGGGATTACAGTCATGAGCCACCATGCCCAGCCTTTATTTTTTGCTTCCGTTTTTTTTTTTTTTTTTTTTTTTTGCTGTTATATGTAAGAAGGATTTGCCTAAATCAAAGTCACAATGACTTAATCTTATATTTTCCTAAAAGAGCTTAGACTTTAGCTTATGTATTTAGGTCTATGATTCCTTTTCAATTAAGATTTGTGTATGATGTAAAGAAAGGGTCCAACTTCATTCCTCTGTATTGCGGGATCTGGCTAGCAGCCCGCAATGCAATGGGGTTCTCTCTTTGTTCCTAGGTGGATCAGCTTGTCAATAAATAATAGACACACACAAGATAGTGAAAGCTGGGTGCAGCGGGGGTCACCGCCTTCTGGTCCTGCGGTGCTAACAATGCACTGGATATATCAGCATTTATTATCAAGTTTAGTGAGGGCAGGGGTAGGTTAGTGAGGGATTTAGGGTCATTTGATTATGAGGTGAGACAGTCACATGGGGATGAAGTAATTCTTTAACATAACATTTGTATGCAGACGTACAGTATACAGAGATAAGAATTTACAATATAGTGTGTGCATTAGTAATTTCTAACAGAGCCTTAAAACAGAAACACAGTCTTTCCATAACCTATGATTAGCAAGATATTAATCAGCAGTAACAGTTGCAGCAAAAGCTGGTTACGAACAATCCACAGAAACAGGACATGAAGCTAGACAACCGTTTAGACCAGAAATTCTCAGAAGGGAGTATGCCTTAACCCTAAAGTGGCCTAGAAGAGCCGTGGCAAGACGAGGGCATTTATAGCCCTATCTTATCTGTAAGGACAGGCTCCCCCCATACATCCGTTTATAGGCTCTCCACAAGGGTCGCATTCCATTCCCAGAGCTATGAACATCTGCTTTTCTGTGATAGGAATCTTGGTGATGGGAAACCTCCCTGACTGCATGTTCATTCATAGGCTCTCTGCAGGGGGAAGCACATCACACACTGTTGGCTCGTCTGGCAGTCCAACCTGGCATTGTCTTTACACAATCCTGCATGCAATTTTGTATTTACAATAATCAGGAGCATTTCATCTTTTATTCTGTAGCAATAGTTTCAGGGGGTCTCCCTACACCTTTGTCTCTGGATATCTAGTTGTTCCAGCTCTAGGTGTGGAAAATACTGTTTTTCTCCATTGAATTGTCTTGTCACACTTGTTAAAAATCAATTGAGCATGAATGTAAGGGTTTACTTGTGATATTAGTACCATAATGTCTTAATTCTATAGCTTCAAACTAAATTTTGAAATTGCGAATTATTGTATTCTTCTAGATGCAATTGTAAATGAAGTCATCTTAGTTTCAGTTTTGAATTGTTCATTGCTTTCCTATAGAAAAATAATTATTTCCTATAATAATTTTGTACATTTCAGCCATGTTGAACTTCTTTATTAGTTCAATAGGTTTCAGTGGAATCCTTAAGAATTTATATAAGAGCATGTGATATGCAAATTGAGATAATTTAACTTCTTCCTTTCTAATTGGAATGCCTTCTATTTCATTTTCTTTCCTAACAGTCTTGGCTAGAACCTTGAGTATTCAACCAGTATAACATTGAATAGAAGCAGCAAGAACAGACATTCTTGTCATGTCTTAAGGAAAAAGCATTGATTCTTTCTAATAAGTATGATATTAAGTGTGAGTTTTTCATAGATTCCCTTCATCACATTGAAGAATTTCCCTTTTATTCCTAGTTTTTTAAAAATTTTTATCATGCAGGGTACTGGATTTTTGCAAATGCTTTTTCTGCATGTATTTAAAAAATCTTGTGTTTTTTCCCCTAGATTCAATTGATATGATATATTACATTTGTTTTTGATGTTAAACTAACTGTTCCTTCTTCCTGGAATTTTCTAGTACATGACAAGTTACTTTTTCTTGGCCTTTTCCATAGTTGTTTTTTCGATTTTTTTCAACATTTTTGACATGATTTGTGGATCTCTTTATATTTATCCCATTTGGGCTTCATTTAGCTTCTTGGATGTGTATGTTAATGTCTTTCAGAAATGTTGAAAAGTTTTCTGACAGTTTTTCTTTCAATAGATTTTTTTCTTTCATTCCTCCCCTCTTGTACTTTCATTATATGTTAGTTGCTGTGTTGTCCTGCATTCTTCTGAAGCTCTTCTTATTTTTATTCATTCTTTTTTTTATTGGTCGTTGAGATTGCATAATCTGGCTACATCTATTTGTAAGTTAATTGATTCTTTCTTCTGCCAGTTCAAATTTGTTGTGTCCCTTTAGTGAATTTTTCATTTCAGTTATTGAATATTTCAATTCCAGAATTTCCATTTGATTATTTATTTATAATTTCTATTTTTTAGTAATATTCTCTATTGATGAATTGCCATAATATCTTCTTTACTTTTCTGAGCAGGGTTTCATAGTTTCTTTGAAGATATTTATAATGGCTGCATTGAACCATTTGTCTCATAATTCTGGTATCTTGGTATTCTTGCAGGCAATTTCTGTTGTCTGATTCTTTTCCCATGTGATTTGTCACATTAAAAAAAATTCAGATCCATAAATTTTTGTTGAAATTGGACATTTTAGAGGAAATATTTTAGTAACTCTGAATATTTTCCACCCTTTATTTATGGAGCTTATATTGTTGCTGCTATTGTTTGTTGCTTGTTTACTTGTTTGATGACTCAGCTGGACTGTTTTAGTAATGGATTTCCCCTACAGTGTGAAGGTTCTGATGTTGCTGCTTAGAGGTCACACAGCCCTAGGCATATCCACAGTGACCATGGGATGACAGTGGTTTTAGCAAGACTCTCTCTCACCGTAGCTTTCCCTCATCTCTCTTGCTATCATACCAATTTCTTAGATTTCACTTATCTTCAGACAGTTGCCTTAACTGTACAATCTGAAGCATAATTTGCTTCACAGTCTGATACAACTAAATCTGGGTCTCTTTGCCTGGGTAGTTTTGAGGTTATATTTTGAAGGTTGTCTGACTCCAAGAGATCTCCTTTTAGCTCTCACTTATCTTGGGTTTTCTTCGTAAACTTCCTGGTATATGGATTAGCTTATTGTTCTGAGGACAGTATCATTCTTCTCTAAATAAGGTACCACCATATCTCCATTGTTTTTAAGAGTGTCCTTTGACTTAAACCACTTCACATACTGTTATAAAGAAAGTCAATTCCTTTGAGGGGAACTTTGGATCTCTCCGCTATATGGCCTGCCTCCTTTTAAGGTCATAGTATCTGAGCTACTTCTCTAGAACTCAGAAGTAATCAATCTCTCTTGGAGTAATATTCCTTCCTTATGAGATGGGAGTTGGATGAAAATGGTAGTCTGTTCTTAGCTTACCTCTCCTAACATGGAAACTTCAACCTTCTGGCAAGTTTGGGTAAAGGTGATCAGGTATCAGTATTCTCAGTCTGCCATGCCTGAAGTAGATTTTTATTTTAAATGCTGGGTGGAGAACAGGAGCTCCCAGACTTCTCAGCCTCATTCACCTGGATATATTGGTCTTCAACAAACAGCTGTGCAGAATGAGAAATGTTGCATCCCTTGACCAAGAGCAAGATAAGGGAGATCTATTTTCTTGGCTGTAATTGCCTGGAGTGAAGCTTCCATTGTGTTGACCTAGAAGGGAATAAGAGAGTAAATTATGGCTCAATTGCCCACATTCTAGCTCTTTCATTTTCTGATATGCAGTAGATTAAACGAATAAATGTTCCTTCATTTGCTGCCCTGAGGACAATTTCTAATTTCTCTCTACCTATATGTGCCTGTGTTTGTGTGTGTGTGTGTGTGTGTGTGTGAGATATATTTATTTAATAATTTGTACCAGCAATATTTGTTTCACTAGAGAGCGGGTCAGTAGAGCTCTTCCTACCATTTTTCTGGAAATGAGTCTCGTATAAGATATATGATTTAAATATTCACAATCGTTAAAAACCTCCATGTGGAAGCTTCAAACATACATATACATGCCAAGGTCTACATCTGATTCTTGCAAATTTTCCATTAATAATTACTTTCTACTTCTCAAATATAAATATTACATTCGACCCTTTTATGAAAGAAATTTTCAAGTACAACTTTTGTAGGAGTTGATTCACAGTCATATGCATTTGACAAAACTCATTAAATTGTATACATAAACCACTTTAATAATGTTTATATAAATATGGGGAGTTAAATTGATTTATTTACTTAACCCACTTTCTCTAGCTATCTACATTTATGCATACTTTATATTAAGTACAATACAAAGCAACTCTAAAGTATTACTTTTAGTTTCTTATGTAGCATCTCAATTTTATGCAGGAAAAATCTGCTGATAAGCAATGATGAAATAAAAATTTTAAACAAGAGGATACTCCAAGTTTTGTCCCAATTTTTAGCTCTCTTCATTCTTGTGATGTCTCAGTTATGCAAATTCACATGTGTGTGAATATACTCATACCATTTGATGCTGTTATTGCCATTTTTGTTGGAAGGTCTTGAGAGCTATTATTACTATGTGATGTGATTTGGCTGTGTCCCCATCCAAAAATCATCTTGAATTGTAATCCCCATAATCCCCACATACCAACGGCAGGAACAGGTGAGGTTAATCAGATCATGGGGGCCGTTTCTCCCATGCTGTTCTCGTGATGAGTGAGTCTCATGAGATCTGATGGTTATATAAGCATTTGGCATTTCCCCTGCTTGCACTCACTCTGTCCTGCTTTTCTGTGAAGAAGGTGCTTTCTTCTCCTTTGCCTTCCACCAGGATTGTAAGTTTCCTGAGGTCTCCCACGCAATGCAGAACTGTGAGCCAATTAAACCTCTTTCCTTTATAAATTACCCAGTCTTGGGGTATTTCTTCATAGCATCATAAGAACAGATTGCTACACTATATTTTCATCAACAAATTTGAAGATTCACTGTAAACTAAACACTTTATAATTTATATAAAATTATAACTTCTATAAATATTTTGTTAAACTCAAACATGATCGGCCCAAAACTGATAATACACATGAATGGTTAACCCATAAAAGCCTTTTTTCTTTATCTATTTTCAAAGGTTTTGTTTGTACCAAATTTTTATCTGAGAAAAAGTAATATTTTCACCTATTCAATTCTATGTTCTACTAGGGTGAAGAGGATTTTGCATGTGGTTCCTTTTGCAGAAAAGGAAAACTTACTAGTTAATATTTATACTGAAAATTAATTTTCCATTGTACTTATGATTAATCATTCCATAAAACAGCATCATTTCCACATGACACTAGCTAACAAATGTTACTCTTTACCAATTTCATGTCACATTCAAATCAAAGTGCTGCTATATCCATAAGAACTGGCAATTGTTATAACTGCAAAATTACTATAAAATATCAGAGAAAAAATACAGAAAATGGAAAATTATAAAATATGAAAAAATAACTCCCTAAGTATAATGGATTAGATATTGCACATAGGTCAATCAACATTTTTTTTTATTTTAATACCCTTTTGGTGCTTCATGCTACATAGAGAAGGCTTTAGCATGATATGTTTTGATGGGCAATTAGCAGCATTCGCGAACTAATGCTGTCAGAGTTGTTGTATGTGCTTACACAGAATATATCATGGTGTTGTGCAACAAGAGTCTGACCTTCATTTCAGGATATGAATAAAAGTGACTTGGACCATTAAATAAACTGTAAACCAAGCCCCTTTGATCCAGCCAGGCACAGGAAATATGACAGGCCAGGAAAATTCTTCCAGGGGAAAAATTATTCTAACAATGAAAGTCCTACTTAGCTTATATAACCTTCAAACTCCAATCTACCCAACGAGAATGCTGCTGTTATTTGATAAATTTTAAATTGGTAGACAGGTCTTGTCCATGTATATATTTTCAAAGGTACCTTCTCAATTAGAGTTAGTAATTCCCAGAATGCTTATTTCAGTTCTCTCAAGGCCATCTGCATTTTAACTGAATTGATTGCTTTTGGTAGTCGGCACATAAAAAAGAAAAAAAGCTTACATTTTGGAAGTTGTAGACATAAAGAAAGACAGGCTTGGCACTGAGAATTAAAATTATTTACTGTGATATTGTTAGCAGTAAATCAACAGGAATAACTTTAAACTTTTTTCTCACCCATTCCAAATGATGGAGGATTATGAAGTGCAACTAAATTTTTTAAATCAAAAATAGTTTAAAATTTTTATGTTTTAGTTATATGTAAGAACTTACTTATCAGGAATAAACAATACTCTAAAGCATTTTGTTAAAGAGAATGACCTCATTTAATCATGTTATTTAAAATAAAACAGGGCAATTTGATGATTAAAATTTAGCTAGTCCATCCATACATTAAATAGAAGTTTTGAAATATTTTTACTGTTAATTTTTTATAACATCTCTATCTTTGAGAAGAATATGGAGAAAATCTGATTCAACTTTATGCCAAACATGAATTTTTTTTCTGTAGTGTCCTAAGAGAAGAAAATAAAATATTTCACCAAATCTTATCTCTAACTCCAGAAAAATTTGTTCTCATTGATTCAAGTACAGGCCTTCAGGGTAAGACAGAGTAAGCCAAGCTCCCCTTCAACATATTGAGGAAAACACATTAATTATAGCAAAATATACACAGGTTTTGCATATCAATTTTAAAAACAATTTATATTAAATCTATGTAAGAATGATTTGTTTTAAACTACATATGTTGCACCATTTTCAAAAGTGTGTTATTATGTATAACAAAATAAATTCTACATCTTCCAATTGCAAATAATTTATTAGATATGGTGTTCAAACCCAGGTGGGATTTGTAACACATGTATTTATCCAAAAAGGATGGTTGGGCTTGGTGGTTCACACCTGTAATCCCAGCACTTTGGGAGGCTGAGGCAGGAAGATCATTTGAGGTCATGAGTTCGAGACCAGCCTGGCCAACAGGGCAAAACCCCATCTCTACTAAAAATACCCAAAATTAGCTGGGCATGGTGGTGTGTGCCTGTAATCTCAGCTATGTGGGAGGCTGAGGCAGGAGAATTGCCAGAACCTGGGAGGCAGAGGTTGCAGTGAGCCGAGATGGCGCCATTGCACTACAGCCTGGGTCACAGAGCAAGACTCTGTCTCAAAAAAAAAAAAAAAAAAAAAAAAATCCACGTGATTAAACCAACTATTTCTCCTACCTTAAATAATATGTCCAAATGTGGTTTTCAATTTGCTTTGTGCATAGCCTGCATATGAATCTCTAAGTTCCCTGTCTCACTCCTTTCTGAAAGGCACTACAGATATTACCTATGATTGTCAGAGATCTCCTTATCATTTTCAGTTCTGTTCATCTCTCTCACACACCCTCAGTTTTTCCTGAAACTTTCTTATTATCCTTATCTGCTCACTTTGGCAGTCACAGATAGATGACTGAAAATTCTTTTCTATATTATTGAAGCATGCTTAGTTTCTGTACACATTTAGAAAATTAAATTCTCAATCATGATTTCATGAAGCTTTAACCTCTTCAACAACTCACTTTTAATTTTTTTCTTTCCTTGTTAGAAAAATATACTTCACACGTAGTACGAGAATGTTCTAATAATATCTTTAGAGTATAATAATAATAAGGAGAGCCACAGAGACCACTGGCACTTTTATCAGTTTTCACTCTGAAGTTGTATGACACCAGCAAAATATTCTGCTCTTGCAACGTCTGAGAAATTGAAATAGCAAATTACTTTCTAGTCTCAGATCACTCAGCAGCAACTTCAAAATTCCAAAGAACCATCATAGTATTTGCTTCAGAACTGTATATTTTTATTCAAGCAAACATAAAACTCCAAACTGTTCCTTACACATAATATTTATATAGACAAGTGAAACAAACAGCTATATTATTATCTGTTAAAGAGTAGCTACTGAAAGTCCTAAGGGGCCTTTACATTTTTTTTCTTCTCTTTCTCTCTTTCTCTCTCTCTCTCTTTCTTTCCAGATAGACCCTCGCTCTGTTGCATGGGCTGGAGTGCAGTGGTGCAATCTTGGCTCACTGCAACCTCCACCTCCTAGGTTCAAGTGATTCTCCTGCCTCAGCCTCCCCAGTAACTGGGACCACAGGCGTCTGCCACCACGACCGGCTAATTTTTGTATTTTAACTACAGACGTGGTTTCAGCATATTGGCCAGGCTGGTCTTGATCTCCTGACCTTGTGATCCGCCCGCCTTGGCCTCCCAAAGTGCTGGGATTACAGGTGTGAGCCACTGCGACCTGCTCAATTTTTTCTTTTTTTAGTGTCCTGCCTCTGTTCCAAGTGTTGTGGATATAATTCCATAGGTTTAAATCCATCCTACAAAAACAAAAATAAACACAACAAAACAAAAACAAACAAACAAAAACAACAAGAAAAGAAAAAGAAAGTCAAAATCAGAGGCAGGCATTTGTGAGTCAAGCCAAATTGGAAAAGTTTGACACATCGAATATAAGAATATATGAGTCTTTGGAAACTTGCAGGGTTGATTAAAGGAAGAGTTGAGAAATGCACAATAATATGAATTTAAAGGCAATTCGAAACAGAAGATCAGGCAGTGAGGTTGGGAAACCATTAGGAAGGGTCTAGGTCCTCAAATAGGTGGGACCAAAAGGAGTTAAAGGAATTCGAAGAGCTGCTGGTATTGAACTTCTAAGTAACCTGTGAGGCAAGAACATCCTCTGTGTGAAGGTGGCTGAAAGAAGATGAAAGGTTTGAGGGGAATTTAAGAAAAAAAAAGTAATTGGCACTCCAGAAAACGTGAAAAGAAGCCAATTAAACGTAAATAAAAAGATTGCTGAGTAGAGCTGAATATCCAGCCAAGGTTAGCAATCATAAATTTTGATGAGGCAATTAACAGTGTTATGTGATTTCTCTCTATTAAGCCTTGACTGCCCAGGGGCGGGGACATTAACCTGATGAAGGGGCATTCAGTGATAATGAAAGAATACAAAAAGGGAAAGTATGAGAGGCTGTTTTAAGTTACACTATTAGTGCCTTAAATTGTTCTTCAAGCATTTTAGAGGGTCTTTAGATTAATATTAAAAACTATGAGTTTTTAAGAAGTATCCACTATATGTTATGCTTATGTTTCACATTTCATGTGATCTCTTTTATCTGTTAAGAAATCTGTAAAGGGTTAACTCCCATCTTTTCTTTTCTTTTTTTTTTTTTTTTTTGAAATGGAGTCTCTTGAAACGGAGTCTTGCTTTGTTGCCCAGGCTGGAGTGCAGTGATGTGATCTTGGCTCACTGCAACCTCCACCTCCTGGGTTCAAGCAATCCTCCTGCCTCAGTCTCCTGAGTAGCTGGGACTACAGGTCCCACCTGTACATGCCACCACGCACAGCTAATTTTTGTATTTTTAGTAGAGACGGTGTTTCACCATATTGGCCAGGCTGGTCTTGAACTCTTGACCTCATGATCTGCCTGCCTTGGTCTCCCAAAGTGCTGGGATTACAGGTGTGAGCCACTGTGCCTGGCCAACAGCCCTCTTTTAAAAGTGGCTACTCCGAGCTTGGAAAGATTAATCAACATTCCAATGTGGTAGAGTCACAAGTATTATGTCCTGATTCAACTGCAAGTTTGCTTAGTTTATGTTCTTTTGCTCTTCTGTAGGCTTTATAAGTTGACAATCTCAAGATGTGACTTTAACATTCATGGCATACAATGAAATTAGAGGATGCTTTTATACACAAGTGTACTCAGTTTGTGCAAATTCAACTAGCTATACAATTCTGATATGTACACTTGCCTGAATGTATTTTATACTGAATGTATTTTATACTTTAGTATGAAGCTTTAAAAACTGAATGAGAACTTTGAGGTTGAGTAAATCTGCCTAACAGATTCTGAAACAAGTCAGGTCATTTTTATTGTCAGATATGATACATAACAATCTTTTGCCTGTTTACCAAAGTCTTCTCCAAGGTTTCACTTCATACTAAATACATTATTGTGGGTGAAATAGTTCATCTCTAGGGTCTCAAATTACTTCATCTTTAATATATTTGTTTTGTGCTGCTATAACAGAGTACCAAGGACTGAGCAATTTATACATTTATAAGGATAATAAATGTATTTGGCTCACAGTTCTGGAGGCTGGGAAGGGATCTGTCCGGCATCTAGTGAAGGCCTTCTTGCTGCAACATTCCATAGTGGAAGGAGAGAGAGTGAGAGAGAGAAAGGGGGCCAAACTCATCCTTTTATCAAGAACTAACCCACTCTCATGATAATCCATTAATGGGAGTAAAGTCTTCAGGAACTAGTCACCTTTTAAAGGTTCTACTTCAACACTGTGGCACTGGAGATTAATATTCCAACTTGTAAACTTTGGGGGCCACATTGAAACCATAGCATCTCTATACTCTCAGACTACCTATCTGTAATATATATTTAGAATTGAGTTCTAAGGAGTCTTTTTTTTCTTTTTTACTTTCATTTTAATTTCAGGTGTACATGTGTAGGCTAGTTACCTAGGTAAACTTGTGTCATGGGGGTGTGTTGTACAGATTATTTCATCACCCAGGTATTAAGCCCAGTGCCCATTAGTAATTTTTTTCATTTTTTTATTATTATACTTTAAGTTCTGGGATACATGTGCAGAACGTGCAGGTTTGTTACATAGGTATACATGTGCCATGGTGGTTTGCTGAACCCATCAGCCCATCATCTACATTAGGTATTTCACCTAATGCTATCCCTCCCCCAGCCCCCCCACCCCCCAACAGTCTCTGGTGTGTGATATTCCCCTCCCTGTGTCCATGTGTTCTCATTGTTCAACTCCCACTTATGAGTGAGAACATGCAGTGTTTGGTTTTCTGTTTCTGTGTTAGTTTTCTGAGAATGATGGTTTCCAGCTTCAACTGTGTCCCAGCAAAGGACATGAACTCGTCCTTTTTTATGGCTGCATAGTATTCCATGGTGTATATGTGCCATATTTTCTTTATCCAGTCTATCATTGATGGGCATTTGGGTTGGTTCCAAATCTTTGCTATTGTGAACAGTGTTGCAATAAACATACATGTGCATGTGCTCATTAGTAATTTTTTTCTAATCCTCTCCCTCCTCCCACCCTCCACTCCCTGAAAAGCCTCAGTGTGTGTTGTTCCCCTCTATGTGTCCATGTGTTCTCATCATTTAGCTCCCTATTGTGAGAAGTTGCAGTATTTGATTTTCTGTTCCTGTGTTAGTTTACTAAGAATAATGGCCTCTAACTCCATCCATGTCCTGCAAAGAACATGACCTCATTCTTTTTTATGGCTGCATAGTATTCTATGGTGTATATGTACCAATTTGAGTAGCATAGTTCTATAGTTCTAATCCATCTATTTAAGTTCTTTTGTTTATTTCCCTCAATTTTGATTTGGGGTTTGTAATGGTTGGATAAGAGAATACTTGAGCGCTATGAAACGTTCAAGGATAGTTTTATTATGTGTATTAGTTCTGGGAATGTACATTCTATCTCGTATATTAAAAAATAGTCACCCAAACTTTCAAAAATAAAATGTACATTTTAAGAGAAACTTCAGTCGAGATATAATCTATTCATTTAAGTTAAACTGAGTCAATGATAGTACTTTCAGATTAAAAAAAATCCAAAGCTAATAAGGAGAGAGACTATTTCAAAGGATTTTTTTGCAGTGTGACAAAACTGACTTTTGTAATAGGGGAAGGAGACTTATTTCAGTGAGAGTGTTTTCTGACTATAAAAACATCAAGAGATCTAGAGTCTCAAGTGTTAGGCAAAAAAAAGGGGGGTTTTATTTTACAGAGCCAGGTAAATAAGACTAAAAATCTGTCTGCGGAAGTGGAAAGAAAGGGCAATGTGAAGAGATGGTGGGTCAGAGAATGTTTTACCCTAAAGCTAGCCTATTTTCAAGAAGGGTCTGTTGAGGAGGGGTTGTATGATGGCTCAGGATGAGGGTGGGCCAGAAGTTCAGGAATTTCGAAGACAGAGTGTATCTTAATCAAAGTTTAGTTAGTAAGCATGTGTGCCAACCGATCAATGGGAACAAGCAGTTCAGTGTATCATTTATGAAACAAAGAGTGGGATTGTAGAGGGTCTTTGTCTGAACCTGCCATAGGTAAACAAAAGGCACATACATCCATTTTAATAAATCCTATAGGAAAAAGTGCTCGTTAGAAATAAGCTATTTTCCAGCATTTAAGGGTTGGGAGATTTCTTAATCTTTGCTGAATTCAAAATTTTCAGAGCTATGCTATACTTAGTACACATTTTAAAAGTTTCATTGAAAGAATATAATCACAATATATAGGGAAACTCTAAAAATATATTTTATTATTTAATTCTTATGTCGTACTGACTCTGAATAGGAAACTCAGATTCAGCAGTTTTTTTTTTTTTAAATATAACAATGACAGTGATGTGAAATGCCTTAGTGCCTCCAAGTAGAAGCTGGTATATAGGTACAAGTATCTTCAGTATAAAATGAACTCTATATTCAGAAGAAAATTAAATACAATTAGAATCCAATATTTTGTTTATGTTGACTAAAATATTTGTATTAAAAATAATTACAAAAAAACCCCCAACATTACACAACCTGAAAATAATGTGTATCTCTAATTTAAAGGAGTAAAAAGAAAGTAATATAGAAGGACAGATTTGTACATATATTTTTTAAAAGACATATATATTTTTATTATATAGTCAAATAATTATGCTGTATAATATCCATCTACATAGGATCTATTTATACCTGTTTCTCGAAGAAGATTATTAAATAATTTTACCCAGATATTCTTTGCTGTTATTATAAAACTGAATTAAGCTAAAAATGTACAGTGGTGACAAGAAGCTTATCCATATTCATATTTTATAATTCTTATGCCTACCATATGTTTTCATGTTTCCTTGCTTTTGTAGCTCCAGTTTTCTTAATAAATTGACATTTTACTTCTGCATTTATAAAGTAATTTCTAGTTCTGCTCATTCTATCAAATGTGGCCAATATGTTACTGACCCATTCAGCAATGTTATATTCACAATTCTTCCTTGAGAAATGTGATCCTGTTATTTTTCTGGGTCTCTTGCCTCAAGATCCTGAAAATATCTTTAAATATAGGGGATAAACAAACTTGATCTACTGTGTGAGTGTATTCATTCTACTTACTATCTCCTGGAGTATATGAATCTATGTCATAAACATTTATAGCAAAATAGAATGTATGTGTTCAGAAAAACCTAATGCCCATAAAGGGGAATATCAAAGGGAGATAAATATTTAGCATCTAATTACATTTATTAAGCTCCAATATTGCTTTATTGTGTTTTTAACTATAACAGAAGAGATTGTTCAATTATCAATTTTTTATGTGAACCATTCCTCAAATTAACCGTATGTGACTTGAATAATCAGTTCTATTAAAACATGGGAATATTGAGGGTGGGAGTGATTTGTTAACTTTAGTGACATTGCACACTCTGGAGTCATAGTAGGAACTCAAATCTGAAGCTCTTCCATACATGAAACACATGTTTTACCACTTTTCTTTCTATACATTCTAGCTTCAAATAGACATCCAGTTTTATCAGCTAATAAATTTAGTAATATCCACAGTAATATACAAGTATACATCATTTTATTTCACTTTGCTTTCTTTTGCTTTGCAGATATTACATGTTTTGCAATATTATAATATTATAAACATTCCAATTATACCTTTGCATTTATTTTTAAATGAATTATCATAGACTGTAGTCACTTTGTGGTACTATCAAATACCAGATCTTATTCATTCTATCTAACTACATTTTTGTTCCCCTTAACCATACCGTCTTCCACCCCCTCCTCGCTAACTTTCCCAGCCTCTAGTAAACATCCTTCTGCTCTCTGTCTCCAAGAATTCAATTGTTTTAATTTTTAGCTCCTGCAAATGAATGAGAACACTCAAAGTTTGTCTTTCTGTACTTGGCTTATTTCACTTACATAATGTCCTTCAGTTCCCTCCATATTGTTGCAAATGACAGGATCTCATCATGGCTGGATAGTGCTCTATTTTGAATATGCACCACATTTTCTTAATCAATTCTTCTGTTGATGACACTTAGGTTGCTTTGAAATCTTGACTATTGTTAATAGGACTGTAATAAACATGGAAGTGCAGATGTATCTTTGATATACTGATTTCCTTTCTTTTGGGTATACACCTAACAGGGACGTTACTAGATCATATGATGGTTCTATTTTTAGTTTTTAGAAAAACCTCCACACTGTTCTCCATAGTGGCTGTACTAATTTCTATTTCTACCAACAGTGTACAATGATTCCCTCTTTTCCACATCCTCACCAGCATTAGTTATTGCCTGACTTTTGGATAAAAGCCATTTTAACTGATCGGCTGGCATTAGTGAATATATTAATGATTTTAATCAATATGTTGTTGTTAATAATATATGTACAGAAAGTGCCACAAATCATATTTATATAGATGAATGCATTTTCACACAGTGAATATAGCCAAGTAACCAAAAGCCAGATGCATACATACACACATTATATTATATTATATTATATTATATTATATTATATTACATTATATTATATTAATAGGAGCTTCAGAAGCCCCTCTCAAGCCTGCTTTCAATCACCATCTCATCCTTACAACACCTTAAATTAGTATTATCTCTTTTGAACTATTTATTAATTGGAATTATAAAACTGGAATTGTTTGTTTTACTTTTGTTACATGTAATTATAGTGTTTTCTATTGCTATGAACATCCATATACCTTTTTGGTGCACTTATGTATATATTTCTGTTGAGGCATTGGTATATATATTTTTATCTTTAGTATATTTATAGAATGATGTTACAACATTGCAAATCATTTGGTAGACTGAAGTTGACTAAGGTTTTCTATAACACTATTCTCTATGTGAAGAAAAAAAATTATGTCCATACACTGCAGGGTCTTCCAATTCTCATAGTTAAGGAGCCCCTACAGGCTAAAGAAAATGACTTAAAACCTTGCATAAGAAGCACTTATGTAAACACTTTATAACATATTTAATTATTTGCCTTCCTGGCCTTCTATGGATTAACTAAATATGTACTCGATCATTTTGTTGAAGATGTATTCGATCATAAGTTTAGTATTATATCATATCTTTTTATCATAGGGAGTGTCTGGAGGCAAATAATTTTATCATAGAGAAAATGATATCACATAAACAATAGCACTTTTGTTTTGTTATAAACTAGGCAAAGATTAAATTATATAGTATTCTTAGAATTAGAGAAAAGAGTAGAGCCCATCTCCTTTCCCTCCTCCTTTCCTCTCCTCACTCTGGAGTGTAAAACAATTCACCATCTCACATTATGCATACAGAAACTGCACTGTAGTTCAGCAGAGGGATAGAGAAAAATAACAGCTATAGCTGAAGCTAGAAAGAAACTGTAAGAAGACAACAATGCAATTAATCAATTTGGAGTCTGACCAGAAGAATGGAAGTAATTCCTTTTTTTTTCACTTAAGTTTTAGGCAGTTTTAATGAACAAATGTTCTTTGCTGTTGTTTCCTTCATTTCATTCTTGTGAAAGCAAAACAGGAACACAACCAATACTTCCCTTCATTTAATTCTCCAAAGCAGCAGTCCTTTGATTTAAAATCGAGAGTGCCTATGTGTACAAAGTACCAGAATTGTTCTGGTAAGTTTTGAAAAGCAGTCTAAAAAGACAAAACAAAACAAAATCCACTTTCAAATCAAAATGATTCACACAATTTTTCTACGTTAAAGAGCCCAGCAAGTAGTTAAATTGAATTCAGAGCCACAGATACTCCTTTACATACCTCGTTCGTGGGTTGGGATATTATCTAATAGTTTACGGTTTCTTTTCACTAATAGAGTTTATGAATTAGAAACCTATAAGGAATATGGAGAAATCTCAAAAATATATTTCTTAAGTTGACTCTAAACCATAGCAGACTGGCTTATACACACACACACACACACACACACACACACACATTTTCAGCTCATCAAGCCAAAATGTATGCGGAAATGTATTTTGTTGTAATTTTTGTTTGTAAAAATGATTTAATTTGGTAGCAAGATGGTTTTAAGATCATTATTACCTATGATTTCATTATCTTTAAAATATATTTTAAAAAATAAATTTGAATGACTTTAATGTGAAAATGTCTAACGACTTTAAATAAGTCACTAGGAGAATAATAACATTGTTTTGTAGGCAGAAATGTCAATGTTTATAACTTGTGAGAAGACATGACATCCATTCACTATTTCACTTACTGGCACGGACTGTGACTAAATCAGTCAAAAAAATGCTTTGCTTTTTCCTTTTGTGTCTTTATCCTTTTGGTATAAATTATTCCCAAACTCTTCTTTAAATATTGTCATGAAGTGTCATGTCCAGAAATACAAGGTATTTCATCTGCAATGTGTCTTCTTTAGCATGAAATTACTACTTTAAGCCTGATGGCTTCATGCTAGGGAATCCACACTGGAACATGCTCAGTTTCTCTTTTTGGTCAAACCCCAGCTGTATACTTGTCTCCTATCCCTGGTGGTCAAAAGAACTTGAGCAGCCCACATTTAGTTCAACATTGTCCCCTTGTTTGAGCTGTCTCTCCATAAAGCCACACCAATCTTTCTGTTTGTTTGCTTAAGCCTATTACTAACTTTACTCTTTTCATAGTCACTAACTAACCTGGACAAAGAGCATTTCTCTTTGCACATAAAATAGAGCTCCCTTGCACAGCTACTTCAGATTGTTTTTACCCACTCTACAAATTGAAGGTGAAAGGAATAATTGTTTGTTAGAATTACATATCTTAGACAAAGTGGAAATAATATCTATCAGGTTTTTTTTTTAGTTTATTAGAGTTACATGGTGGAGATCCATTGCCTTTTCTTGGTAAAATATTTTTATGTCTTTCAAAAATGGAACTACTCTCTCAATTGCTGAAGCCAGAAATGTAGGTATCTTTTGCCATTTTCTCCCCTTCAATTCTCAACTCCAATCAACAATTACTATATCAACTTCCTAAATACTTCTCACAACTGTCTAATTAACCTAATTTCCCCCATCAATTTTTAATCTAAATTTAAATCATACCTTATTTGAATTATGACCTCATAGACCTTCTCACATCCTTTCTCATCACATATTGCATAATCCTTCTCCTTACAGAATGTTCTAAAAGTGACCTTGCACTGATTTCTTGGTCTACATATCCCTACCATGGCTGGTCTCAAGCTAGCAATGTGACAGTGGACTTGGGAAAATACGTGGACCACCTATAAGCCAGTTCTAGACCAAGCCAGTACAACCCACCACAGATAGTCTAATTCAGATTAATTCAGATACTGACTTAAAGAATTTCCTTGGCTTTGTCAATGTCTCTTCTACTAGAATAAAAAATTCTTCCATTTACAATTCTAGAAATGTCTAGTAATTTCAGCTCAGAAATCAAAATGTATTTTCCTGAAGGCTTCTTTTTTCCTTTTAAGATTAGCTCAGTGTTGTGATCAAGACTAAGTGACACAATATGTCCATGCTGCAAGATGTTTGCATGGGCCTTTTAGTCATCATTAATCTTTTAGCCATGTTATGTCTCTCACTGTATCCTATGTATGTGTGTGTGTGTGTATATATATATGTAGATACTATATATATAATATAATATATATTATATTATATATATAATTATTTATTACATATTAATATATATTATATATTATATTTTTTATATATATACACATGCACACATTATTTTCATGGGCATACGGAACATCTTCTAGAATAGACCACATATTGGCTGCAAAACAAGACTCAACAAATTTTTAAAACAATAGAAATCATATCAAATGACTTTTCTGACCACAGTTGAATAAAACTACAAATGAATAACAAGAGGAACCTTAGAAAATATGCAAACATGTGGAAATGAAACAACATGACCAATGAGTCAAGGAAGAAATTAAGAAGAAAATTTTAAAATTTTATATAAAAAGAAGTATGTCCACTATCACCACTTCTAGTCAACAAAGAACTAGCAGTGCTAACAATAGCAATCAGGCCAGAAAAAAAAGCATTCAAATTGGAAAGGAATAAATAAAATAGTTTATTTGTAGATGACATGATCCTATATATAGAAAACCCCAAAGATTTCACATGCACACACACACACACACACACACACACACAGACACACACACACACACACAGAGAGAGAGAAAGAGAGAGAAACTGTTAGAACTAAAAAATTCAGTAAAGTTGCAGGAACAAAAAATCAACATACAAAAATTAATAGCATTTTTATATACAAATAACAGCCTACCTGAAGAAAATAAGGAAAATAATCCCATTTATGGTAGCATCAAAACAAATACCTAGGAATAAATTTAATCTAGGAAATGAGAGATTTGTACACAGAAAGCTATAAAGCATTGATGAAAAACATTGAAAAAGACACAAAAAATGTAAATATATACTGGGTTTATGGCTGAGAACTCAAATTGCTAAAATGTTAATAATACTTAAAACAATATACAAATTTAACACAATCCCTATGAAAATTCCAATGGTATTCTTCACAGAAATAGAAAAAAAATGCTAAAATTCTTATGGAACCAAAAAAGAAACCCCAAGTAGTCAAAGCAATACAGAGGAAAAAGAAAAAGAAAAAAAAAGTTGGAAGCATCACCACCATTCCTGTTTCAAAATAGAAGCATGGCATATTTTATTGCACTGTGCTTTATTGTGCTTTGCATATATACACTTTTTCCTAATTGAATATTGCTTTTTTTTCTTTTCTTTCTTTTTTTTTTTTTTTTGTTTTGAGACGGAGTCTTGCTCTTTCAACCAGGCTGGAGTGCAGTGGCGCGATCTCGGCTCACTGTCAGCTCCACCTCCCATGTTCACGCCATTCTCCTGCCTCAGCCTCCCCAGTAGCTGGGACCACAGGCGCCCGCCACCACGCCTGGCTAATTTTTTGTATTTTTAGTAGAGACGGGGTTTCACCGTGTTAGCCAGGATGGTTTCAATCTCCTGACCTCGTGATCTGCCCGCCTTGGCCTCCCAAAGTGCTAGGATTACAGGCCTAAGCCACCGTGCACGGCTGAATATTGCATTTTTTACAAATTGTTTGTGGTAACTCTGCAACCAGCAAGGAAGTTAATTAGCCTCATTTTTCCAACAACATATGCTCACTTCATGTCTTTGTATTTCATTTTGGTAATCCCCATAATATTCCAAACTCTTTCATTATTATAATATCACTAATGATGATTTGTGGTCAGTGATCTTTGATGTTACTATTATAATTGTTTGGGGATACCACAAACCATGTCCAGATAACACAGTGAACTGAACTGATAAATGTTTTGTGTGTTCTGACTGCTCAACAACCAGTTATTCCCAATCTCTTTCCCTTGTCCGGGGTCTCCCTATTTCCTGAGATATAAAGATATTGAAATTAGGCCAATTAATAACCCATTATAGATGCTATTAAGTATTCACCATTCTAGATGCTAAGTATTCAAGGGTAAGGAAAAGTTTTATACCTTTCATTTTAAATCAAAAGCTTGAAATGATTATGCCTAGTGTGGATGACATGTCAAAGGTCATGACAGGCTAAAAACTTGACCTCTTGTGCCAGTTAGGTGTGACTGAATTCCTGCAATCTCATAATAAAACTTGACCAGATGAAGTGTTGCTTTTATGGATCAACAAGAAATGTGGTTTCTTAAAATGGAATCCAACCCTGATGAGGATGCTGTGAACGTCGTTGAAAGGACAACATATGATTCAGAATATTACATAAACTTACTTGATAAGTACCTAAAGGATTTGAGAAGATTATTCCTATTTGAAAGAAGTTCTACTGTGGGTAAATGCTAAGAAAAAGCATTGAATGCTACAGAGAAATTGTATGTGAATGGAAGAGTCAATCAATGTGACAAACTTTATTGTTGTCTTGAACTAATTGCTGCAGCCACTTCAACCTTCAGCAACCACCGTCCCAATCAGTCTACAGCCATTAAGTTTTAAGCATGATCCTCCACCAGCGAAAGGATTATGACTCACTGAAGGAAAAGATGATTTTTAGCATTTTAGAACAATAAAAAAATTTAAATAAAGGGTCTACACATTGATTTTTAGACACAATGCTATTATGCACTTAATAGACTATGCTATGGTATAAACATAACTTTGGAATTCACTGGGAAACCAAAAAATTTGTGGACTCACTTTATTATGGTATTAACTGTGTCACCCAGGCTGGAGTGCAACAGTGTCATCACAGCTCACTGACTTCAGGGCTCAGTTGATTCTCCCACCTCAGCCTCCAATGTAGCTGGGGCTACTTGTGTGCACCACCACACCAGACAATTTTTTTAAATTTATTTTTTGTAGAGACAGGGTTTCACCATGTTCCCCAGGCTGGTCTCAAACTCCTGAGTTCAAGTAATCTGCCCGCTTTGCCCTCCCAAAGTGCTGGAATTAACAGGCATGAGCCATCACACCAGCCTAGATGAACTTTTAATAACCAAAAAGTACTAGGGAATGATGGAATCTTCCCAAGATAGAAAATATCTGCATGTAGGGGTAGAAATAAAATGTTACTTAGTACAATTAAAGGGAATAACTGGAGAAAAGTGAAAGTGCTTTGTGTTCATATGTCCATAACATTGAGATTTTCAATATGCTTGTCTTATGTTTCCTTAACTTGACAGTAATTCTCAATCTTTTTAATAAATGGCGTACATCACCTAATGAAAACATCATACTTCCAACAGCAATACTGATTGATGTTAGCAATGATTTTTTTTAAACCTGTTTATGCTGGATACCTGAAGGGTAAGCCAGTTATCTCAGAACATCTAAGAATATGTATAATCTGGAAAAGTTTCCTGTGTGATTCTGACAAGGTCGACTCTTACTGAGAATCACGTTTTATGATGCAGAAGGAGGAATACAATAAGGAGACAGAGAGAGAAAATAGTCAATACTAGAGGATTTAGAAAAATACACAATCTTGCTATTCTAGGAGGGAAAATTTTAAAAGGACCTGATAAAAATGTAAAAATACTACAGAGAAATCATGAAAGAGGATCTTTGGATTAAGCATGTAGCAAGCCATTAAAGACAGCCAGAGGTAATGACTTCAGAGGCATGCTTTTCATAGTAACATACATTTATGGAACTTAAATATTGTAGAAATGTATTTGACTAAGACAATTTACTCAAGAAATTTGTGCTGGTAATATAAAGGAAGTGTCTGATAAATAATGGTAAAAATGACAATAGGGTTAAGTATATCAGAGAAGACCTGTAAAAATAAAAAGGTAAAGAAGGAGAGGATAATGACTAAAGATGCAGCAATAAAAGAGATTCTTTGATAAAACAGTGGTGGGGAAGTGGGAAAAGATGGGGAATTTGTAATTAGTTCCTAAATACGCCCCCCTTCCCTGCATTCCTTGACCCTTACTTCAGAAACAAGGGGAAGAAAAAAGAATAAGTAAAGAGATCTGAGCATGTTGTGGTAAAAATACATGAAAGACTAGGCTCATTATAAAAGCAGGGTGTCCCTTCATAGCTGAGTGTGGGAGTGTGGAATTCAACTTTATCCATGGATTATATATGAAGTCATAATGAATAAATTATTTTAGAGATGTAGCAAGTCCCTTGCCTTTTGATAAAAGCCCGGTAATTTTCTTATTTTATACCTTTTTTTTCTTGTTCTTTTGAAGGTTAAATTATTTGGAAGAAATTGAAAGTCATTCCCCTTTACCCCACAATAAATGCAAATAGTTCAATTGCGTCGGCCTATTCAAAGCAGTTTAAGAATTGCTAAACTTCTGAAAAGCACAGGGAACAAGCTCATCAGCCAAGTTTCTCTTTCTAGTATTATATTCAGATTGGTTTTATAAATTTTGAAAAATTAAATTGAAATCAATAAAAATCCCGTGGGCCATGTATTGCTATGTTTACTTTTTATGTTTGTGACAATAACTTATCTCCAAGGCACCACAAACCACTGTGTGTTCATGCTGTACTAAGTATTCCCTTGTGATATCTGCTACTGGGTACAATTTGTCCTCTTAGAATAGCAGATTTTTGAGAAGCTATCACAATTCACAAAGGACTTTCAGATTCCTTTTGCAAGGTTAAGTGACACTTAATTTGCATTTGCACTCCAAGGCTTTTTTGTATGCTGGTGAGCATTCTGAAACTTCCAGAATCTTTTAAAAAGAGAAATTCTTGTTCAAGCCTTTCATCAACCTCTCCATTATCATTATAGTAGGGAGTAAAATATACACTTTAGCTCAGCATTTTCTATTTGGCGTAACGGCATTAGATTGTTTTTTCTTCATTTTACCTATCAAAAGCTATATTTGTTCATTCTCCTACTCCTTTGTCCCACCTCTTTCTGTATTAAATTATTAAGAGTTTGTCTCAATAGCTGTGTTAAGTATTAGTAACATTACAGGAAATAGAACTGACAATAGCTCCTCTTTTCATTAAGTTGACAAGCTGGATGATAAATTTAAACCATGAGATTTTAATTGAGATTGTGTACAGAATGTATTATGAAGCATATAACAGGGTGCCTAGTGTAAGTCAGGGTACTTGTTTGCAAAACAGAAACGTTTTTACTTAAGTAGAAAAGAAATTTCTTTCTTTTTTAAAAAATTTTTAGTTCAGGGGTACATACATAGGTTTGTTATATAGGTAAACTCATTTCATGCAGGTTTGTTGTACAGATTATTTTGTCACCCAGGTATTAAGCCTAGTACCCATCAGTTATTTTTCTGGATCCTCTCCCTTCTCCCAGACTCCACCATCCAGTAGGCACCATTACCTGTTGTTCCCCTCTTTGTGTCTATGTGTTCTCATCATTTAGCTCCCACTTATAAGTGAGAACATGCTATATTTGTTTTCCTGTTCCTGCGTTAGTTCTCTTAGGGTAATGGCTTCCTGCTTCATCCATGTTCTTGCAAAAGACATGATCACATTCTTTTTGTTAATGGCTGCATAGTGTTCCATGGTGTATATGTACCACATTTTCTATATTCAGTCCACCACTGATGGACATTTAGGTTGATTCCATATGGTTGCTATTGTGAATATGGCTTCAATGAATATACGTGCTCATGTGTCTTTATTATATAACTCTACAACCATTTACATCCTTTTGGGTATGTATCCAGTAATGGGATTGCTGGGCCCAGTGGTAGTTCTGTTTTTAGCTCTTTGAGGAATCACCACACTGCTTTCCACAATGGTTGACCTAATTTACACTCCTAACAACAGTATATAAGTATTCCTTTTTCTTTGCAACTTCACTAGCACCTGTTATTTTCTGACTTTTTAATAGTAGCCATTCTGTCTGGTATAAGATGGTAACTCATTGTGGATTTGATTTGCATTTTTCCAACAATCAGTGATGTTGAGTTTTTTTTTTTTTTCATATGTTTCTTCACTGTAGGTATGTCTTCTTTGGAAAACTCTCTGTTCATGTCCTTTGCCCATATTTAATGGGATTTTTTTTTGCTTGTAAATTTGTTACAGTTTCTTATAGACACTGTATATTAAACCTTTGTCAGATGCATAGTTTGCAAATATTTATTCCCATTCTGTAGGTTGTCTGTTTCTTAATAGTTTCTTTTCTGGTGCAGAAGCTCTTTAGTTTAATTAGATCCCATTTGTTTATTTTTGCTTTTGTTGCAAATGCTTTTGGCATCTTCAACATGAAATCTTTGTCCATTCTTATGTCCAGAATGGTATTGCCTTCCAGGCTGTCTTCCAGGGTTTTTATAGTTTGGGGTTTTATTTTTAAGTCTTTAATCCATTTTCAGTTGATTTTTGTATATGGTATATGGAAGAAGTCCAGTTTCAATCTTCTGCATATGGCTGTCCAGTTATTTTGGCACCATTTATTGAATAGGGATTTCTTTCCACATTTTCTCTTTTTGTCAGCTTTGTCAAAGATCAGATGGTTGTAGGTGTGCAACCTTACTTCTGGGCTCTCCGTTTTGTTCCATTGGCCAATGTGTCAGCTTTTATGCCAGTACCATGCTGTTTTTGTTACAATAGCCCTATAGTATAGTTTGAAGTTGGGTAATGTGATGCCTCCAGTTTTGTTTTTTGTTTGTCTGTTTTTTTCTATTTTTCTTGTTTTTGTTTTTGCTTAGAATTGCCTTGGTTATTCAGCCTCTTTTTTGGTTCCATGTGAATTTTAAAAATATTTTTTCTAGGTCTGTGAAGAATAGCATTGGTAGTTTGATAAGAATAATGTTGAATCTATAAATTGCTTTGGGTAGTATGGCCACTTTAATGATGCAGAATCTTCCTATCCATGAGCATGGATATTATTTCCATTTGTTTGTTCTTCTCTGATTTATTTGACCCTATTTTGTAGTTCTTCCTGTAGAGATTGCTCACCTACCTGGTTAGCTGTACTTCTAGGTATTTTACTCTTTTTGTGGCAATAGTGAATGGGATTGCATTCCTGACTTGGCTCTTGGCTTGATTCTTGGTAGTGTACAGGAATACTAGTGATTTTTGCACATTCATTTTGTGTCTTGACTTCACTAAGTTGTTTATCAGATCAAGGAGATTTTGGGCAGAGACTATGGGGTTTTCTAGGTATAGAATCATGTCATCTGCAAACAGGGATAATTTGACTTCCTCTCTTCCTCTTTGAATGTTTTTTATTTATTCCTATTGCCTGATTGCTCTGGCCAGGACTTCCCATACTATGTTGAATGGGAGTGGTGAGAGAGGGCATCCTTGTCTTGTGTTGGATAGGTTTTCAAGGGGAATCTTTCAAGCTTTTGCCCATTCCGTGTGATGTTGGCTGTGGGTTTGTCATAGAGGGCTCTCATTGTTTTGGGATATGTTCCTTCAATACATAGTTTATTGAGAGTTTTTAACATGAAGGGCTGTTGAATTTTATCAAAAGCCATTTCTGCATCTATTGAGATAATTACCTGGGTTTTGTCTTTAGTTCTGTTTATGTGATGAATCACAATAATTGATTTGCATGTTTAATCAACCTTGCATCACAAGGATAAAGCCTACTTGATCATGGTAGATAAACTTTTTGATATGCTGCTGAATTTGGTCTGCCAATGTTTTGTTGAAGATTTTTGCATCTATGTTTATCAAGGATATTGGCCTGAAGTTTTCTTTTTTTTTGTTGTGTCTTTGCCAGGTTTTGGTATCTGGGTGATGCTGGCCTCATAGAATGAGTTATGGAAGAGTTTTCCCTCCTCAATTTTTTTTAATAGTTTCAGCAAGAATAATATCAACTCTTCTTTGTACATCTGGTATCATTTTTTTCTGTGAATTCATCTGGTCCTGGGCTTTTCTTGGGTGGTAGGCCATTTATTACTGATTTAATTTCAGAGCTCATTATTGGTTTGTTCAGGGATTCAATCTTCTTTCTTTTTCTTTCTTTTCTTCTTCTTCTTCTTCTTTTTTTTTTTTTTCAGATGGAATCTTGCTCTGTTTCCCAGGCTGTAGTGCAGTGGCATGATCTCAGGTTCACTGCAACCTCTGCCACCTGGGTTCAAGCGATCCTCCCGCCTCAGCCTCCCGAGTAGCTGGGATTACAAGTGTGTGCCACCACACCTGGCTAATTTGTGTATTTTTAGTAGAGATGGGATTTCACCATGTGGGCCAGGCTGTTTTTGAACTTCTGACCTCAAGTGGTCCACTCACCTCTGCCTCCCAAAGTGCTGGGATTACAGGCATGAGCCACCACACCTGGCTGGTCAATTTCTTCTTTGTTCCATTTTGGGATGGTGTATTTGTCCAGAATTTTTCCATTTCCTCTAGATTTTCTAGTTTGTATGCATATAGGTGTTCATAACATTCTCTGATGATTATTTGTATTTCTGTGGGGTCAGGGGTAACATCTCCTTTGTTGTTTCTAATTGTGTTTATTTGGATCTTCTCTCTATTTGTCTAGTGAGCAGTCTATTTCACTAATATTTTTTAAAAAACAAACTTCTGTGTTCTTTGGTCTTTTGATCAAATAAGATCAAAATAGTGCTTTGATATAAAATTATATCAGTTATAAATAAGTTAGTTTAACTCATCACTAAGAAGGTATTTTCTTGTGTCTTAATCTCCTTTTAGTTGAACTTCGATTTTTTGTTATATCTTGTCTTCTACTACCATTGGTGTTGGTTTGCTCTTGGTTCTCTAGTTCTTTTAGTTGTGATGCTAGGTTGTTAAATTGAGCTTTTTAAAACTTTTTTTATGTGGGTGTTTAGTGCTATATGTTTCCCTCTTAATACTGCCTTAGCTATGTCCCAGAGATTCTGGGATGTTGTATCTTTGCTCTCATTAGTTTCCAAGAACTTCTTGATTTCTGCCTGAATTGCATTATTTACCTAAAAGTCATTCAGTAGCAGGTTACTCAATTTGCATGGAATTATACGGTTTTGAGCTACTCTCTTAGTCTTCAATTCCATTTTAAGTGTGCGGTAGTCTGAGGGAAATTCTTTTGGAAGGTATTGAGTAGCTCAGAGAATCTAAGGGAAACCTGCAGCACCAGGCTCAAATAGGAACCAAGAAGGGAAGGCATAGCCAACATTCAGCCACTAGGACTGGTTTCTAAGGATGCTTACATTGTCTTGACTCTGAAGGTGCCAATTAAAGCTATCTAAAGGGTTCTGTAACATTGAATCACTACATTAAAATTCAAAGTCCTGTAGCAGGTATATTTTTATCTATTTACCAAATACACTGCTCACCATGTGCTACTGGCTGTTCTAAGTTCTTTACATATTTTAATTAAAACTCATAATAACCCAAGAAGCTAGAGAGTGTTATTATGTCCATTTTATCCCCACTGTATATTTGAGGAAGATGAGGCGGAAGATAAAAGTAACTATGCCAAGATCACACATCCAGAAAGTGGTAAAGCCTCTCGGTATGCTGTTACCCTACTAGACAGACATTTGTCATCTGGTAGATAAGTTCAAGGAGCAGGAATTTCTGGCTACTTTACTTATTTTTAGTGCGAGATGGCATCCTGCTTCCCATGTATCTTTGGAGTCTCTCAAGTTGGGAATTTGGATAATGGTCAGCTAAATAAAAAATATGCATTACCCAGTTTGAAATATTGGGAGATGGCATCTGGAGGAGTTCTTGTGTCTCTCAGTAGTTAGTTAAATATGTGTCTCCTGCCTCTATAGGCACCCACTTTCATTATTTAATGTTTATTCAGTTATCCTGTGTGCCTCATATTTCACTCTGGGAAGAGCATTCTCTAGATGAGAGAAGCTCCCTTTATAAATGTAATGCGTGTGCCCACAACTTAAATAGCACTATAATCTCCTTTATAATTACCTGGCCCCTTGTTTTTCACATTAAAAAAAAAAAGAAGGAATGATGTTACTGGGTGAGAAAAATCATATGCTTTTATTCTTGACTTAGCTAGGAAATGCAGTTTTAATGTTTTTATGTATGTAATAATACTTGCTAATACAATACAAATAGGAAGCATTACTTTTAAATAAGTAAAAAATAAAAAATGCACCTCCATAAGATGAGGAATTGAGATAAAACTAAAGTCATAAAGCAAGATAATAGAAAAAAAATCAATCAGTTATATATATACACATATATACACATATACATATATATATATACATATACATATATATATATATATATATATATATACATATTTTAAACTCATCACTTCGAATAGAAGTAATGTCAGATTGAATACAAAGTTATTTTTCATGGGAAATATCAAGAATAGTACCCGGGCTAATATATTAAGCCTTCATTAAATATTTGCTGAATGGACAAACTGTTTCCATTTAAAATTTAGGTAATAGGAGACAATAACTCCCAAATAAAAAGACTATATAATACTGATTAGAAAAGTTCAAACAAAATTATGATGGAAATTAGTAATGAAAACTGGCATAACAATGTTAATTTCAGACAAACTAGAAAGCAAGGTAAAATTGAAACTTTTAAAAATTGTAAAATGGACATTAAAATTAAAAAAATATACAGTTGGAAATATTTAGGCTTCAAATTACATGACGTCAAATATAAAGGGAAAGCTGTTGTTCTCTAGTTGGTTCCTTAGAACTCTCTGTCAATTTAAAACATTTTAATATTGCTTATCATAGGCCTAGCAAAATGTATATACTAAAAAAATCACTAAATTATTATCATTACTTTTATCATTGCTATTATTACCATTTTATAACCTTTAAGTATTAAAAATATCAGTTAAGAACATTAAAAATAGCAAAAAAGTCAATGTATTAAGATTAAATAATAATTTGACAAAATATCTGAATATCTGAATTTGTGGAAGAGACAGTTTGTTTTCTACCCTACTACCCTTTACTTTTTTCTTACTCATGTTATCCCCTTTGGAGGATATTTCCCAGTAATCATTGCAGGTAAGTTTGGTTATGTAACTATTATTTCACACATAAGGTACAAGTTGAACCTTTGAATACTTTGTGGATGACTCCATAAAAGAGAGGGGAAGAGTGTTCTAGGTAGCCGGGGTGCTTACATTTACTGTCATACTGAATCCCTGGAATAAAGGTATGATAAATGGATATTCAGCAACTCAATTTGGGCCATGCAGACAGAAACATGAGTCTGGAAGCCACATGATAAGTATTGTGGAGGAAAAAAATAGAAGCTTAATTATTGATATAAATCCTGAACTTCAAATTACAGACTTGTTGGCATGAAAACGAAAGCAACTTTTATCTCCTTTAATTCACCGTTGTTTCTCAGTCCTCTTAATAGCAGCTGATTATAATTCCTAAAGAAAACAGTATATTATAAAAATATCAATGAAATAACTAGGCAAAAATACATAAAGTTTAGTAGATTTTTTTGTGTCAGCAATACCAGTTATAATAGGCAATGAAAAAATGGCCCATTCAGAAAAGTAACGTAATTCTTAAAATACATTGAAAGAAATATAATGAAAATTATGCAGAAATTATGTGGAGAATCCATGTGCTATTGAAAATCTGACACAAAGCCTGGGCTTACCAAGTGAAACTAGTGACCTTGCATATTCCTTCTTCTTGGCCACAGTGCTTCAAGAGTGACCTAAATTGATCCAATCAGATTGAATCTCAAAAGTTTACTTCACCAAGATCCTTTCTCTAACTTGGATATAAAGGGAACTAGCTGGAGGAGGAAGGAGGAGAAACCCAAGAAAACCAGAAAACCAGGAATAAAGCCTGAGATCAGATGATGTCATGCCTATCTTTTCAAACTGTGTGCATAAATAACACCAGTACTAGTTTTTCAGCATTATTTAACTTCTACCAATCATATCTGTGGTTGAAGGATACTTGATTTAGGTTTTTTTGTAACCTGCAACTGAAAAAATTTAATTGAACTTGAACACTTGGAAAATAATACACAGACCTAAGTGTATAAAGTGACAAGACATAGTTTATTAAAGGATCAAAGACCTCAGCCTCATTTCCTTGGTAGAGCTAATAGGCAGATCTAGGCAGTTAGAATGAAACACCAGATAGTCTGTGGGAGAATAAAACCATTGAGCATTACAGCAAGAGGAAGATGCCAGCCTGAAAGGTAATGCAAACTTCACTGACAGAGAAGGAAGAGGGGTTATGGATAATTTGGAACAAAAAGAACATTTACCTGATTATTATGTTTGTGGGTTAGAACTTGCTATCCATTGTTTTACACAAGAAACAAGCATATAACAGATTTATCTGACACAGTCTAGGCCATATAGTAAGTAGATCCAAGCCAGGTGATCGGGCATAGCTTTGTATTTCTACTACCATTTGATAACAAAATATGATCGAAGACAGTAATATCTGACATTGGTATGGATGGGACAGGTAAAGGTTTGAGGTTTTCTTGCTGGTTTTTATCAAGTCTTGGTTTACTGCTGAATAACAAACATCTCTCTAAGTTAGCTGGTTAGCAAATGAAAGAAGTTGCAATAATCTACTTAAAGAGTGTATCACAGTACAACTTCCCTCTTGTATACTTTTTAAATTTCACACTATGCCCCATAAGCCAGATTAGAAAGTGTAGTTAGCCAAGGGTTAGATAACCAGCTAACTCCCACTTTTGAATGAGAACAAAGACCTGAGGAGAGATGGTCCCACTGACCCCAAATTCTACTGAGATCCAGAGGTCTAAGCCAGCTGTGGTCCCTGTGGCACCCTCACTCTCTCCCAAATATGCCTATGACATTGGAGGACTGCTATGCAGCATAACTGGCTTACCGTGAACAAGCATATGTTCAAAGGTTTAATGGTGTGGATTTTGGTTTCATCTTCGCAATTAGCTTTTGTGATTATGTAAGTCTCTTAAACACAGAACCAATTTTATCTTTTGAAATGAGAATAATAAAAACAATAATGTCAGATTGTTTTGAGAATTAGTTAATGCATATAGAAAGCCCAGTAAAGGGCCAGAAAGAGAAGAGAATTTCAATGAAAGATAGTTACTAATTCTTTTCTCTACTTAGTAATTATTCCCCAAGATCAGTGAGTATAGTTTCACAAACCACTTCATACTTTCATGCTCATTGGCAAGAGAAATCTAATGAAAATCATACCCAGTGGTTTTATTATTTTATTACTGCTTAGTTGACAGAGGTATTTGCCAGAAAATATTTCACAATGTATGATGGATTTTCACCAGGTAAAATGATGATATTAACACTGAACTGTCAGAGAAATGAATCAGGATAATTTGCTTTGCGATACACTCTACAATATCTAAAAGACTCTATAATTCCTAAGTATATAGATAAAACGAAGAATGTGTTCCTAACAATATGTTTCTAAAATTTAAAAAATGGTGTTGGAAATACACCTGTATTCAAATACAGCAGTATTTGAAGAAACTAAATAAATATAAAATATTTTACCAATTGTGACATCAAAGTAAACATAATTAAAATATAAAGAAAACCCAGAAATATATAATACAAGCTTTATTACGAATAGATTATAAAAATTGGCAATGGAAATAAACAGTTGGCTTATGAAAGAAATGTATAGAACTAAACAAAAACAAAAAGTGCAATGTTAGCAATACACTCTAATTTTTTTTTGCATATAAAATTGTTAGAAGCATTAAAAGACTGTATTTTCCTCAGCTCTGGAGAGATTAATTATTTCTTATTTATTTCTGGGCATTTAAGTAGAAGGGTGTCTCTTGAGCAAAATCTGGTAGATTTTAAATAATTCATATTTTCACTTATAAGACCATGATGAAATATTTAAAGGAGGAGGAAAAGTATATATGTTTATTTCTTACTTTATTATTTATAATTACAAAATATTAAAACCATAAAAGTGTTTTATATAAAATGATTAACTGAATTATGTTATACACACCTGACAGAATGTTAGCCATTTACAACATTTTGAAACATAGTATTTAGAAGGAAAACAAAGCCGGTATAATAATTAATAAAAAGGCAATATTGAAAGGTTTCTTAATGTTCATTGTGTGTGTGTGTGCCGTTACAAAACCACACCTGCATCTACTATATTTTAGATCATTAGTCTAGACCAAGCATAATAATTCTATCACCCTTGCTACTGACTTACTTAGGAACTGTGATGTCACTCAAATCTGAGTGAGGATACTTGAAGGAGAATCTTCTGTGGAGCTTTGGTAAATGTTTCCCTCACTCCCAAGGGAGACCTGTAGATGCATTGCATGTGATTTCCAGCACTTGTCTTATTATCTCATGGCAATAAAACCAACATTGTGGATTGCAGACTCTGGATGAACAGACTTTGGGGCTCACCTACCTATGTATCTACTGTTTTCTTCACCTTCATTATTTAAATTAAACTTTAATTACTAATTAATTTTTAATTTTAATGAGTTTTTTCAGTGTGTCTAAATTAATACTATTTTACTACTCACAATCATTCACATAAGAATTCATCTGTGCAGGAAAAATGTTAAAAGAAAAAGTCCCCAAAACTACCCATATTCCAAATTCAATTATACATGTGGAGATGGGCTCTTTTGCCAATACTTGAAATTTTCATTATTTATTGGGAGACTTGACTATTTACCCTATAATTTTACTCAAATTTCTCTCCCCCTCCGGAAAAGTTACTTTTCCATGGATATATTCTATTGGTTTCCATTTTATGATTTTTTCTTTCTCCTTTTTGGTATTTGTCTTCTTGTGTCTAACATCTTCTTCTCACTTTTCTGTCAGGGCATGTCCTTTGTCCTTTTAAATTTTAAGATGTAGTTTAGATTTTTTCTAAAGTAAGATATTGAGTGGTATTACGGTCTTAAGTAAGGTTAGCTAAGACTCTATTTACAAACCACAGAGACGAATAAAGCTGTAATATATTGAGAAAGCAGAGAATGAATTCACAGACGCAGGGGCAGAACCCAGTTAGATATAGGGAATCATATGCAAACAGGGCACTATTCCCTCTTTTCTCTGGTTCTTTTCATGCTTCTACTATATTCCTAACTTTTATTACAGAAAAGCTTCTTTTCCACTCTCAGGTTCCACGGCTCAGAGTATCAACCCTACAAGAAAAGCTGAAAAAAATACAAATTCAGGACAACCTGAAGGGGAATTTGCAAAAATGTGTTAGAATTGTTGATGGTAAACATATGTGTAGAATGGAAAATGGCTTAGTTGAAAATGTTTACAACTCTAATAAAATTATAAATTTTACAGTTATAGGTTTTCGTTATATTATTTATCAGGAGATACTTTATAGAATATTTGAATGTATCATATATTATCAAACCGTGTCAACAGTGAACTTCTTTCCCTATTGTAGACTTAATGATCTTCTGTTTCATGTATTTATATCAGAAATCAAAGCTGAAAATCTTGATGTTTCTCTACTACATAATAATTCAATGTGGTAGTAGTAATATTTAGTAATACTTAGCAGTATAATACATAAGTAATATATAGTAATAATAAAAGATAGTCATACTTAGCAGTATCAAATTTTATTGTAATTTTTAAAATTAAGAGCCAATATTAAAATTTTCTGAATGAGAATATCACCTTCAATTACTATTATATATCACTGAATGTCTCTGGAAATGTTTTTGCTACAGACTTCATCTTATTTTTAATGAATTCAACCTAAAACTACAATAATACTTCTATTAGTAACATAGTCTCTGACAAAGTCATTTTGTGTAGTTTGAATCACAAACTATATCAAGCTAATTTATAGACTTCAGATACATCAGAAGTTAAAAGTAGAAGCAAGATCTCTCTTCCCATACAAATTAGCAGCAGTTATA
Organism: Homo sapiens; assembly: GCF_000001405.40. NCBI lineage: Eukaryota > Metazoa > Chordata > Mammalia > Primates > Hominidae > Homo > Homo sapiens. The sequence goes on along the minus strand of NC_000001.11, from coordinate 194,383,682 downwards.
TTTTGTGAACTTGAATTACAATTCCAGCATTATTTTGTGTAACACAATGCAAACACAAATGAAAGTGCCATATTTCAAAATGAAATGAACTGTGCATTTAAGGGACTTCCAGATAAACGTCAGTTGAAAGTAAGAAATATGCAATAAACTGACATGCTAAAGGCTAATATCAATTGAATAATATGAGCTCTACAAATGCCTTTTAAATGATTAATATACTCAACACAAATTATATGCTTAAGGACTCATATTGACATTTGGCAGCAGTTATTTCATAGAAAACCTTTAAAAATGTGAAATATGGGAAGTTTTTTTATAAAACAGCATTAGCAAATAATCATTTGCAATTAATTTTGGTAAGAGTATGTGCTAACTTTGAACACAATTAAGCAAAATGCTTTCTTTCCTTCAAAAACAATTTTATCCTCATTGGTAGATCCGCATTGAGTAAAAAAGTACTCAATTATTATCAATATATCTTGAATTTTAAAAATGAAAGTTGTGGATTTTTTCTTTTTCTATAAGTAGCTATATAATATCCTAAATTTTGTCTCTTGGCCCAAAAGGCCTAAAGTATTTCCTATCTAGATTTTTAGTGACAAAGTTTTCTAAGCCCTGATTCAAACACAAAATAACAATTTTGGAAGCATTATGTTTAAAGAGATTTCTAGTGATATTTTTTCTTGTATAATCTGAATTCCAAAGATTAATTTTTTTATGACTGGGAAAACTGCATCTGTGTATGCTTAAAAAAATGTCGATTATTTTTCCAAAATGCCTGGTGTGAAAAGGTTCTGTATGATTTAAAAATCACTGACATTATTATATGTATTTTCAATATTTACTGAAGAAACAAAAGAGTTGATAAAATAATAATCATACATAAAATATAATAAAAATTAAAAACTTCAAATTTTGTTAAATTGTGAGAAACTATTTTGTTAAATGGTGAGAAAGGAGAAAAATCAGTAAAATCTCCTTTGGAATTTGCTCTTACACATCTGCATAAATAAAATTTCTTATTGATAACTGAACATCAAGAATTTTAGAGAGCACTATTTAATATTTTGATCAAGAATTTTAGGTGGCCATTTTAACTACAAAAGTCTATATAAATTATTGTTAAGTATTTTATTAAAATTTTGTATAAACTATTTTCAACACATTTAACATGTAATACATTGTCATTAATTTGTTTTTATTCTATGTAATTACTTTGTGTAAGGTGAATTCAAGTTTTAAAAATAAGCCCATAAGGCTGGGCGCGGTGGCTCACGTCTGTAATCCCAGCACTTTGGAAGGCCGAGGCGGGCGGATCACGAGGTCAGGAGATCGAGACCATCCTGGCTAACACGGTGAAACCCCGTCTCTACTAAAAATACAAAAAATTAGCCGGGCGAGGTGGCGGGCACCTGTAGTCCCAGCTACTCGGGAGGCTGAGGCAGGAGAATGGCGTGAACCCCGGGGGGCGGAGCCTGTAGTGAGCCGAGATCGCGCCACTGCACTCCAACCTGGGCGACAGCGAGACTCCGTCTCAAAATAAATAAATAAATAAATAAAAAATAAAAATAAAAAATAAAAATAAGCCCATAAATACACTTCAAAACTCGCTTCAATTTAGCCAAATGTGTTATACAAGTATGAATTTGTTGTGCGGTGTAAAATGGAAAAGTTAGGATGTCCAGACCAAATTGATCAGGACTTAACAAGGTATTTAGTATTGTGGTTTTTAAAAACTAACGATAAATATACTGTGGCACATACAATTAGTAGAGCTCCAAGCAGCTGAATGAGAAATAAGGAAGATTTCTATATTCTGTATACTGAGAGGCAGTGGTTTCCCAGATATATTTTAAGTATAAAAAATGTAGAAAATATATGTGTCTGAAGCAAAGCAGTGCAGAAAGAATTTAGGTCCCATAGGTCAAGTCTGAATTTAAATCCAATATTTTTTTGTTAGTTTTCTGCCTCAATAATCTATCTAAGGCTATCAGTGAGGTGTTGAAGTCCTCCATTCTTATTATGTGGGTGTGTCAGTCTTTTTGTAGATCTAGAAATTCTCGTTGCATGAAAGTGGGTATTGCAATGTTGGGTGAATATATATCTGGGATAGTTGAGTCTTCTCATTGAATTGAACCCTTTATCATTATGTAATGACATTCTTTGTCATTTTTAAACTACTGTTGGCTTAAAGTCTGCTTCATCTAATGTAAGAATAATGACCTCCACTCTTTTTTGTTTTCTGTTCGCTTGATAGATTTTTCTCCATCACTTTACATTGAGCCTACTGGTGCCATTAAATGTAAGATGGGGCTTCTGAAGAACGCATTCGTGTTTGTATGTTGACCTCTCTAGTGTCATAGGGGAAATTCTCATGGATATCTCCTCAAACATGTTTTCCAAGTTACTTATTCTCTCTTCTTGTCTCTCAGGAATGTCAATGAATCATAGGTTTGGTCACCATACATAACCATATTTCTTAGAGTGTTTGTTTATTGTTTTAAATTCTTTTTTTCTTTTTTTCTGACTGGGTTGGTTCAAAGTCTTTGAGCTCTGAAAATTTTTCCCTCTTCTTGATCTAGTCTGTTGTTAAGACTTCTATCTGTATTTTGAAATTCCTTTAGTAAATATGCACTCTGTGGTCTTTTGGTGTAGTATTTTATATACACAATTTAACTCAGTATCCAAATATGGTTAATTATTGTAGTATCTTACTGATTTTGTTTTGGTTGTTTGTTTGTTCTGTAAGGCAGGATAAAGGTGTTAAAAACCTTCTAGATTATTGACAGTGGGTGTATTTCTCCCTTTCATTGTGTGGGATTTTCTTAACTTATATTGCAGCTATGTTACTAGTTGCATACATGCTTGAGATTATACATTTGTTCCTCTTGAATTGATTATTCAATTACTTTATTATTTCTTTTATTGTATTATTTTATTTTATTGGTCCTCTTAATATATGAAATATATTTATTTTATTATTCCTCACATTAATTTATAATTATTACTTTTTGATTCTAATAATTCTTACCTTCAAATAGTCAAAGGTGTCTTTTTAGTATACAATCACATTTTATATATTTTTTGCTCATTTGCTTTTAATTTCTGTGTTACGCTATTTTCATTTAAAATGATTATAAATATAGACTTATTAAATTTAATTTTGTTATTTGATTTCTATGTTTCTTCTGTTCTTTGTTTTTTTGATTTTCCATCTTGCCATTATTTGAATAATCATGTTTATATTAAAATAATAATCTTAATATTTTAAGTACATTACATTGTATATACTTTATTAATTTATATACAATTTATGTTTATGTATATAAATAACAATATTTTAATGTCCCTGCCAAATAGATTTAAAATATGAACTATCTATAGATTTAAAATATGAACTATCTGTGAATTTGTTTCTAATGCCTCCTTTTTCTATTGGTCTTAAGTCATTTGGTTTTTTTTCTGAACATGAAAAATTGCAGTTGCTGTAGAAGATGATATTTTCTTATAATAGAAATTCTCTTTTTATATGAAGGATAATAGCTCTCGTTTTTCTTCTTGAGTTTCTTGTAGTCTCACCCTTCAGGGTTGCATAGTTAAGAAATTAGCCAATAACTTATAGAAATGTTTACTTAGATTTTGGGGCTCCTTCTCTGCAGTGTCTTCCTTTTTGGTTTTGCCTCTCACAACCAGCCTTAAACCTGACAATTTTCTCCTTGGCAAAGCAATATACTTTCTCCACTTCTTTTGTTCTATTTTCTTGTGAAAGGATTTGGATTATATTCTTTTGAAAAGTCCAAAGTCAATGTGTAACTAACTTCCTGTTCCCCGAAAGTTTCCCTGTATTGCTTATTTTTTTATTGCTGTTTTATATAATTTATTTGGTTTTATAGTCGTTTTAACTTTTCTCATTGTAAAAAGAGGCTACATAATCACAGATACAAAGTTTATTGGGAGAATTAAATGGATTAATACACATAAAGCACCTGAAAAATTTATAGAGCATGGTTGGAATGGTTAATTTTAGGTGCCACTTGACTGGGATAATATGTGGTACAACATTATTTTTATGTGTCCATGAGGATATCTCCAGAAGAAATTAGCATTTTAATCAGTAGACTGAGTAAAGAAGAGCACCCTCTCCTTGTGGATAGGCACCACCCAATGTATTGAGGGTCAGAACAGAACCAAAAGTTAGAGGAAGAAGCTCTCTTTTCTTGAGATGGAACATTTATTCTCTTCTACTTTTGTTCATCAGTGCTCTTGTTCCTCAGGCCTTCAGGCTTCAAATTGAACCGTGACTTACTGGGTACCTTGGTTCTCACGATATTGGACTTAGATTGGCAATACACCACTGACTCTCCTGGGACCCCAGCTTGCAGATGGTAGATCATAAGACTTCTCATCCTCTATAATTGCATGAGCCAATCCCTCATAATAAAACTTCTTATTTAGATATCCCTATATTTATGTCTCTATTATCTATCATCAATCTATCCATTCATTTATCTGTCTATCCATCCATTTATTGATCTATCATCTATTTATCTGTCTATCTATCTATCTATCATCATCTATCTATCTTATTGGTGCTGTTTCTGGAAAAACTCTGAATAATACAATTGAAAAACCCCAATACGTTATAACGACTGCTATCTTTCTTTTTGTTTTGTATTATGCTCCTCTTAAGTCGTTCTTGTAATTACCCCAGCCTTCTGGTATTCCAGTTGGACGTACTGGCTCATAATGAATAGAGTATTATAGAAGAGATAGCACAATTGTTTATAAATTAGGTGGCAAAAACAGCAAGGTTATTCAACTTGGGGAGGCTGTGTGTTTCCATCTTGGATCAATAGTTCTGGGACAAGCAAGCTACTATCTTGCAAGCAGCCTAGTGGAGAGGTCAGTGTGAACAGGAACTAGTGTTTCCAATCAGCAACCAGAAAGAGCTTGAGATCTGAATGTAAACAAGCTTCATAGTGGATTCTCTCTCAGTTGACTCATGAACTGACTGCAACCCTGGCTGACACCTTGATTAGAGTTACAGTGAGACTCTTAGCTAGAACCACCAACTAAAGCTACTCCAGAATTCCTGACCCAAAATATGTGGAAAAATAACTGTTGTTAGTCACTAAGTTTTGAGATTTTTTTTATAAGCAATAGATAATTACCACATTTTCCTGGTTATGGATATATTATTATGTTCTCTCTTATGCTGAATATTGATATTCTTGTCTATATTCTTGTCTATATTCACTCTGGTAAGAGATATATCTATACAAAACAAATACATGTTTGGAAAATGGGAAAGTAAATCCGTACAGCAGACTGATTTTTTTTTTTTTTTTTGCTTATTTTCATTGTTCAAATGTTATGATTTTACACTTACTGGCTTTAGAAATACCATGTTTTTCTAGCCCCAGCAGAACTGAAAGATCGTTCTAGTGAGCCAGTCTACACAATTTCCTTTTATTTTGAAGCATTTTATTGGATTATTTTACTACAGTCAGAAAAAGAATAAGAAAACCAAGATGAAGAGGATGAAGAAGATGAAGAAGAACAGGAAGAGAGTAAGAAAAAGGAAAAAGAAGGAGGAAGAAAACTGAGGTAGAATTGAGTTGCTTTTAAGCCTTGGTGCAGAATTATACAGGGATTTTTTTGTACAATGTTTGTGCTATTTCCCTTTTATAAAACACAAACACACATCTTAACCACTTTAAATCTTTTTTTTTAATTAAATAAGCTGTATGATCTGGAATCCTACAGGACAATTACAAGCAGTAGCCAATATAAAGAGTTCCACAGCAAGTAGTTGGGAAAAAAGAGTCCCTGTATGTAACCAACCAGCTGGGTCCTTAAAAAAAAAAAAAAAAAAAGCGCTGTGAAGTATGAGATTTATGCAAAGCTCTAAAACATTTGGAAATTATAATTCCAGGAGACCAAATGAATGATTGTAAAGGAATTACCAGGTTCAGAAATTTAAATAGGATATTTCAAGGAAACACCTGTTACCTAAGCTGTTCATCTTATTTCATGTTCCCCTGGGATTTGTGTTGGTTCAGTGACATTTGGTATTTGAAGATTGGAAAATGTGTGCAGTGTATGTGTATATATATGTGTGTGGTTCTAGTGTGCATATGTGTGTCTCTGTGTTCTGTATTCATTACACAGTAGTGTTCATAGTCATATAAAATATTCAGCCCTCTATATTAGTATTCTATACATTAGGACTGACAGAGCTGCAGTCATTAATTCTTCACTAATATATTGTAGTTAATAATTAAATGTTTACAAAAGTTTAAAATCATAGCTCAAATCATTTATTAGTAGTTTAATTGTATTTAAATTTTTACAAGAAGAAATTCATATTCCCCAATACCCTTAGACATGTTCCTTTTACAAAATTCATTTAGAACAAAAAAATACTGTTCAGGCCAGTGAATACATTATTTCTTCCAAAATGAATATGCTCAAACAAAATGGATATTGGCATAAACATCTTAATATTTTTGTGGTGATAAAGCCGAGTTACTCTTTTATTGTGTTCCATAATATAAAGAGGCAGTTCTTTTCAAAATCTCATTCTAAGAAATTAACTTTCACTACTTAATTGAATTTGTGATGTGACAAACTCTGAATATTCCACCAAATAGTCTCTAAATTATGTTGACGACTTTCTGTTAAGAATGAAGGATTTTTACACTAATCAATAATGTAGTACTTCCCCTTTCAGTAAAATCTTTTTATCTTCTCTGATTAATAGGACCCTATTTAATAAGACATACATAATCAGGATATTTGGAGTTGACAGAGCCTTTAAGAAGATAGCAGTAGAGGTGCTTAATATAAAATTTATTTTTTTAAAGAGAGAGAAAAAATTAAACAAAAATAATCTCCCATTTTAAGCCTAACTTGATTATCTTGGTAATAGGCTCTTAAACCAGAACAATAATAAATAAAAGGCATTGCTTAATGCAGGGTTCCCTCCTACCCTTAGGATTCGGTGTATTCTGAATGTGGTGCCTGAACATTCATTTACTTTATTTTAGTGAGGTTCATTCATATCATTGACTTTGTTTTTTTTTTCTTCTGCAAAAATAGCTGATTCATTGATTAAAATGTAAGCTCCTGAAGTCAGGGGCATTTTCCTACCTTTCTCAGCATTTTAGTACATGGAATAATTTCTGTCATAAAAGTAGCTGTAGATGTTGTTTCCCTAATTGAATTAGCACTTAAGATCTACTCTTAACTATTTTATTTTTGGTGTATATTTTTGTGTAAAATGCAGAGGGCTTATGTGAATTGAGTTTTTGGATAGATTTGATTTAAAGAAACAATGTCTTTCTGATCAACAATGAGAAGATGATTTGTAAATAATGGATTATTTGCTGTCTTCTGGATTTGTCAAAAATTCATATTGTCTGATGACATTCAACTGTCATCGTAACACCAGAATTATAGTTACTCAGACAGTTTGAAAAAGAGTGAGACTTAAGTAAATTGTAATACCTTACTTGGCTCAACTTAACCAATGGGTGAATAAGTTATCGACATATAATTTTTCTGATTCAAACCTTGCTACTTAGCTGTATGACTAAAGACAAATATTTCACTTTAAGTTCAGAATCACATAAAAATACTAGAGTTCATTTAATATATTTAATTCTCCTTCCATTTAATTTTTTATGGCAATAAATAATGGTGAAACTAATCATTTAAAAGAATTACAGGAAAACTTGTTGATAGAAGTTCTCAAAGTTAAGATATAGAAGATTAACATGAAACAGATATCTAAAATTGAAATTTATTAAGGCTGATGACTTAAACTAGTAATGAAAATAGTTTTGTAGACAAAAAAGGCTTTGGCAGAGCAAATATATGTTTGTCAAGAAGGCAATGGAAATAAATTTTATTTGTGTCAGAATAATGACACATTCCTCCCTAAAAAAATTGAGACACAGTGTAAGACAATCTATTTTAATTATTTGATTTTTATTCCTTTTTAAGATTTTTGAGCTCAGATGACACAAACCCATAACTGTTCTGTATAAATTAATCTTGGGATAGAATATCTCTTGTCTTTATGGGTAGCATATCAACATTTGAAACATTGCCTCTTTCAAAACCTAAATGTTACATTGATATTTCAGAAACCATCCTTTGTCTCACAGGTAGTAATGCTATCCTCACAGTGTATTTAATGCTGATACTCTTGACTTATTTATACGTTTCTTCTAAAAAAGAAAAAAATTGTCTGAGTTCATTATGCACACAAAACATTCAAAATCTGCAGAAATTAATTTTAGGATATTATGATCTTACTAAATGCTTAACCAGAGGAGCAAACAATATTTTATTTAATCAAAATGACTTTATTACTAAGAAAAAGATTCAAAACAGCTCTCTTTTTTCTTAATACCTAATAAGGCTGGCACATATTTCTACATTTTAAAATATTTTTGTATACTATATCGCTGACATTTTAGGTTTTTATGTAAGCACTACCATATGGCATAAATATTAATTCATTTCATTTATAAATGTTGTAATTTGTTGTGACTGAGGTCCAAATTCTGATTTGCTAATTGTCTTGGAGGACCTTTCTTCGTAAGAGAAAAATACATGTCTTTGGAAAATAAGTGTTTTTTCTAAAATTTTAAAACTCTATATTTTTAATACAAATACTATAGTCCTGAGATTAGAAAGTTTTTCTCTGGGTGCTCTGCTAGGGCGTGAAAAATACTTCTAGCATCTACCACTTCTTTCTACTATTCTTACTGTTCTATAGTGTTTCTTACCTTCTGATATTGTGACATGTCACGTCATATACAGTCATGCGTTGCTTAACAACGAAGACACATTCGGAGAAATATGTCTTTAGGTGATTTTGTCACTCAGCAAACATCATAGAGTTTCTTTCCACAAACCTAAATGGTGTGGCCTAGTACACACATAGGCTATATGGTATATCCTATTGCTTCTTGGCTTCAAGTGGTTAAAGCATTTTACTGTAACTGAATACCGTAGGCAACTGTAACAAAATGATATCTGTGTATCTAAATACAGAAAAGGTAATGCCTAGCACTAGGACGTTGCCTTGGTTAAAATATCACTAGATGATAGAAACTTTTTAGCTTCATCATAATCTCATGGGACCATTGTCTGTATGTGATCTGTCATTGACCAAAACATTATGTGATGCAAGACTGTACTTTAAATTTCCAACTATTTTTTAAAAATTTTAGTTTAAGTTCTGTGATATATGTGCTGAATATGCAGGTTTGTTACAAAGGCACACTTGTGCCATGGTGTTGGCTGCACCTATCAACCTGGTATCAAAACATAGCAATAAAAGTTGTTATGGTTCTGATAGTATAACATACAATTTTTTGTTTCTTTTAAAATTTATTATTTAACTTCCAATGCCACCATTTTAAATTAGTACAAACTACACAATAATACTTTAACTGGGCATACATGTATATTTTAGTGGATTATCACAAATAAAACATCTGTGTGAACCACCCAAGTCAATCAATTGAATATTGGAAACATCTCCAAGCCCTGTTTTTGTCCCATCCCAGTCACTTTTTCTTATCCTACCAAATGTCCTAACATGCTTTTTTTTTAATATAGAAATCCTTTCCTCACTTGTCTTAAGTAAAGTAATAATGAAAGCTGAATGAACGCTATATCCTTCTTGGCCCTTAAGATGCATAGAATAACCTGGTGGTCTTCATAAAATGTAGATTCTGGTTTAGATAATTCAGATTTGGGCCTGAGATTCTATGTTTCTTAATGCTCCCAGGTGATCTTAATGTTCCTGTTCCAGGCACCATATTTTGACTGTCAACTTGCTAGAAAAAAACATCAATGTGCCCTTTACTATTGATATCATTAACTCCTACTTGTCTAGTTTTGCTTTTTTTCTTGTAAACAAATGAGTTTAAGAATGTTTTTCCAGAAGATGGCTTACTCTGATGTATGTTTTCTTCCATGTTTTGAAGACTTTTTACCTCTGTATTTATTAATGGAATGACTAAAGGCAATAGGCAACTTAAATAAGCCTTACTTGCACTCATCTGAATGAAGATTTCACTGTGCCCTGGTCTCCTAAGCAGTATGCTGGAATACACCAATCAGTTCCCAAAAAAGGGAGAACAGGTTCTACTCTTGAGGGACCATAAGTGTAAATAGCTATTGTAATTAAGGCCCTCTTTTAACGAGCCCAAGAAAGTTCCTGCTGTTACTCCAAAATCTCAACACCTGTTTTGTGGGTCTGGATAAGTTTGAATCTGGCACATCTAGAAATTTCAATGAGAGAAAACAATTAGTTCAAATGATACTTCCAATAAAATCCAAACACCTGGCAGTGATAAAACTAGAGTTTTTCTTTCTCAAGAGAATGAGAAAATTAAGACTGTCATTGGGGAAGCAGCAGGAAATACTTTAATTTGCTGTGAATTTCTTTCTTTTCCCTCCTTATTTTGGTGAATTAAAGAGTGGTCCAAGAAAATCACACTCGGTCTTTCTCTCCCTGAATTTTAAAAAGGAATTTAAGGGAAAGTGAGGTGAGACAGTCAACAGCATTTACTATTTTGGAAGATGAGCCAAGTTTCATATTGTTAGTAATATGGAACTCACTTGAGTATCTTCCACAGATCTCATTCTTATTAACAACTATGTAGTTGTTTATTTGAGTTATTCTCTCTACTACGTAAGTGGCTATAATTTCAGGGATTTTGCAACTATTAACATCATGTCTTCAATGCTTTTGCTAGTATATCCCATGGCTGTGGCAGTGGAATTGGTTAAACGCATACATGTATTTTAAATGCTGAGTGATGTTAATAAATTGACTTGATAACATAGGAAGAAATTTTAAATGCTGAGTGACGTTAAATTGACTTGATAACATAGAAGGAAACAACACACACTGGGGCCTATGGGAGAGTGGAGGGTGGCAGGAGGAAGAGGATCAGGAAAAAGCAACAAAAATAAATCATGGGTACTAGGCTTAATACCTGCGTAATAAAATAATCTCTATAACACAAGTTTACCTATGTAACAAACCTACACATGTGCCCATGAACTTAATATAAAAGTTAAAAAAATTAAAAATAATTTGCACTAATTTTTAAATGCACACCAAGATTTTATGAACAGGGACTCTATTGTGGACACCAAAAACATCTGTAATAGCTGAACAATGATTTGCCATTGTTATTTGGGTCTGCATCTCTTTCATTATGAACCAGGCTAAAGCTTCTTCTATACATATACAGCCCATTTATATTTTTCCTTGTGTTTATTATGCCCATTGTTTGTTTCATGTTTCTGTTATTGTTTGTCTCATGAATTATGATGTTTTGATTTATTTTATGGCTTCGACTTTTTTCTGTTTAACTCTTGTTATGTGGACATGTTAAACTTACTCTAGTTATCAAATTTTCTCTAATAATTTTGTAGTTTTCTGCAAAATATTGCCTAACATATATTGTAATTATGACATTTTAGAAAGAAAAGCATAACAATTAAGGTTGGACCTATTTTCTAGGACCCACACAATTTTTCTGTGCATATACTAAAATGTTGGTATATTTGGAATTTATTTCGTTGTTAGGTCTGGTTCTTTCTTTCTTTCTTCCTTCCTTCCTTCCTTCCTTGCTTTCTTTCTTTCTTTCTTTCTTTCTTTCTTTCTTTCTTTCTTTCTTTCTTTTTCTTTCTTTCTTTCTTTCTTTCTCTTTATTTTTCCTTCCTTCCCTTCTTTCCAAGATTATGTTAATCTGTCAAAACATTATTTGTCTCTGAAAAGATATGCCATATTCATATGCCATAAATTGTTGTATGTATCTCTATCTATATTTAGGCTATCTAACCTGCTTCGTTAATGTCTTTATATTCCAGTACTAATCACTTTATTTTACTGTAGTCTAACAGTATATTTTCATAAAGGCAAGGCTACTTCTTTCTATAATTATTCTCTTTAAAGGTTTTTTCCTAGTATTTTTGCTTGTTTATTGTTGTTTACTTAGAAATTAAAAAACAACTTATGGGATACCAAAACAAAACAGATAAAAACTTGTGCATATTTTTATTGCAATTGTATTAAATCTATATGTGAATTTGTGTCAAATTTGCATCTTCACAATGTTGAACCATTTTAAGACAGTATGAGTCTGCATATGTACATGATTGATGTAAAATTTAAATAATTTTCTCATAAAGGGGCTATCTACATATTTATTGTTAAGTACATTTCTAAGCTTTTTTAATCATTGTATATAAGTAACCTATTGAGTTTTGCATATTAATTTTTAACCAACTGACATAAATTTTAGCTGTTTCTACTATTGCATGAATTTAACAAGAAGGAATAAATTTATTACCATTTTGTTATAACTTTTCATGAGGATAGATAGGATTATATAATAACATATGCATCTTATATAAATATACTTTATGTACATACATATGTGCATGTCACACTATTGTAGTTAAAGTTTTGGAAGTAATTTGTGTTGAATTTTATTGCTTATTATTTGAATAAAACCTTTAGTTTGATTATATATAATATACATAATTTGATTATAGATATATAAAAGCACTCACACATATATAAATTTTTACATATGTATGTTTGTGTTTGTGTATATATATAAGTACACATGCATATATAAATCTAGTATTCTTTGTAAAAGTATTTGCAAGTAGTCGATGCTGAACTTTATTAAAGGCTATTTCTGTTTCTCTGGTATTTGTTAAAGAGCCTTTTTTTTGACCTATTAATATATTCAGTCATGTACATGAGTATAAAATATGTTTGAATGCTACTTATTGTTATATTAACCTTGCTTAGTATAACCGGAATGAATCTATTTTCTGTGATGTAACTTATATTTTTGTATTGATAGCTAAAGTGAGTTGGTATGCAGCTGCCCTTATTTTGTACTCCTTACTTGAATTAGGGAATCAATATTGTGGCGTTGGTTTCATATCTATTATGGCTCTTTCCTCTCCCCCTCCCCTCCCCTCCCCTTCCCTCCCCTCTCCTCTCCTCCCCTCCCCTCCCCTCCCCTCTCCTCCCCTCCCCTCCCCTCTCCTCTCTTTTCTTTTCTTTGTTTGAGATTGAGTTTTGCTCTTGTAGTCCAGGCTGCAGTGCGATGGCACAATCTCAGTTCACTGCAACCTCTGCCTCCCGGGTTTAAGCAATTCTCCAGTCTCAGCTTCCCAAGCAGCTGGGATTATAGGCATGCGCCACCACCCCCAGCTAATTTTGTATTTTTAGTAGACACCAGGTTTCACCATGTTGGTCTGACTGATCTCAAATTCCTGACCTCAGGTGATCCACCGGCCTCAGCCTCCCAAAGTGCTGGGATTACAGACATGAGTTACCGCGCCCGGCGTGGCTTTCTTATTTCCATTAAATTCTGCAATTAGGAATTTAGAATTGATGCAATCTGTGTTTAAATTAACTTATAATATTCTTCTGTGATTCCTTCCGCAAATAATTCTTCAGATAGCTAAATTGGGTGAATTAATAATCAACATTTTGCATGAGAATTATTTGCCTACATTTTCTATCTCTTTTAGTGTCATTTTTAAAAGTAATTGATATTTTTCTAGAAAGTCTTTTTTGTTATTCAAGTTTTCAAAACATACAGTCAAAGTGTATGATAGACTGCCTAAATTCTGGGAGCAAAAGCTGCATAAAATACCTTCCAGGAATTTGGACCATCAAATACAGCTATGTGTATAGGGAAATTTAGAAAGACAGCACATATACCTAGGACAAGTCACATGCACAGATAAGACTTGAGAAGACTTGAGTTTTCACTACTGACTGACCTCTAGTTTCAGTGTAACCACTGTTAGGTGTTGGAGATGTGTCTTGGCACAAGGCCAATCTGCAAAGACTGGAAGAAGACACTTATCTTGCACAACATATAAAAAGTCAACTAAAATTTAATCAACAACCTAAATATAAGTGTAAACGATAAAATTCTCAGAAGAAAACAGAAAATCCTTGTGATCTTGCTTTGACAATGGATTCTTACAAAGGGCATCAAAAGCATGAATAACAAAGGAAAACGATAGATTAGAATTCATCAAAATAAAAAAGTGCATCAATGGACATTATTAACAAAATGAAAAGACAACCTACCGAATGTGAGAAAATATTGGAAATTATATACCTGAGAGTGGTCTAGTATTCAGAATCTAAAAAGGACACTTATCAACAACAAAATGACAAGCCAATTTTAAAATAGGTAAGGACTTAGACAGACACATCTTTAAAGATATGCAAATGTTCAATGAACTCATGAAAAGATGCTCTGCATCATTAGTCATTAGGCAACTGCAAACCAAAAGTACAGTGAAATACCATTTCCCACCCACTGGAAACTAACAAGTCTAGGCAGGAATGTGGAGAAGAAATTGGAATGCTGATCATTGTTAGTGGGAATGTAAAATAGGTCAGCCTCTGTGGAAAATAATTTGGTGATTCCTCAAAAAACTACCATGTTCCCAGCAATTCCATGACTAGGTACACACACAAAATAATTGAAAACAGATATTCAAACAGAATCTTGAATATGAATGTTCATAGCAGCACTATTGAAAACTGACAAAAGTGGAAACAACACAAACGTCCATGAATGGATGAAAGGATAAACAAATTGTGGTACATACACACAACAGAACATTATTTACCCATAAAAAGGAATGACAGTGATACATACTAAAATGTGGATATCCCTTAAAATTACTATGCTAAATGAAACAAACCAGACATTAGAGATGACATTTTCTATGATTCTGTTTACATAAAATATCCAGAATAGATACATCCATAAAGACAAAACACAGATTGGGAGTTGCCAGGTAATAGAGGAAGGGAAAACAGGGAGTGACTTTATAATAAATACAGGGTTTTATTTTGGAGTGATGAACACATTTTGGAACTAGATAGAGGTGGTTCTACAACAGTACGATATTATTATTGTACGAAATGCCACTTACTTGTTCAGTTTAAAAGGTTAAATTTACATTACTGATTTTTACATTAAGTTTTAACTTACAGACCTTGGTAAAATTGTATCCTGTCCTAGGCCGGGCGTGGTGGCTCACGCCTGTAATCCCAGGACTTTGGGAGGCTGAGGTGGGTGGATCACGAGGTCAAGAGATCCAGACCATCCTGGCCAACATGGTGAAACCCCGTCTCTACTGAAAATACAAAAATTAGCTGGGTGTGGTGGCGCGTGCCTGTAGTCCCAGCTATTTGGGAGGCTGAGGCAGGAGAATTGCTTGAACCTGGGAGGTGGAGGTTGCGGTGAGCTGAGATCGCGCCACTACACTCCAGCCTGGGCGACAGAGCGAGACTCCGTCTCAAAAAATAAAATAAAATAAAGTAAAACACAGAAGTAATAAAATTAATTTTAAAATGTCTTTAACTCAGGTTCTTATTATATAATGTTTTCGGGGAACATTATTTGAATTTTAAAAAGCTGAAATGACCTAACCAGAATATCATTCTCTTCTGATGAAGATATTTATGTAGTTTCCTATGTGTGTGACTACAAGGTATCTGCTGTAATCAAATCATCATTGATGGGAATGATATGCTGAATCAGTGTTGCAGTAATAATTGAAGTGCTATTTCTACTTCTTATAAATCATAATAGAGAAAATGGAGTCATACTTTTCATATGCACATGGGAAAAAAGATCATGGTTTGTCAGAACCTATGCTAAATGAAATTTTACTGAAATAGATTTCACACCCATTAAAGCTAGGGAGCATGTCAAATCATTCTGGACACATGTGCTGCTATACTTACATTAGTTTGAAATGTTTTGAGACTAGAACAAACAAAAAACTACCACTCTGTCACCTCCTGATTATGATAATTACATTACAAAACAAAGATCTCATTTGTCATCCTAATTAGTTGTAGGAAAAAATGAAGTTATGTCATTTGATGAAAATCTATGCCAAAATGTTCTGTGAAATTTAGTATTATTCTCAATTTGCAGGCACATAAAATGTTATCATTGCCATTATGATGTTTCTCATACTCTAAGTTGTCAAAAATTTTGCTTTGTTATAAGATAAAACAGATAGATCAACTTAAAAATGTATCTTGATGTTATCGAACCATTATTTCAAACACTTAACTTGGATAGAGGACCTAAAAACCTCTGAGTTCAAGGTCATCACAGAGTCAAGAATCCAGAGCAGCTGAAAATTGAATCAAAGCTAAACACTTTGCAAGAAGCGTGGTGAATGTTGTCTAGAGGAATTAAACTGAAAATGATATTTGCTGTAGTTTCTTTTATGAGGTGAATAGGCAGTAAAGTATTTGGGGAATGCTGCTGGTAAAAGGTATGAAGGACCACGGTCTTCTCTTAGGCTACCCTTTAGGTGCCTAGAATTTCCCAGGTTCTCCTAGTAGAAAGTCCTGGCATACTGTGGATTATTTTTTAGGGGTTGGGTTTTGGTTCACAGATGTTTATCTGCTGTTCTCATTCTCTTTATGACAATGTTAGTCTTGCTTTTATATATTTTCAGTTCTTTGCCACTATATCCTCCATATCACAATGACAGGAAAGCTTGAGGAAGACAGGGCAAACCTGCGTAGACAGCAGTAATAGGAGTCATAATGTTGTACATTTGGTTACCTTCTTATTTATTAAAGCCCTGAAAGGCAAGATGATTATGCCTAATAGGAATCTAGAGGTTAGCAAGAATGATGACTTGGGATTTTTCAGTCCCTTTCAATGCAAATAAGCAATGCAAAGTTATAAAATGGGAAAGGGTAGAGATGAGTGAGTGGGTGCAGCCTCTGGAATGAACATAGTTTTTTATGGAGATGAGTCAATATATGATGGTCAATCAGCTTTCAAAGAATGAGGAATCATTTAAGTCCTCAGAGTAATAAGCTTTTTGCCATCCATATGACTAAACAGATGGAGGAGTAATGCTTTATGTCACCTATTTCTTACTGCCTCATTTGATTAACTGAAGGCCTGGCAATGGGTAGAATTGAGGACTGCGATCGGAACATGCTCAAAGATAAACCAGAAGACAGATTCAATTCAGACTTATCTCTTGTTACCCATTGTCTATTCTTGTGTATGTATGTGTATATATATATATAATTTTGCTCCTTGATAAAAGGAACATATAACACATCGCTATTGGAGTTTACTCTAAAGATCATCTATTGATCAGCCATAGCATGAGAATGGATCATGGGGTAGGGAAATAACAACAACAGAAAACATTTCTGCTATTTAATTGTATGGCTAGGGGAGAAATGTAATGAAATGATATAATGATGATTAAAACTGGAAGATATTAAGAGCTGAAAAATTGCCTGCAAGATATGTAGTATGAAAACATGTCCTAGTGTCAGTGCATTCTTTCTAGTCACTAGTCATCTGAATGGTAACTCAACAGGTGGATCGATATATTGCTTGATTTAAGGAAATAATGATTTAGTTAAAAGGGACACAGAAGCATTAATTCCAATGTGGCCCAACTATAAAATACATTCATTGACTTTGGAGAAGACATAGATCTCATCATGGGCTCCCTCAGTCCCACACATAAATATTTTGCATTTTGATATTTCAATTAAATCATCAGGCTTAACAGAGTGACTGTTTCCCCACTTAGTGTGGCTAAAATGTTCCTTTGTGATTAGATAAGTATATTTACTGTTCTGACACATCATATATTAACATTATATCTTCTAAGGGAAGATAGAGGGTATCTTTTGAGAGATAAAGTAGAAGTTCTGCATTTCATTCCTTTGAATTGGAAAAAGTTGGGTTAAGTTCTCATCCCTCAACCAAAAACTACTACCAAGGAGTTACATTATTTGATTAGCTTAATTCACGTAGCGGATGGGGGCAAGTTTGGTGCTATCAAATTTTATGGCTGAGGATAGGAGGGTACCAATGGGGAAACAAAGGGTAGAAGGAAAGGAAAATGTATTGGTGCCTCTTAAAAGAGCACAAGAGCTAATCTAAAGTACTCCCCATATCTGAAACAATTTTACCAACCTTAGAATTAATAATAGATAGTGTTAGATTATTACCCAGATAATAAAATAAATTTCCATGACTCCATACTGGTAGAAATAATAAATGAATAATATAAATGAAGAGAAGGCACAATTTTTAGAAAATAATTCCAATTAATAAATATATAAAGAATAAAGGGAATATAAAATCACCATTAGAACTCTATAGCAATATTTCCTGCAGGCAAGAATCAACATTGTGCAATAAAACAGTGAGCATAAGTTAGAGAAAAAAGGGAATATGTGCATCTTCTCAAAACATCTCCACCCAAATAGATATTTTTAAATTACTGATATGGTTTGGCTGTGTTCCCACCCAAATCTCATCTTGAACTGTAGGTCCCACAATTCCCATATGCTGTGGGAGGAACCTGGTGGAAGTTAATTGATCATGGGGGTGGGTCTTTCCCATGCTGTTCTCATGATAGTGAATTGGTCTCACAAGATCCAATGGTTTTATAAAGGGGCATTTCCCTACACAAGCTCTCTCCTCTTGTCTGCCACCATGTGAGATGTATTTTCACCTTCCACCATAATAGTGATGCCTCCCCAGCCCTGTGGAACTGTGAGTCCATTAAACCTTTTTCTTTTGTAAGAAGCCCAGTCTTGGGTATGTCTTTATCAGCAGCATGAAAATGGACTAATACAATTACCAAGAGAATAGTAGTTACAATATGATGGAGAAAGCTGACACTCAACATCTCAACTGAGTGATCAAAGTTTGCATTATCCAGAAAATGACTTAGCATCATTTCCCTTTGGCCTCATGCACTGAGAAAGACTCATTACTTTTGTGGTATTCTACCCAATAATGCATGACTTCCATATAGTTATGAAAATATTGTCAAACTAAAAATTGACAGAAACTCTAAAATAACTGGATAGTACTCTTTAAAAAGTTTCAAGTCTGTAATAAGCAAGGAAAGACTGAGGAATGGTTACTTATTCAGGGAGTCTAAGAAGACATGACAACCAAATGCTTTGTGAAATCTTGAATTGTTTCTGACTTTAGCTGAAATAATCAGCTAATCATTTCAGCCATGAGAGGCATTCAGATCATTCTCAACTCATTGGATAAGTTAGTTCTGGATAATAGAATCACCTTAGGCTTTCTCCTTGTGGGACAATGTGCAATGTGTAAGTCTATAATACATCATGATACATCATGCAGTACCTAAACAAAAGCCTCAGGCGAAGATAAAGGTTAATACTAGACCTTTTGGAGAAATCCGCCTGGCTTTCTAAGGTAGATTTTAAAAGTTTAAATCATTTGTTCAAAAGTTGACATTTGTATTCAGGAACCTGGAGGCATGGTGAGGTCAATACTTCAGAATGACTTTCTGTTGCTCCTTGAAATTCTGTTGATAGTAGCCTTAATTATCTACTGTATAAGGAAACATAAGTGGATTTGTTTCAGATTTCGTTGGTCAGATTGAGTGGCCAATGAAGTGGCATATTTATGGAAATATTCACCATAAAACAAGACAGTGTAGATACAAGAAGTAGATATTGTTGAACAAAAATTCTTCATTGTCGGTTACATCTCCAAACTTGTGAGCAGAGACACTTGTTGCCTTTGTTCCAGACTATCTTTCTAAGGATGATTTTATAACAAGCAGCCTTGACATACAGAGATAGTGTCTCTCTTCAAAACAAAGGACGAGTTTACTTACTATCCAATGTAATAAATATAATATCTCCCCTAGAGCTAGGGTCAGGCAGGCTTACTACCCATTATAAAATATGTGGGCCCCTAAGCTTGTGTGTCTTTTCCTATCATGCATCTTACTGAGGCTTGGGGAAACTCTCTAAAAGTGCTGATACTCTGACCACTTCTCTTGCTGTGAGAATAATGCAGTCCTTTTTCTCTGACCATGGAGAGTGATATATATTCTTCAATTTTCCAAATAATTGAGGCAGACTAACTTGCTAGCTTACAGTGTGGTAAAAACTCAGAGCTCTCACAGTTGTTGACACCCAATATAACCTATTATTTCCTACAGAGAAAAAGAGGAGGCCATATTTGCTGTAATAGATAGAATATGTCAATAGTCAAGAGCAAATTGAGGGCTCTAAATGTTATAAATAAGGCAAATATAAAGCAGACACTAAATTTCAGTAGGAGGCATTTACAGTTTTCTAGGGATAACATGTAACCTGCCTTCTCCTCTCACACCTTTATTTAAACAGCTCTCACTTACACTAATATTGAGCTTCTGATTGTTAAACAATTTTCCATTCCTGCATTACTGTACCTTTCTGTTTCATGAGATATTTTGATCATGCCATTCTATTTAAAAATTTCCCTTGCTCTCTGCAACCTTTCATCCTCTAATTCTACTCATATTTTTTTCTGATTATTCATCCCTTATTAAAAGGGTATGTCTTATCTTCCAAAAAGTGCTTATTTCTCTAGGATCTGCCCAACATGAAAGTTTATCCACTTTTTATAGATTTAACATATCTAGCATACGATTTTACTCATAAACTGATCTACATAGATATGCCTGTAGCTTATACCATTTTTCTGAGTTGACTGCTGAAAACCTCTTCCAGAAAACTTCATATGTTCAAAATTGAACTTGCAATTTCCATATTTTAAACATCTTTTTTTCATTATTATTATTTTTGTCTGTTTCATCAGTTAGCAGCCTGATCCAGTCACCTGAAAGTTATCTTGTATTCTCTTATTCTTTTTTAGTTCCCATATCTTATCAACTATAGTCCTTCAGAGCTTTCTCAAATTGCCCCATCCTCTCCATTCTTATTGCTATTGCTCTTGATACAGCTCTCATCTATTGCTCTCTGTGCTTGTTTTGTGGTGCTCAAAATTAGCTTCTCTATTGCTGCCAGAATTGTCCTCTTTGCAGGTGCCCATAGGATAAAATAAAAAATAGCCATGAATTCAAGAACATCTGTGAACTGTCCCCTATCTCGTTTTCAGCTTTGTTTTCTGCCACTTCCTAATTACTGAGCTCTATGGACAAGAAATATTAATAGTAAACTACGACTTTCTACTTCTGCTCCTACAAACACACACAGACAAAACCCTCTACCACAGGACTATGCTCATGCGTTCCCCTGGAGTGCTCATGTGCCTGATGTGTTTCTGTTCTTTCAAAGTTTCCAGAAAAAAAAAAAAAAGTTCTTCCTTTAAAAATCAGGGCTACCTTTACTTTTTCAGAAAACTTTTTTCGGTTTCAATAATTCACCAGGTCTATTATTTAGTATTAAATCACTTCTTTTTGGTACATTCATAGGATGTTTTTAATTCATCTTATTAAAACTATACAGTGATTTGGGGCATCTATATTTCTTTCTGCCCTCCTAAATTTGTGAATTCCTTGAGGTCAGGTGAAGTCATGCCTTATTCATCTTTTCTGTTGTGTTGTGTTTCGTTTTTGTTTTTGTCTCATACAATGACTGGTCCAATTTCAGCAATTTGAGAAACAGTAAATAGAATGAACAAATACCAGTGATACCATATCTATATCCATATCCATATCTACCTATGGGTACACACATATATACGTATAAAATCTGCTCCTCTGTATGTGAAAATTAACTAGACCATTTTGGCTGCACAGAAGCAGTATTTTTTAAACAATCCCCTAGCTATCTCTAGATTGCCCTTTAGCAGAGGCAACAGAATTAAGTGTCTATATTTAGCAAACTGGCTCAAGAGCCTGTATGAAGCTACTGGAAACTCGATTCCAAGTCATTTATTTTAACAACCACAGTATTTCTTAAAGCCAATCCTGCCTTACTGCTTTCCTTCTAACCAAATGTAGGCTTTGAATTAAGAATAATATAATGTAACTTTTATCTCGAGGCATGAGTTATTTAACAAAGGATTTATGTATTCATTTTTACTTTTTGACTGAATATTACTATAATAATTCGAAACACATATAGTATAGAATGTGTACATTAAATATGGTATGCATATTGGTAATAAAAATATCTTGTACCTTTCAGACATTATTGCAACATATGTACTATTTCCAATATGTAACAGATATTTATCAATTCATCAAAACAAAAGAATCTACCTTCCATAAATAACTATTTCATCATAACTTCTGGCATGCCAAAAAACTCACGTTATCAGATATCTATAAATAAATACACACAATATACAATTTATATGTTTCTACATGAAAACATGTCTTAAAAATCCATACAGATTTTAGCCACCCTTCTAACACTACTTGGGGACAGCAAAATTATGGTCACAATTTAAAATGTTACTTATCTTTTTAAAACAAGCATTATGTAAGTTTTGTTTTCTCAAAAAGCTCAAATCCAGTGAAATAAACATCTACATTCACTGACTTTTACAGTACATGCACATCTTTGCCCTAGCCTCTTAAAAAGCTCATACTCGGGCTAATTGCTGTGATAGAACAAATATGACAATATTTTAACATGAAGAGTATTTTTGAAAATCATAATAAATTATAGATTAAAGAGTTACTTTAAATTTATAATTCAACTAGACTTCTCTGTAGATATATGTCTTATACATTCCTATTTATTTAAAAAGGTAATACATACAGATCATTTAGAGATTAATAACTACTGCTAGGCTGAAAAATAGCAGTTCACTGTCTAATCGTTCTTGAATATAAATTCCTGCTCTTTACATAATATCATTTTTAATACATTTTTATCTTTGTTTATTAATAAAGTAGTTCATAATGATTTTTGAAAAAATAAGTTTCAAAATGTTCTGCATACATGTTAATGTAGGTTAGGCCATCCAAAAGACAAAGCAAAGCGTCAACATTAAGTCATGGGCTAGGATTATACAAATGAGAATAAATACAAGGGTATGGTACTTGTTAGATAAACACAACCAAACTAAATTGCACTTCAAATATTTTTATATAAAAGCATATTAAAGCTCACTTTAAAATAGTGTTCATCTTTTCTTTTAAACAGGCATAAACTCATTTGCACTCATGCACAGATATACCTAATAACTTTCTTCATCTTTTAATACAATTCCTTGTTTCTTTATGCAACCCAACAAAATAATATAAAATGAAGTCATTATAAAAATATGAAACTTTCTGAATCTATATTACATTTTTAATTTAAATCAGAAAATACAGTTTAGATCATATGAAACATATGGACTTCAGACATATATTATCTGTTTCTAACAGATTATTAGATACGGTCTTTATTTTGGCTGAAATGCAAAAATATGAATTTCTTAATAACAGATTAGTTAAAATTACTTTCCACTGATAGCAGTGCTAGCCCCTGGAACAAAAGGTAAGCAAAACTTATTTGTAAGATACTGCCTATTCAATGCCCAGAATATGTAGACCCTAAATCTAAGCCCTTAATATACAACTGCTTTAAAGATAACCGAAAGGAGATCTTACATGCCTGATAATCCTTAATTTAAACAGTCCAGTAAACATAGTCAAAATCTGCTTTCTAGTAGAAATACAATTCAAGTAAACAGTGCATATTTGATTTAAGCCACCTTACAGCTAAATTCACTCATGACATATTGGATCATAACCACTAATATGTAAAAACGGTTTTTAAAAAAATCATCCTTATGTAAAGATGAAAATAAACTTTGTAAACTTGTACATTTAAAATAACTAATGTACTGCAGCTGCTCTTTGGTTTGGCATAGTTTCAGGTACTGAATATTCAAGTAAATTTGTTCCCAGGTAAACTAAGTCTCCAGTCTGATTTGTTTTTAATGGCAATGGCAAGACCTGAACTTCAACTTTATTTTTCTTTTTTTAAATTATTATTATTATACTTTAAGTTTTAGGGTACATGTGCACAACATGCAGGTTTGTTACATATGTATACATGTGCTATATTTGTGTGCTGCACCCATTAACTCGTCATTTAGCATTAGGTATATCTCCTAATGCTATCCCACCCCCCCCCCGCCCACTACACAACAGTCCCTGGTGCGTGATGTTCCCCTTCCTGTGTTCATGTGTTCTCATTGTTCAATTCCCACCTGTGAGTGAGAACATGCGGTGTTTGGTTTTTTGTCCCTGTGATAGTTTGCTGAGAATGATGGTTTCCAGCTTCATCCATGTCCCTACAAAGGATATGAACTCATCATTTTCACAAATGTTCAAGTGTTTGAAGGACCAAAGCTAGTACTTATAAGATTTGACGGGGCTTAATTTTGATTTTTTTCACCGAATAGTTGATAGCAATAATCAACACCAGTTGAGATACCAAAGAGGCAGCTTTTCCCTGATTCCCACACCATTTGTAGGCCCTTGCTATAATGGTCATTAAAATACGTATGAATCAGTTCAGCTAAATATTATTTAGAATGGGGCAAAATGCTGGCTGTATATTAAATCAAAGATAAATAATTCAAAGGCTTTAACTGAAAATTTCAGAAAATATGTTTTCTGTGCTATTATATTAAAGATGCTGTTAAATAACAAAAATTAGAATTGTTAGTATCCATATAAATTTTCACTCCAAAAACACAAGCTTAAAAACTTGTCATAAGTAAAGTACATCTAGGGCAAATGGTGGCTGAAAGTGAATAATATTCAAATTACCGTTGCTTGTACTGTATAAGGAAAACTGCCTTTTTAAATTGGGTATTTGCTACTTTATAATTACTATTTTATACTTTTCAACATTTTCAATAACTGTTTTTATTGTTGCCTGTAACAGAAGGATTCAGATACCTAAATTTCATTTAAAATATGGAACACATTGGTCTAATTCATCAAAAGCTTAGTTGTAATGAGAGGTGACAGAGTGCTAGCAGTCCTCACAGCCCTCGCTCGCTCTCGGTGCCTCCTCTGCCTGGGCTCCCACTTTGGTGGCACTTGAGGAGCCCTTCAGCCCACCGCTGCACTGTGGGAACCCCTTTCTGGGCTGGCCAAGGCCGGAGCCGGCTCCCTCAGCTTGCAGGGAGGTGTGGAGGGAGAGGCGCGAGCGGGAACCAGGGCTGCGCGCTGCGCTTGCGGGCCAGCTGGAGTTCCGGGTGGGCGTGGACTTGGCGGGCCCCACACTCGGAGCTGCCTGCCTGCCATGCCGGCCCCGGGCAATGAGGGGCTTAGCACCCGGGCCAGCGGCTGCAGAGGGTGTACTGGGTCCCCCAACAGTGCCAGCCCACGGCGCTGCGCTCGATTTCTCACTGGGCCTTAGCTGCCTTCCCGCTGGGCAGGGCTTGGGACCTGCAGGCCACCATGCCTGAGCCTCCCACCCCGTCCGTGGGCTCCTTTGCCGCCCGAGCCTCCCGGATGAGCGCCGCCACCTGCTCCACGGCGCCCAGTCCCATCGACCACCCACGGGCTGAGGAGTGCGTGCGCACGGCACCGGGACTGGCAGGCAGGTCCACCTGCAGCCCTGGTGTGGCATCCACTGGGTGAAGCCAACTGGACTCCTGAGTCTGGTGGGGAAGTGGAGAACCTTTGTGTCTAGCTCAGGGATTGTAAACGCACCAATCAGCTCCCTGTCAAAACAGACTACTCGGCTCTACCAATCAGCAGGATGTGGGTGGGGCCAGATAAGTGAATAAATGCAGGCTGCCCGAGCCAGCAGCGTCAGCCCGCTCCGTTCCCTTTCTCTGGTGTGTAAGGTTTGTTCTTTCGCTCTTTGCAATAAATCTTGCTACTGCTCACTCTTTGGGTCCACGCTGCTTTTATGAGCTGTAACACTCACCGCGAAGGTCTGCAGCTTCACTCCTGAAGCCATCGAGACCACGAGCCTACCGGGAGGAACGAACAACTCCAGACGCGCTGCCTTAAGTGCTGTAATATGGCGAAGGTCTGCAGTTTCACTCTTGAGCCAGGGAGACCACGAACTGGGCGGGAACACCAGAAGGAAGAAACTCCAGACGCGCCACCTTAAGAGCTGTAACACTCACCGCGAGGGTCTGCGGCTTCATTCTTGAAGTCAGTGAGACCAAGAACCCACCAATTCCGGACACAGTAAGCATTAATACAACCATGTAGTGTAACAAGTACTCAAGGCTTAAAGGGAACTTGGCAGTATAAGAAATATTTTGGGTTCTCTCTGCTTTTTCATAACTTTTTTTGTTGAACTTTCAGAGGTATGTACATGGGCAGAGAAACACAAAGGTACATGTGCTGGAGAAATACTAGACAAAGTAGGAAGAGGTGTAAGTGCCCAGAAGAAAAGCTAAGAGGAATATTATAATCTGTTAAAAAATAGTTTGAGCTTTAACGGTAGTTAGAATAAAGCATGCTATTGACTTGACTTTCAAAT
This sequence comes from Homo sapiens, assembly GCF_000001405.40. Classification (NCBI taxonomy): domain Eukaryota; kingdom Metazoa; phylum Chordata; class Mammalia; order Primates; family Hominidae; genus Homo; species Homo sapiens. The sequence continues at coordinate 194,357,344 of NC_000001.11, read as the reverse complement.
TTTAGGGTAGGTAATGACTAAAAATTACTTTGAAACTTTTTACAGTAATCCTGTAACAGCTTAAACAGTGACTTAAAATGTAACTTAAACTAGGCAAAACAAAATTTTAGAATAAGTTTTCCTCCTGGCTGTCAGTTAGAAACTCTAACCTGAGTGGTCATTTTACACTCCCAGTCTCTGAGAAGTGGATTCTACTCTTAGATCCACAATCTTAAGTCTGACTTCCTAACAGCAACCCCATTGTGACTAGACATATTTCTCCTGTTTCCTTTTAAATCTAATCGAAGTGACAGGAGTTGTTGCATTAACTCCAAAGAAAAGTACAGAATAAACAGTGTAGAAATGTTACTCATTTATACCTTTTGGTCAGACACACACACACATTCACACACATACACTCCAAAATAAGTGATTGCTTCCAGTTAGTGGGTGGAGATGGATCTCAGCAGAATCTGTGAGTACTACAGGTTGGGGTTTCCTGTCTTTAAAATGGGACTGCAGGGGAGGGAGTGCTGTGAATGAGTTGGACTGGATGACTTCTAACATTCTGCAAGGCCTAATTTTGCAAAATCCCTTTTCATTCACCCACTAATTTTTATTTATTTATTTATTGAGACACAGTCTCGCTCTGTCCGACAGGCGGGAGTGCAGTGGCGTGGTCTTGGCTTGCTGCAGCCTCTGCCTCCCGGGTTTGGACAATTCTCTTGTCTCAGCCTCCCAAGTGGCTGGGATTGCAGGCTCACGCCACCACACCTGGCTAATTTTTACATTTTTAGTAGAGACGAGGTTTTGCTGTATTGGCCAGGCTGGTCTCGAACTCCTGACTCAAATAATCCACCTGCCTCGGCCTCCCGAGGTGCTGGGATTGCAGGTGTGATCCACCACGCCCAGCCCCAGTCATTATTTTGGAGTACTTTCTGTATGCTAAACAGCACACTAGGGATAGCTCTATCATTTCCTAGCACAGCATAAATTTTATGGTTGCTACTGTAGGTTTATAATTTGTAAGACTGGTCTAATTTCCATCAGCCATACTCATATTAGATTTTAAAAGGAGGTAACCTTTTTTCTCTTTGAACCAAAGGAATGAGTTAGTTTTGAAAACAGTTTGGAACACTATAGTGTGGATTCTTCTACCTTTGTCTCAACTCCTTATTCTTAACAATTTTGATTCTAGAAAACTAGAATGAGAGTTAAGAGATACCAATTATTGCCAGGCATGGTGGGTCATGCCTGTGGTCCCAGAACTTTGGGAGGCCAAGGCTGGCGGATAGCCTGAAGTCGGGGATTCGAGACTAGCCTGGACAAGGTGGCAAAGCCCAGTCTCTACTAAAAATACAAAAACAAACAAACAAACAAACAAACTGTCCAGGCATGGTGGTACACGCCTGTGGTCCCAGCTGCTCTGGAGGCGGGGGCAGGTAAATCCCTTGAACCTGGGAGGCAGAGGTTGCGGTGGGCCGGGATCGCGCCACTGCACTCCAGCCTGGACAAGAGTGAAGCGACATCTCAAAAAAAAAAAAAAATCAATTACCAACTAAAAACATAACTCCAGTTTGGTGGTTTGCATATTTTAAGGAGATAAATGTTTAAACATAATTGACTACTTTCAGAAATGGTCTCCTGGTAGTTTTTGTGAGTATTTCTACATTCAGATCAAAAGATTTGCGTACACCTGACAGCTGAGGAAACTTTATTTTTTTCTTCACTATTATGCACTTTCGTGGTATTATAGTCTCTCTCAGTTCATTTTTAATACACTTAATTCTTTTTGAGAACTTTCCTCCACAGCATATACCTATTTTTTTATTTTTCAGTTTTAGAAATTATGTATTACATTCTTATTTTAAAAAATGGGAATTTCTTGCCTTTTGTAACTACGTTCACACTGAACTTCTCTTCTAATATTCCCATTTTAGTGTTATCATTTTATTCAAGCAATGTTCTGCATTTATATTATGATGGTTATATAAATAGCAAAGCTGAGCTGTACAGAAACATAAGACTACAGTGCATTTCTTACATGACATTAGGTTTTATAAACTTTAGTTAACCATTTCTTAGCTTTTTTCACTTGAAAACAATTCACATTTTTTTATCTCATTCTCTTTTAGCTGGTTGTCATTTAAGCCCATCACACATCTGCTCCCCAGGGATACACCTTCATTATAATCTGGTAATTCCTTTAATGAAGTCTAACCTTTACAAAAAAGTGGTGCAAAAACATAAATGCACATTTTTATGAATATTTACATATAATATTAAACAACCATATGCAATGAGACTCCAGATGAGGAAACAGATTTCCTGAACTCTAGAATACCCCATCATGATATACCATAGTCACTTTTCGCAGTGTAACTATAGGTTGGTGCAAACGTAATTGATGTTTTTGCCATTGAAAGTAATTACTTTGATAGTAATTAACTAATCCAACACCAAGAATATAGTTGTTGATCTATGTAGGAGAAAAATGATGCAGTTTCTTCTGTTTTAAAATGTATTATAAGAGCAATGCATCAGAAGGTCTTAATCCTATTAACATTTATAAAACTTCCCCTTTGAATATCCCTGGGAATAAGTAGTGAAAACTTAAAGTAAGTAAGTATTAAGCCAGTGAATGGAAAAAAAAAAAAAAGCTAGACTTTTGTTACCACATATGTTTCTATAATACTAATTAATCCAAGTAGATACATAGAGAAATTATGTCAATATAACATAGAGTTTTTATTTTTTAATATAAATTTTTTCTGTGCTAGTAGAACAAGGATAGTAGAAATAATAACTTCAGGGAGGAAATAATATATTTTCCATTTGGCTGATACACAAATAAGCACTTTTTAGTTCTAAGAAAGTTAAAACGACTGCAGGGAATTTCAACTTCTGAGAAGTTGAAGTATGTACTTTTCACTATTCTTCCCACTAGGAACAATTAAAACCCCTGCAAATTACATATGAAACAAGTTTAAGAGGACTTTGAGAGATGAAGAAAAGCAGGCAGACCAGCCAGGGACCTTGCAGCCTGAAGAAGGACAGGAAGGTAAGATCCCTGGGTTTCCTTTTGTTCTCATATAACCCAGTCTTGGAACAGAAGAAGTCAGCAACATAAAAATACCAATAGGCACAGGCAAAATAAAGTCTCAACAAAATCCACTCTATCTAGAGAAGGAGCAGTCTAGCAAGACAGAAAATCTTCTGGACAATAACAGGTCTACTCTAGCAAAACTCCACAGCAGAAACTGTGAGACTACCTCCATTCGTGCTGGCAAAAGCCAGGTGGTGAGCCTGGACTTCCGCCCTTACCAGGCTATACCAAGGCACCCAACTCTGATGTCAGAGGAGGCCAAAAAGAGATCCAGAGTTTTCATCTTCACTGGTTGCTTACAAGCATTTCCCCGTTGCAATGCCAGTGGAAACAAGAGGGAAAACTTAGGTTACCTCACCAACCTGGCAGTAATGAAGTGCCACTCTAATTTCCCATGGAGTGGTGTGTGTCAGAGGATGAAGAGTAGAGAGTCGTGATGTTCATAATTGCTCAATGGTGTCAGCCTCCAAGCTATTGATTCCATAGACTACCTATACTTTCAGAATAGACAAAACTATTAAAAATTCCTTATTCCTTATTCCTTACCATTACAACTTTGATTCTGCTTGCTATGGGGCCACGCTCAGATTAAAAGTAATGATTTTCATCTTTGCCTTATAAACTTTGTTAACTCTAGTTAACCGATATAAGTTAATTCTTGAAATATTTATATTTCATCTGAAAAATTCTGGCGTATATGAGTTCATATTTTTTTACTTGTGATAAAAATCTCAGTCACCTTAGGGATAGAACTTCCAGAGTGCCTTTCAAAGCGATATCTCGGCTTTTTATCTCCTGACAGGTTAAGAGTGTAGAGTTTTGTCAATTATTCATTTGAAGGAGTTTTTATGTTTTCTTTTAATGTGCTTCTTATATTGGAAAAAAATTCATGACCCAATAATTGAGGTAGTGTCTGGTTTGTGTCATAATATGCAAATAGCAAAATGGAAGATAATACTCCAGCCTGATAACATGTGTGATGTATGTGGTGATGGTGAATGGTAAGGGTTGTGTCTATGTGCTGATCTGGGGAAACTGCTAGAGGAATAATAGAGTCACCAAATTTGAGCAATATGAAAGTGTAAAATCTGAATCAAGTACGTTGAGATCAAAGTTAGCAGTGACTGGCAAGGAAATGAAAGAAAATAAAGCGACATACCAAATAAATGTGAAAAATGCTGAGACCAGCTCGGTCGGGTGAAAAATGCTCAGACCAGCTTGGTTGGGGAGACCCTAATCCAGCAGCGCTAGAGGAATTAAAGACACACACAGAAATATAGAGGTGTGAAGTGGGAAATCAGGGGTCTCACAGCCTTCAGAGCTGAGAGCCACAAACAGAGATTTACCCACATGTTTGTTAACAGCAAACCAGTCGTTATAATTGTGTCTATAGATATTAAATTAACTAAAAGTATCCCTTAAGGGAAATGAAGGGATGGGCTGAATTAAAGGAATAGGTTAGGCTGGTTAACTGCAGCAGGAACATGCACTTAAGACACAGATCATTCATGCCATTGTTTATGGCTTAAGAATGCGTTTAAGTGGTTTTCCGCCATGGACGGGCCAGGTGTTCCTTGCCCTCATTCCCGTAAACCCACAACTTACCAGCTTGGGCGTTAGGGCCATTATGAACATGTTACAGTGCTGCAGAGATTTTGTTTATGGCCAGTCTTGGGGCCAGTTTATGGCCGGATTTTGGGGGGCTTGCTCCCAACAGAAAAATAACTTAGTTTTCTGTATGTTTGCTTGTTGCAATTCTCTCCATCCTTGGCAAGATTCATTTATATTTGTACAACTTCTGTTTTAGTGCTGAAGTGTCAAAACTCAGCCAGGCGTGGTGGCTCATGCCTGTAATTTCAGCACTTTGGGAGGCTGAGGCAGGTTAATCCCAGCTACTCTGGAGGCTGAGGCAGGAGAATCGCTTGAACCTGGGAGGCAGAGGTTACAGTAAGCCAAGATCGCGCCACTGAACTCGGTCTCAAAAACGAAACAAAACAAAACAAACAAACAAACAAAAACCAGTCAAACTCAGAGTTCATATGTTTCCACTACGCTCTGTTTTATTAGTTAGATACTTACCTTCCATGCTACTAGTTACTGTAATAAGTTCCCAGTAGTTAAAATATCAACATCTCTGGTCTCTTATCTCGAAATGGTACAGTCCCCATTTAATAAGGATAAAATCCATTCTCTACTTAACACATTTTAATTTAGTGCTAAAATATTTTTTTAAAGCCTTGAAACAGATTTGTAATATAAATATATTCAAAACTACATGTAACAAGAAATAACTTTTACTTTATCATCTTCAGGAAATTCAAAAACTTGGGACTTCATAAGCCTTGATGGTTTGCATGTTCCTATAAAGGAATGCCTATTATTTCTTCAGAAGAAGATATTACACATAAAATGAGACAGCAATTAAGAAGAACAATTTCCTGAATGAAAATGTTCTATCTTCTTTTGCCAAATTACATTTGGAAGTCTTCTGGTACTGACATAAACTGTAATGTTCTTTGGAGCAATTCAGGCATAACTATGGAATCAGAGGGTGGAGATAAGTTATAGGTGTAGAGATATATTATCACAACATATGAGATAATTTGGAGTATCTCAGGCACTTAATCCAAGTAATAATTAACTCTTTCAGCTTATTTCTATTTTACTTTACATTCTCCTATTTTGGGAGAGGACAAAATGATTTCTTTGCAAGGAATCAGTACTTCTGCATTTTGATCTTGATTCTTCTATGCAAACTTTCAAATGACTCTCTAATATTGTGTTTATAGTCTAGTGTAATACCTGTGTGAAATGAATTAAGAAGATGAACATATTTATATGAAAAATACACACAAAATATTACACTTACTGATATAACAAGGACACAATTTGGTTATAGGTAGCAATCAGCTATTCCATTATCAGTGAAATAAGGGAAAATAGGGAGGTCTTAAGTCTTATCTCACCAATACTAACTTTGTATAAACCAGTGACAATTTTCTTACTAATTTTTTACCTTACTTTTTCACCTATGTGTAAGGATAATGTCTGGCTGGTCTTGAACTCCTGACCTCAAGTGATCTGCCTGCCTCAGCTTCCCAAAGTGCTGGGATTATAGGCGTGAGCCACCGCGGCCAGCTGATATATTTTTACATGGAACTTCTGATCTCAGGTTTTGATAGTAGAATGTTAGAGACAGGTGATTCATCTTCACTGTCAACCCATTAATGCTCGGGAAAATACGCCAAGGTTTATTCCTGTATTTCTCTTGTACTCCCGTTGACTATTTTTACTTTCCTTGAAGAGCTTGCTTTAGTATCTTTCCAGTGCAGGTTCTGTGGGTTAAAACAAAATAAAATAAGTTGTCGTTTTTTTCTGAAAATGCCTATTCAGTCTGAGTACTCAATGACATTTTTGCTTGATTTAGAATTCTAGAAAAGACTTTTTATTTCTATTTTTACATTTCAGCATCTTTTAAATGTTTTTCAGTTGTTTTTAGACCATTGTCAATTTTGTTGAAAAGTCAGCTGTCTTCTTTTGCTGCTTTGAAGGTACTATGCTTCTTTTCTCTTGCTACTTTTGGGATTATTATTATTATTGCCATTATAATTTGATTAAAATGGGTCATGGTGGAATTTTTAAATTGGTATTTTTTGCCTCGTTATTGTATTTCTACTGCATGTGATTCTCTCAGCTTATTGAAAATTTGATGTCTTTTAAGGATTTCTCATTTTTTTGCTGGTTAACTGTTTAGCTATCATATATGTCCCATTGTTTGTCTTCTCTAATTCTGGAATTCTGGTTGAACATACGATAAATAATCCTTTGTGTTCACATGACTCAGACACTTCTTTCTGTATTGTCTTTCTCTTAATTCTCTCTGCTTTATTTTGATATTGGATATTGACTATCTTCAAGCTCAGTAATCTTTTCTGTTGTATCTAATACACTTTTGAAACCATCTACTGAGGTATTAATAGCAGGTATTTTATTTGTCAATCCTAGAATACCAATTTTATCCTGTTTTCTAGATTCTAACATTTATTAAAAATTTATATACCTTTATTTCTGTAATTCTTCTATTTTCTTGAACATATTAACCACAGCTATTTTGAAGTTTGGTCATAATTTACATTTTTATTTTTTTACCTTGGTTTTTGGCTATATGGCCTGAAAGGGAGAATAAAGAATTATGGGATTATAATAGAGAAACCTATTCCTGGTGATAAAATTTTGGGATGCCTGAAACATTATTATTCCTGATTGTATGAGTCCTTTTTCACCCTGCTGATAAAGACATATCTGAGACTGGGAAGAAAAAGAGGTTTAATTGGACTTTCAGTTCCACATGGCTGGGAAGGCCTCAGAATCACAGTGGGAGGTGAAAGGCACTTCTTACATGATTGCAGCAAGAGAAAATGGGGAAAAAGGAAAAGTGGAAACCCCTGATAAACCCATCAGATCTCATAAGACTTATTTACTATCATGAGAATAGCACAGGAAAGACCAGCCCCCATGATTCAATTACCTCCTCCTGTGTCCCTCCCACAACACATGGGAATTCTGGGAGATAAAATTCAAGTTGAAATTTGGGTGGGGACTCAGCCAATCCATATCATTTCAACCTGGCTCCTCCATATTTCATGGCCTCACATTTCAAAACCAATCATGTCTTCTCAACAGTCCGCCAAAGTCTTAACTCATTTCAGCATTAACCTAAAAGTCCACAGCCCAAAGTCTCATCTGAGACAAGCCAAGTTCCTTTAGCCTACGAGCCTGTAAAATCAAAAGCAAGTTAGTTATTTCCTAAATACAATGGCGGTACAGGTATTGGGTAAATACAGCCATTTCAAATGGGAGAAATTGGCCAAAACAAAGGGGTTGCAGGGCCCATGCAAGTCTGAAATCTGGCAGGGCAGTCAAGTCTTAAAGCTCCAAAATGATCTCCTTTGACTCCAGATCTCACATCCAGGTCACGCTGATGTAAGCGGTGGGTTCCCATGGTCTTGGGCAGCTCCACCCCTGTGGCTTTGTACAGCCTCCCACCCAGCTGCTTTTACCAGCTGGCCTTGAGTGTCTGTGGCTTTTCCAGGCACATGGTGTTGGTGGATCTACCATTCTGGGGTCAGGAGAATGGTGGCCCTCTTCTCACAGCTCTACTAGGTGGTGCCCCAGTAGGAACTCTTTGTAGGGGCTCCAACCCTACATCTCCCTTCCACGTTGCCCTAGTAGAGGTTCTGTATGAGGGCCCCGCCCCTGCATCAAACTTTTGCCTGAGCATCCAGGCATTTCCATAAATCTTCTGAAATATAGGCAGAGGTTCCCAAACCTCAATTCTTGACTTCTCTGCACCCGCAGGCTCAGCAACAAATGGAAGCTGCCAAGACTTGGGGCTTCCACCCTCTGAAGCCATAGCCCGGGCTCCCTGTTGGCCCCTTTCAGCCATGGCTGGAGCAGCTGGGACACAGGGCACCAAGTCCCTAGGCTGCACACAGCTCAGGGACCCTGGGCCCAGCCCGTGAAACTGCTTCTTCCTCCTGGGCCTCTGGGCCTGTGATGGGAGGGGCTGCTGTGAGAATCTCTGACATGCTCTGGAGACATTTTCCCCTTGGTCTTAGGGATTAACATTAGGTTCCTTGCTACTTATACATATTTCTGCAGCCAGCTTGAATTTCTCCCGAGAAAATGGGTTTTTCTTTTCTATAGCATAGTCAGGCTGCAAATTATCTGAAAGTTTATGCTCTGTTTCCCTTTTAAAACTGAATGCCTCTAACAACACCCAAGTCACCTCTTGAATGCTTTGCTGCTTAGAAATTTCTTCCCCCAGATACCCTAAATCATCTTTCTCAAGTTCAAATTTCCACAAATCTCCAGGGCAGGGGAAAAATGCCACAATTCTCTTTGCTAAAACATAACCAGAGTCACCTTTGTTCCAGTTCCCAACAATTCCTCATATTCACCTGAGACCACCTCAGCCTGGATCTTATTTTCCATATCGCTATCAGCATTTTGGGCAAAGCCATTCAACAAGTCTCTAGGAAGTTCCAAACTTTCCCACATTTTCCTGTCTTCTTCTGAGTCCTCAAAACTGTTCCAGTCTCTGCCTGTTACTCAGTTGCAAAGTTGCTTCCACATTTTTGGGTATCTTTTCAGCAATGCCCCACCTTACTGGTACCAATTTACTGTATTAGTCTGTTGTCATGCTGCTGATAAAGACATACCTGAGATTGGAAAGAAAAAGAAGTTTAATTGGACTTACAGATCCACATGGATGAGGAGGCCTCAGAATCATGGCGAGAGGTGAAAGACACTTCTTACATGGCAGAAACGAGAAAATGAGGAAGAAGCAAAGGCAGAAACCCGTGATAAACCCATTAGCTCTCATGAGACTTACTCACTAGCACGAGAATAGCATGGGAAAGACCGGCCTTCATGATTCAGTTACCTCCTACTGGGTCCCTGCCACAACACGTGGGAATTCTGGGAGATACAATTCAAGTTGAGATTTCGGTGGGGACACAGCCAAACCATCTCACTGGTCTTTTTACTTACGTGAGCAAAAATATTAACCTTATATTTACTATATATAAATGCATTTGGATTGTTATGTTCTGACATCTATAACTAACAAATGTGTATTAAGGATAAACAGATGTTGAAGATAAAGTGAGTAGGAATATCCAAGTTACTTTAGTGAATATTGCTAGAATTCTGTGGCATTTTCTATCCCTGAATATGGAGAAGTAGGGTCAGGACAAAATATGTTACTTTCTCACCTCAGGTTTTAAGAAAATCATGCAAGGAGCACAATAATACAAAAGGATTCCCTGGAGTGTGAGTCACACAATGGGCTCTAATTCATATATCAATGATCTATATATAGATCTGTGAATACAGACCTGATGTCAGAGCAGAAGAATGCCTTTTCCATCTACGAGATACAACTTGTAAATTTTGCTCTAAAACACTAGTATTACAAGAGCTTTTCCCTAAGATAGGTGTCAATCTAAGAAAAAGCCGATATTTTTGACAAGGCCATGGGGAACATAATGTCCCATTTTATTGCTGAGAGAGAGAGATATCACAAATTTGTGTTTATGTTACAGGCAATTGACTATAGCTACATGACCTAGATTTAATATTATCTTCTAACATTAAAACAAAAATTGTTTTTTCTTTTACTTCCCCTAGAATATGCCTATACACCCCCTCCCTAGTTAACTTATCTGCATTATAAATGTAGGTATTATCTCTTTCATGGGAGAAGATACTGTTATAGATCACTTTGTCCCCAGAACTTTTTGGAATTTAAACTATAAATATAACAATCCTGTAAATCTGTTTAGTGTCCTGGAACTTAGAAAATGTTTCCAGTTTCTTTTGCATGAAAGGTTTGAAATTCAATTCTTTCTTTTTTTTTTCTGGCTGTCAAGGTATTAAATATAATTTTATCAGGTTCTAAAGATGGAATTTAACCATAACTGACACTTAGCTGAGTATGAAAGGAAAATTGCAGAAGGCAGATATATGGCCTACAGTTTCTAAGTTTACTAAAAATTTGTTTAGTGGTCCAGTTTTAAGTTTGTTATTAAAGAGAAGAAATATATTTCTACAGAAGCCTGCCAATAAAAGAAGTTCGTATTTTTACAATTTCATACTTTTAAATTAGTTGGATTATGCTGCTACAAGGCGCTCTGATTGAATGGAATTGGTACAAGCTTGAGTCGAGGAGCTCTAGGTCTAATTCACGGTTCTGGTATTTATTAGACTTGTGACAGCAAGCTAGTTACTAAACTTCTCTATATCTCTCTTCTCATCTCTAAGATAGGTGCTATGATGGGTATTATAACGTGATACCAATGTGTATTTTAATTGTCTTAAGCCCTTATTCTAAGGAACATTATTTGTTCTGGTTAGAAGTTCATTCCTCAGATATATTCAGATAGTCTTTCATTATAGGGCCTCTCCAAAGGCAGTTATTGAAACAGCTCAGCTATCTTTATTAGCAATCAACATTTGAGGACATTCTATTTAACATAAGAAATATAAATATTAAAATTTAGATTTTCACTGGTAAATTTAGTAACTTGTTGATTTGCATATTGAAAGATTTAAAATGATACTTTATGGGTAAAATAAGCAGTATTTAAGAAAATTGATTGACTGGAATATTTTAACATTATTCCTTACACTTTGTTATACAAGGTAAGCCCTGTAGTTTGTACTCTTTAGCAAGGAAATCCAAGTTTAATCTTTAAATGGTCTTGTGTTCCATTATGGGGAGAGAGAAAGTTGGAGTGGGTTATTTGTCTAAAAATAAGATTCTAAAACCCTGCTCCTAGAGTATGATTGCATCCTCTTTGAGCAAACATTTTGGTCAAAATTTGATTGGACTACCTAGCAAGACAAAGAGCCAAGAGAAGCTGAATGAACTGTAATGTGTGTCCTTACTAAGGAATGCACATTTAATAAATGGCTGGATATATGTAACATGTTAATGGGACCAAAAGTTTTGATGACTATACTTTAAACCAAAAGTAGCTTCAAGGTTGTGTTTATCTCACTGTCTTAATTCAGTTTACAACAATGGTTATTCTAAAATTGCTTCTTTTACAGGGGAGATTAAATAAGATCAGGTACTTAATGTACATTAAGTGCTCAATCAAATACTAGCTCGGCTAATAGAAGTAGACGATGGATTACTCATTATGTAATTGTGTCATTACATTTGCTCATTACATTACATTATCATGTCTGGGAATCTAAGTTGAGTAACATAGGATAGGAAAAAATCAAGAATGGAATTAGGACAAGTGAATTTTTCCAATGTATAGGCATATATCATTTTATTGTACTTCACCGATACTGCCATTTTACAAATTGAAGGTTGGGGGAAAGTCTACTGGTAACATTTTATTTTTCAATAGCACAAGCTCATTTTGTGTCTTTTTGCCTCATTTTTGTAATTCTCGCAATATTTCAAACTGTCATTATTACTCTGTTTTGGTGATCGTTGATCAGTGATCTTTGATGTTACTATTGTAAATGTTTTGAGATGCTACAAATCATGCCCACATTAGATGACAAACTTAATCAACAAATGTTTTGTATGTTCTCAGTGCTCCACTCACCAATCATTTCCACATCTTATATTCCTTCTCTTTGGGCCTTCCTATTCTCTGAGACACAACATTATTAAAATTAGGCAAATTAATAACCCTACAAGGACCTCTAAGTGTTCAAGTGAAGAGAAGATCCTCCTGTCTCTCGAATTAAATCTAGAAATTATTCAGTTTACTGAGGAAGGCATGTCAAAAAGCAAGGTAGGCCAAAAGTTAAGCATCTTCTGCTAAACAGTTAGCTGCATTGTGAATGCAAAGGGAAAGTTCTTGAAGGGAATTAAAAGTGCTAGTCTAATGAACAAGCAAATAATAAGAAAGGGACACAGCCTAATTGTAATATGGAAAACTTTTGAGTTGTCTGGATAGAAGAACCAGCCCTCACATTCCCTTAAGCCAAAGCCTAACCCAGCTCAAGGCCCTAACTCTCTTTAATTTTATGACAGCTGAGAGCTGAGAGTGGTAAGGAAGCTATAGAAGAAAAGTTGAAAACTAGCAGAGGCTGGTTCATGAGGTTTAGGAAAAGGAGCCAGATCCATAACATAAACATGCAAGGTGAAGCAGTAAGTGCTGATGGAGAAGCTGCAGCACGTTAGCCAGACGATCTAGCTTAGATCACTGATGAAGAGGGCTACAATAAAACAATAGATTTTCAATGTAGACAAAACAGCCTTCTATTGGAAGAATATGACATCTTCTATTGGAAGAATATGACTTTCATAGCTTGAAAGAAGTGAATTATTGGCTTCAAACATTCAAAGGACAGGTGGACTTTATTGGTAGGGGCTAATGTAGCTGATCACTAAGTTGAAGCCAATGTTCATTTACCATGGCAAGAAGCCTAGGGCCCTAAATAGTTATGCTGAATCTATTCTGCCTGTGCTCTAAAAATGGAAAAACAAAGACTGGATAACAGTATATCTATTTACAGTACTGTTTACTGAACATTTTAAACCCACTTTTGAGACCTATTGCTTAGAAAAGAATATTCCCTTGAAAAGATTATTGTTCTTTAACAATAATCTGTACACCCAGTCAGCCAAGAGCTCTGATGAACACGGAGACTAATGCTATTTTCATGCCTGCTAACAGAAGATCCTCTATGTAGCCCACAGATCAAGGAGTAATTTTGACTTTCGAGTCTTGTTTGTCTTATTTAGAGTCTTACCACAGATTTGTGTTAAGTAAATTGAAAATCTTGAAAAGATACACCATTCTACATCTCATTAAGAACATTTATGATTCATTAGATAAGGTGAAAATATCAATATTAAAAAGAGTTTGGAACAAGTTGATTCCAGCCCTCATGGATCGCTTTGAGGGGTTTAAGACTTCAGTGAAGACAGTAACTGACGATGTGATGGAAATGGCAAGAGAAATAGAAAGAGAAGTGCAGCCTGAATAAGGGACTGGATTGTGGCAATCTCATGATAAAACCACATCAGATGAGAAAAGGCTTCTTGTGGATGAAAAAAATAAAGTGGTTTCTTGAAATGGAACCTACTTCAGCTGAAGTTGCCATTAACATTGTTGAAATGAGAACAAATAAATTTAGAATAGTATATCAAGTTAATTAATAAAGCTCCAGTAGTTTGAAAAGATAGACTCCAATTTTGAAAGAAGTTCTATTATGAATAAAATTGTTCATGAAAGGAAAAGTCTATCAATGCGGCCAATTTCATTGTTGTCTTATTTTAAGAAATTGCCACAGCCACACCACCCTTCAGCAACCAATCAGTCAATCCTGACCAGTCAACAGCCAAAAACAAGGAGAATTTATTAGAGTTCTTAGGATTGAGAAACTAAGTAATTACATTTTACAAATTATGAAGATTTTGTATAAACAGGACATTTTATTTTCATAAAAATTTTGGAAGATCGTATATGTTATATGGGCTCTTAAAAATATTTAAATGAAATGCCTTTTATATATATTTGTAATATAATATATTACGTAATTCAAGTAATATTTCTGTATAATAATGAAATGGGAAAACTTCCTTTATCCCCCGGTAGGTCATGTGATGGGGATGCTACTTACTCTTTTGAGGTCCCACTGCTCAAACCTCTAGGGGGAGCATGCAGACGGGCAGGCTGTGTGGCTCCGACCCCACAGCAGCCTCTAGGGGTGAATGCTTCCTGAAGCCCCAGTGGGCATGTTGCAGTGTGCTCTTTTAGTTTAGCCGTATATAGGCGGCTTGTGTTAATAAGCTCAATTAGACCCTCTGCCTTATTACAAGGACAGAGGGCTTTCTGTACCCCCGGTACTTGCATTGGTGTACCAGAAAAGTCGGATCACACCTGAGCTTGAAGAATGAGTGCAAGTTTTTATAGAATGGTGGAAGTAGCTCTTAGTAGATGGATCGGGAGACAGAAGGGGGATGGAGTGATAAGGTGGTTTTCCCCTGGAGTCAGGCTGCTCAGCGGCTGGGCATTCCTCCGACCAGCTCTGACTGACATCTGTGTCGCCTTGCCGTAGATGGCCTGCCAGCATCTGCTGGGGTCTGCTGCTGTCTTCTTCCATCGGTGTGTTCCTGTCAACGTTCAGCCAACTGTGTCTCTGCCCGCTAGGGTCTCGGGGCTTTTATAGGCACAGGATTGGTTCATGGCAGGCTAGGGTGGTCTTGATAAATGCAACATTTGGCACAAAAACAGAAATGCCTGTCCTCACCTAGGTTCATGGGCACAGGCCTGGGGATGGAGCCCTAGCCAGGGACCATGCCCTTCTCTACACAGCACTTCCCTGCCACCCTCCTGTATCAATAATATATAATTGTATATAAATCTTATTTTATATAATAATACATAAATATATAATACATTGTTTTATATAAATATATTTTACATATATTTTAAATATATATTATATAATACATATATAATATAGTTATTGTATAATATACATTACATATATAAAAGGCATTTTATTTAAATATATATAATTATATATATTTAGTGAAATTCTATGTTGAGTAAATGCTTGAATAGATACATTAGTTATATAGTAACAGACAATGGATTATAAATACAAATTAGATTTTTCATCGGCCAGATTTAGATTTAGAAAATGTAATATTTTTAAAATAAGTTTGATTAATTTTGTATTTTGTTTGACTATGTCAAGTAAGATGTTTAAACATTATTTATCATATTGTGACTCATTAATTTTGTTTCTAGCTAACTGAATTTCTGAAATTTCACAAAGGAAACAAATGTCTTTTCTATAATAATTTCTTGCGCATACAAATCACTAGAACCATTTCTGTGAGACATCAAAATATAGAATGAAAGGACTCAAGAGTCAAACCTAGAAGCCATAGCTGTGATGTTTATCCCAGCCACCACCTCTTACAAGCAGCCTAGTATCTTGGCAGGAAGTACAGTCAGATGGCCCTCAGGTTTCAGCCCTCTTACAAATGTGACCCAGCCAATTGTATGGGTGTTTTTAGGCTTCTAGTAGAATTAAAGTAGAGAAAGAGATAGAAAAAATATATATATACACATATATTCCATATTTATACATTAATTTCTACAATTTGTATTCTAAATCTGTAGATCTTGTCTATTCAATAAATGCTGAATATAAGTGTTGTAAGAGGCTTGTATGGCTTTGTAAAACTTCACGTTGTATCAACTTCCTTCACTTTAGGTAAAATGGCTATAGATTTAATTGCCCATTAGCTGAACATCTGTTACTCAGTTTATTGAAGTTTAATTACTTATGTGGTTCTGGATTTCAAATGTGTACTGTATAATGACTTATACTGTAGGTGTAAAAATGGTTTTAACAATCTTTAAATTGTACAGTGTTGCCTTAAATACTTACAACTGATGTAGAAAGTTAGTGGGACCTTAAGTATTAGAAACTATGCAGAAAAACAATAATAAAGGGGATTTACAGTTTAAAAAATAATTTAGAATAAATTATTTTCTTTTTTCCTATTACGAATTAATGGGGTGGACATTATTACTTTCTTAATTTTATATCCCCAAAATCTGAAACACAGAAATTGATTAATAAAGTCAATGAAGTCACTGAGCCTGTAAAATATTGAACTCTGACTTAAACTATGCAGGGTCTTGTTCCTCAAAATCTGTGCTCATGTTAGCATACCTCATTTTCCGCATTGTTTTGAAATTTAACAGCTTTGACACGTTTAGAAATTAGTTTTGAAGTATTAGATCCTGTGAGACTTTTGAATGAGGAGTGAATCATTAGGATTTTTAATAAATTATTGTTATATAACCTATATAGCCCCCACTCCAGTTTAAGAGTGAATTCATTACAAATCTTTCAAACCTACAAATGATTGCCATTTTACATATTATTCATTTTCATAAAATATTAGCAACAAAGTCATTATTTATTATTTCCTTTTAAGTATGTAAATGATTTAAAGTTGAATTTCCTCACTGGAAAACTGGGACCATAAAGAAAATCTCCACACACAGTGGGTCATCCCATTTTTCTATTCAAAATGCTTCTCTCTACTTTTTAACTTCACTCCGAAAATTTACCCTAATTTTTTAACTGAAGCCCAAGTAGCAAAACGAACAAAAATGACTTATACTGTAGGTGTAAAAAAATGGTTTTAATAACCTTTATCTAAATTGCACAATGTTGCCTTAAACACTTCTAATTGATTAGAAAGTTAGTGGGGCCTTAAGTATTAAAAACTATGTAGAAATCTTTATTCATAACAGATTGTATTATATATATCAAGTTAACTTAAATTCACCTTGTAAATTTTCAGTATAACTTCAATAATTTCTTTATTCTAATAAATGATAATGTTGTCTTATACATATATTTTTTCTTTTCCACAAACTAGAAAAAGGTATTTGTTCTAATTTTTTTTAAAATAAAGTCTCCCCACCTCTTGAAAGCAGTGTTTTTAAATGTCACCATTAACACTTCCTTTTGTAAGTGTTAAAATTTTGTTGGGCCCACACAAATAAGTGGGAGGTGCTAATGGACACTTCTTATTTTTTCCTGAATGCAGTGCATGTATATTTTTTTAGAAAAAAATGCCACATGGCTTTTTAAAACTTAGTGGTTTCTCTTCTTACTAACTGAATTTTACATGAACGACCACAAGTAATGGCATAAATCTTTATGCTCTGCCATATAGATATATGTAGTATATACATATGAAATATTAATATAAATTATAGGCTTATTTTATGTGCATGTCGATTAAATTTATTTTTTGCATAGAACTATTAAGGAACAACCTATCTCTGACACAGTTAAATGAATGTGGACCTCAGACACATCACACATTCATGATATACCAGAGAAAAATCTATGTACCTATTAACTGTCATTGAGAATAACATAAAGATATAACATGAACAATAATAGCTTTAAATCGTTTTGTGATGAACTACACCATATGTTTCTATCTGGACTTCTCAGAATCCCAATCATCCAAAAGCTTGAACATCTGCTGCCATTTTGCGGATAATTGCTTTAAGATGCATTTTGTCCTTCCCTGTGTTGATTTCTCCTTCTGTCTCTGTTAGGTCCAATTGGATGCTTATCACATTCCCCCTTCTAAATGTGTCTGCTTTCCTCTGGAGTTTACTTTGCAAACTAAATACTTTTATCTAAGAAAAAAATCTGCCAGGTGTATATCTTTCCAAGATACATGAAAATTGATGACAAAGATTTATCCTTCTGCTTCCTCTGTATTCTCAACAAATATTTAGATTAGATTCAACCTTTAAAAATGTAACATGCCTTCCTCTCTTCTCTGAATAATGGATTGCGGTATTTCTACAGAGCTGCTTTGTGATTAAAAGGTATTGAGAGCCCATAAGCCAAAACAAGCTTTCTTCTCCTTTTTTGATTACTTTAGAAAAATTAAAGAATTTAAAGAACATTTTAAAATCTGAAATGATTTTGCTTAAATATTAATTTCAAGGAAATAATTTGATTGAAGTAGACTTAAGGCAATATTGTATGATAAGAGGAAACTGTTTTACTTAAGTCTTACTTGCCTATCAGTAAAAAGAAATTTTATAATTACTTTTCACATAATACATATACTTCTCTGGTACTTTTACGGACAAATTTTCAATCTTGGATGTTTTTCTCTTTGGATTTTTTCTCAACTTTCAAACTTTGTAGTATTATAAAGACATAGTGATTGGTATAACGTAATAGTGTGAAACATAAACTACTTTTCCAACAATATAGGATTATTAAATACATTGAGTGCTAAATACCTATGAAGAGAGTGTTTATTTTCCTTTAAGAAAAGGTAGTCTGCATGCAACGCTCTTCTATGTGTTTATAGAAGTTCTTAGGTCATATTGGACAAGAAAACTCATAATGAGTTGACACTGGCAGTGATGAGTAATTTCTCCCTTTTTGGAAACACTGCCTCAGCATGAAAAGCAGTGTTTCAATGATCTTTTATTAGACATGTTTCTCAAGCATTGTTGAAAAAGGTTATAGCCACAGACTATTTTCATTGAAACTTGATGATCAATTTTGTTGTGATACCCATCCTCCCACAAGAATTTATATAAATGAAGTGGATGACAGCCCAGAAAAGGCAGAAAGAAAATGATCTATTTGAAAAACCACAGACTTGCAACTGCTTAAATCATATGGTCTGTTTAATAAGGTCTGATTTGTCTCAATGTAGTTTATTATCTTTCAACAAACAATGGCAGGGCTAAATTTTTCTTGATTGACATTCCATGTTTGTCTGAACTTACAAAAAGTGATTTACATTTACCCTTACTATAGGAGATTATTTTGATAAGGACTGAAAATTGGAGCAAATTGCAAGCTACTTTGTCATGTCTGTTGGAGGGCTCCAGCTCCACTCCACCCAAACAATATTTAGCCTCTAAATGGATGGCAATTAGGGCAGAAAGAAGAGCAAGTAGGTCTCTGATTAAAAGATGAAATATCAGTGCTAAACAAAATGCACATTCCTAGATTCAGGAGGTAGCCGAGTATTTGTGTATAAGAGGGATATCACAAGTAAAGACTATTAGGAAAACAATATATATAGCTGTATTTAAGAACACTCTCGGGGAGATAAATATTGCTAAAATCAATGAGGAGTTATATTTTATAAATTGTGACTTACTCAGATCCTTACGACAAATTTGTTTCTACAATGTCTATGTATAAAGGTTTCTTTCAACTATAATGAAATTACATATAAAGTGGCATTTTCCTCTATCATTGTTGGGTGTATAACAGATTTCCTTCAAAATTTTTAATAGTCTAGCAATTATACACAACTTTTCCTTTACTTTAAAAAATGCCCATAAGTTATTTGACAAATGCAATTTTTTTATCTAATTTGAATAGATAAGTAAAGTGACTTATATAAATATATTAAAATCCTCTTGTATGTATTTTTGTGCATCTCAAGTGCATAAAATAGTAATATATAATATATTACATAAT
The DNA here is from genome assembly GCF_000001405.40 of Homo sapiens. Lineage (NCBI taxonomy): Eukaryota > Metazoa > Chordata > Mammalia > Primates > Hominidae > Homo > Homo sapiens. Next base: position 194,337,705 of record NC_000001.11, on the reverse strand, counting down.
AATTATAATCCATGGTTTATGATTCATTGTTGTCATTAGTTCATGGAACTCTCATCTTTTATTGCACTTATGTATATCTTAATATAATAGTTATATCATATTGCTTTAGCTTTAGAAAGCTTCAGATAAGTTTGATCTTGACTATAGGCCACTGACATTCCTTCCTCAGAGCATTTGCTTTAGAAAACTTGCAATTGTAAATTCTTGCTCTTTCCCATTTTACCTTATATGTTCTCAGAACATTTACATTAGCCTATCATCTAACACCAAGATTATTTTAAAATAAGGTGTTGAATATCTTTTGTAATTATTTGAATACCATACATTATGTTGAAATTGTGATGGGTTTGAAACATTATAAAGTAAAAAAAATCCTAAATTCAGCATCATCAGTTAGGGACTGTCCTTGGTCATCTTTACTTTAAAACCTTTAAAAATCGTATTGTGCTAATGATTTTCGCTCAATAATATGTTGCTAAGATTCATCCATGTTTTGTGTGTAGCTCCAGCTAATTAATTTTTAGAGCTGTAATATATTTTTTGAGGGGATATACAACATTGTGATTTTGAACAGGATTTTTGTACACATTCTTGTAGATGTTTCCCAGTATAAATGTGTAAGAGTTGATTTTGAACATCATCTTGGATGTTAAGGGCTTTAGGGTATTAGAAGATCAAATTTTTAAATATTTTCTCAAAAGGATTTCCCAAATGGCTATATCAAATATCAATTTACAACATTTTCCAAGACTTGATAATGGCAATCTTCTCTTTCTCTTTACGAAACAGTGGACACGTTATTTATATGTTTGCCACATTAAGAGTAAAACCTTTTGTTTATCAAAGGTGTATTACAAAATTATAATCCAGTGGAAAAAATAAGATGATAAATTACAATTTGGAAATAGACAAAAATTCACAAGAGATACGGAAGCAAAACACATAAATAGGAATTTGAAAGAAAGGGAACATATATTGTCAAAAAACATATAAAAATGTTTTTAATTTTACCAAGTGATATGGTTTGGATATTTGTCCCCTCCATATCTCATGGGTGTGGAGATTTGATCCCCAATATCGAAGGTGGGGCCTAGTGGGAGGTGTTTGGGTCATGGGAACAGATTTCCCCTAAATGGCTTGGGGCCATCCCCTTGGTAATAAGCAAGTTTTCACTGTGTTAGATGGTGAGAGAGATGATAGTTTAAAGGAGCTGTACACCCCCTCTTCTCTCTTGCTCCTTCTCTTGCCATGTGACACACCTGTCACCCCTTCACCTTGCACCATCAGTAAAAGCTTTTTGAGGCCTCACCAGAAGCAGATGCTGGCACTATGCTTGTTGTACAGTCTGCAGAACTGTGAGCCAAATAAACCTGTTTTCTTTATAAATTAGCCAGCCTCAGTATTCCTTTACAGCAATGCAAAATTTATTAACACACCAGTCATCAATGAAGTGAAAATCAAAGAAAAAAACAAACAGAATATACAAATGACTGTTTAATGCAGACCATTCACAGAGGTGACAATCTTATTGCTAGTAATTGGTATGCATATATATTTTGATCCAATACATTATTTTAAATACTTTGTAGACATTTTTATGTGATATTCATGATTAAAATAAAGTAGGCAATATTGGTGTCCTGGTGGATGTATTTCAGAGTATTTATTTCCAAAGAACAACTCATTTTTAAACTATGTTTGCTAGCGAGAGTTATAATAAATACTGTGTGCAGATTTACTTAATAATAGTCTTTAATATATTAGTGCATTGCAAGGACTTTACATTTTCCTATAATAATTTTAAAGTATATAATACTATTGAAATTTCTATAACAACCCACTTTCTCAAAGACACAAGTATGTTGAAAAACTTACTAATGTATTTCTAAGACTGGTGATTATTGAAAGTCTTTTAAAACTTTTCTTTAGATGATTTTAAATATGTAATTTTAGAATTTTTTTAATTTATTAAAGCAATTTTGATTACAAAATATTAACTTTTTTAATTTGATGGTAGAATAACACATTTAAAGTATTTTATATATAGAAATAAATGTCTATATGCACTAACATTGGAAATGTCCAGATGGAACATAAAATATGGAAGTTTTAAAGTCTAAAATGAAAAGTTTGGAAGTGGAGCATGCGTAGCAGTAATAAGTGTATTCATTTTTTACGAAAGGCTTCAACTGGTACAAAGGGATTTCACTCCAGGAAGTAGAGGAGAAGAAAGCAAAGGAGTGAGTTAGTAGTGGTTGTAGTGGTTAAAACTGGGGAATAAGGAGCCCAACAGCAGGGGTTTGAATCCAAGCTTTTCTGCATATTAGCCTCTCTGCAATTAATTCCCCTCATTTTAAAATTATTATAATATCAGGAATACTTATTTTGTGGATGTTGGGAGGTTTAGGTTATACGCAACATATAACTTACATGTTTAGAACAATGACTGGTACATACAAGGTGCTATATAAAATATAGCTATTTGAATGTAATTTGTGTTAGTTTTTAGTATTGTATTAATTTAATAATTATTGAGTAGTCTAACTCCCTTTCTTTGACACATGCTTATTGAGTCCCAGAAAGTTGTGCTTCATTTCTAGTAAGTTATTACTTGAGTCTCAGCCTCATTCAGATTTACACTCGCTTACTTATGACATCTTTCCAAATATTTCACAAGAAAATATAATTTCAGAAACAGAGCAAGATATTAGGTCCTTACCAAACTTTCAACCCTAAATGGAAGTGCGTTTTACAATATCCCATATATATGATTACAAAAAGCTTTATGTGATGGAATTATCTACCTCATTAGGATACCCATTCAAGTTTGTGGATAATCCTAGTTATAACACATACACACCCCCTCATAAGTTTACAGTTAAAAACCAATTTATTTTCTTGCTAGATAAGCCAAAATATTTAATATGTTATATTATATATAATAATATATAAGTAATATATATGTGATAGATATTATATATAAATAATATTAAATAATTATAATTATAAGTAATATTAAACAAGTATATATAATATAGATAAGTATATATTATATACATTGTATATTGTTATATTTTATATTATGATTACATATAATTACATTAATGTTATTTAATATGAGTATTTTCAAAATTCTAAATAAGTCTTTCCCACCAACCTTGTACAATTTAATGGTATATATACTTATGTTATGGTTTGAGTTTTAAAAAATATTTTGTAATCTAAGATATCCACATTCTTACCCAGTTTTGTGTGGTTATCATCTCATATTTTTTAAAGATCTTTTTTTGACTTGATAACAAAGAAATACTTTTCTTTAGAAAAATATAACTTCAGCACACTTAGGTAATATCTAGCAAACCAAGGGGAGGATATATGGCCAAGATCAAGAAGGTCATAATTGCTATTCTTCACACAGCCTTCAAATTGTAAGCGGACATTGCAGAGGTAACAGAAAGGCTAAGACCCTTTACTGCTGTCACTCATGATTCAAGGAGGGAAAATATTAGTAAAAGATATAAACTTGGGCATAGCTATGAAAAGGAGTTATTTCTTGTTTTAAAGGGAAAGTCCACAGATCCCTTCTCTGTTAGCAAGAGGAAAAAAGATAAAGAGGTAATTCCAAAAGCTGATACATACAGAAATTCACCCACAAAAGAAGTGAAGAGAAAGGTAAAAACTCTATACATAGACAGAACAACATAAAGTGATATTGCTACGTGTGGGCAGATAAGAGAGAAATCGTGTGATTTTAGTTGTCATATCACATAATTCATAATAAAAGTCTTTGGATATACGCACATTCTGATTATATTCATCTCTAGTATTGCTCTTTGAGAAGTTTTTTTTCTTTAATCATTTTAGTATTTCAGTTTATTTCAAGTATTTAAATTTTGAGTCTTCTAAAGCACATTTCTATTTTACTATTGTGACTTAAGCTACATTTTGGGGGTTGAATGTCTCTATTTACAATAGTATCCTTTTAATATTAGGAAAAATTCCATATAATACCACAGATAACTACCATTTATCTCTACAAACACTAAGCCCTTTTAAAAATAATTATTATGCTATACATACATCACAAATTTTATAGGTAGTGTTCTTTCTAAATACAGCCATCAAGACTGATTTAATGGCATATTCAATATTTTAGCCTTCCTTAGGAACATTCGTCACTGTAGTTTTCAGTGAACTGACTGTGTAACTACTTTCAACATTTTTCATCTCTGATCTGTTTGTCAAATTGTCATCCTCATGTCTCCAGCCATCACCATTCCTGCTTTTAAGAGTTAACACTGTATACCCAGTATTTTCTGTCTCTTACGCAGTAAAAGCTATTGTCAACTGGGAATTATTCTGAGTGGTAAATTTTTAAAAACTACTTCTTATAAAAGGGTGAAATTGTGGAGAGACAATTAGATAGCCGGAAAGCTGATTGTTGAGTGAAAAAATGTTACTCTTTATTATTTTTAATTAGCTAGCACATTGCTACAATGGGAAATAAAAAATAAATTACAAATTAAATAGAGTTTTCTGTTTTTCAAAATGTAGAATAATAAATATTACATTATACAACTCCATTCAATTTGGAAACATGTAAAAATTAGGAAAAAATGTGAGTGTCTTTTTTACATTTCAAATTAGTATGAAATGTCTCAGAAAGCTGATTATGATCAGCTTTAGCACAAAGAATATAATCAGAGCTTGTCAAATCAATCTACTTAAAATTATTTTATAATATAAGGGGTATTTTATGATTCTAAGGCTGAGTCTCATGTAATGTTTAAAATAAATACAACTATCCTCAAGACCATGGTGATATGCTAATAGTTGATTATAAGAATATAAACTCATATTCAAACATCATAAAGTAACTTAATATTCTTCATAGTTTCTTGTCAAGCACTTACTTTTTACCTTGTTAAATTAATTGAAATATATATTCATTTTCCCCGATGTATGTATGTGTATGTGTGTATATACACATACAATCACACAAATAGTATTCATAGTTAAAATGAGGAAAGTAAGTCTCCTTCCCACCCAAGATCTGCAGTTTCTCCTATGAGAGACAACTACTTATCCTTGTTTTGTATGCATCCTTCCAGAAACATGCAATGTTTACATAGAAATAAGAGAAAAATAACATTCTTTTGAACCATTCTTTCACTTATATCTTGAAGATTCTTTCATTTCTGCATATTTAGATCTATTTTATTCTTTTTGTTAGCCACATAATAGTGTACTTCATTGTTAGACCATTATTTAGTGTTAGTGATGGACACTAAGTTGCTTCAGGGTCCATATTGCAAAAACATACACATCATCCATCTTTGTGCATATATGTTTGTGAGAAAATACTTGAAGTGGATTTCAGAGTCAAATAAATGCAAAATAATATCAGCAAATTATGATTCAGTGATCAAATTTCATACTGATTTCCTATTGCACTTACAATATGTGAATTTCTCTTTGTTTCTAACTCTTTCTAATATTGACCATTATGAAAGTTTTTAATCAACTTTTCATTTGACTGAAAGTCATTTCATATTTTCACGTACATTACTAAATGATATATATCTTTCAATTCGTAAGGAGTTATTATTCAACTGTTCTCAAGTTGTAAGGTTCTTAATTGGAACCAAGAGAGTACTTTGGATATATTAAAGAAATGTATGTTCAAGTATCCTTGCTTATTGCTTTCAAAATGAACCAGCTAAGTCCAAACTAGAGCAACAAATTTATGACTCATTTGATTCTTAAAGTTGACTCATTAACCCTGGCAAGAAAAAACAATTATTCTACAGATTGTCAAGAGAGAAAAAATGTTTTCCTGAATTTTAAATAAAACTTTAACATACTGAGTCCCACATACATAGAAGTAGAACTAAAAAAAGTATGAAAAAATATTGCCTCTTCAATGAGAAGAATGTATATTTCCTCATAGATTTTGTTTCTTAAAAGCAATGTTCTGCTGTTCTTTCATACATATTCTTGAAAGAACTTCATGAGGAGTATATAGTATATAAAATGAAAATTGCATTTATTTGGTCACAAAAATGTTGACCCTAAAATCACTTTTGGCTGTTATTGTTTTAAAGATTTCTTTTTTCGGCAGAGGTTGCAGTGAGCCGAGATCGCACCACTGCACTTCTGCCTGGGCGACAGAACAAGACTCCGTCTCAAAATAACGTAACATGACATAACATAACATAACATAACAGAACATAATATAACATAACATAACATAACATAACATAACATAACATAACATAACATAACATAACATAACATAACATTTTTCCCAGCTAGATGAGCTAATAAATTTCTTGTTCTGCTTAAAAAAAAAAAAAAAAAAAAAGATTTCTTTTTTCTTTCTCTTCCTGGCTTCCTTCCCTCCTCTCTCCCTTCCTCTTGCCCCTCCCCTCCTATCTCCCCTCCTCTCTCCTCTCTTCTCTTCTCCCCTCTCCTCTCCTCCTCTCCTCTCTTTTCCTTTCCTTTCCTTCAATGTGTACCTGACATGTTTCATCTCACGGTTGAGTTTCATTGTTGCTAAATGACTTTGGTTTACCTAATTCTTGAATAGCACCTGTGCTTGGATTCTGTTCATTGAATCATTATGACATGACTTTTGATTGTGGAGATCTACATTTATTTATTGATATAAAATATATGTTCTTAATTCTGAATCCTATTTTATGTAATGATTTATATTTTGAAACCATTGTTATTATATATTTAGCCATATGGTTTATTTTCGTATGTGCTAGTAGAAGTTCTCCATGTAGTAATTTGGAATAATTATAAACCGCTTAGTTCTTATACTGTTTACCTTTGTAAATTTATGCAATATAAATTTATCAATGTTCCTGTAGTTATTTGGAATATTTAGAAATGTTATAACCTTATAGGATTTTAATTGCTAAATTGCTGTGATAAAAGAAGAGAAAATAGAGCACTTCTATTTCTTATTTCCTCCACTCCTCACTCCTCCATTTATAGTTCTAACTTGAGTAATATTATTATGATTCTAAAATGGTAGGCAAGTTTATATCTTTTTTTTTTTTTTGAGACAGAGTCTCGCCCTGTCTTCCAGGCTGGAGTGCAGTGGCGTGATCTCGGTTCACTGCAAGCTCCACCCCCTGGATTCACGCCATTCTCCTGCCTCAGCCTCCTGAGTAGCTGGGAATACAGGCGCCTGCCACCACGCCCGGCTAATTTTTTGTATTTTTAGTAGAGATGGGGTTTCACCGTGTTAGCCAGGATGGTCTCGATCTCCTGACCTCGTGATCCACCCACCTTGGCCTCCCAAAGTGCTGAGATTACAGGCGTGAGCCACTGCGCCCAGCCCAACTTTGTATCTTTAAATTATATAATTCTGTTACTGGGTTTATCAACTTTTAAAAATAGCTATTTATCTTCTATTATGCAAAAAGAGGAAATCTACACACATATAGTACCTTCTATGTTTTAGAATAACAAAAAATATTTAATTTTGCCTATTCTTGGACAACAGTTTCTTAGGTCACACTTAACTTGCCTTGAGGAATTTGAAGACATTATTTCCATAGTTTGTTTTGAGAAAACATAAGATATGAGGCTAATTTTTCCTCTTAGAGGTGACTTTCTGTCTAGATACCAGTAGATGTCTTTATTTTTGCAGTCCTTTGTGACTCTAGAGTGTAACTCAATCCGCAGCAATATTTTCCTTTACATGTGACTAGGTTTTAGTATTTTACTATAATTTTTTCTTGAATTTTGTATTTGATTTTATAGTTTAAAAATGTTTGCTCTTAACATTTTCTGGAACATTATTTTTGTATCTTTTCTATCTGTCTTGTTTCCATGTATACTATTTTCAATTTGATTCCTTCTTACATTTTATTTTGCTTCATATTCTTAAGCTTGTCTTTTAAGTCTTAGACTACATTTTCAACAATGATTATCAGCATTAGCAATTCCTTTAATCTAAAGGGTCCTCACTTTTATTTCTCTTCAGCTCTTGAGTCTCTGTTTTTCCATCATACCAGAAAGACTATATGTATTTTCTTTTTCATATGAAGAACTGCTTAATTAGTGTTGGCGACAGAGTTCTCATTTCTGCTGACTTTGCCCCAGGATCTATTGAGGCAGGACCCTCTTTTGCTGTCCTCCAGCCTTGGTTCAGTCAGCTTATCACTTACACTACTCACAAGCATCAGTAAATATGAAGGTTTACTTCTCACTCTGTTTTCTTTTCTTCTGGTGCATATTTTAAAGATGAAAATTGTTAAAGAAAATTATGTTGTATCTTTTTAATTGTTCCTTTAAAACCCTTATCTAAGATATATTATTAATTGTCAAACTTGCATCAGAAATACTCTCTTTCTAACAATAATGGTTTTCATGAATTAGATGTTATGTGGGTTATTTTTAAGAATCACACTCTAAAACACAAAATTTTAATAATAAATAAAATTTGTCCATACAGATCAAGGAGAGAAAAAATATGTCTTGCTAAACTGTTATTAAGTTGTAGCTATGTATTTTAAAGATAGCTTTAAAATTAATTATTTACTATGCTTAAACATCATTTTGTAAGAATAGCAATAGTTTTAGGAGATTCTTGTAACTTGAAATGAGCCACTGACATGAATGAAATATAAATAATATGTACCACATGTTCATTATAAAACAAAGCATATAAAATCCCTGGAGTTATAAAATTCAATTAGTAATCATTTTGTGAGGCCTAGAAATGTAGTTATAAAACATCCCACTTTATTTGTAACTTAAATAGGTCTTTATGTCTGAAAACTTGGACTATCATTTAGTAGATAGTTTCAAATAGCCCTGTACCTGTTTTAATATATTAAAGCTGTATTGAGAATGCCAAAGTGATTACTACATATATTTATTCATACATATGTATTCATCCTTAAGTTAATTTGTTAGTTGAATAGCATATATATGGAACCAGAGAACCATGGTTTGAAAAACAAACATAGGCTGTTGTAACAGAAATTAAATACTACTTAGGCTATATAGGATGTCTTTTTTTAATTTTTTTACCCAATGCTTTGGTGTATCTTATAAATAACATAAGAGATGAGATCTGTGCTGTTGTTTAACTTTAACCTGACTTGGAAAGTTTCAACAAGATACTGGAGGTCATAGAAAGGATTTTAATTCTCTTTTAAATAATCAACGCCAACTCTTTAATTACTGTACTATATAATGCTGTTATTCTTCTAAAGGTATGTAATGCTATTGTTATATACATATCCTGAAAGACCTTATAAGTTCTAAATAAAAACTAAAAAAGTTAACAAAGCATACATTTGATAGGGTTGTCATTAATTGAAGCAAAAGTTCAAGATGTTCAGAAAGCAAGGCCCTGACTATGTTACTAGCCTATCGATATTTTATTAACTTTCTTTAACAATTTTAATGTCGGCTTCTTAAAGTACTTCATAATCTATGAGTTTATAAGAACAATTTTTTAAAGCATCCAAAAAAAAGCTGTTCATTTAGGGATAGACACTGATACAATGCATATGTATTTCCTACCATTTTCCTCCATCAAAATATGTGAATACAAATATCTTTTAACTGAGATCGTATGTTGGAATGATTTGCAGCTTGAAAGTGGTAATTAAATTTAACCAAGAAAGTTTTCCTGTGACTCTTGTCAGAAAATTCTATTGTAAGTAGCCATATAGTGTCCTATCTGTAGGTGTATTCTGATTGATTCAACCTTTTCTCTAGTTTTTCATCTATTTCCCTTTACATGTATATGTATATACATGTTGTATGAGTGTTTTGTATGTATATACGGCATGGAAAAAAGTATTATTCAAGTATATTTAATTATACGTCAATTAATTTTTCATGATAAACATAAACTATTGAGCAAAATAATTTATTACTTTGAAACATTTTGATATATATTTTAAATTTTTTATCAGAAAAATTTGTATCTATATACCATTTCTTAAGCCATGAATGAGGGTGTTAATTTTGTATTTATTCACTCCACTTATTTTATTAAAAAACCTGCTCACTGGTTATGTAGACATACTTTTAATTATAGTGTGTTTGAAAATATTTTGTCATGTTTACTAGATATCAGTATTTTATAATTGCTTTTCAATACATTTAGTTCATTTTGTGATATATTTGTCTTCTGAGTAAATATGCTTTTACTTCCATTGACTTGATGTATATACTTGCAGTATTAGTAGTGTTTCATCCCATGAGAGAAGGCATGGAGAAAGATAATTAATGGAGATAGGTGATAAGGAGAACATATTTCTATCTTTCCAGTATATAATCAAGTTGCTCTGCTCATTTTTTAATGATTCAAAATTATAAAATAATAAAAATCACCATCAAAATATTATAACCATCTATAATCAGGTTAACACAAATTATTTAGGCTTCTACCTCAGGTACTTTGTGACTGCAATTTAATTAAAAGAAAATAACACTGTTCCAATTAAAAACAGAGGAAAAAGTGGGTCATGACTGAAATGCAGTTTCTTTAGAATCAAAGGACATAAGGTATAATTAACAGAGGCCTAACTGGACAATGCAAAGATGCAATAATTTGTATGTTCTTTTGTTCATCTATATTAGAACATATGGCATTTGAGTCATGATATAAATAAACTAGACACATAACATTATATTCTGATGAACACAGTTAGTAAAATTATACTTTCAAATTATCTTAATTTTTTTTTCCCAGATCAGTGCTAAGTCTTCTAGTATTAAATTGGATTTGATTCAGGGTTAGGCGTGTGATATAAGAAAGACTTATAAAGTTTCTCCTGATGTGAAGAATAAAGATAATTTTTTAACCCCTGGGGTTGTTAAACTAGGAAGGAATGTCTAATTGAGAGTGGCAGTGAAGGAAAGTGGTCCCCATATTCTGTTAGAATACCAATCACTGGCTGGGTGTGGTGGCTCATGCTTGTAATCCCAGCACTTTGGGAGGCCGAGGCGGGCGGATCACGAGGTCAGGAGATCGAGACCAACCTGGCTAACATGGTGAAACCCCGTCTCTACTGAAAAGTTAAAAAAAATTAGCCGGGCATGGTGGCGGAAGCCTGTATTCCCAGCTACTCAGGAGGCTGAGGCAGGAGAATGGCGTGAACCCGGGAGGCGAAGCTTGCAGTGAGCCAAGATTGCGCCACTGCACTCCAGCCTGGGTGACAGAGTGAGACTCTGTCTCAAAAAAAAAAAAAAAAAAGAATACCAATCACCACCAGAAAACCAGTGAGCAGCACCACCCACCTTGAGGAATGTTATTCCTCATATTACCAAATTATAATAGGTTATAATTCTGTAGGGGGTTGATGTATATTCTGAGGTCAATATTTCCTTACCTACTTTACAAATTTAAAGAATTAGAGAATTAGAAACTAATATTAAGGACATAACCCACCTCAGAACATTGGGAACTTAATAAATGATAGAATTCTACAAATAGGACTTGATTTCAGAACTGTTTGTAAGAATACACATCTAAACAATAGCTCCAAGTATTCGAGTTGGACAAGCATGCATGTATATTGAATGTAATTCAAGGTGAGAACAAGAGCAGATGGAGATTTAATACAGTCAGAGATGAGAAGGAAAGGGTTAAATTATTTGATTAACATAGTATAAAATAAAATGCTTAAAAATATGCCATTTGACATTATTTCTTGCCCTCACATGTTCACACAAAAAATGTTTACAATAATTTACCATTGTTAAGAGAAAATGTGGGTATGAAAGACCAGCAATATCTTTTTTGGAATGATTTTTTTTTTTTGCCAAAAGGAAAAGAAGAAAAAAGAAAAACAATGTATTTTCTTTCTAGTATGAAAAGTTAGGAGGCATTCATCATTCAGACTAAAGAACAAAATATGCTTTATTTTTCTGTAAAATGACAACTGAACTTGCTTTCAATTTTAAATAATAAAAAGCTGCATGTTGCTTGCTATTGTCATTGTGGTCAACTTCCTCCCTCCCAGCTCTGGTATCATCAGTACAAGTCTCCTCACCTTCTAGGAAGACATTTTGTCTGCTCAGAAACTGCTGGGAGGTCAAGTTCTTTTATTTTAATAATAAAAATAATGAACAAAGGCACAAAAAATAGGACAAGGAGGCTAACTGCATTTACTATACTAAAAAGGATTGAAATCTATTTGTGTAAGAACAAAAAGCAGACCCTGAAAGGCAAGTGTGTGTGTGTGTGTGTGCGCGCGCGCGCGCGCCTGTTTAATGTTGTAAGTAAAAAGATATAGAAAGCATGAAAGTTGATCCTTAAAATTTTCTGTATGTCTTATAATTAATGTTTTCCAGATTTGGATTCTGATGTAATGTTGGAGATTTTTAAAAATAGTAGCTAATTACTGTTACTTGTCTGAATAATTTTTGTATATAAATGAGTTTTGAAATTCCGTTTCGACACTAGCAAGGAATTCTTTTTTAGCAAAGTCATGAACGAATTTCAGGATACCCTTTCATCAGTGAAATGTTCTTATGCATTTTCAGTGAGGGACTTTATGTATTATGACTTTTATTGCTTCTAGCATCTTTGTGTTATTTGGCAGATTTTAAGATTTAAAAATGTTGTATTTGAGAATAAAGTTGCTATTTCCAAAAAATTTCTAACTTTATAGTTCATATTGTTCACCATTTATTACGAAGGATTCCTGGGTGATTTAAAAATTATAGTAAGAAAACACCACTACCCAGACATTAGCTATTTTTCCTTACAGTTCTATCAGTTTTAGCCTCATATATTTTAATGTGTTATTATTAGATGCATACATGCTAAAGATTGTTATGTCTTCTTACAGAAATCATCCGTTTATCATCATGCAGTGCCCTCCTTGATCCTTGATACGTTTCCATGTTCTGAAATCTGTTTTTTCTGTATGTTTTAGTCTGCTTAGGCTGTTATAACAAAATAAAACAAACTGATGGCTTAAGCAAATACATTTAATTTTTCACAGTTTTGGAGGCTGCAAGTCCATGGTCAAGATGCTGACAAATTCCTGGGTTTAGATGGTCACTTTCTCACTATGTCTTCACATTGCCTTTCCTTGGTGCATGGGAATAGACCATGTCTCTTAAAACAGCACTACTCCTATCAAATCTGGGCCCCAGCTTTTTGATGTCACTTGACCTTAATTACTTCCTTAGAAACCCTATCTCCCAACATAGTCACACATGGGGTAAAAACTTCAGAGTATGAATTTTGCAAGAATATTCATTCCATAATAGCATGGTGTCTATTTTTCCATCCCTTTAGTTTTAATGTATCCAAACATTTATATTTAATGAAGGTTTCTTTTAGACAACATGTAATTAGATATTTTTAAAAATTCATTTTGAGGATATCTGTATTCAATTGAAGCATTTATACCACTCACATTTAAAGTGACCATAAATATCTATAGGTCAATAATTACCATTTCTGTAACTGGTTTATATTTGCTATATTTGTGCCTTGTTTCTATATCCCTCTCTTTTTTGCCTTCTCTGGTTTTAACTGAGTATGTTTTATTATTCTATCAACTACATTTTAAAAATTTGTTAGTTGTTGCCCTAGAGATTTCAGTATACATTTTTAATTAATGTAAGTCCGTTTGCAAGTAACACTATGTACATTCCCATGCAGCGCAGGCACCCTTTAACAAATCCTCCCTCCTGCCCCTTGTGATATTGTTGTTTATTTCGTTTATCTACATAAATGAAATATGGATAAATTAATTAATATATTTTATTATTATTACTTTCATAGTTATTTCTTAGGTCAATTAATAAGTAAAAAGGAGCATTTTTGTTGTTGGTTTTTTTGTTTACTTTCAATTTCTTACTCAATGCTGTAACCATTTTTTGCAGACTGAAGTGTCGACCTACATCATTTTTCTTTCTTTTTTCCTAAAAAACTAATTTTAATATTTCTTGCGGAGCTTGTCTGATGGCACTGAATTCCCAGAATTTTTTAACTAAGAGTCTTCATTTTTCCTTTACATTTAAAAGATAATTTCACTGGGTGTAGAATTCAGGTGAAAGGATGTTTATCTTCTTTCAACATTTTAAATATTGTACTGCCATTCCTTGCAAGGTTTCTGATGAGAAGTCTACTATAATTATTATTCTTGTTCCTCTGTAGGTAAAGTTTTTATTTATTTGGTTGTTTAATTTTTTGGTCTCACTTTGTTCAATATTTTCTTTGTCTTTTTGTTTTCTGCGGTTCAAAAGGATATGCCAAAGTGTAATTTAATTAATTAATTGTTCAATAATTTTTAGTCTATTTTGCTTTATATGTATCTGGGTTTGTGTGTTATTAATCTTGGAAAGTTGTTGACCATTTTTTGTGTAGTTCATTATCCTGACCTTCCCCCAAATAATTCATGTAGGATCTCCAACTGACATGTACCAAGAATATAAAGTTTTGATATTATTTATGAATGATTTTCAGACACAAAATTGAAGAAACACTGTTTCAGCTTGTATTTGTGGATAATGTATACACTTTCAACATTTAAGGAAAGAAAAATGCCTCCATAAACTTACTTATTAAATGTACGCTATTATCAACCATTACTTAAAATATGTTCTCTAGTAGAACTAAGGAAAAAGTGAATCTTTGAACTCACTGCAGGCATTTCCTTAGATTGTGATGCCTTGGGTCAATCTCTGAGTCTGATGACAGTACCCAGACTCTTCCATTTCCATTAAAGTTATTACCTGACTTTCTGCTGCTGCCAACAGTAAGTGCCCGGTGCTAGCCCTAATTGACCTACCTGCAGATCCTTTTCCATGCCTTCTTTGCGGATTTCCAGAACCTGCAGCCATTGCAGGTTTTGTTTTTTATTTCTTTAAAAGTAACTAGTTCTACCACTATAAAACTGACAATCATAAACGTAAAAGGGGAAAGAAAGAAAATATTTTAGTTTTTGTAAGCACATTTTGAAAAGGGTATCTTCATTCACCTGTGGTTGTATGTATAAATTAATATGTATTTCTGGTGAGCAGAATTCAGAGCATCTTAAGAACCTTGTTTTTATATTTTTAGGAATTTTCCCTGTAAAAAGATTATAGCTAAGCACAAAGACTCATATTTAAGGCATATTTAGGATAATTCATTAAAAAGTTTCTTTTATTGGAGAAAATTGAAAAATTATAATCCATAATAAAGGGATTACTAAGAACAGTATGGAATATATGTAACATGAAATGCCGTGTAGCTAATCATAATTTTATAAGGCTCTTTAATGATAAAAGAAGGATAACTGGTTTTAAAAGTAAATATGGATTATACTCATTTTTGAAAGATGTGTGTATAACAAAAAAAGAAATAAACATAAACATATGGATTACATATGTGCCTAATATTAAATATACCATTTAATATCATATTCTAAAATATTTAATATGCTTAGATTAAGTTGTATGTTTGGTAAAATACAATCACTTCCTTTAATCTATATAAATTCTTAGACACAGTGAATTTTTCATCAGTGTGGGTAGCAGAGAAAGAAAGAGTAAACTTCAAAACTTATCCTTAGTTTCTGTATATTCCTGCCTAACACAACTCTTATTAACCTGATATCTTCCATGGGAAAACAGCAAGCAACTAACTCAATTTCAATTACTCCTCCAAAATCATTTCTGAAATGTACAGTTCCAACAAAATGATTTTACACAGAGTATTGTTTTACATTATTTAATTACCATATTATCTTTGAGGAAACTTAGGACTCCTTTTGGACTTTGAATTTGCTTCTTTGTGGGCTAAATTTTTAAGAAATCATATTATAAAAAGAAATAGCAGTATTTAAAGCGAAGTTATTTTTTTTAATATAGCACTTTTTAGTGTTCTAAAATATAGTTGTATGCTCTTGTTTCTTTGTTTCTTTTCAGATTGTATAAATCTTTTGCCTTTTACTAAAACAGTTACCTCTTTCACATTCTATATTATCATATGATAACTAAGGCAATATTTTCAGATTCAAAGGATTCCCATTTTATAAGTTAAAAACTGTTGTTTTTGTGTTAAGCTATTATCTTTGTTTACTATAAGAAAAATAAAAATAAATAAATACATTAAAATAAATTCAAATGCTTATGTAATTCAGAGATAGTGTTTTAAAATTCATTTCTCTGTATTTGAAAATATTTTTCACTTATACCTGGAAAAAGAAGATGCTAGGTACTGCCTTTTTGGGGGGTCCAGGGATTGGGATTTTCTTTTTTTTTTTTTTCTTTCTTTCTTTTTCTTTTTTTTTTTTTTTTGAGATGGGGTCTCACTCTGTCACCAGGCTTGAATGCATTGGCGCAATCTCGGTTCACTGCAACCTCCCGCCTCCTGGGTTCCAGAGATTCTCCTGCCTCAACCTCCCAAGTAGCTGGGACTACGGGCACCCGCCACCACGCCCGGCTAATATTTTTGTATTTTTAGTAGAGATGGGGTTTCACCGTATTAGCCAGGGTGGTCTCAATCTCCAGACCTCGTGATCTGCCCACCTCAGCCTCCCAAAGTGCTGGAATTACAGGCATGAGCCACTGTGCTTGGCCAGATTGAGATATTATTTAAGTATAATGTTATATAGTTGAGTATTGAGAATGGTATGATTTGGGTATGGTTTGTTTGGCCCTGCCAAGTCACCAAGTCTCATGTTAAAATTTGATCCCCATTGTTGGAGATGGAACCTGGTAAGAGGTGGGAACAGATCTCATGAATGTCTCAATACTATTCTCGAGTGAGTGAGTTCTCACTTCTAGTTACCTCGAGCTGGTTGTTTAAAAGACTTTGGCACCTCCTCTATTCTCTTTCTCACCATGTGAGCTGCCTACAGTAGCTTCCCTTGACGTTTTGCCATGAATAGAAGCAGATACTTGAGGTTCTCACCAGATGCAGATGTTGGTGCCATGCTTCTTATACAGCCTACAGAACTATGAGCCAAATAAGCCTCTTTTCTTTACAAATTACCTACTTCTGCTATTCCTTTATAGCAACACAAATGGAGTAAGACAGAGAAGAAGGCAGGGGAACTTCTAATATGTGAGGTTCGAATCAGCCTAGTTGTGCTAACTCTGACAAGGTGGTCAGGAGGTTTCAAAAGGAATCAGTGGCCAATTAAATGCTTTCAAATTCACTGTTCACTATGAGACTTTCCTAAACCATCAATCATGCAAATATATTCAACATACACACAAGCAGTAATAACAAAGAGGGGAAACAAACCATGGCGAGTAGCTCGGGAGACCAGCGTGCTGACAGATGGGGAAGGTCCGAATTTCTTGATCAAGAAAAGGCCACAGAATTCTCACAGGCAGAGCTTCTGCAGACGTCTTGGCCATGGTCAGTTTCTTTGCTGTTTTCATGGCCTGCACAAGTGTCCATGGTCATTATCTCAGCTGCCCTTTTGACTTCACTTTTTATCAGGTCTTGGGGATGCCTGACCATTGCAGGTATTATTACCTCAGTCCACCATGCATATGGTTATCACTTTGAGGGGTCATCAGTTTCACTCTAGGCTGAGTCACTTGTCATAAGTGACTCCATTTGGAGACATTTAGGATTACAAGACATTATTATTTAACAATCTCAAAGCTTATTCTTACATTTCCATATATCCCTGCCTAACCCAACTCTTGTTAACCTAATATATCCCATGGGAAACCAATAAGCAAATTCTGATGTGTATATTTCACACTGTAAAGTCAGGGAGGAGTTGGGGGCAGGGAGCAATCCTGCTCCTATGTAACATATGCATAATAGACATAACTATGTACCCATGATCTATATGACTGATTTTTATGTCAGACAACTGTGTTCTACCTAGCATCAAATTTGATGTGTAGTTGAAGGAAAATAACATGCTTTCATCAGTTTTTAAAACACTACATAGTTAACTTGCTATGAAAGCAAACCTTACAACAACAATTCCCACTAATACCAGAATCTCTTATAATTACTTTTTGCTGTTTCCATATGTTACACTTGAACATACAAACATGCACACTTTTCAAGCTGTTTTCATTGTTTTCAGTTATTTCACACTCTGACAATCATACCATTAGTTAAAAAAAATGAGCACCAGCTGCTTCATACTGCGACTTTTCTTCTCCCTATTGAGTTATACTGCCATCCTCTTACAGTAATTTGAATAATTAGGCTTAACTTCTTGCTTTTCAGCCTACAACTGTAATCAATACATGTTGTTGGTTAGATATCCACAAAAAAACTTTCATCTTCACTACCACTTCCTCATGACAAAGATGCAAAAATGAGACTTCAGCATTGTCACGATTTAAGATGCTGCCCAATAGTGTTCAATTTAATAATATACTTTATGGGTATTTATGGAAATTTGACATTCTTTGTTTTTGTCTTACCCTCCTTTGTGGGTTCACACCAAATACGCAGTCTGTTCCACTGTAGTTAGTCTTGTGTGTGTCATTGAGGACAGCCTCTGTATGTTTACAATTGTCTCTTTTTAAATCAAAGATCCAAGATTTAGTAATCTTGTAGTACTCTTTCAATGTAATGATGCTTACTATTGTAGCTTTTTTAGTTAACATCTAAAGAGATATCTTTGAAGATAGCACTAAACTAGCTCATTTTAAAAGCAACATTAGATTACTAAATTTGCCTTAGTTCACAATCCATGACCATTAGTTTCTTAATGGATTTGGGAAACTCAATAATTCCTGCTTAGATTACATTTTATTAGATTTGGATGTCTTTCATACTAACTTTTAAAGATCTGTAGACAGTATAATCAGATTAGAGTTTCAGTCTCAATGGCTTACAATATAACATTTTTATTGGCTCTTCACAAGCACCTAAAGTCACACTGAGAGCAGTATAATACCGAGTGTTCACAAAATTAAATTCAGAAGGTGAGCAATTGGCATATTCTTCCATTGGATAATTGTTTTTTTCTTGTCAGGATTCTATTTCTGTTTTGTTTTAACATATTTCCATGGTTATCAGAAAGGAGAAAACATAAAAGGTCATATATGGTTTATAAAATAAGGAATGGCATTTAAACTAAGAAATCTACTTGTTATTTTCTACATAGCTTTTATGACACGTGCAGTAATTAAGTGTCGCATTACCTTAATTGAAACGTATCTATTTAATTAAGGTACTAGGAAATAAAGGCCATGCAATATATTTCTTCCTAAATACTCACTAACAAAACAATATTTTGAATGAAGCTGTTTTAATAGTTGACTTTACAATTGAATATAAAATTTTCATAAATATAAGAATGAATTATCAATAATTGATAAATGCAAAGCAATACAATCAATATCACTATAAATGCATAAACAAATGGTATGTATCAGCATTTTATGAATCATTGAACATAATATCTTATGTAAATTGGTTTTAAAATGGGTGTGTACAAATACAGAAAATATATTTATCCATTTATTTTTAAAAAGTCAATTGAGATGTAAAAGGCAAATTTATGTTGCTAGTGCAAAATATATACACATGTGTACAATTCAGAGAGCCATTCTTTCTATGGGAACACTTCTTTTGATAGTCACACTCCTTTAGTTTCTAATTGAACTGTGATCCTTGAGGCATTTGCTGATGATGATTTCTATACATTTCTGGTGCATAATATCTGATATGTTTTACCATGTTGCATTTGGAACTGCCTGCATTCTGTCATTGCTGACAGTAAAGAACCAGAGTAAGACAGGGTAGACCAACTTCTGGATGAAAGTAGGGTTCTAAGTTTAAACACTAATGGGAGAAAGATGAAATAATCCTAGTTGGCATTTCCTTCTCTCAGTTTGAAGAATCCTTGCCCAGTTGCTAATATGGTAGCATCAGTCACCGCAAGGATATGTTGGTAAGACATTTTTGAGTCTGATCTCATATGTGTCAAAAGTACTGTGCTTTATCTAGTTCCTCTGGGCAACTGCTTTTTCCTTCAATGAGCTTCACATATTAGCTTATCATTATATCCCACGACTGTTCCTTTCAATGAATTATAAGTAACCCAAACTATAAAATATATAAAATTAATAGTTTTTGGTGACCATTGGTCATAGTTAACTTGTTTTTTTTCTACTTGACTTGGCACATCTCTACTCTGCATTATAACTTGGGGACCACATAGATTATTATCCAAATTGGGATGACAAGGCTGAAAATGAACAGAACACTATTCATGGGAATGGGTATATAAAGCAGTACTGTCCCAGGAAAACTCATTTGCAGAATTATCCGAATTATAATACTTTAGGAAGTATTTTTAAAAAGTAATAAATATTACATGAAAGGATGAGATATTTTATATTGATAACTTGTTCATATATATATATGATCATATATATATTCTCACAACTTAGAATGTCAATTCTTTGAAGCCTGGGGCTGTCTTTTGTAATTATTTTAATTGTCTCCAAAGTGCAAGCTTTTTTTGTAAATAAATGTATATAAATGGAGTACCTACTATACAAACTGTTTCATAATTATTCTCATCATGACCTAAGTGTCTTAAATTTAGAGTGATGATGAGAATAGCAAGAATGGTAATTTTTGAAAGCTGACATTTTGTGTATATAGTAGGTTGTTGCTTTAATCCTCCAACAACCATGAGAGTGTTTCATATTACTCTTCTCCACTGAGTTTTAGCTAACAAGTGGCATGGCTTGATTAGAATATTCCTAGAATAGACTGTTAATCACTTCTTTATACTGTCTCTCATTCTACTGATAGCTCATTATATTTTCCTGTACTTCACATACATTTTAAATTTTCACAGTGAGTTAACTATGATATTGTTATTGTTATATCAAAGATTAGGAAACCAAAGCTCATCAAATTGCAGTTAACATATGTGACAGCATTTTTTACCTAGAACTAAATCTAAAGCAGGAATTAACAAACATTTTTTTTCTAGAAGGCCGAATACTATTTTTAGGTTTTTTTTACATCACATATAATCTGTATTACATATTCTTCTTTATTAATATTTTGCAACTTATTGAAAAGGAACTTAAGTCCATGGACTGTAGTTTGCTGACCTATGCTCTAAAATAGGATAATTTCACTATGCTATATATAATAAAATAAATTCTTATTAGTTGTATGAGATGCAAATAAATATATGTTTACTTTGTGACTTTTGCAAAATCTTTATGCCAGGTAAAATAACTGAAGAATTTTTCCAAATCTATACATATTTTCTTTCTTTTTTTTTATTATTATACTTTAAGTTTTAGGGTACATGTGCACAATGTGCAGGTTAGTTACATATGTATACATGTGACATGCTGGTGCGCTGCATCCACTAACTCATCATCTAGCATTAGGTATATCTCCCAATGCTATCCCTCCCCCCTCCCCCCACCCCACAACAGTCCCCAGAGTGTGATGTTCCCCCTCCTGTGTCCATGTGTTCCCATTGTTCAATTCCCACCTATGAGTGAGAATATGCAGTGTTTGGTTTTTTGTTCTTGCGATAGTTTACTGAGAATGATGATTTCCAATTTCATCCATGTCCCTACAAAGGACATTAACTCATCATTTTTTATGGCTGCATAGTATTCCATGGTGTATATGTGCCACATTTTCTTATTCCAGTCTATCACTGTTGGACATTTGGGTTGGTTCCAAGTCTTTGCTATTGTGAATAGTGCTGCAATAAACATACATGTGCATGTGTCTTTATAGCAGTATGATTTATAGTCCTTTGGGTATATACCCAGTAATGGGATGTCTGGGTCAAATGGTATTTCTAGTTCTAGATCCCTGAGGAATCGCCACACTGATTTCCACAATGGCTGAAATAGTTTACAGTCCCACCAACAGTGTAAAAGTATTCCTATTTCTCCACATCCTCTCCAGCACCTGTTGTTTCCTGACTTTTTAATGATTGCCATTCTAACTGATGTGAGAAGATATCTCATTGTGGTTTTGATTTGCATTTCTCTGATGGCCAGTGATGATGAGCATTTTTTCATGTGTTTTTTGGCTGCATAAATGTCTTCTTTTGAGAAGTGTCTGTTCATGTCCTTTGCCCGCTTTTTGATGGGGTTGTTTGTTTTTTTCTTGTAAATTTGTTTGAGTTCATTATAGATTCTGGATATTAGCCCCTTGTCAGATGAGTAGGTTGCGAAAATTTTCTCCCATTTTGTGGGTTGCCTGTTCACTCTGATGGTAGTTTCTTTTGCTGGGCAGAAGCTCTTTAGTTTAATTAGATCCCATTTGTCAATTTTGTCTTTTGTTGCCATTGCTTTTGGTGTTTTAGACATGAAGTCCTTGCCCGTGCCTATGTCCTGAATGGTAATGCCTAGGTTTTCTTCTAGGGTTTTTATGGTTTTAGGTCTAACGTTTAAGTCTTTAATCCATCTTGAATTGATTTTTATATAAGATGTAAGGAAGGGATCCAGTTTCAGCTTTCTACATATGGCTAGGCAGTTTTCCCAGCACCATTTATTAAATAGGGAATCCTTTCCCCATTGCTTGTTTTTCTCAGGTTTGTCAAAGATCAGATAGTTAGTAGATATGCGGCGTTATTTCTGAGGGCTCTGTTCTGTTCCATTGATCTATATCTGTTTTGGTACCAGTACCATGCTGTTTTGGTTACTGTAGCCTTGTAGTATAGTTTGAAGTCAGGTAGTGTGATGCCTCCGGCTTTGTTCTTTTGGCTTAGGATTGACTTGGCGATGCGGGCTCTTTTTTGGTTCCATATGAACTTCAAGGTAGTTTTTTTCCAATTCTGTGAAGAAAGTCATTGGTGGGAGACTTTAACACCCCACTGTCAACATTAGACAGATCAACGAGACAGAAAGTCAACAAGGATACGCAGGAATTGAACTCAGCTCTGCACCAAGCGGACCTAATAGTCATCTACAGAACTCTCCACCCCAAATCAACAGAATATACATTTTTTTCAGCACCATACCACACCTATTCCAAAATTGACCACATAGTTGGAAGTAAAGCTCTCCTCAGCAAATGTAAAGGAACAGAAATTATAACAAACTATCTCTCAGACCACAGTGCAATCAAACTAGAACTCAGGATTAAGAAACTCACTCAAAACCGTTCAACTACATGGAAACTGAACAACCTGCTCCTGAATGACTACTGGGTACATAACGAAATGAAGGCAGGAATAAAGATGTTCTTTGAAACCAACGAGAACAAAGACACAACATACCAGAATCTCTGGGACACATTCAAAGCAGTGTGTAGAGGGAAATTTACAGCACTGAATGCCCACAAGAGAAAGCAGGAAAGATCCAAAATTGACACCCTAACATCACAATTAAAAGAACTAGAAAAGCAAGAGGAAACACATTCAAAAGCTAGCAGAAGGCAAGAAATAACTAAAATCAGAGCAGAACTGAAGGAAAGAGAGGCACAAAAAACCCTTCAAAAAATTAATGAATCCAGGAGCTGGTTTTTTGAAAGGATCAACAAAATTGATAGACCGCCAGCAAGACTAATAAAGAAAAAAAGAGAGAAGAATCAAATAGACACAATAAAAAATGATAAAGGGGATATCACCACCGATCCCACAGAAATACAAACTACCATCAGAGAATACTACAAACACCTCTACGCAAATAAACTAGAAAATCTAGAAGAAATTGATAAATTCCTCGACACATACACTCTTCCAAGACTAAACCAGGAAGAAGTTGAATCTCTGAATAGACCAATAACAGGAGCTGAAATTGTGGCAATAATCAGTAGCTTACCCACCAAAAAGAGTCCAGGACCAGATGGATTCACAGCTGAATTCTACCAGAGGTACAAGGAGGAACTGATACCATTCCTTCTGAAACTATTCCAATCAATAGAAAAAGAGGGAATCCTCCCTAACTCATTTTATGAGGCCAGCATCATCCTGATACCAAAACCAGGCAGAGACACAACCAAAAAAGAGAATTTCAGAACAATATCCTTGAAGAACATTGATGCAAAAATAATCAATAAAATACTGGCAAACCGAATCCAGCAGCACATCAAAAAGCTTATCCACCATGATCAAGTGGGCTTCATCCCTGGGATGCAAGGCTGGTTCAACATACCCAAATCAATCAATGTAATCCAGCATATAAACAGAACCAAAGACAAAAACCACATGATTATCTCAATAGATGCAGAAAAGGCCTTTGACAAAATTCAACAACCCTTCATGCTAAAAACTCTCAATAAATTAGGTATTGATGGGATGTATCTCAATAAGAGCTATCTATGACAAACCCACAGCCAATATCATACTGAATGGGCAAAAACTGGAAGCATTCCCTTTGAAAACTGGCACAAGACAGGGATGCCCTCTCTCACCACTCCTATTCAACATGGTGTTGGAAGTTCTGGCCAGGGCAATTAGGCAGGAGAAGGAAATAAAGGGTATTCAATTAGGAAAAGAGGAAGTCAAATTGTCCCTGTTTGCAGATGATATGATTGTATATCTAGAAAACCCCATTGTCTCAGCCCAAAATCTCCTTAAGCTGATAAGCAACTTCAGCAAAGTCTCAGGATACAAAATCAATGTGCAAAAATCACAAGCATTCCTATACACCAATAACACAAACAGAGAGTCAAATCATGAGTGAACTCCCATTCACAATTGCTTCAAAGAGAACAAAATACTTAGGAATCCACCTTACAAGGGACGTGAAGGACCTCCTCAAGGAGAACTACAAACCACTGCTCAATGAAATTAAAGAGGATACAAACAAATGGAAGAACATTTCATGCTCATGGGTAGGAAGAATCAATATCGTGAAAATGGCCATACTGCCCAAGGTAATTTATAGATTCAATGCCATCCCCATCAAGCTACCAATGACTTTCTTCACATAATTGCAAATCTATACATATTTTCTTAGCCTCATTACATTGATTCACAATGCCTAGTCACTTTAAATTGATAGACAACAACTAGGCAACCAGACACCTTTCCTTATCAGTTTATGAATTCCTTTGGGTCACTCAACATGGCATATGTTCTGAGAAATAGGAAGATCATGGGCTGTAGGTCCAGATAGCTTCCATTTCTTTTGTTTTGTTTTGTTTTTGAGACGGAGTCTCGCTCTGTCGCCCAGACTGGAGTGCAGTGGCGCGATCTCGGCTCACTGCAAACTCCGCCTCCGGGGTTCACGCCATTCTCCTGCCTCAGCCTCCTGAGTAGCTGGGACTACAGGCGCACACCACCACGCCTGGCTAATTTTTTGTATTTTTAGTAGAGACGGGGTTTCACCGTGTTAGCCGGGATGGTCTGGATCTCCTGACCTCGTGCTCCGCGCCTCAGCCTCGCAAAGTGTTGGGAGCTTCCGCGCCCGGCTGATAGCTTCCATTTCTATCACCACTTTACCATAGTCCTGGGCCGGTAGATGTACCTTGCTGGGCCTCAGAATCCTCATCTGTCAAAAGTGATTAAATGATATTAACAAACTGTTAGGGTTGTTACAATTTAGAACAGTGCCAGGCACTCAGTAAGCCCTCAAATATTAGTTATTTTATCATTATTTTTTAATTCTAGCTAGAGTCTTCTACCTAGAGTTACAATTACTGTGATATTTTAAATTTATTTCAATTAAATAACAAGTCAATGAACTATAACAATATAAGACACAATTGTAACAAATATAGAGGGCTCAGTATATTTTTTAAATTAATAAGGCAACATCTTTGCCCTTTAAAGACATATGTTAATTACCTGAGAAATATCTGCCTGTATACCATGAATGGTATTGTGGTTCAGTCACAAGGCGCCATATACCATACTCTGCTGGATTAACACTCTGCACTATTAGAGCAAATAGCAGAGGCTGTGTAGAAAATTCATAATGTTTAAAATACGTTGCAAAATTGGGAAGAATGTAAGATATGGAAAGACTGGGCGACTAGTGTAATAGTAGGCTTCCAAAACCAAGTATCACAAAGTGTATTGCAGTCATGAAGATAAATACAAATTAAACTGAGATAATTCATACTCAGGTTCACCAACATTATGAATGGTCCTGAATGCCAAAGCATGGTCTATATACTTGCCTCAATAGACTATCGAGAGCCATTGAAAATATGTCTCTTTTTAAAGAGTTACACAATTTTAGGATGATTCATCCGGCAGGGAAAGAAAGGATGGTTCAAAGCCACAGGAGCATGCATGTTAGAAAGCTAAAGCAATAGTTTAAGTGGGAGGTAATCCAGGTTTAAGGGAGCATAATTGCAACAAAATGGATAAAGTTGACTAGAAATAAAATTTCAACTGATAGATTCTACAGGACTATGCATTTTTTTTTGCCACTACCAAATGTAATTAAAGATTAATACTTGGCCTAAATCGTCTTACGGTAGGGAAAATCCTGCACCATTAGAAGAGGTGGCAACTTGAGAGAAAAATCTTAGGAATGGAAGAACTAATGGAGAGCAGACAGAATAAATGATCTCTGGACAAAGAAGAAATTAGATAAATGAGGATTAATTTGATAGTGAATCTAGGGAACTAGGTGAAAACTTTGAGGCAGGTAGGAAAAGAAACAGCAATAATTCCCAGTACTTTTCCAGGAAGTTGTTTTCTAGGAAATGAAAACATTTAAAAATTAGCTTGAGAACTGCCAGTTTCCAATCCAAAAAATATAAAGAAGGAGAAGAATGAGGCAATATGTGGAAAAAATTATCTGCCTTCCCTATATTTCCTATCCGTGAATTCAAAATTTTAGATTTTCTGCTGATTTTAACTATAAACTATCTGAAGTTATACATATTTATTTATTTATTTTATGAGTAGAACAGTCAAAGATTTTTTTTTATTTTTTTTTATTATACTTTAAGTTCTAGGGTACATCTGCACAACGTGCAGGTTTGTTACATATGTATACATGTGCCATGTTGGTATGCCGCACCCATTAACTCGTCATTTACATTAGGTATATCTCCTAATACTATCCCTCCCCCATCCCCCCACCCCACAACAGGCCCCGGTGTGTGATGTTCCCCTTCCTGTGTCCAAGTGTTCTCATTGTTCAGTTCCCACCTATGAGTGAGAACATGCGGTGTTTGGTCTTTTGTCTTTGCGATAGTTTGCTGAGAATTATGGTTTCCAGCTTCATCCACAATAGCAAAGTTATAGATATTTATAAGTTATGTGGGAGTATTGAAAAACTCTGAAAAGTGATTTCAGAAAGATCTATGACCAGGAGTCCTTGAAATCTTAGAAATAATTGAATTTAAATTATAAGTCCTGTGAGGACTGGGTCTAAGTCCTCTTTACTTGCACTAGCATAATTTCTAGCATATGGCAACATTCATCTAATATGTAATGAAAATCTATTGATCTTCACGTGTAAAACCTCACAGAATTTAATTCTTTTAGTATTCTTCCTTTTGGGATATTTTTAATGTCTTACTATTTTGTGTACCAAAAAGTAAATGGCCACTTTGAAGCCCTGTTTTCCTGTACCTCAATTGTGTGGGTTTCTAAAAATATGCTCAAGCATAGCCATCCCAAGCATCATTAACAATTGTGTTAGTTAGCTGCTGCCACAGTAATACCAAAACGTAATGATTTCAAACAATAGTAATTTCATGTCTAGTGTTCTGTGTGACAGTTGCAACTTGGCTGGAGTAGGCTGGATTCCAACCTTCAAGCTTCAGGTTGGGTTGGAGTCTGCTCTTTCTGTTTCCTTTTCTCTTTGGAACAGAGTTTCCTAGAACATATGGTATGCTCTATGTAACCCATACTGATGCATTGTCTACCTGGGAAGTGATCTTCTTATGGCAGAACACAGGAGGTAAACCCCAAGCTCACCATTTTCGGTTTCCACTGAGATCACATCCTTTACCATGCAGTTCACTGGCCAGTGAAATTCACACGGCCAAGCCCAAAATCTAATGACAGCAGTGGAGACTCTGACCAATAAGCAGACAGAGCAAGACCAGAAATGTATACTATCCTGAAAAGAGAGGAATTAGAACCAATAATTTATTTGACCACAACATAGGATCTCTTACCTCCAGCTAGCTCCTTGGCTCTTTCCTCAGGCACTTTGCTTGTGTGAATCTGCACTTTATCAATATTCCCTTGGATTATGATTACAAAAATGGATCAGACTCTTCTTTCTGTAACAAACAATAGCAAATATCTGAGAATACTTGTTAAATATCAAACTGGCACAAATAAAAGGCTTTTTCTCTTATGTTTTTATTTGTTTAGTTTGTGCCAGTGAGTCAGCAAATAGGCATGTTTTAATCAGTGAGATCCTGTACTTTCTAATAGCCAATATCTCCAGCACGGACTTGCTATAAACTTTGTCGTGTCTTACATCTCCAGCGTTAAGATATTGTCACTGAATATGTCCTCTGCATCTAAAATTGATTCTGTCATGTGTGTTCAGTGAATTAGTGTTAATTTAAACTATAAATGAATTAACTGAATAATCAAAAATATACCAAGTACTTACATGTTTGATATAATGTAAGTAATTGATATTGGGGTGTCTCTTAATTTAAGATTTGCTCTGTGGTGGAAATTAGATGGTTCCATAGTAAAATATACACAGTTTCAAATATCAGGGTCTCTGCTTATTAGATGTGTGCCCTGGGGAAATATTTTAAACCTCTCTTTTTCTGTATGCATAAAATGGGTTATAATATCTATTATATATTCTTTATGAAAACTAAGTTACATAAATCATGTGGTCCAGTGTTCAGTACATTTAATTACTAAACATTTTTCACCCATTCCCCAATAGATTTTTTTTCTTTTTTTGAGTGAGAGTATCTCTCTGTCACCCTTGCTGGAGTGGACTGGTGCAATCATTGCTCACTGCAACCTCAACCTTCCTAGGTTCAGGTGATCCTCTCACCTCATCCTCCCAAGTAACTGGGAATATAGGCACAAGCCACCACGCCCGTCTAATGTTTTGTATTTTTTGTAGAGACAGAGTTTTGTCATGTTGCCCAGGCTGCTCTCCAACAACTGGGCTCAAGTGATCAACCTGCCTCAACCTCTGAAAGTGCTAGGGTTGTAGGCATGAGCCACTGCGCCTGGCTGTCCCATTAGATTTAACAATATTTTCATTGCTTTGCAATGGCAATAATCAATAAATCTAAGAGCCTATTTTTTATATCAGTTTTGTCATTATTTAAGATCTGGTTAGAAAAGTATATCTTTTTTTTCAAAAAAAATTGCATAATATTCACTTTGACTTTTAAGATTTTTGCTTAAAAATATCAAATATGGACCTTCTAATATTTTGTCCGCTTTTGATCTAATGATTTTATGAAAACTAAGTGAAATAAAAACCATCTTTTGGTAGTTCTTAATAATGTTATTTTTGTAGCTTCATGCCCCCAATGTTCAAATAAGATAATCTTATAACTATCACAAAAGAACATACTATTTTTAATTAAAGTTAATCAATTGAATTGTTTTTTTTGAAAATGACATTCTATTTTTGCAAGAGCAAATAAAATGTTATTTTCAACAGTACATTATATCTTGTTTTTCTCATCGTATCTTCCTAAGCAGCTTCACAGAAGAATTGAGGTGCAAATGAATAAAACGTGTTTATCACAGTGGGTGATGGGAAAATGACAAGTTTCACATCGTGCTTTTTTCTTAGAGGATGTCAGAAAAGGGAGGAGTTGAGATGGTCAGAAAATAAAATGAACCATCAAAGGACTGAATTTAGAAGTAATTATTTCATTTTTATTTTCTCTAGAAGTTTTTAAAATTATATTTTACATTAGAATAAAGACAGAATCTAATGAGTTTAATTTTAATTATATGCACCATTAAAATTTAATCAGTATAGATAATTTCTTACCTAACAAACTAAAAAGTTGCGTATTTTCAGATGATAGTATATCATGTATAATTTAATTATTGTAATTATAACATATTAGGTTGGTGCAAAAGTAACTGTGGTTTTTCTATCCAAAGTAATATATAAAAATATGTACAGTTTCACTTCCGATTTTCATTTGGAATTATAAGTCCACAGCTCAAACCAGCTTAGTGAACCAACTTCTAGTAGCTTTGACTCTACAAGCTTTCGAAAAATGCTTGAAGGAAATAGAATTTTAAGGAAATAATGATGACAGTATCAGAGATGGAGCTTAGTAATAATTATTAAAAATATAAATTAACAGTTAAGGTTGCAACACAACATGTCCAATAGTGGTCTATTATTGAATAAAAAGTCTTTTTATATCTAAAAAATATATAAAAACTGCCCTTAGGGTGGGGAGGTGACAGACACAAGCTATAGAGAGAATTGGTGTTTTAAAGAAAAAGCAAAAAAATCATATGTAAATATTTGCAATTATGTAGTAAAATAAAGAATGTCTGGTTTTTAACTGACAAACTATCCTACTGTCCACTTGTTCAAATCAAATATCTTGAGAAATCTTCCAGGTAAGTCATTAGTTACAGTCTGTTTAATTAGGCACATTACTCATAAAACCATTTTTCTTTGGATTATACTTTAGAAAACTATAATTTAAAAGTATATAATAAAAGAAAAAATAAATAGATACTTAAGTAGGAAAAGAAATGCTCGATGAATTCTTACTGCTGCTGCTCAGAGATATGGGGGTTTTATTGTAGAGGATGAGGATGATGATTCCTTTTTTTCTTTTACTAGTAACTATGAAAGTCATTGAAATTTGTGGAAAGTTAAATCCAATGAAGGACTTTGGGTAAGAACACATAGTAGACATAAAAATATGTTACTAGAGAAGTAAATAACCCTTAGGTTCTTAACACTTTACTACATAAATGGTTTAAGTAAAAATTTGCTTATAGGCAGAGAAATAAACTATATTATTTGCCAAGTTTCTTTTAGCTTGATGATTGATCTGTACATAAAGATAAATGCTATTATGAAGCGATTGCAGTGGAACTTACAGGACACATTACCAAAAAGTTATATTAAAAAATAAGTAATAATATCATATCTTTACTTTCAGGAAATATCTTAAGTTCCCTTTTAAATGGCTTGAGCACAAAGTGGCAATAAAGTGAAAGAAGAAGATGACACAGTTTTATGAGTGTTTTGATATAAGGTGCAGGAGGCTCACAAAGTATGGAGTTACTATGGGTAATATATTTCCCATGGCTTTCATGAGAGTCATTGATTCTATCACTTTAAAAGTTTATTAATACCTGGAGATATGTACATATACTATGAAATAAATAAGTGTGGGATGAGTCAATTATACTTAGTTCATTGACAGGTGCAAGATAATTATAAACTGCAAAAGAAGCTAGTATAGTAATTAACAACTATAGGCTTCTAAAAAGCTCAGTACTCACAATTCCACTTGGAAAAGAGAAATAGAGTAGAGAAGAAATTGGAAAAAGCCTAAAAGAGCCTAACAAATACAAATTAACTATTTTGAACCATAGTGTTATTTATTAAACATTAAATTTTAAAGTGTAAAATGTACCAATAGTTATAAACATAAATTTCCAAAATATAAATAGTATTTTGTCCCCTAAATGTATCTTATACAAAGTTCTATCCTAAGACTTCTTATCTTTTCTCTCTATTCTTCCATGATTACTACATTTACTTGCAAAGCAACAGGCTATGTGCTGACATTATGTCTTTGTGTTTAATTTCCATGATATTTCAAACTTGTTTATGCTACCTTATGTCCTCACTACTACTACTACCACTATTGTCACTTTGATTGTCAATGTCTGTAATATACACAAGGTTGCCCATGGCCTGTTTTACTGATTTTAACATTCACACACACACACGCACTCATGCACACACATTTTTTCTTGAAGCCACTTATATTTCTGTACTTCATCTGAACTAGACCTCTATGATAATTTTTTGATCAAATACTGTTTATATATTTGAAATATTTCCTTTTCTCTTCTCTTACATAATTCCGTCAACTAGCTTTTGAGAAGAAATAATTTTTATCTTTTACGTTGATATGATATTTTGCAATAAACATCGTATAACACTTCTCACATTCTGAATGCATTACAATACTATTTGTGTTTATTTCTGCTCTTAGATTGCAAGCTATTTAAGGTCATCTTTTTCATCATTGCATTTTCTGAAATAAGTGATGGTTAGTATGTTTGCTGAATTGATTTGAATTGGCAAGATCAAAAGTTATGGTTTAAGACTAGGAATTTGCAGCGCAAGAGACAATTGAACAAAGCAGACCTTTAGCAACTGTGCTAGAATAGCATCATTTAGCACCATCAAAAATGAAGTTGAGTGCTTAAATGATTTGCATAGCAATCTTTTGCACGTATTCAACATTGTCTAAGTACGTATGTTATACTAAGAATGATGTTAGTATTGAGATACAATGACAAAGAGTTAAAATCTCTTCCAGAAGTGGGGAAATATAGCATGCAAGCAATCATTTACAATGCAGTATTATAAATTCAATAATACCACTAGGCAGGAGATCATCTGGTAGCATAGAGGACAGAGTTCCTATCTTTGTTAGCGTTATGGAGAGCTCAAGGGAGCTCACAATGGCTTCATGTATGAACTCCTGACATTTTAAACTCTTTGCCATACATAAATTCTTCTGAGGAACTCGATAATTCTAAAGACCTTTGTAAATATTACATCAGTCATCTTTAGTATATGAATCTTGCATAGCTGCTGAAAGAGCAATTCAATTGATGAGGGAAGATGGGTAAATAAAACATTGGAAATCCTTGGTATCTATAAGTTGATTAAAAAATGGCAAAAAGATACAGGACCAAGAATTCTATAGTTTGATAATCTGGAGTTTATATTTACATTTTATATTGCATTATAAACATAAAATGCTGATGGAAAGAAATTTAAGCAGATTCGTAGATCACATAAGGACAAATACTTGATGATGCAGTAAGGAATTTTGCCCTCCTTCCAATTGTACTGTTATAGAAAACTTTAACAATGATTCATTTCTTCCCTTCATTCAAAGCACAGTAATGGGCAGCAATTTTGAGTAAAGATTTCTCCAGGTGCTAGGCATACAGAAATTAGTACATCATTGTCCTTGTCCTCAAATGTGTTACATCACTTTGGGAATGACAAATGCATAAGCAATTTATGGCATTTTGATTTGATGAGTATGAGCTCATGTATAAAATGTCATATTATATCTATATTGTATTGTAAAAATATTGTATTCCCTTCAGTATCAGTATAATAATAAATGAGATAGTGTAAATAAAACTTTGTACAGTCCGTGTTAAAAGAAGATACTTATGGTTGGTATTAGAGATGAGTACAAGACTCTAGCTTGTATAGAGGAGGGTGACTTGGCATGGGAGCACAGTAAGATAAAACTGAATGCCATATGATGAGTCTCTTCCAAATCTTTCCAGTCGTCTTTCATTTATCTCTTGCTCTCATACTTTATTTCCAATCAGCTAGTACATTTTCTTGCTTCTACCTTCAATTTCTGACCATGTCTTACCATTTTCCTACTACCCACTTTTTCTACACTGAGCCAACATCATCTTTCACCTGGATTATTGATACACCTGCACTTGTCCCCGTAATGTCTGTTTTCCATTCAGCAGCCAGAAAAATACAATTAAAACATAAATAAGTTCATGAAACCTCTCTTTACCAAACCGTCACATTGGTTCACTGCTTTTCCAGAGCAAATGGAAAAGTCCCTACAATAAACGACCAGGCTATATGTGATATATGTGATTTGCATCTTTTTCCTTTATATATATATATATATATAAAAAATATAAAATTTATACATGTATATATAATATATAATATATATTTATATATGTATAAATATATAATACATAAAAATATATTCATATATGTACAAATATATAATACATAAAAATATATTCATATATGTACAAATATATAATACATAAAAATATATTATATTTATATATGTACAAATGTATAATACATAAGAATATATTTATATATGTACAAATGTATAATACATAAGAATATATTTATATATGTACAAATGTATAATACATAAGAATATATTTATATATGTACAAATGTATAATACATAAGAATATATTTATATATGTACAAATGTATAATACATAAGAATATATTTATATATGTACAAATATATAATACATAAGAATATATTTATATATGTACAAATATATAATATATAAGAATATGTTTATATATGTACAAATATATAATATATAAGAATATGTTTATATATGTATAAATATATATACATTTACTTGTATATTGTTTTCTCATACTGAAATATAAACTCCATGAAAGAAAGGACTTTTGTCTATATTGTTTGCTGCTGTGTTACCAGAACTTAAAAATAGTTCCTATCACATAGTGCTCAATAAATTTTTGAATGAATAAATGATATTAAAGAATGAATAGGCATTTATCAATTGTGTAAGAGAGAAAGAAAAAACATCCTAAGCAAGAAGCTGGCATATAAAAGTCAAAGAAATCCCTGAAGATGGTACTGTAAGAATATATGCATATTAGAGAACAGAAGCAGATGTGGTTGGAGAGATAGACAGGGGACATGGCTTCCTGCATCATTTACATACTGGGCCAAGTCTAAGGTTTTTTTTTTTTTTTTCATTTCTGAGCCAGGAAAATTGTGATAAAAACACAATAATATATATTTTCTGTTTTTAAATGGCTATCCTCTAGCCCTTGCCAATGGCTTACCTACATGCTCGTATTATCTTGTTAATTTGAAAAGGAAAAGTTAAGCAGACACTTTATAAGCTTCTTATCAAGAAACACAATAGTAAGTCAATAGCACACCTTCTGGGTATGTTGCATGTGAAGAGACAGTAAATTAAGAACTATATTCCATATTCAGATATTTTTTGAGGTTTATTGCTTCTTCAGTGTTAGAACATTTTAATTGGTTTCTTTTAACTTTGAAAAATATACTCTAGAGATAAATTCATTTATAATAAAGGTCACTACCTAACATTAAAAGGCAGTATTTCCATTAACATTTTATGTGCTGGTATATTTAACAACAGTGAAAAGACACTTTAAGGAAGCCTCCTCTTGTTTTAAAAGGTCAATACACAAAATGTATTTTAAAAATTCTATATTAATAGACCACATTCTATAATTCAAAATTATTTAAAAACTATTAGAAACAGAAAATAACCAAATAATTTACCAATATACAAAATAAAACATTGACGTACTAAATAATATTCAAACAGTGAGGTTCTTTTTGATTCAACTTATGGTTTTATCAACAATGGGGAGAATTAAAAGGGTAGATAATGCCTATATGGGCAAAGCGAAACTTTGAGCAATTGTATAATAAACTTGGTAAATTAGTTTTGGCTATATAATCCTATGTTTAAAATACCGGATTTCTTTCTGTCTCCTCTTGCTTTTCCTCAAGAGCATCATATTCATTGATAAGAGAAGAACTTGTTCTAATTTCTGTTCTGCCATTCCTGGTTGTGCAGACCTGGGCTAGTTACAAGAGTTGGTTTGAGGGCAAAATCAGATAATGCATGCAGAAGTTCTGACACATTTTAAGTGTTAATTAAATATTAGCCTTTCTCTCTAATTTTAGTATCTTCTTCTACTCTTCACTCCCTCAAACTGCTGTTTCTCAAGGACTCCCTTATGGATAGGAAAGCGATACAGTTATTAACCCACTACATAACCTCTGGTATGGCTTCATGTTTAAATGAATATTTATTGATTAATATAGAGAGAGTTATGATAATAATAACTCATTAAGTACTTAATATTTGGCAGACACTAGCCTTCATGTTTTCTTATATAAATTTGTTTTATTTTCTTGGTAACTCCTTGAATAGATGCAATCATTATCTTGTTATGATATAGAAGGTAACTGAAGCATAGAACAAGTACTGCGTTTTTTTTTTTTATAGTAACAGAACCTTTAAGTGGGAGAACAGAATTTAAATACATAAAACTTGGCCCTGTATTCTGTTCTCTTGGGCACTGCTCTAGGTTTAGGGAGAAAGAGGGATACCATTTGCAGAACCCATATTTTCAGTGTGTTTGAGAAATAAGGTATTCAGATATGCTTATTTAACCATAAGGCCATCATTGTTCATCCTAATAATACAACTCATATTGTTGCTGAAATATTTTACATAAATGTCTAGCATTATATTTAGTCTGTGGTTTTGCAGACCCTATGATTTCTCAAATCAGGAGATCTCCAGTGACAGTTTTGTTACATGTTAGAGTGAATTTAAAGTGTTTTGATTATGTTTTATTTATTTTTTGAGGCAGAAATACTGTTGAATGAGAGGGGAGACTTCATATTTGCTTTGCATAGAAAAAATAAACATTTTATTTCTTTTTTCAGTTTTTTTTTGTGGGGGTTGAGAGTGGTTCTGTTTTCCAAATATTTTCATATATCCTCCATAGAACTTTAAATGATGTTTCACATGGTGTACAGGCTCAACAATATCTCCTGACAGGCAAGAATAGGAATAAAATAGTGAAGAATCCTTTCTAAGCTTGTATTCTGGGTAGTGAGACTTTGAATAATGAGGCCAAGGCAGCAATTTTCATCTCTATGTGGCCTCTTAGGCTCTGCTCTGCCGTAGTGTCATGAGCAGCAAGCTTATACTCTAAAGAATGAAGTGTGCTGCCATACCCGAAGGCAAAGCCCATCTGCTTGTTCTATTTTTCTTCTCATGCTCAGCCAAGTTCTAGAGAATAATAGTCCTGGGCTACAGGAAAGCATTCAGCTACCACAGCTTCCTAAACTAAAATTTCTGACATATGGCTCATGATAGGAAATGTTCAAATAAATAAGCTTAGGTCTAGGTGCTGTTCTGGATCCAGTCCCTAAGATTGAACTGCCATTTGGAGTAGAGATCTATTTACAAGTACGAATGTTATATATTCAGAATGAAGTATAGATACCATAGCGAATGAGTCAGCAACCTAGGTCCTCATTCCAAATAAACAGCAATAGTTTGTTCAAATCAGAAAACAACAACAACAGAAACAAACAAACATTATTGGGTAGATGATAAAACAAACCTGGGAAGCAATGGCTATCAGGCATATTTGTTGAAAATGTTCTATACTTAGGCAGAAGGTATGCATTCTGGTAACTTGGAGGGAAACTAATAAAAGTTGGCAGGAGCTCAATCCTAGAAGGAAACTTAGTCATAGGGACATGACAATGAAGGACAAAGTCTAAGGGAAATATGGCACAGAGGAGAGCTTGGCAGTTGGTAATGAAATGAGAAAGCAAGAGAGATTGATTTCTTCTCATGTTACTCCTCATGGTTGGCAGGGTATACGTATACCCTGAATATGGTCAGGGTTTACCACTGGGCTGGAGATAGTTTTAAGCATCCTGATGACCAGATCTCATGGAGAGCAAAGTAAATTGCATTGGAACTGACACTCATTTCTTTTGTATTGGGATAATCTTTCTAATCACAGATGGAATGGTTGATTTGTATTTCAGGATAAGTTACTCCCATTGACCATCTTCCCATTTCCCCCACCTCTCATCTTCTCATAACCGTCATTGTGCTCTCTACCTCTATGAATTCAATTATTTTAGATTCCACATTTAAGAAAGAATATGTATTTTTCTTTCTGTGCCTGGCTTATTTTACTTAGCATAATGTCCTCTAGATTCATCCATGCTTCTGCAAATGACAGAATATCTGTCTTTTTTTTTTTTTTTTTTTTTTTCCGGAATCTCGCTCTGTAGTCCAGGCCGGAGTGCAGTGGTGTGATCTCGGCTCACTGCGACCTTCATCTCCTGGGTTCAAGAGATTCTCCTGCCTCAGCCTCCTGACTAGCTGGGATTACAGGTGTGCACCACTACACTCGGCTAATTTT
Source organism: Homo sapiens (assembly GCF_000001405.40). Classification (NCBI taxonomy): domain Eukaryota; kingdom Metazoa; phylum Chordata; class Mammalia; order Primates; family Hominidae; genus Homo; species Homo sapiens. Next base: position 194,299,878 of record NC_000001.11, on the reverse strand, counting down.
TGTATTTTTAGTAGAGACGGGGTTTCACCATTGTGTGTGTGTGTGTTTGTGTGTGTGTATGTGTGTGTATACTTGGAGGAATAAATGATAAGTATTTGAGATGGTGGATATGTTACTTAGACTCAACATTCCACACTTATACGTATTATTGGATCACTTTGTATCTCATAAATATCTACAAGTATAATTTGTCAAAGTTCAATAAAATTAAATTTTAACAAAATGATGCCCCTGGCCCAGATTTACAACCCTCTACCAAAAAATTGAGAATCAGCAGAAAATTATTCTTGCAGCTTTAGAGATACAGATTTTATTTTTAAATACAGAAATGAGTTCATTTTACACTCAGAAATACGACAAGATGGGCGCTTTTCTATGTTTCTCTGTGCTTAGAAACTGAAGCTTACTTCACCCTTTATCCAGCAGTGGAATCAGGTAAAAAATATCCCAACCATGGATTTTGGAATATTTACAAGCCTAAAGAGTGGGTTAGAGAAAGGTTCCTAGACTAGAAACAGAAGAAGGAAAGAGGAACTACTAAAGGAATGGAGAAGTTAAAGGAATATGAACAACCAGAATGATAAGTATATGCAGGAAAATAAAGGGAGCCTGAAAAGGGCTCATTCCACAGGTTAAATACTTCCATGTGACAACGCCTGAGCAAAGAAGACCCATGCTCAAGATTCAGGCTCAGGGATGTACAAGCCAGGCTGTGTGCATCATGGACATATGGTTGAAATATGATTTTCCTATTGCTCACCAACTGTCTTTACACACACTTTATCTTCAGCAGGCTAATGGGACCCCTTCAACAATAACAACAGGAAGGCTAAAATTTTCAGTCTTCAATCACTTAAACCATAAACTCGTAGGGCTGTTAATCTTTCTCTGACTGCTTTCCCCAGTTAGATTGCTTTCTCTTTTGACACTTATAATCCTTTGCTTTGTTTTGTCATTTATTTGTCAGGACTACATAATGAAGATCATATTTTTTGAAAAATATTTACTTTTATATTTTAGGTTCCCTTTGTTTGGGATTATTCTTTAGTCGGCCAGAGGCAACTATTTGCTTCAGGGATAAATAGGATTTACAGGAGGACTACAAAAAGAAAGAAGTAAAAAAAAAATAGGTTCACCTTTGGATTGCTAGAGTATCATCTCATGACAATTGTTTTGAAAACCAAGCATATTCAGAAGATTTTAAAACTTTCACTTTCCATTGACATATAAAGAAACTTTTTGTTGATTAGGTCATATAAATTTAATAAATCCAGGATGTTAAGCTGAGTAAGAATTCAATTTAATATGAAATATTAAAAGCCCCAATCATAAGAGAAAGAAATAAAAAAGCCAATAATTTATAGTCCCAGAGGATACTGTGAAGGGAGAAAGGGTCAAGCTCATGAGATATATGTGTGCTGATCCCTGGAGGACTGAGAGTCTGAAGTGGGTTCAAAGGCTGAAAGGAAAACTGAGAGCACAGGGATGGATGTTAGCCTGCTTTCTGTATGTAAACTTGGGAAGAGCCTGCTATGCAGGGTGACTTTATTCCATCATGGAGGCTGATAGACCACTAGCAAGTCAAGTCTAGCATCCAGAGTGTGACATATAGATACACAATTCTGATGCAATGCTCCCTGTACATTGCATCAGGGAATTGATGCAATCAAATCAGCAGAATTGAAAGTCTGACTATGTCTATGGAGGCTATGAATACAGGCCCATTTCTGTGAAATGTTACTCTTTAACAGGCAATTTTGACTCAAGGACTCCCCATGGGGATGGCTGAACCATTCCTAGAACTGCGTTTTGATGTAAGACTCTTCCATCCAATCCTTCTTCCCTCTTCTTCTCCTTCATAGGCTACATCACAGGTAGCCCAGACCTCCATGCCACCCACCACAATTGCCCCAGTTCCTTTCCCCTGGCTTATCCTATGAGCAGAGAGAAATCTTGTTATCAGGTGGATTAGGTAAAAAAAAAAAAAAAAAAAAAAAAAAAGGCCTGCGTTTGTATTATCATTAATTGACTCTATGTGTGGGTATCAGTTGAAAATGGACTGTTGCTTCGTTATGTCATTTTTCCAAAAATTGCCTTGAAAGACAACAGTGAGGAAAAATCCTCCTTGTAGACAGAGTGATAACCAGGGCAAATGGTCATTCACTTTTTTTCAGAAAAATATGTAGCCCAAGGTGAGAATTTATATTGATTACTAGATACCCAATGGTAATGTCAATCGAGAGACCAGACATGAAGGAGGTCTGGAGTAGCAGCATATGAACAGACATATGGAAATGTATACAAAGTGTGAAGATTTTTGTATCACATTTTAACACCCATGAGAAAACATTCACTACGTAAGAGACACTCAACGATGAAATATTCAAATGTGTTGACTACTTGACATTAGTCAGCTTTCATCATTGGCTGCGCTGGAACTGGTGAAATGGCACATCAATAAAATGGCCCTGGTTGCAGTGATAGGCCCATCAGCATTAATTCCCATTTATAAAGGTTGAGTAGCTTCTGCCGCTCCTAAAGATTCAACCTGTCAGCAACAGAGACCAATGTAGCTATGTCAACATGACATTATATTTCAAGGAAACTAAAATGACACTTGGCAGCAAGTCAGCTACATTGGGACCTTTCTGTCTTTGATGTGCCAGCAGTTTGTGTGGGGATTTGACATTCCTTCTTGAAGAACCCCAGTCAGCACACTATTCAGTGGCTTATGGAATGCCTCATGCACAGTCACAGAATCCTACACAAAATAGCATCTGAACAGGCAACCCACTTCATGGTGCAGAGGTGTGTGAGTTGGCCCATGACTGTGAGATCCACTGGTTATATCATATACCACACACTCCACTAGTTATCCTCCAAGAACATTGAAGTATTCTTCTAGAGGCAGAATTGGAGCACCAACTCAGAGGCAACACTCTCCAAGGATGGATTTTTATCCTTTGTGCATATCCATTAAGTCAAAGAACACTCCACCCACCACCCGCCCATATAGTGTTCTGTCCTCAATGGGAAGAACAGATCACTGCAGAAAGCAAGGAGTAGGAATAGAAGTAGCCCCACTTCCGTTAAGTCCCAATGACTCACTGCATGATTTTATCCTCATATTTCTTGATTCTGCAAGGTTGAAGGTCTTGGATCATATTCTTGCCAGGGACCACAGCAAAGGTTTCATTAAGGACAAGCCATTGAGGTCTTGACAAATCAGAGAAATTTTGACTGCCTGGGTTCTGGGACCAGCACTCAAAAAGAAGAGTCAGTATCTTGTCAAGGTAATTAACCTTGATCACCACAATAAGGTAGGACTGTTTTTAAAGATGACTCGGGAAAGAAAGTGTAGGCACTTCAGTTGATTGACTTGGCTGCCTCCTAGTAGTCCCTTGCTCCTTTATAACTGTGAATGAGTATGTATAACAACTCTAGCCTGAGAAAGACGTGATTTCCAAGGGCTCAGAATGAATGAGTCACCCCTGAACTATTGGGTTTTAGTGGAGCCAATCATCATAATATCATCAAATCATCCCTGAAAGAAGTCTCACTTGCACATCTTAACCCACTCATTAATGGCACAATAACAAGACATTTCAAGTTCCCTGTAGCAGCACAGTAAATGTGATGGATATAGATACAGATACTTCCATTCTCTCATATACCTCTTTTTCCAAATATAGCAAATCGAATGTGTGGTCCAGTCCTCTCAAGAGAACCGGATTATACAGCCACTTGAGCATTGTTATCCAAACAAAGCCTTAAATGTTTGTATACTCCACTTTCCCTCCTGCCCCACTGTGTCCCTACCATGACTAAAGCTTTTGGTCTCTGGAATTGGAGGGACTTTGGATCTACCTTTATTATACAATCTCCCTAAAGGATAGTAAATCAGGATGTGGTGGTTCAGGGCCAGGTAGGAGAGGTGCTGAAAGGCTAATTTATCCTAGGGCAACCAGTTAACTTCTCAGTTCCTCCAGTAGGAGGAGACCAATCTCCATGGAGGAACCTCTGTTATGACATAGCCTATGTAAATCCCCAGACACATCAAGCAAATGCACCTGCCTTTTGACATAGGTAGTTTATATTTCCCTTCCTGATGTTGGACCAGAGTACTTCCCGGTCTCCATTTTTATAGGAGAACAAGCAAAAATCATGGTACCATTTGGGCTGCTTATTTCAATCCTACCTCTTACCTTTCAGTCTATTTATTTACTTACTCCTATTTATTAACTAGTGCAGCACTCAAGATCCACTTATTCTGCCCCATCCACTGTCTTCCAACACTTGAGCAAGAGCAATTCATATCACTGAAACTGGCACATAAGGCCCTTGTCTTTTCTCCTCTGGGAAAAATAAAAAAAAGTTTGTATATCTCAACAACCCTCCCCTTGTGTCTGTCAGGAAAGTGCTCCAACCTCAAAGACAAAGGCAGGACTAAGCTTGCCACAACTCCAAAGGCATCAGTGAGACTTGGCGAATAATAGGAAGTCTGCATATTAATACTCACAGCAGAAACATAAACATGGTTATATCAGTTCTCCCCTTCTCCAAGTCTCATAAGGTATCTCAGTATCCCAGATGAGACTAAAAGAGTGCATTGTGATGCAGCTAAAGAACTGAGGGCCGAAGACCTAGCATCTTTTGTGGCAGGCAGCAAAAATGACAGTTTCCTTTCTAGTGAGTGGACAGTTATACAGTAGCCATGCTGTGCTGGTCTTCACCTATTTGGTTGCCACATAATTAGATACAGAAACTGCTCACAGTCAGACAGTGGTTAGCCATTTGCAATTTGGCACACTTGACAAGGACATACAGGAATGCTCGGGGGATATGGTGAACTGCCTCTCCCAATAAGTAACTGCTTCCAAAACCTGCATATAGAAGTAGATTTGTGTTGTATGAAGCATCGCCTACAGTGGCCGAGAAAATAGACCACACAGTTCTCTATTATTGGGGTAAAATCGATAGTCACTGCTGCTGCCTTCCTCGGATCCATCATTTTCAAATAGAGACCACCCTTCCTGGGCTCCTTCTAGCCAACAACTGGGCATGCTGGTAGTAATAATGCAGACTAATTTCTGAGAGACACACAACTCTGCCAATGGAAGACTTTAGCTCAATGACTCTTTATATGACTGGCAGAAATTTTCTTAGAACCGCATTACAGTCTGAGACTCTCCACACCAACTCTTCCTTCCCTTCTCCTTCACAGGGGTCAAACCTACACATCATGATCTGCAAGCTCACCCTCCTTTCTCTGCCTCTCTCCTCTATCATCAACCAGTTGTTTCCCCCAATAAGTCTTTTGTATGTCTAGTGCTATGTTGGGTCCTGCTTCCTAAGTGGACATAACCTAGCACATCTCCTGAAAGACAAAGAGGAAGATGTCATCTTCTCTGATGGAGACGATTATCAGATGTCTTTACCATGAAGAATAGTAATGTTTTACTAAAAGCTAGAGAGCAGCTTATGTAAGCCAAGTGAGAGAGTCATTAGTAGGGCCCACAGTACCTATGAGGAATGAGTGAAGGGGTTGGTCAGCACTATTCATGTAAAGAGAACAGGCCACAAGTTACACCAGTCCAAATGTGCATTTGCCTGGGAAGAGGTGGTGGTTAGGCCAGTGGCCCTCAGCAACAGCTCTCAGTGTCTCAGATGGGCTGGGCCAGACAGAGCACAGCAGAGAAAGCACAGCAACCAGCATGAGATCCAGCCATGCTGCCTCCCACAGCCAAGAAGACCACACTTTTTTCTCAATGCCTAATGAGAAAATGAAGAGCAGGAGAAAATAGTCTTGGAATGAAAACTTGCATGGAATTTAGTTGTGTATCTTTTCCTTTTCTACCCCCGCCAGCCTCCTACTTTGGGGATCAGGATTTGTAATGAGACTGACTGTACCAATTAGAAGAAACACATGTTCTGTTTTCTTTTTACAGCTTTGGAGTGAGTCAATTCCTGAAGTTAGTAGAAAATAGATTCCAAATAGTAAGATATTATATATGTGTATGATTTGCACGTCTTTCTGTTGCAGGATAGTATTTTACACTGATTTTATTGATTGCTACAACTTTCAAATTCCTTAACTTGATTTCAAGACATTCCATAGTCTTGTCCTACCCTACGCATATCTACTTTTATCCAAATATCCTACATATTTTTTTCACTACTGCCTAATGGAGTCTTTCTGGCCATGTTGGCCTCATTACTGTTTCATAGACATAATAAGCATATGGTGCATAGGGTATACAGCCATAATCACTTAACTTGCAGCCAGAATGTTTTCATTTCAATTATGCAAACATGCATACAAAAGTTATGAACTAAGGATGTTACTGAGCTTCAGATCACTTTTCTAAAGAAAAGAAATTATAATACTTGCCTCCTTTATTGAGTTGTTGTAAAGACCAAAGTTAAACAAGAAAAAGCATAAGCAAATACATTATAAGTTGAAAATGCTATGTAACTGTAATTGTTATCAGTAAATATCCTCTTGTGTTTTTTTAAAACTTTGTGGACCCAATCCGTATATCAATGCCCAACTCAAGTTTTACATAATTCCTGGAGACTGCCCTTTCATATGGAGAGCTTCAGAAAACAACAGTGCTTTCCCCAACAATAAATTATGCGAGGAACTTAGGGGATAAATATTCCGGAGATGAGTTACTGTACAGCCTGGGTGGAGGACCCTCATGTGGTCTCTATCCTAGCAGCAACTGGTAACTCACTAGAAATGCAAATTCCTGGGCCCTATCACAGACCTACTGAATCAGACACTCAGGAGGAGGGAGCATGGAGTGAAGGCCAGTGATCTGTGTGTTAACACACCCTCAGGGTGATCCTGAAGCATAATAATCTTGAAAACCCCTGTTTTTGGGTATGAGCATTGAATATTTGTTCATCATTTCATCTTCTACAGTTTATACTGTGGCTAAACTATTTGAGGGTTTCAATAAAAGATTTTTTTTCTCTGCAATATCTGATGATCTCAGTCTTTGGGTCATAGTATGAATCATACAATTTACGGATGTCTTTACTCTCTTTTACTCTCCCCTAAAATTTTCTAGGACTAAAGATTATTGAATACAAATAAAGATAAATAAACAAATAAACCTTAACAAGATGAGGAAAACAATCCTCTAAATTCGTATATCTAGTCATTACCAGAATATTTCTGACTGTATTCACATATACTTTCACATTATATGTCCTTAAGTGTTTCTTTGTACAATTTATTTTTAGCCATATTACTGCAGCAGAATTGCAAAGCCTCAAAATTTGTATAAGCAGTAATAATTCTTATTTTTATATAATTATTTTTATAAGTTAAATGAAACACCTATCCTATATGTAGATTAAAAGATTAAATAATAGCCCTTACAATAATATTAATTATTTACTTACAGTTAGTGATTGATAATATTACTTGTATATATTCCAGACTTACAGAACATTTTTCCTGAGAGATGATCAAGCTTCCATGGGTTGTTTTCAGTCCTGGATTTATAATTCCAGAGGTATAGAAAATATTGTTGAATGTTATTATTTACTTCAGAATTTAACAGTAAATACACGTTTTAGAGAGTGAAGCGTAATTAAGTAAATTCCCTAGATGATGTCAAAAATATTAATAGTCCATGTATGTTTAATTATATGAATGCAAGTTCTGTTATTTGTGTGAGAAAATTAAAACAAATGTTACAAGCAGAAAATTGCTTATAGAGTGTCATCAATTAAGGCTGACATTTGTCTCTATCATAAGACTATAATTTATGTTTTTATACTTTATATTCAGTATTAACAATAAAACCTATTTGCATATGACTATAATTAAACTAGCATTTATCTTTAAATTTTTTATAAGCATTTAAAAGATGTTACATGTTTTTATCCACTTGTACCATTCAAGTAAATAACTATAGATTAGGCTTAGATCAGCTTGTTACCCAATAACAGAATTTGTTGGCTTTCATGTTTTATGGAAAACTGACTGCTGTTCAGACTATTGACACTAAACTGTAGGGAGTATTTTCACTGACTATACCCTGGTGTTAATATAATCTATAACTTTCAGTAAAAATATTAATGTTTTTAGAATTTTAGATACCAGGGTGTTTCAATCCATCATTTGTATTCCTTTTTATGAGATAAATGAATCCAAATTTCAGTGTACAATACCTGCTGTAAAATGTTTATATCAAATGTAAAATATAGACAGCAGTAAAATATGGGATGTGAAAGATTTAGTAATTTTTTTATTTCTTGTCAAACAGTAGGATAATATTTAGAGATAAGAGGCAAAATTTATCCTGAGTAAGGGAAAGTTATTCTGCCTTTTAAAATGTTCGTAAGCCTATCCAAGGTTTCAGTATTTTTGTGTGTTTTTTATTATTAGAGGAAAGTTAACAATTCCCTTTGATCTTAATGATGTTACATCATTGTAGCATGAAAGGAATAGTATAACCTCAACCAACTTTTTCTGTATTTAGTTTTCAGCAGTGCTGACAATTGTCTATGCCATGATAAAAAGAGAACGAAAATGTGTTGGAAGAGGCACCTGGGAGTGTAGTTGTCTCAGAGGGAACACCACATTTGTTCCTATGACACATTTTCATTGAAAGAAAAAAGAAAAAGAAGAAAGAAAAAGAAAGAAAGAGAGAAAGAAAGAAAGCAAGCAAGATAGCAATCAAGCAAGCAAGGAAGGAAGAAGAAAGCATCTTTTCTATTTCCCTTTCTTTTTATTTCTGTGTCTTTATTTCTCCTCTCTCTCTCTTCCACTTACTCCTCTCTTCCTCTCCCCTTCCTTCCCTCTCATCCTCGCCCCTTCTCTTCTTCTTTTTACCCCTACCCCCACCACCTTGTTTCTAGTCTTCCACAGTATTTTCTTACTAATACAAGGAGTGACTTAGTCCTGGTTAGAACAAATATCATAGAACGTCTTTACACTAAGCCTAGAGGTTTGCCTGTTGAAAGAAAACCACTAACTAAGTTTATCAAGGCATTGATCACCACCACCCCATTTACATGCTTTAATATTATATAGTATGCACCACATGACGTTAAAACATCAGGTTAAATTGCTTTTCTTTCAGAATAAACAGAGGCAAAAAGATGTAGTTATAATGTGTAGTAAAGTTTCTACATCTGCAGGATATACTCCTTTTTAAGACTTATTATTTTGATGATGGTGTACAATAAATCTCATTACTTGTGGGAGCCAAAAAGTTAACTGCTAATTCCATGGGTACCAAGGGGGCTGGACCCTATTACCAATTGTCTAGTACTAAGAATGACCTCATTATGTTATGATAAAAATTTTTAGCACATTCTAGACACTGAAAGACAGAGGTAAGTAAAGCCAGGTTAATCAAAATAGGGATCTTATAGCCTAGTAGAAGAGGTAACCCATAGAAAACAGATTTTTATACAGTACACTAAGTGATGATATAATGGTATGTTTAGGTTGCCATCGTAAATGAGGTAAATTCAACTCATATCAGAGATCCAGGAAAGGAGTTTAAAGGAAATACTTAATATGAGTCTTTAATAATAAATACAAAATTTTAAAATAAAGAATGGAAAAAAGTCATTTTCCTTCAGCACACTGTCAGAACATCACAAAGATGTGAAAATAAATATTTCATGTAGGAAATTCTGGCTTGTTCTGTTGCAGAAGCCTTACTCCTTAGCTTAGCGAGGTCTGAGTTCTTGTCTCACCACCACGATGAATGAGGTACATGGACATAGGAGGGTGAGTATGGCAGAATAGACTTTATTAAGTGACAGAAAGCGCTCAGTAAGGAGAGGGGACTCAAAAGTGGGTTGCCCTAGGGGATTAAAAACCTCATTTCTAGGGGTGTGTTTCTCATTTGCATCTTGCACAACCTTTTACTTCCTAGTTGCTTCCTGGTCCCAGTTCTTACTGCCCAGGTGCGTTCTTGTCCATAGTTATTCCATCTTAATTATTATGCATAAGCACCACAGAAAGGCCCAGTGGGTAGTAGGGGTGGTGGTGGTGAAACCACAATGCAGATGTCATGCTAATGATATTATAATGAGCTTGAGTCAAGTTAAGGACATTTAGTTGATTTATTACACCTGCGCCTAAGTTGGGACAGTCCCTTCTGAGCAAACATTCTGGTATAAGAGGAAGTTCTTAACCACATTTCCATCTGCTAGCTGCATAACAGGGGCAATGCAGGTGCATTCCTGCATGCATTGTCTCTCTCATGAAGCCCTACATCTCCATCGTACCACTTGCATACATAAAAAAGGTAAGTGAGATTAAAGATACACTTGGATAGAAGCAGGTCACAAGGGCTCTTGTGTTTTGTTAGAAATATCAGCATTATTATAATTTGAAATATGTTGTAATGAGCATTTATATGACACTTCTATATTTCCCCAAGAACCAGCTGCATATTTTTAAATATTGTATGTTTAAGATTTTCAAGAGGCTTGTAAATTTTTTGAGTTTCATAATCTTTAACAATGCAAACCAAAATACTTAATCAGTTCTTACTTAGTCATTTATGAAGTTACCCATGGGAAAATTATGTTTACTGATATTTTAACCCTGTTTCTATCACTTACTTATTCATCCAACTTCCAAAACCAGTGTTCTTTGGCCCTTCTCCTCAGTTTGTTTTGTTAATAAAAGTTATAAATTTAAAAAATAATAATAATAGAAAAATACATCTGTAACAAGCCATTATTTTATGCTATTTCTCTTCTTCCCAAATTTGGACTAAAAAGGATTTAAATATAAATGTTTGTTTTAAGTTTTTTATTTTATTTTAGTTCAGGTATTGGTTTTTACTGGAGAGGTTAGAGAAAGTGATTTCAAAGGGCAAAATCAACTCAAAATTGTAAAAGGAGAAAATGGAAAAAAAAAAGCGATGATATTCATGACTGATTATCTCCTTCAAGAAAGGAGGGAGGAAATGAAATGTGCTCAGTCTTCTCTTGTAATCTCTTTTCCCAAAGTTACCTCTTGACATTTTTGGATGTTCTGTCACAAGAAAGTTGATCTTTCCATTTCTTTGGTTACTTAGCTTTTAATCTATCTGTTTGCATACATGCTAGAGAGCGATGAGTGATTTGTCGTCTACATAGAAGTGGAAATTTATAGTCTGAAAGAAAATAATAGTTTTCTTTTCTTTTATCTGTTTTATTATTTTCATTATTTGAAATTCTAGTAAGTAATATTCTTCCTTCAAAGTAGCTGTCACTTACAGCTTTCTTAACCTGAGTCTCAGAAAGAATTCAACAAAGCTGTATCTTTCTGTCTTTAAAATATTATTTCTTCCTGTTTCTATCAGTCACTTATGTCATAATAAATATTAAAACTGACAGGCAATATATTTTAAGTGCTACTGTAAAAGCATTGTTTTGCTATAAATAAACAAGCTCATTTCTCTAGGACTTAAATAGGAATACAGATTTGATACATTCTCTTCCCCTATTAAACATCTGTGGCAAGATGCCATTAGGGAGTTGTTAGATTTGCTGGAATTTTCCACTATGCCAGATATTAAATTACCTGTCATATGTGTTCTGAAGTATACAGAAGGTTGTAATCGTATAAGGATGCTGAATGTGCTGACATTTTCATTGCCCTGAATATAAGTAAACATAATTATTGGCTCTTCCTATAGGGTTTTAATTGATATGTTGACCAGTAGCCATGAGTGGGTTTGTGAAGACAACAGGATATAAAAATGGATGTCTTTACAAATCCACTGTCTTTTGTAAAGAAATGCATCATAGAGCAATTATAAAATAATTTGCATTATTTTATATCATTAAATTAATATCAGGGTATAGGTTATGAAAACTACATGATTCAAAATAGACACTATAAAAAAAGAATGCTGTTGGAGTGGGAAGAGGCCAAATGAGCAGCCACCATTTTGCACCTCTACTGTGGCATGGCCACGTTGCACAGTGCTCAGTCAGGAAATGCGATTTACACATCCAACTCCTAGCCTATTCTTCCCAATTACTATGATTTTCTTCCTGCTTTTGTCACTATTTCTGAGTTCCCATTTATCTAGTACACTGGGATTGGGTAACTGCAACTCTGGATACTTAATAATTAAAAAATTGCATTATTAGGAATGATATTCGACTTCCCACATAGATTCTTGTGTTTTTCTCAAGTCTTTTTTCATGTTCTGTATTGAAATCTATCCCCGTATAATCAACCTACTTTCCATGTTTCTGGGTCTCTGAATAAATTCCTTCTTGGATTTGTCTGTACATAATGGCATATTGTGGCTATTTTCCCATTCTCATATATTTTATGAGGAGAGGTCTTGCAATTCTCAAGGCAAATCAGGAATGATCTGCCATGTTTTAGTTCAAAAATTACTTCTGGATGAGCACAGTGGCTCCCATCTGTAATCCCAGCAGTTTGGGAGGCTGAGGTGGGAGTATCACTTGAGGCCAGGAGTTTGAGACTAGCCTGGGCAACATGGCAAGACCCTGTCTCCACAAAAATTTCAAAAAACCAAAAACTCAGCCAGATGCAGTGGTGCACACCTGTAGTACCAGCTACTCCAGAGGCTGAGGCCAGGAGAGTTAATTGAACCCAGGAGTCAGAAGTTGCAGTGAGCTACGATCATGCCACTGCACTTCAGACTGGGAAATAAAGCAAGACTGTATCTCAAAAAAAAAAAAAAAAAATTACTTCTGTCATTAAACTGGTACATAAATTCAATAATATGTAGGAATGAAAAACATCCTTAAAGTTGTAAGGATTGGTCCGGCACGGTGGCTCATGCTTGTAATCCCAGCATTTTGGGAGGCCAAGGCGGGTGAATCACCTGAGGTTGGGAGTTCGAGACTAGCCTGACCAACATGGAGAAATGCCGTCCCTACGAAAAATACAAAAAAATTAGCTGGGTGTGGTGGTGCATGCCTGTAATCCCAGCTTTTCAGGAGGCTGAGGCAGGAGAATCATTTGAACCCAGAAGGCAGAAGTTGCAGTGAGCCAAGATGGCGCCATTGCGCTCCAGCCTAGGCAACAAGAACGAAACTCTGTCTCGAAAATAAAATAAAATAAAATAAAATAAATTGTAAGGATTATTGTGATTTCTGATTGAAAATTCAAATATCTACATTGTTTAAATATATATAACTCTGGGACTTTGCTTTTCAGAATCACTCACTTTTTCATTCATTTATTAATTATTCATATTAAAATAACTTAATGATAACCTAATATTTGCCAAGCTCTATTCTAATCACAGATCTATCTGCAGAAATCTCTGTAAAAATATACAATATAAATGTATAAAGACTTCTGCTTTGTAGAGCTTACATTTTAATGAGAAATACCAATGAACCAAGATAAGTACCAATAAGATACCAGTAAGAAGCTTATAAGGCCCATGAAAAGAAAAACTAGTACAAAATAAGGGAAATTGAGAGTGTGGGGTGGGGTGGGGCGGGCATTTGCATTGTGTAGTGGAGATAGCAGGTAAAGCAAATACCTATTGTCTTCATATGTTTTACATTAGCAAGGGGTCAATGTGGATGGAGTGGATGAGGGAAAAAATAGTTAGAATTAAAGTTAAGAAGAGGGGAAAGAAGGAGGGGTATTTTAGGTAATAAAGAGTGTTGAAAGTGACTATGAAGATTTTAGGCTATAAGTGAAATTAGGAACCATTGTAATGCTCTAAGCAGAGGTTTGACCTCCCTCCTTTACATTTTAACAAGATTACTCTGGATGTGATATTGGGAATGGTTTGTGAGGTGAAAATGCAGAATAAAGGAGACCTTTTTGAAGGTTCCTCTAGTATTTTAGGTGCGAGATGTTGGTGGTTTAAACTACTGTAGCAGTGGAAGTAAAGAAAACTGGTCAGATTCTAGACATATTTTGAAGGCAAAGCCAAAATAATTTTGTAATAGACAGAATGTGTGATGAGAAAGAAATCAGAAGACCAAGGATGATTCATCTGGAGTTTTGACCTATTATCTGGATTTCACTAGAAATTTAAGAGATGAATCAAAAATTATTACTGATCTGTGAAGTAGCAAAAGATAATTTTATTTTTCTCACGAAGCTTCAAATCTAATTGTACAAAAATAATCATTTAGGAAGTAATAAAACATTTGAACATCAAATTGATGTTGTGATTTTGACTGTGAATACAATAAAATTTACACTAAACTGCAAGGCCTTCAAATGTCAGTACCAGAACTTATTAAGTTATCAAACACGTAGTGCTTGGAACATACAATGTACTCTATTAACTAAACTTTTCAGAACAGAAGGTTAGAGACTACACATGCTTCATGGAGAGAATGTCAAATTTGTTTTCTTCTTAAAATAAAAGCAGGGTTTATAAAGCTGAAATTCTTATACTATCAGGGAAGCAAAGGGAAACAACAGGAACTTATCCAATAAATGTCTTTTTTTTTTTTTTTCAAATACATGTTTACTGACAATCAATTCTGTGCCAAAGATAAGAATAAAGAATAGGTTTTGGAAAAACAAAGAATTCATACAAAGAAACATACGCATTTTGTACCACTATTAAACACATCATAAAATATCATGAGTTATTTCAAACAAGATACAATTAAGTTCAAATTTGAATTTTTCCTACATTATTAAGACTATGTACACATGCATATATGTGGACATGCATAATTACATTTATGATTATGTATTCATGTTTGCTGAGCAGCCCACTGCTTTTACATATAATTTATTCCTGAAAGCGACTGAAAAAAACCAACTGTTAAATTTCAACAGATTTAAAGTTGTGGTTATGTGTAGATGTTGGTCATGGTCATGGCACTGTTGTAAAGAACAACTAAAAATCAAATCAAAAAAACTAATTATTCATAATTTTAAGCATTATTTTATGCCTGTAAGTCTATATGCTTTTCAATTATATCATTTTTTTAAATTGAATTGTAGCCTACATGTTGAAATGTAGTGATGTCCTATTAAGGTTCAAATTATGCCATATTAAGCATGGAAGAAAATGCAATTTTGCCATAATTTTATAAGAAGGACACCTATTATTAGTTACAATGGGTTTTTCCATGTTTTCTTTATTTTTCTAAAATGTAATAGTAGAAGTTACTTGCTGAAATAAATGCACACACACAAACACAACAGTGAAACTGCCAAAACTGAAAGTTTGCTCACCAAAGATTGTCCACGTTTTTATCAGCTGATAGTAACAAAATCCGAATTCTAGATAAAATTTTGGCTTAACAGTATCAACGGATACTTCCATTATAGGCCTTAATAAAATTATCATATAAGAATATTACACATCAGAAAGTTTCAGAAATATACTTACGAAGGTTGAGGATTTCCTTACAAAATGTTTAAGAACCTCTGAGTTTCTCGACTGCATCTAAAGAACTGATAATACTCAGTATGTATTTCAAACACGACTATCAAAAAACAGTCTTTCTAAATGCCGTAAAAAATAAACTAGGCATTATTTCCCATGTCATTGCTTTGCTTACGTTCACCTTTTCTGAGCTATATATATTCTTAATTTTATTGTTTCTTAATTTTATTGTTCCTAGATTTAGTTTCTAAATACTGAGGAAATGCATCTTTCTTAAGTCTTAAATGTATATCTCTGTTTTAATGGTGTCCCAATCAGCACAAATAGCCATGTACCTGTTAGTCTAAAATATTAGAGGATAAATTAGTATGAATGGGCAGAACAACTTGTTGTATTTCACAAGAAGAGAAAATGTTTCACACGGAATGTACTTCTCAAAATATAGCCAAAGAAATGCTACCCTCTCTTGCATGCTAAATTGCAGATATGCAGGTTTTCCCTATACCAGTCACAATCCTAGGCCTCTTCCATCACACCGTTAAGGGATAAAAACATCAACAACTTCCTCAGTTTATACCAAAGTTTCAGAACTACTGATTTAGGAGAACTGTTAATATTGCCACAGTCACAGCAAATCCAAAAATAGCTTTTGGGGGAATATTTTCTCCTGCCCTGAGATCCTTTAAACCTTTTAAACCATTTACCCGGATTGTTCATAAATATAAATCATAGATGCTTTGTAATGTTCAAGAAGATTGCTATAAGACTCCTTCCTCAGATTCCAGCTGATCGTCTTGCTTATCTTGTGTCCCCGTTTCTTTTCTTTTTTTTTTTTCTGTGACAGAGTCTCGCTCTGTCGCCCAGGCTGGAGTGCAGTGGCGCGATCTCGGCTCACTGCAAGCTCTGCCTCCCGGGTTCATGCCATTCTCCTGCCTCAGCCTCCCGAGTAGGTGGGACTACAGGCGACAGCCACCATGCCCGGCTAATTTTTTGTATTTTTAGTAGAGGCGGGGTTTCTCCGTGTTAGCCAGGATGGTCTCGATCTCCTGACCACCTGATCTGCCTGCCTCAGCCTTCCAAAGTGCCAAGATTACAGGCATGAGCCACCGCACACGGCCCCGCCATTTCTTTAGTACTGACTCCATCTGACTGTCTGACCTTGACTTGAATCTATAACTACAGTACAATATGTGAGCTTCTGGATTCATGTATTATTTGTTTTTCTTTTTGGTCTTACTTTACAAAACGACTTTTACTTGGCTGATCCATTTTGTTTTCCTGTTTTCACACCACCCTTACCACCAACGGAAATGAATATTGAGCCACTTCGATATTTCTTTCAAGATAGTGGAGGAGTAAAAGTTGCACAAGGTGGGGGTTGGAACTAAAAAATTTTAGACATTAATGTGACTACATGCAGAAAATTATTCTCTAAGTTGATAGTTTCTAGACGTTTGGATTTGATAGACTAACAAAGCATCCTTTTGTGGATTGATACAAATTTAACAACATTTACCAAGTAAGACTATTAAAATAAGAGTTATTATCTAATATAATTTTATTTTAAATATAAAATTTAACCTACAAAAGAAAAAAAGTCATAACTTTTTAATTCATTCCATAAATGTTTACTAAAGACTTATTAAATGCCAGAGACACTTTTAGGTCTTTGGGATATGTGCCAACGTAGACCAATCCTTTAAATGAAATAAAATTGTCTATGAAATATTAAACTGTTTTTTGTCTTTCTTATTCTATAAAAAAAAATGTCCATGGAGTAAACTTTCCAGATATGTAATGGTAATCATTTTAAATCAATTTACTGAATTAAATGATTTTAAATGTTGGTAAATGATACTACTGAGAAAGCATGCTTACGTTTAAATTAACATGTTATGTAAAAGTGAACCAGATTAATGGAATTTCATTTAGTGATGTAAAATATTTTATAAGCAGCTTTCCATTTAATTATCTTCACAGCCTTATACTTCTAAAGTTGGACAAAGAGTTAAGAGTTAAGAGAAAAGCAAGTAAATAAAAATAGGAAGAATTTCATCATTTCTAAAAGAAGTGATAATAGAGCTTTTGGAGCAGTACTGAACAAAGACGTACATAATATCTGTATTAAGAAAAGAAGTTTGTGTTTTACCTAATTAAAGATAGCAAACAAAACAAAAGATCCAATGTGTTAAGTGTATATTTGGGAATATTAAAATTAATGCTGCATCTTCAGTTTAGGCCTAAATAAGAAATTATTCTAGTGTATTTAAATGTATATTTAATTTGCAACAAAAATCAATTTTCACTTACACCATTAGGAGTAAATCTCTTATGCAACAGGAAGAGCATCTGCAATAAAATAGTCCCAGAGAAAACACTGATTATAGATCTCCCAAGAAAAGCATAAAATTAGATATGACATACTTCACAAAAAAAGGAGAATAAAGCTAATTTATTCTTGTTCTTCCGTGTTTACAGACATCACACCATAGCAGTTTATTTATAGTTGGCCATAAAGTTTTAGGAAGACTCAAGATTTTATTGTCAAAGAAAAACAGGTAGCATTTGTTAAGGGCTCTCTATGTTCAAAAAGCACAGTGGTAAATCCTATGGAAAAGATAAAAATGAATGAGATTAAGACCTTTATTCACAGAATTCACAATGTAATGTGGTAGATAATTTTTTAAATTACAATAGAGGGTAGTGGGTGCTAGATACAGTAATACACTGTATAAATAGAAAATTGAAAATACTTTTTCTTCCTCTGGAAGTAACAGAGGCCTTGATAGAGTAGGTAAATTTTGTGTTGTATTTTATTCTTAATAAAGAATGAGTAGGAATTCAATGTGGAAAATAGAGCAGCAATTAAGAGTGAGAAATCTAGAAAGAACCATAAGTTCCTCTTAAAAGGAGTAGCAGAGAAAGATTTAGTGTGAGTGGTTTATGTGTTGAGGGTTGAAGATTTAAGAGTCATGTTAGGGAGTTGGTCTTTGAAGCTGTCGTGTGATTTAGATAGTCCAAAGTGACTGTGTAAAGTAAGAAGAAAAGAGGGCTAAAAATAATCCCTGGGAGATGGTTTTTCCTTTCTCTTCTTTTATTTATTTATTTTTAACCTGAGGAGAAAGAAGAGCTGCTAACGTGTGCTTAGAAAAAATAATCGCAGATTTAGAAAGGGATTATTATGAAAGATAAACCTAAAAAGGATTTACAAAATAATGACATGAAAGAAAACAAAATAAATATGCAGGATGCTGTCAAAAGAATTAAATGCTTCAGAAAAAGTTGAAGAGAATGAGGACTGAGAATGGGCTATGGAGATTAACAATAAAGGTGGACATCAGTGAACTTTGAGAAAATACCATCTTGATAACTCGGGTTGGATGACAGACTTCAGGTGCTCAGGTATAAATGTAAACAGTAGCATAAGAAAGATACTCTGAAAATATAAACTGATTTCAATTTGACTATTTTATAAGATTTCCTGTTTTCTATGAGAGTTAATTTGCACAATAGGAAAGATCTTTAGATCTTATATTTAATTTAGTATATTCATAGTTCTCTGTTACCTACTATGGTTTCAGGCCCCTTGAGGCATTTCATGTTTTATATTTTATGGTCAGTCAATTGTCAGTGAAGGCCAATAATTCAGACATTGGAAAATGTTGACCCCGTTCTATAAAACACTTTATCGTATCTCTTCTCTTTCCACTTCAGCTGACCTTCAGCGCAACCAGTTCTTAAGTGAGAACAAATAGATGAAGTTTGTTCAGCTCTGTCCTAGGTCAATGGAGATGATAGGATTCTAACATAGCGGAGGTCAGGAAGCATCTCTTAAACATGGGAGGTCATGTGGATGCAATTATCCGAGTGCAGTTATCCTAATGGGCCACAAGGCTGAAGTAGCATCCATGGGGCCTTGATCTATAGAGGTCTCTGGTGGTAGGGAGTTGACTATTATATTCCTGAGGCTGAAATAAATGAAAAGCCAAAGAAAGTACTGTTTGACTTACAAAAGAAAACACCATCAAGAAAACAAGAGCAGGTGTGTGTGTGTGTGTGTGTGTGTGTGTGTGTGTATGGAAATATCACCTCATTGGTATATACACATATTTAAATATATGCACACTGTAAATATATGTGTGTGTATATATACATATATGTGTGTGTATATATACATATATATGTGTGTGTATATATACATATATATGTGTGTGTATATATATATATTTGCCAATGTCTAGTATATGGTATTTCTGTACCTCTAAGAGGAAGGTTTCATAGAACCAAGAACCAAGAAGTGAGAAGAAAATTACCCATTGTTACCATTATATCCAGTGATGCATATGATGAATTTGTACTTCAGGCACAACTGAAGTAAAGATGTTTAGTATTTGTTTTCTACTTGTCACGGTTATTCTCTGTTCCTCTTGCATTCCTTACTTGGTTACTTGGTTTCTTTTTTAGTATAATTTCGTTAGTCTTTCTTGTTTCCCTTTTTATAGCTTTCAAGTATTCGTTGTTTTATTATTATTTCAGTGTTTACCATATTATTTATCACACTACTCATGTACATTTTACACTTATTATAGTCTAAGATAAATTACTTGTTTTACAATTTTCTAAACAATGCAGGGGCTTTAGAACACTTTAACTCCATTATGTCCCTCCCAGCCTTTCATGGTATTGTCGTCAGGTAGTGCATGTGTATATTTTAAACCCAGAAGTCATCCTTGATTTTGAAGCAGTAAAAATTAATTTATTTATCTACATAGTATTCTTTTCCCTTGTTCATTATGCCTTCCTCTGCCTTCCTGTGTTCATATTGAGTCATTATACTTTGGAAATGTCCTTTTATATTCCCTTTACTGAAAATCTGCTGCTGATGAAACCTCTCAATTTTTTTTGTCTAAAAATTGTGTTTATTTTGCTTTAATTTTTGAAGGACATTTTTTACTATGATAGAATGTCTTTTTTTTTTTTTTTTTTTGAGATGGGAGTTTCACTTTGTCACCCAGGCTGGAGTGCAGTGGCGCGATCTTGGCTCACTGCAGCCTCCGCCTCTTGGCTTCAAGCAATTATCCTGCCTCAGCCTCCCGAGTAGCTGGGACTACAGGCACCTGCCACCACACCCAGCTAAGTTTTGTGTTTTCAGTAGAGACAGCGTTTCACCGTATAGACCAGGCTTGTCTCAAACTCCTGACCTCATGATCCACCCGCCTCAGCCTCCCAAAGTGCTGAGATTACAGGCATGAGCCACCGCGCCTGGCCTCTATAGAATTCTTTATTGGTAAGTGTTATTTAGTTTTTCAGCCCTTGAAAAAAAATCAAACCGTGTTTTTTTTATCATTTATGTTAACAGGCCAGTTATTAATCTCATTATTGTTTTTTGAAGAAATTTAACTGTTTGCAAGAGACTGCATTTTGTCTTTCTAAAATTCATATGTTGATGCCTTAAGCTTCTATGTTATTATACTTAGAGATAGGTCTTTAGAAGGTAATTAGGCTAAATAGGGTTAGATGGGTGAGGCCCTAATTCCGTAGGACTGTGGCCTCATAAGAAGAAAAACGAAGAGCTGTTTCTCCCCTTCTTTCTCACTCTCTCCTTTCTCTTTCTTGTTCTCTCTTTCTCTCACTCTCTGTCTCTGTCATATAAGGCAAAAAGGCAGCCACCTGGAAGCCAGGAAAAGAGTTCTTACCAGGACCCAAATTGTCCAGCACCTTTGTCTCGGATTTCCTTACCCACAAGAACTGAGAACATAAATTTCTGTTGTTGAGCTACCCAGTCTATGTGTTTTGTTATGGCAGTCACAACGAATTACTACAGTGGTTTTATTTTTATTTAAAAAATTTTTCTTTCCAACCTTTATTGTAGGTGCAGAGGGTACATGGGCAGGTTTGTCACATAGATAAATTGTGTGTTGTGGGGGTTTGGTGTACAGATTATTTGGTCACCCAGTTAATGAGCATAGTACCCTGTAGGTAGTTTTTTGATGTCTCCCTTCTCCCACCCTCCACCTTCAAGAAGGGCCTGGTGTCTATTGTTCCCTTCTTTGTGTTCAAATGTGTTCAATGTTTACCTCCAATTATAAGTAAGAACATGTGACATTTGGTTTTCTATTCCTGTGTTTCATATTTTCTTCATCCAGTCCACTGTTGATGGGCATCTAGGTTGATTCCATGTCTTTGTTATTGCGAATAGTGCCATGATGAATACACACATTCATATGTCTTTATGGTAGAATGATTTCTATTCCTCTGGGTATATACCCAGAAATGGGATTGCTCGGTTGGATGGTAGTTCTGTTTTAAGTTCTTTGAGAAACCTCGAAAATGCTTTCCACGGTGACTGAACTAATTTACATTCTCACCAGCGCTGTATAAGCATTACCTTTTCTCCAAAACCTTGCCAACATCTGTTAATTTTTGACTTTTTAATAATAGCCATTCTGACTGGTGTGAGATGGTATCTCATTGTGGTTTTGATTTGCATTTCTCTAGTGATTAGTGATATTGAACATTTTTTTTTTTTTACATGCGTGCTGGCTACGTGTATGTCTTCTCTTGAGAAGTGTCCATTCACATTTTTTGCCCATTTTTTAATGGTTTTTTTTTATTGTTAAATTGTTTAAGTTCTTTATGGATTCTGGATAGTAGGCCCTTGTCAGATGCATAGTTTGCAAATATTTTCTTCCATTTCATAGGTCATCTCTTTACTCTGTTAAAAGTTTCCTTTGCTGTGCAGAAGCTCTTCAGTTTAATTAAGTCCCACTTGTTAATTTTTGTTTTTGTTGCAATTGCTTTTGGAGTCTTTATAACAAAATATTTCCCAGTGCCTATTTCCAGAATGGTATTTCCTAGTTATTTCCAGGTTTTTATAGTTCTGGCTTTTACATTTAAATCTCTAATCCATTTCGAATTGATTTTAGTTTATGATAAAAGGAAAAGGTCCAGTTTCAATCTTTTGCTTATGGCTAGAAAGTTATGCAAGCACTATTTATTGACTAGCGATTCCTTTCCCTGTTGCTTGTTTCTGTCAAATATCAGATGGTTGTAGGTGTGTGGCTTTATTTCTAGGCTCTCCACCATGATCCATTTGTCTATGTGTCTATTTTTGTACCAGTACTATGCTGTTTTGATTACTGTAGCCTTGTTGTATAGCTTGAAGTTGGGTAGTGTGATGCCTCTGGCTTTGTACTGTTTGCATACGATTGCTTTGGCTATTCAGGCTTTTTTTTTTTTTTTTGGTTCCATACGAATTTTAGAATAGTTTCTTCTAATTCTATGAAAACATCATTGGTAGTTTGATAGGAATAGCATTGAATCAGATGGTGGTTATAAATTTTCTCTTTCTATTCAACATTTTAGATACTTTACTATAATGTGTTATGTGTTATTATATACTATAGATTATATGTTTATATTATATATAGATATATAATATCTATATGATATTGATATATATATCATATATAGTTTTTGCGTGTATATATATTTATGGAAGGCCTGACTTTATATATATATATCTATATATATCTCCATAAATCTGTGACTTCATATCAGTAATCAGTTTTTGGAAATCGTTAGCTATTACTTATTCAAATAATTATCCTGTCTAATTTTTTTTCATTTCTAATGGGACTGCATTTGCACATATATTAGACCTATTCATGGTATCTCTGTTCTTTCTGTATTCTCTCTAAATATTTTCATTTGTTTTACTGTTCAGATCTCCAATCTTGTCTTTTGCTGTTTCTCATGTGTTTTTCAGTACAGCCCTTTAATTCTTAATTTTACATATAGCATATTTTCTATTCTTTTAATTTTCTCATAACTCATTTTATAAAGTTCAGTTCTCTGACGAAAAATTCCAATTCATCTTTATTTGGTTGAAAATATTAATTAATCTCATATTATAATTTAGGTCTCAAATCCTCATAACCTATTACTCCTCTGAAACTATTTCTTTGTTTCTTTTCTAATCTTTGTTATTATCATCATGATCACCATAATTAGCACCACCATTTATTTTTGCCCATTGCTATGACATGTAATTTTTTTTTTTTTTTTTTTTTTTTTTTGAGACGGAGTCTCGCCCTTTTGCCCAGGCCCGAGTGCAGTGGCGCTATCTCGGCTCACTGCAAGCTCCGCCTCCTGGGTTCACACCATTCTCCTGCCTCAGCCTCCCAAGTAGCTGGGACTATAGGCGCCTGGCTAATTTTTTGTATTTTTAGTAGAGACGGGGTTTCACCGTGTTAGCCAGGATGGTCTAGATCTCCTGACCTTGTGATCTGCCCGCCTCGGCCTCCCAAAGTGCTGGGATTACAGGGGTGAGCCACCGCGCGTGGCCTATGACATGTAATTTTTTAAATGGAATTGTGCAGAAAAAAAATTAGAAATATTTTAACACATTGGCTTGTCTTTATAGAGTTTTTCTTTCGTTTTTCACAGGTAGTTAAATTTGGGCCATACCACCTTAATCCAATATGAAATTAAGCTTATTTGAAACTGATTACAAATCATTATGAGATCTGGTCTACATCTTACTTGATTTTGTCTTCATGCAACTGGAAGACTAGTGTATTCATAAAAATTGTTCCACCTCTGCAAGCCCTGAACTGTAATCCATACTTCCATAGTCTTGGTAAATTGCTCATAGCTATCTTCAGTTTCCAGACTCTAGAATTCAGTATAGGTTATTGGAAATTACCATAATTCAGTTAGTGATTGAGCTAATACTTGGTGGGATTTCAATGTTTGTGACAGCTAGTCAGTTCCTAAGTTACTGTTTTTTTAAGAGTATATTCCTTCAGGCCTCACAAATAAAAGGCTAAAGTATTTGTGTGCTCCTCCCCGTCAGGCTTACATTCAATTTATTTTATCCCACCTCTGGGAGATTAAAAAAATATATTTGTTCAACTTCTTGAATTCCATACCACCGTATGTGGATTGTCGTATCCCCAGATGGAAGAATCACACATAGGAAATCCACATTCACCTCTTTGCTTCTCCTCTGTCCAGGATCTTGTTCCTACAGGACTTGAAAGCTTTAAAGTGACTAATAAAAAGAAGTTACTCAAATTTTCTAGCCTTTGGTTGGAAGATTTAACTGAGACAAGCTAATATGCTTTTCCTGGAAATATTCTGTGGTTTATATTCAAAGATTCATTCTTTTGTTTCAATTATGCATATTATTTTAAGCATATCATGATCACTGAAAGTCACACCAAAATTCTTTACATCTTTTAATTTTTGTTTTGCAGCACAATTTTTGTATTGTACTATGTAGCACCAAGAAAGTGTATAATTTTCATATGTTAGCCACAGGTGAAAAACAAATTCTGCTTGGAGTGGAAATATTTTATTTTTCCAATTAACTTTTAACCTAACAAACACCATAGTATTAAAAATACGTTCAGTTTTCTTAAGAAGCAAAACCTACACAGCATAATTAACTCATGGGACTTTCTAAAGTTACAAGGCCAGAGTTGGGCATATTTAATGCTATCAATTAATTATCTAGAGAATAGTGGATATCCAGTAACTCACTCCGTGCTTGGTAAACATTGAGAAGCAAGCAACTTATTTGTTATAATGTCATTGGTTATTCTTGAGAATACATTTCCGAATTATATATGAAAGCTAATGGGTAATATGATTATTTAATACAATTTGTTTTATGAAAAACAATTCCTTAACAAAAGTCATAGTAAATGACAGCAAATGAATGAAACATTAACTATTTGTTAATCTCCTTGCTTCCCCTTTGCATGCGTAATTACTATTTATTCTTACAACACTTTGAGGTAGATATCAGGCTTTTATAACCTAAATAACTCACCCAAAATTACAGAGGTAGTAAGTGATACAGATATAACTTAAATATATCTCTTTCTGATTTCAATGATTGTTCTCTGAATAGAATTTTTCTTCCTGATTCGTCTTGTTACTTCATAAGTTTACAATTCATTCTCAAAGAGATACAGCAGCTTGTTGCCTGTTTATTACTAATATTGAATGAGCTGAAATACAATAATATGGATCAATGTAAGAAATCAAGAAATGTGTTTATTTTTAAATGCCTTTACATGCCTTTTCTTTTAACTCTAAAATCTTCATATTTTCATCTTTTCCAATAATTTACTTAAATGTTTATAAATACTAAACCAAGAAAAATTTGTTTAAAGAATTTAGTTGTTTTGGTCCATTACTCAGTTTTCCACATTAGTCCCAATAGTGGGAGATGGATTCATTATATTTTATTCGTGGAACACCTAAAATTAGCTTTTTGTTTGTTTGTATTAAATAGATATTTAATCTATAAGCACCAGACATTAAATTATACTAGATATGGATAACTCCTTAGACAATATACCTCAATATCATGGTTATAGTTATCCTTTATCTTTTCTTACTTGGTGCTTGTTTGAATATGTTAAACTGTCATGCTCCATTCAGTACTGGCTCTGATTAGCTACTATGTGTGAATGCAGAACTTTCTATATGCTATTGCATTGAATAAATATATCTGTGTTAAATACCTTAAAAATATTTTGTAGTCAGAGATTGTAATTAATTATCTTCTGAAATATGCTAAAATGCCAACATTTTATTATGTACTCACCAAGTTATGGACACTGCCTTAGTCACTATGTTTGGCCCCAGTGGCCACACAGTCTAATGAAACAGATACACTGAAGTATGATGCAGATAATCCCCGAGTGTTCTAGGAATTTAGAACTGGGTTACTTAATTCAGACCAAGTGAAAATAGAGGGATTGCAAGAGACATTAAAAATAAAAGCAGAGGAAGAACAGAAACACAAGAGAAAGTCTGAATAACTACAAATAATTCATGTTGACTAAATGTAGAGAACAGAGAGCTAGAGGAAGTAATGACATTTTAGGAAGCCAGATAATGTAGAACAAATATCCTACCTGTGGGACATGAAATGTGAGCAAGTGACTCCCCCCAGTTTAGCATAAATCTTGTCTCAAAAATAGGTCTGAATTGAGGGCCAACTTACAGGAATTAGGGATCTTGATATGGCAAGTGGTCAATAAAATAAACGGGGCCAGGTGTCTCCAGCTTTGCATGACTTTACTAGTCTTTCTGGTAATAATTGAAATAGTAACTTAGAATTAGATCTATACTAAACATTGCAGCAATGCACTCTTTCATTAACTTGGCAAACTCTTTTTACATTTGCCATTCGTTAAAAGGGGAGAATTACTAGCTTGCAATGGTGAGATTTAGCTTTTAGCCTGACAAAGGTGTCATATCAGACTTTTGCTGCATTAATTGCTATTGTCTTTAGAACTTCCTGTTTAAGGTGTAAGGAAGGGATCCAGTTTCAGCTTTCTACATATGGCTAGCCAGTTTTCCCAGCACCATGGATTAAAGATTTAAACGTTAGACCTAAAACCATAAAAACCCTAGAAGAAAACCTAGGCATTACCATTCAGGACATAGGCGTGGGCAAGGACTTCATGTCCAAAACACCAAAAGCAATGGCAACAAAAGCCAAAATTGACAAATGGGATCTAATTAAACTAAAGAGCTTCTGCACAGCAAAAGAAACCACCATCAGAGTGAACAGGCAACCTACAACATGGGAGAAAATTTTCGCAACCTACTCATCTGACAAAGGGCTAATATCCAGAATCTACAATGAACTCAAACAAATTTACAAGAAAAAAACAAACAACCCCATCAAAAAGTGGGCGAAGGACATGAACAGACACTTCTCAAAAGAAGACATTTATGCAGCCAAAAAACACATGAAAAAATGCTCATCTTCACTGGCCATCAGAGAAATGCAAATCAAAACCACTATGAGATATCATCTCACACCAGTTAGAATGGCAATCATTAAAAAGTCAGGAAACAACAGGTGCTGGAGAGGATGTGGAGAAATAGCAACACTTTTACACTGTTGGTGGGACTGTAAACTAGTTCAACCATTGTGGAAGTCAGTGTGGCAATTCCTCAGGGATCTAGAACTAGAAATACCATTTGACCCAGCCATCCCATTACTGGGTATATACCCAAAGGACTATAAATCATGCTGCTATAAAGACACATGCACACATATGTTTATTGCGGCATTATTCACAATAGCAAAGACTTGGAACCAACCCAAATGTCCAACAATGATAGACTGGATTAAGAAAATGTGGCACATATACACCATGGAATACTATGCAGCCATAAAAAATGATGAGTTCATGTCCTTTATAGGGACATGGATGAAATTGGAAACCATCATTCTCAGTAAACTATCACAAGAACAAAAAACCAAACACCGCATATTCTCACTCATAGGTGGGAATTGAACAATGAGATCACATGGACACAGGAAGGGGAATATCACACTCTGGGGACTGTGGTGGGGAGGTGGGGGGGGCGGGGAGGGATAGCATTGGGAGATATACCTAATGCTAGATGACGAGTTAGTGGGTGCAGCGCACCAGCATGGCACATTTATACATATGTAAGTAACCTGCACAATGTGCACATGTACCCTAAAACTTAAAGTATAATTAAAAAAAATAATAAATAAATAAATAAATACATAAATAAATAAAAAGAACTTCCCGTTGCTTAAGTAATGTGAGTCTTTGTCAACTCAAGTGTTTTAAGTCAGCAGGCCTAGAAATTAGTGTGATAGGCAAAAGTTTTAGCAAAAATCTTAAAAAAAACTGAAAAGTTTAGACAGTTATTTTTATAGGAAACACCCACTGAATATCTATTTGTAAATCTAAATTGGCAATAGGCGAGTGCTTGAAAATACGATGCTTCGGGTGTTAATTGATTATCTGTCAAAATGACAAAACACCTTGCTAAAAAGATTTGGCTTGTCTGAAACTAGTGGGTTTGAAAAACACTGAAGGGATTTAGGTAAAGCACAAATATAAAAAGATATGCTTATTTGAAAAGTTACTCAGACAGTGAGTTGGGGAGGGAATGTTGAGAGGCAAGTCTCATAGACTTAAGATAAATTATGGGGCTATAATTAACGTGTTAGGATTTTTATATTAGCTAGTTTAAAACTTCTTAGTTAACACTTTTTTTTGTCCTAGGAGCAGAGATTAAATGATTAGTGGCTTCTCCATTGCTTCATCATTAGGATGTCACTCTAGCTAACCCTTCCCCAGGTACCAGGGGAATTAAAACTAAGAAAGAAAGAACTAACAATTTTTCATTTTGATTCATTGAGGACCATACCTGCTGAAAGGTCTGACTTTGTATTTTATTTCATTTCCAGTCGTTTGTACAGGGAAATTATCCCATTAGGTGAGGTTGGAAGCCTTAGGGTTGCTTGCTGCCCAGCCTCAGTTATCCTCTTTGTGGGGATACAGTTCCCCAACAGTCACTGGAAGAACAAACCTCCCATTCCCAGCCATGTGATTGGATCAACTTATGCCAAGGTGGACTATGATGAGATCAGTCTAGTCTATGCACTCCAGCTCCACAGTCACATTAACTTCTTAGAAAATGGCTTAAAATACACAGCTAATGTGAATTTAAAAAGCATTTCAAGAATTTTTTAAACCTTCCCCTCTGTTCCAAAGCAACTAAATTAGATATCTCTTTTAACAGTGATTGACCATAATAATTTATCTGTACAACTATCTTTCATATAACATAGCTCTTTTTCCCCCCACTTATGTTATACTAGTCCATGTGTTTCTAAGGAAAAGAATTGCGTGTGTATGTGAATTGTAATGGATCACAGTAAAAATCTTTTTAAAAAATAAAAATTAGTTTTAAAGCATATTGACATCCAGAAACGACTGAGAGGAAGGGTTAATAGTTATTGAGTATCTTCTATGACTAAATTTGAAGTGAAAAATACAATAACATGGTTAACTATCTACAGTTAGTATTTATAATAGAAGATTTTATTTTAAGACAAATTTTTTTAAATGAGTAATTACGAACAAACCCAACACATGAAAAAACACCAGGAACATCTTCTGAATATAATTTTAGATATTTATTTAGGAAGATGGTCAGTTATAAAGAGAAAATAAGAAGAAAAGAAATGGATATATCTTTTGCAATATTGAAATGATTATATCTGTTGACTTGATCAAAGAGAAAAAACTAAAGTGAATCTTAGAGGATTTATTGTAAATGTTTATATCATATTGACAAATATTCTTTACAATTGAGAAATAAAAGTTTAAACATTAAGAGAATGGTGTTGTATTTAAATTTTGTACTTTAGACTCTATTAAGTTATTGTTATAAAAAATGAGGACATTAATATATATTATAATGCCAACTTCCATACTTCAGTCTTCTTATTTGTTAGTCTTAGTGTTAATTTTAAAATATAAAATTTGTAGCATTTAACTTCTATTTTCTCTGAGAATTTTAGTCTTTTTACCACATTAAATATATCTAATGCCTATATTAAATCTTTTTACAACACATTCTCCATTTTGTTTTATTTTGAAACATATCCTGTCCCATTAATTGATTGGCAAATAAAATTTTTCGCAAATGTTTAAATGTACTCCATTTCTTGAATTCTGTTATGATATGAATGTCTATTACCATCAGCTCTAAAAGATCATTTACATATTTACAATATTCTTGGTCCATTCTTTTTCTGTGATTTTTGTTGAAATTGCTCCATATATCTGAAGTGAATGTTGCCACAGAGATTCTGAGGCCTAATAGATTTTTCATGTATAGTTGATTTATTATTATTTATTTTTGCCTAGACCCACATCTAATTTCATCTTTCTGATTGAGTTCATTGCCTTCACTTGAATCATTCTTATTTTCTCTCTGATACCCAATGAGACATCCACTATAACAAAATCTTTGTTTATGTAAGTAAACCTTTCTTCCCCTAGAAAGTTAAAACTTTAATCTCATTTATTTTTTAATTTTATAGAAATACTATTTTAAATCTCATTTGTGTGATTTATATAATTAACTAAAAGATAACTATTCTTATATAATTATATTCTCCATTTTATCCTGTGTAACTTCCTCCAACCTAATGATTGTGTTACTGTCTCAGTTATTTTTATTCTTGTTTTGATACTTATCATTGGACTTTCAATGTTGTTTAACATTAATTTCTCTTACATTTCTTTCCTAGGATAACTGATGCTTTATATTCTTCTTTAAACTGTTCTAATTCTAATACGGCTTTTAGAGTAGAGCTTATGTTACAATCTCTCTCAGGTTTTGATGAACTCTTTCTTTGTTTCAACGAGGTCTTTTGAGAGGTTTCTATCTTCTGCCTTTTAATTTCATCCTTTGTACAGTTTATCTTTTTTTAAAGTGACTGTTAATACATATTCCTGCTGTTGGTTTATGTGTGATTATTTCTTAACTGAAAAAAAGTAGACTGACTTTTGTTCAAAACACTGTCATTTAATCAAAATTATTTGATATGGATGACACTCACTACTGGATAATCTATAACTGGTTAAACCAACAGTCAGAGAGAGTGCTGTGAGTTCACAGCAGTGGAGCATTAGCAAATGTGCATACCAGTCATCCTTTGAGATTGGGCAATTCCCAGTCTTTCTTTAGTTTTCTTTGTGTGTGTGTGTTTCATGGGGTACAAAAGAGAGAACTCATAAGACTTTATTCCACTATCTTTAAATAAAAATTATGTTCCATAGAATACTAGAACTGAATGAAGCATTATAAGCCATTTAGTTGAACTGCTCTATTTTACAAATAAAAAAATTAGACTTATTGGCAGAGTTGGAACTAGAAAGAAAACCTCCTAAGTTTAAATCTAGTGTTTCTTACTTTTGGAAACTACTTATGTGTAGAAGAAACATATGTGTTCCACAGAGGACATTTCTGTTGTATCCATAGTAAAAATAATTCTTGTTTCACAATCATCTCAGCACCATTACTATGGCTCCTCACCCCTCATCAGACTATCAGTTGCTATTGAACTTCCTTCCTTTCTTTGGTTTTATTGGGTAAATTAGATCGTTTTGAATAGAAAGTAAGATGTGCAAATTGAATTATAAGCTACATGTTGGTGTATTTTTTTCTTGGCTGGAAAAGTGCTCTTAGGCTTTATTTTTCACTAATCTTGTTTTTTCAGTGTAGGAAGAAGATGAAATAGCAGTATAAACTTTGTTTTTGAAGGTAGGTCAGTGATAGTTCTTGAATCCATAAGTTCGTTAGTATAAAATTCTGCTATTTTTTGTATGATTCCTATCTGAACTGATGCACCAGACCCAGTATCCAGTGTTTCCATTAACACCCTAGGACTCTGCCCTTCATAGATGCAAACATGTATGATTTTTAAATACTTACATCCATCAAAGTACAGAGTCAAATCTAAGAGACAGTAGACTCTGCTTTATGATCAGAAGTTAAAGCTTTGCTGTTATCATTTCTCCTCTCTGCCTTTGGCCTGTTTATTTATTTATTTATTGAGTTACAGTGAGGATCAAGGTTAATTTTATTTTAAAACCAGCATTTCTGTCCTGTTGTATGAGGATCTCTTTTACTTTTATGATTTTTACTTGTGTAAATGTAGGGGGTACAATACAGTTTTCTTATAGGAATATATTGTGTAGTGGCATAATCTGAGCTTTTAGTGTAACATCACCCAAATAGTGTACATTGTGCCCATTAAGTAATTTCTCATCCCTTACCCAGCCCCACCTTCCCACCGTCCTCAGTCTCCATTATCTATTATTCCACACTCTCTGTTCATGTGTACATACTATTTAGCTCCCACTTATAAGTGAGAACATCCAGTATTAGAATTTCTGAGTTATTTCACTTAGGACAATTGCCTCCAGTTCCATACATGTCACTGCAAAATGTATTATTTCATTATTTTTTATGGCTGAGTAGTATTTCATGGTGTGTGTGTGTGTGTGTGTGTACACATCACATTTTCTTTATCCAATCATTCACTGATGGACACTTAAGTGGATTCCATATTTTTGGTATTGTGAATATTGCTGCTATAAATATACTGCTTCGGGCATCTTTTTGATATAATGATTTCTTTCCCTCTGGGTATTTTTCAACATTGAGTTCTTCAAGCTTAACTTAGTAGATGTAACTACTTGCTCTTCTTAATCTTTACATGACCTTATTGACCTTGCTCAGATCAAGACCCATTTGCTTGCCTACCTGGGTCTAAAGTTCTGGCATTCTCCCTGAATGACATTTGCCCAGCTTTTGATTTACTGACTGCTTAAAATGCTACTATTTCAAAGTCCTTCTGTACAAGATGCATTACTCTCCTGGTTTCTTTAAATCTGTTTCAGCTCAAAGAAAAGCATGACATGTTTGAAAAGAATTTACACGGACCATTTTTAGAATTTTACAATCTCTTTAGAGATTTTCCTTGATGCTTATCTTTTCATGGTTCTATCTAAACATGTTGTCTATGAATATAACTACTTAATCTTTTGAGGATCTTAATTGAAATTGAATTAATAGTTGTTAAGAGCCCTTTCCCTCACATAATTCTACAAGCATAGTAGAATCGGATTCTCTGAAATTTTGTTCTAAAACTAGAGTTTCCTTGACTTTTCTCATGTACACTCCATATTATTCCCTCTGTCATTAAGTCTCCATTTCAATTGCCACTGCTTTAGTTCCTTAGTATCAACATTTCATAGTTGGGCCATTGATAAAGTTCCATGATTCCAGTCTTTGCCTCTTCTTTGCTATCTTTTAGCCTTATCTTGAGTATACACACTCAAGCATACATAAAAATTGCATAACCATGTTGTTACCTATGTATACCCACAGACTCAAACCCTCTGAAATTCTCATTTATTGTCTCCAATATGGGATTCAAAAATTGCATGGTTAGCCAGCAACCCATATAATTCTAACATAGGAGCTCAAAAGAGTATACATTGAGAAATATCATGCTCCAGTATTATAACATTTTTGCAGAATACACATAAACTGTTCCTAACCACCCGCTCATCATCATTCCTGCATCATAGTTTTACACACTAGCAAAACCCGTTTGTAGTTA
The DNA here is from genome assembly GCF_000001405.40 of Homo sapiens. Classification (NCBI taxonomy): domain Eukaryota; kingdom Metazoa; phylum Chordata; class Mammalia; order Primates; family Hominidae; genus Homo; species Homo sapiens. Next base: position 194,266,548 of record NC_000001.11, on the reverse strand, counting down.
CCCACACATATTATGTTGTATCTTGCTTCCATGTATTTCTTTGTTTCTCCAAGTTTCCTTCACTTTTAATATTCCTTTTCCACATTCCTTATGATTCAATTCAGGCACCACTATTTCTGAAATGATTTTCCTGACATCCTTAGCTACTTTTTGTCTTTCAACAATTCTCTGTTCATAGCTCTATCAGTGTCTATGTTGCATAATATAGTAATTTTGTACATATTTTTCAATTTCCTCCTCTTTATTATTCATACCTAAAAGATTGATCATTCATCTTGATTTTCCTGACATTTAGCAAAATTTCTGGTATAAAACGTGTTCAAAAATATTTGATGAACAAATAAATAAATCAGTAATAAAAAGAGATTAGATTAATTAGATTGAATTAGATTAATAGTTAAGTCCTTTCCACATCTGAAATTCAGTTTTCTCAATTTGCAGAAGTTGAGATATACAAAAGGAATATGATATCCAGTATTTTAGAATAAATACTGGGGAAACCATTGATTGAGTAAAACATCTAGGAACTAATCTTCATCTTATAAATGAGAAATTTGAGGATTTTCACTTGCTGGAAAATACAGTATTTACTAATTGCAGAACTACAACTGATTATTCTAAAAAATATGACATTTTTATTCAGTGACATATGGTATGATTAAGGAGATAAGAAAATATTAAATTATTACAGAAATGGTAAATGTAAAGTGCAAGTAAGTGCAATAAATGTTAGTAAAATAACTATGAAAGATGATGTGTGTAGTAGGATCAAGATTGGACCCCAACATTTGGTAGGATTCAGATAGAAAGGGGGTATGAAAGATAAAAACATTTAAAAAGGCACAGGTTGCCATATCTGAAAAAAAAGTTTGTAATCAAATGTGACCCAGACCCCTAGACCTCCTTTGGAAGATAATAATTCAGAAGTACCAACTAGCTTTAATAATAATTTTATTTTAATGTCATGTTTATTAACATTGAAAATGTTTTTATATTATCATTTTGGTATTCATCAGCTATATGAATAATAATGGAGTTAATAAAATAGAAGAATAATAATACTGCCTATCAAAATGGTGTTCTATTCAGAACCATAGGTCATCACCATGCTGATTGAGGTCTCTCTTATTACCTATTTTTTGCCTTTCAAATCCAATACATGTTTTTCTTTCCAACTTTTATTTTAGGTTCAGAGGGCACAAGTGCAGGTTTGTCACATGGGTAAATTGAATGTAATAGGGGTTTTGTATTAGTTCATTTTCACACTGCTGATAAAGACATACCTGAAACATGGGAACCAAAAGCAATTTAATTGGACTTACAGTTTCACATGGCTGGGAAGGCCTCAGAATCATGGCGGGAGGTGAAAGGCACTTCCTACATGGCAACAGCAAGAGAAAAATGAGAAAGAAGCAAAAGCAGAAACACCTGAAAAACCCACTAGATCTCATGAAACTTATTCACTATCACGAGAATAGCATGGGAAAGACAGTCCCCATGATTCAATTACCTGCCCCAGGTCCCTCCTACAACACATGGGAATTCTGGGTGATACAATTCAAGTTGAGATTTGGATGGGGACACAGCCAAACCATATTATTGTGCCCCTGGCCCCACCAAATCTCATGTCCTCACATTTCAAAACCAATCATGCCTTGCCAACAGTCCACCAAAGTCTTTACTCATTTCAACATTAACCTAAAAGTCCACAGTCCAAAGTCTTATCTGAGACAAGGCAAGTTCCTTATGCCTATGAGCCTGTAAAATCAAAAGCAAGCAAGTTACTTCCTAGATACAATAGGGTACAGGTATTGGGTAAATAAAGCCTTTCCAATTGGGAGAAACTGGTCAAAACAAAGGGATTACAAGGCCCATGCAAGTCCAAAATCCAGTAGGACAGTCAAATTTTAAAACTCCAAAATGATCTCCTTTCACTTCTCTCACATCCAGATGACACTGATGCAAAAGGTAGGTTCCCGTGTTCTTGGGCAGCTCCACCCCTGTGCCTTTGCAGGGTACAGCCTCCCTACTGGCTGCATTCACAGGCAGGCATTGAACATCTGTGGCTTTTCCAGGCGCAGGGTGCAAGCTATCGGTGGATCCACCATTCTGGGTTCAGGAGGATGGTGGCCCTCTTCTCACAGCTCCACTAGACAGTGGCCCAGTAGCAACTCTATATGGGGTCTCCAACCCCACATTTCCCTTCCACACTGCCTTAGCAGAGGGTCTCCATGAGGGCCTTGCCCTCACAGCAAACTTTTACCTAGGCATCCAGGCATTTCCATACATCTTCTGGAATCTAGGCAGAGGTTCCTAAACCTCGATTTTTGACTTCTGTGCACCCACAGACTCAACACAACAGGGAAGCTGCCAAGGCTTAGGGCTTCCACCCTCTGAAGCTGCATCCCAAGCTGTACATTGGCCCCTTTCAGCCATGGCTGGAGTGGCTGTGACCCAGGGCACCAAGTCCCTAGGCTGCACACAGCACAAGATCCATGGTCTCAGCCCACAAAACCACTTTTTCCTTCTGGGCCTCTGGGCCTGTGATAGGAGGGGCTGCTGTGAAGATCTCTGACATGGCCTGGAGGCATTTTCCCCATGGTCTTGAGGATTAACATTAGGCTCCTTGCTGCTTATGCAAATTTCTGCAGCTGGATTGAATTTCTCCCAAGAAAATGGGTTTTGCTTTTCTATCGTACAGTCAGACTGCAAATTTTCCAAACTTTATGCTCTGCTTCCCTTATAAAACTGAATGCCTTTAACAGTACCCAAGTCAATTCTTGAATGCTTTGCTGCTTAGAAATTTCTTCTGCCAGATACCCTAAATCATCTTTCTCAAGTTCAAAGTTCCACAGATCTCTATGGCAGTGGCAAAATCCCAACCAGTCTCTTTACTAAAACATAACAAGAGTTGCCTTTAATCCAGTTCCCAACAAGCTCCTCCTCTCCAACTGAGACCACCTCAGCCTAGACCTTATTGTCCATATCACTATCAGCATTTTGGGCAAAGCCATTCAACAAGTCTCTAGGAAGTGCCGAGCTTTCCCACATATTCCTGTCTTCTTCTGAGCCCTCCAAAGTGTTCGGTATTTTTGCCTGTTACCCAGTTCCAAAGTTACTTCCACATTTTCGGCTATCTTTTCAGCAACACTCCACTCTACTGGTAGCAATTTACTGTATTAGTCCATTTTCACACTGCTGATAAAGACATACCCGCTACTGGGGGGGGGGGGGGGGCGGGGAAGAGGTTTAATTGTACTTACAGTTCCACATGGCTGAGGAAGCCTCAGAATCACAGTGGGAGGTGAAAGGCACTTCTTACATGGTGGTGGCAACAGAAAATGAGGAAGAAGCAAAAGCAGAAACCCCTGATAAATCCATCAGATCTCCTGAGACTTACTTACTATCACAAGAATAGCACAAGAAAGGCCGACCCCATAATTCAATTACCTCCTCCTTGGTCCCTCCCACAAGATGTCAATTTCTTGGAGATAGAATTTAAGTTGAGTTTTGGGTTGGGGACACAGACAAACTATATCAGGTGTGGTGCACAGATTATTTTGTCACCCAGGTAATAAGCATAGCACTTGATGGGTAATTTTATAAGCCTAAACCTCATCCTGCCCTCTATCCTCAAGTAGTCTTCGGCGTCTATTGTTCTCTTTTTTTACGTCCAGGTATACTCAATGATTAGCTCCCACTTATCAATTTGAACATATGGTATTTGATTTTCTGTTCCTGTATTAATTCACTTAGGATACTGGCCTCCATCTCCATCCATGTTGTTGTAAAAGACATGATTTTGTTCTTTTTGTGGCTGCATAGTACTCCATGTTGTATATGTACATTTTCTTTCCAGCCCACTGTTCATGGGCATCTAGGTTACTTCCATGTCTTTGCAATTGTGAAGAGTGGTGTGATGAACATATGTGTGCACGTCTTTTTATGGTAGAACTAGAAATTTCCTTTGGGTATATACCCAGTAATAGGATTGGTGGGTTAAATGATAGAATTAATAACATTTAATAGTCATTTTTCATAACATTTGCTTTTTCTCTTCACTCTCTTTTGTGATGCTATCTCTCTTCACAGGTTATAAAGATTTTATATATAGATAGATTTTACATATATATATATATATTCCTGAATGTTTGTATTCTTTAAGATTATGAAAAATATTACAAGTGTTGTCAATGTAATCAATGTAATTTTATGGTCTCAAACAGGTAATGGTAATGGTCTGAAGATTTAGAATGGAACTATGTAAATCTGTTACCTTTATCTAGACATATATGTGCAACACTTCATTTGAAAATTCATTCATCTAATAGTAGCAAGGTTGTGTTTATCTTGTAGATAAGCTAAGTCTGAACAACTGTTATTTATTTGTCAAAATAGATAGTGGCTTAATCATTAAGTTTAAGTCGTGGTCACAATAGCAGGGGCATTGACATGCTTTACAAGTTTTTTTTTAATATATGTGTGGTTGATGATATCATTTTCTGTAAACCCTTATTGATTCTTAAAGCGCACATGTTAGAATGTAATAATTCTTGAAACATTGAATATTTAATAATCATCTGTTTATCTTATGCCCTCAAGATATATATAGATTTCCATTGTAAAGGTTTTATATGTCTCTTACTTCCATGGTGTAACCACAATATTATTGTTCTTACAGATGAGAAAGACATATAAAAGAAAACATGAGAAATTAATTGAAAACTGTGACCTGCTTCTGATTTCAAACTTTCTATGTCTAAATGGAGTAATCTTTACTCATATTCCAGTTCTATATTCTTTATTCAGATATTGTTCTTCCTGATCACAGTGAATTTTGTCTTCCAAAGACAGAGAAATTCGCCCTCAATAAGTTAGGCCCCTGTGGACTTTCATTTGTGGGAAAAAAATATTCTCATAACTATAATTTTATTTTATCACTCAAGCATCATTCTATTATTTTAGCCAAAGCAAGGACTGATTCTCTCTCTTAATCTTATGATTAAAGAGAATATGTGTGGAATAATAGGTCTAAAGGCAGAAAACCACCTTTCAAAGTGAATATTAAAGGCTATTAGAGTTTCTTATTTTATGCTTCTGTCATTAAAATACATTTTGCTTCCTTTAACTTCCTTGATACCATTTGCCACATTTTCTCCATCGATTATTCAAAGTAACTTGACTTGCTTGGGTTGTTGATTTTTTTTTTCTTAAATAATCAAGACTAAAAAACTATGTCAAAAATCTCAAATACCGTGACTTGCTTTTCTAGTCAAGAAGATTAATCGGAAAAAGGGTTTACTCTTTTCCCAATTAGGATATAAATTCTTATACTTACAGAAAAAAAAAATGAGTAGTTAGTCAATATATTGGACAAAATATATTTTTTTCACAGCTTACTAAGTAAATATTTACATATATATGCCAAAAATATTCTAGATCCCTATGTCCAATTCAATATGCAGACACATATAATTATTTGAATTTAAATTTAAATTAATCAAATAAAATTAATATTCTGCCTTCTCAGTTGAAGTAGTCATATTTCAAGTATTTAATAGCCACCTATAGATAGCAGGTATTCTATTGGGTAGTCTATAAGTAGACTGTTCCTGTCACAGCACAGAATTTCATTGATCTGTGAATCTTAACAAGGGAAACAAAATTTTTTAAAAATTACCTTTTGATGAGCTCACATAAAGAGAAAAATATATGCAGTATGAAAAACTACAATTTACCCTCATGAGTATTTTGATAGACAATATAGGAGTGGTATCTGTAGAAATGACAGTTGTTGCTCATTTTCTTTTTTTTTTAATTATTTTTTTAATTATTATTATACTTTAAGTTTTAGGGTACATGTGCACAATGTGCAGGTTAGTTACATATGTATACATGTGCCATGCTGGTGTGCTGTACCCACTAACTCATCATCTAGCATTAAGTATATCTCCCAATGCTATCCCTCCCCCCTCCCGCCCCCCCCACAACAGGCCCCAGAGTGTGATGTTCCCCTTCCTGTGTCCATGTGTTCTCATTGTTCAATTCCCACATATGAGTGAGAATATGCGGTGTTTTGTTTTTTGTTCTTGCGATAGTTTACTGAGAATGATGATTTCCAGTTTCATCCATGTCCCTACAAAGGACATTAACTCATCATTTTTTATGGCTGCATAGTATTCCATGGTGTATATGTGCCACATTTTCTTAATCCAGTCTATCATTGTTGGACATTTGGGTTGGTTCCAAGTCTTTGCTATTGTGAATAATGCCGCAATAAACATATGTGTGCATGTGTCTTTATAGCAGCATGATTTATAGTCCTTTGGGTATATACCCAGTAATGGGATGGCTGGGTCAAATGGTATTTCTAGTTCTAGATCCCTGAGGAATTGCCACATCGACTTCCACAATGGTTGAACTAGTTTACAGTCCCACCAACAGTGTAAAAGTGTTGCTATTTCTCCACATCCTCTCCAGCACCTGTCGTTTCCTGACTTTTTAATGATTGCCATTCTAACTGGTGTGAGATGGTATCTCATTGTGGTTTTGATTTGCATTTCTCTGATGGCCAGTGATGGTGAGCATTTTTTCATGTGTTTTTTGGCTGCATAAATGTCTTCTTTTGAGAAGTGTCTGTTCATGTCCTTCGCCCACTTTTTGATGGGGTTGTTTGTTTTTTTCTTGTAAATTTGTTTGAGTTCATTGTAGATTCTGGATATTAGCCCTTTGTCAGATGAGTAGGTTGCGAAAATTTTCTCCCATTTTGTGGGTTGCCTGTTCACTCTGATGGTAGTTTCTTTTGCTGTGCAGAAGCTCTTTAGTTTAATTAGAACCCATTTGTCAATTTTGGCTTTTGTTGCCATTGCTTTTGGTGTTTTAGACATGAAGTCCTTGCCCATGCCTATGTCCTGAATGGTAAAGCCTAGGTTTTCTTCTAGGGTTTTTATGGTTTTAGGTCTAAGTTTAAGTCTTTAATCCATCTTGAGTTGATTTTTGTATAAGGTGTAAGGAAGGGATCCAGTTTCAGCTTTCTACATATGGCTAGGCAGTTTTCCCAGCACCATTTATTAAATAGGGAATCCTTTCCCCATTGCTTGTTTTTCTCAGGTTTGTCAAAGATCAGATAGTTGTAGATATGCGGCGTTATTCCTGAGGGCTCTGTTCTGTTCCATTGATCTATATCTCTGTTTTGGTACCAGTACCATGCTGTTTTGGTTACTGTAGCCTTGTAGTATAGTTTGAAGTCAGGTAGTGTGATGCCTCCAGCTTTGTTGTTTTGGCTTAGGATTGACTTGGCGATGAGGGCTCTTTTTTGGTTCCATATGAACTTTAAAGTAGTTTTTTCCAATTCTGTGAAGAAAGTCATTGGTAGCTTGATGGGGATGGCATTGAATCTGTAAATTACCTTGGGCAGTATGGCCATTTTCACGATATTGATTCTTCCTACTCATGAGCATGGAATGTTCTTCCATTTGTTTGTATCCTCTTTTATTTCCTTGAGCAGTAGTTTGTAGTTCTCCTTGAAGAGTTCCTTCACATCCCTTGTAAGTTGGATTCCTAGGTATTTTATTCTCTTTGAAGCAATTGTGAATGGGAGTTCACTCATGATTTGGCTCTCTGTTTGTCTGTTGTTGGTGTATAAGAATGCTTGTGATTTTCGTACATTGATTTTGTATCCTGAGACTTTGCTGAAGTTGCTTATCAGCTTAAGGAGATTTTGGGCTGAGACAGTGGAGTTTTCTAGCTATACAATCATGTCATCTGCAAACAGGGACAATTTGACTTCCTCTTTTCCTAATTGAATACCCTTTATTTCCTTCTCCTGCCTAATTGCCCTGGCCAGAACTTCCAACACTATGTTGAATAGGAGTGGTGAGAGAGGGCATCCCTGTCTTGTGCCAGTTTTCAAAGGGAATGCTTCCAGTTTTTGCCCGTTCAGTATGATATTGGCTGTGGGTTTGTCATAGATAGCTCTTATTATTTTGAAATACATCCCATCAATACCTAATTTATTGAGAGTTTTTAGCATGAAGTGTTGTTGAATTTTGTGAAAGGCCTTTTCTGCATCTATTGAGATAATCATGTGGTTTTTGTCTTTGGTTCTGTTTATATGCTGGATTACATCATTTTCAAATAAAAATGCAACATACCCAGTAATTAAATATTATTCATTCTAACAGGTATTTTGTTGTGTGACTTGTTTATATTTACTACATAGAAATTTATCATTTTCAAATAATTTTTACTTATTTTTCCTTTTACTTAATATATGTCCTATTGACTTTTTTTTAAATAATAGCTAGGCCCTTCAGAACCATGTTCAATGTAGTAGTCACAGTGGCATCATTTTAAAATTCTGATTGAAATAAAAATGTTTCCAAAGTTTAACTGGTAACTATAATTCTTGCTATAAATAATGTTTCATTTGATTTCCAGTAAAATGAGAAAAAATAAGTGTACAAACTAAACTTTCCTCACTGAATTTTGTCTTTAATCTACATGCTTCTACTGATTGAATATGATTTTTATTTATGTTTGTTATATTTCAAACTCTTTTCAATTATAATTAAATATCTTATGATTTGTTTATAAGTTGGTCTACAAATAAAAAAGTATTTATTATAAGACAGTAGTAACTAACGTCTACCCATAGAAATAAAAATGTGATTCTATTTCGCTAGATATCACTACTCAACAGAAAATGTTATAAAATTCAAGTTCAAATTGCTTTCCTTTTTAAAATTTCATCCTTTGTTCAAAATTACAGCATATTTTAGTTTGCCTCCTATTTCTTCTAAGGATTCTTTCTACAGCTATTTATTTTTCTCCTAGGGATTATAATTGCCTTCAGTGTATATCTTTTCTTAAATGAATAAGCAAATATTTACACTTTGTCACAGAGATAATTCAAATTATTTTTCTTACAGATTTTATAGTTCAAGACATTTTATCAAATCTCTCTAACTTCAAATCATTCTTTCTTCTGCTCTGAAACATTTTTCTTTATTACATTGCTGAATATTTGCCCCTCCCCATGCACTAATTTCTTCTTTGAATCCATAACTTGGATTTCCTGGATTCCTCCTCTGTACTATTATGACTTTTCTCTCTTATTTTGTTATGTTTAGCTTTTATATCTGTGTTCTAAGATAATTTTAATTAATTGTATTTTTCAGTCTTTGTATTATTTTTGAGAACTCATTTTTTTGCTAACGTACCCTTATTTTCTTAAAAGTACACTATTGTCTTGAAAGTATTCAGGACATGGATGAAATTGGAAACCATCATTCTCAGTAAACTATTGCAAGAACAAAAAACCAAACACCGCATATTCTCACTCATAGGTGGGAATTGAACAATGAGATCACATGGTCACAGGAAGGGGAATATGACACTCTGGGGACTGTGGTGGGGTAGGGGGAGGGGGGAGGGGTAGCATTGGGAGATATACCTAATGCTAGATGATGAGTTAGTGGGTGCAGTGCACCAGCATGGCACATGTATACATATGTAACTAACCTGCACAATGTGCACATGTACCCTAAAACTTAAAGTATAATAAAAAAAAAAAAAAAAAGAAAGTATTCATGGTAACCCTGTATTAGTCAGGTTTCTGCAGAGAAGCAGAAACCATGGGAGATGTATCAAGGGATGTATTATGAAGAATCCACTCAGGCAATTATGAGGGATGAGAAGTCCCAAGATCTGCTGTCTTCAAGCTGGAGATACAGGAGAGCCTGTGGTATACTTTTAGTCCAAGTCTGAGAACCAGGAGAACCAATGGTTTAAGTCCCTGTTCCGGTCCAAAGGCAGAGGGCTGATATTAATAATTTAAATCTTAGTCAAAGGGCTGGAGAAGACCAATGTTCAAGCTCAAACAAACAGTCACAATAGAGGGAGGGTGAATCCAACCTTCCTCTACCTTTTTGTTCTCTTCAGGCCCTCATTGATTTGGTGATGCCCACCTGAACTGGAGAGGGCCACTTGCATTACTCAGCCTACCAGTTCAAATGCTAATCTCTTCTGGAAACACCCTCAGCTCACAGATACACCCAGAAATAATAATGTTTAACCAGATACCTGGGCATCCAGTGGCCTAGTCAAGTTGACACATAAAATTAATCATCACATCCACTAAGTAAATATTCCTCTATCATTTTACAATCCCTATAGTATTTTTGAAACATATGGGATTAATTTATTCATCTAACGTTTTCATTTTGTTCTTGGCTGTCCATTTATGTTTGTAATTAATACAGGTCTCTTTTGCTATAGTACTGGTATATTTACATAATCCACACCCAGAACTGGTAGGTTAATTATGTGTGGGAGGAATGTATCTACTTGCAAGTCTCATTTTAGAGGGTTTAGGTGGTAAGCAGGCCATGAGAGTGCCCTTAACCCAATCAGCCCAGAGGTACCAATCTTCACGAAAATCCCTAGCATCCTCAATCATGCTATTTAATTTCTTTAGAAAACACATTACAGGTTTCATCTTGGTGTCCAATATTCTTATTCTTGTCTTTTGTGCAGATGCTGCTAAAATTGGAAGTAACTCCCTGTACATCCTCCAATTACCTGATCCCTGTGCCTAGGCTCATGTTTGCTCTCTGCACTTGCAATGATCTTAGAAATTAATCAGAGTCGTGGTGACAAGAACCACTTGCATCTTTGCTCTAGTCTTTTATTGTTAAAGTTTTGGTGTGAAGATTTGCTTCTTTGTTTTTCAACATAACTCTTTCCACATTCCAAATGTGTCTAAAATGATTGCTGATGTTTCTCATTCCTCGTGCTTAGGCTTGGAATAGACTTAATAATTTTGTTGATTTAAGCTCTTTTTCATTTTCATTGAAATTCTGGGAGGATAAATAGGAAATAAAGCTAAAGTCATATGCTTTAAGACAAATATTTAAGTGCTATTTTCTCTACCAATGATGAGAACAAAATTCTTATAATTTCTTCCCAGTCATAGGAAGCATTCACTGCATCCATTCTCCCCTGTAATCTTCCATATGTTGTGAGATCATTTAAAACCTTTTTAAACATTATATCTCAAAGTTGCAAAAACAATAACCTTTACAGTTTTATTATTAAATGTATTTGTATTATTACTACATTTTATTATTTTATACATTTTATTATGAGAGAGCCAATGCTCTCTCATATTAATATACTATATCCTATCAATACTTCTTGCATTTATGAAAACCTATTTATTTTGTCTTTAAACTTGAGTAGTTTTATTTCTTTACTGTTGACATAGTTCTATGTTCAAGATCATTTTTTTCTTTCTGCAGAGCTATTAAGATTTTGCACTATTATCTCAATTTTGCACAGACTGGAGGCCAATATAAAAGATGTTCATATAAGAATTTACCTATTTGGTGTTTTAATTGTTTTGTTCTCTCAAAAAAATTAATTATTTTATTACTGGAATCCTTCTACTTTATTATTTTGTGTTTAAGCATATGGCATATTTCATTATTTTCACTGTGTGTAAACCAAAATCCCATTTTTTAAAATGCTGTGCTTTGATAATGTATACCTCTCTTTTCTTTGTACTTGTATTCCTAAACTACTGTAAGCCAAGTTTTGAGACTTCTGATTCTATACCTATGACATTTTACCTTTGAAATGTGTTTGCTTCAAATTTGATCTCCAGTGGTCCAAACTGTAGCTGTGGTTTCTCTGCAATTAGGTTCAAATACTGAGTTTTAAAACTGTGTCCGTTTACATTTCAAAAACCTCTTTAAATTTAAAAAGGTATCAAAGCCTCTACTTTTATTATGGATAATATATTCTAAATCAACACAATATTTTTGTATATACGTAGTTTTTATTATTTTAAACTTTTGTTGTTCTTCAACTTTTTGTTGTTGCAAAAAACTTTTCACTTTTAAGCTAAAGGCATAATTAAAGGATGATTTCTAGTACTCTGGGAATATTAAATCATCTGGACTCGAACATATTGGTGGCTAGATGCATATAACCAAAGAAAGTACTGATTTATACAAAATTGTTAAAACCTTGGCCACAGTAGTTGTATGGAGATGGTGGATGAAGCAACAGGGAGTGCTTCTTGATTTGATCAAGGGCCTCCTTGCTTTCCTGATGGCAAAACAATCAACCTGTTTCTGTTTGCTTTTTCAAGCCTCATCACCTGCTTCAGAAGTGTCCCACCTCAAAGAGCTGCTATTTTTGTCCCCAGCCTTGAGGAAAACATTGGCATCCTTACTCAGTGCTCAGAATTGAAACACTGCTTTTCAGCAACATTTTAATACTTCCCTGTTCTGCCACCCAGATCTAGTGACTACTTCTAGTCACACATCTGCGCACAATATCAGGTTGTTTTGCGGAGATATTTTAGCAGTCACTTCTGAAAGCACCCTTTCTTCTTTGCAGTATTGCTGGAAATTTATATTTTTTAATATCCTTTAATTCAGCTTTACTAACATATAATTGAGGAATAAAATTATATATTTTTAAGGTATGCAACTTGATGTTTTATTATATAGAGATAGATGGTGAAATGATCACCACAATCAAGCTAATTAAAATATCAGTCTCCTCATATTGTTAATATTTATGTGTGTGTGCATGTGTGTGTGTGTATGTGTGTGGTGAGGTGAGAACATTTAAGATCTACTCTCTTAGCTAATTTCAAATATGCAATACAGTATTGTTAACTATAGTTAACAGGCTGTACATTAGATTTTGAGAACTTACACATCTTCATATAAAATTGGAAAAGGCAAATTGTTTTTATCATGCTCTACACTTAAAAAACTTTTGTGACCAGATGCATGGGAGCTTTTTCCCCCACCGAGCAATTCTACAGTACAAACCACCTGTCTTATAATTCAGTTCCAGAATTATAGGGTGTCCTATAATTCAGTTCAATTCAATTCATTTCCGAATCTAATCAGAGTTAGCACAAACACCACAGTTTAAGAGATTAGTCCCACAAGACTGCCCCCATGTGTGATGCCAATTGCGAACCCCAGGTTATCACCTATGCTTGAGACCAACCAGCTATAAATTGAAGGTTCCCATGACCCTCTCTTTGGGTGCTGTTATTGCTAGAGCAACTCACAGAACTCAGGGAAACAATTATATTTACTGATTTTTATAAAGGGTATTACAATGGATACAAATGAACAGCCTGATAAAGAGGTACACAGGACAAGTATAGGGGAACAGGCACAGAGCTTCCATATCCTCTCTGGGCACGTATCCACCACCACCTTCCCAGGACCTCTAAATGTTAAGCAACCCAGAAGCTCTCTAAATCCTCTTTTGTGGGTATTAATGTAGGATTCATTACATAGGCATGATGCCTAAATTACCGGTCATTAGCAATCAGCTCAACTTTTAACTCCTCTTCCTCTGAGGCTCAGGGGTGGGGCTGAAAGTTCCAGTCCTCTAATCACATGGTCAGTTCTGGCCTGCCAGCCCCAGTGAGCCCCCTAACCTTCCATCATCTCATTAGCATACATGAAGACACATCATTAAAAAAATTCCAAGGGTTCTAGAAATTGTGCCAGGAAACTGGACAAAAATGAATGTATTTCTTATTATTTTACAACCTGAATAACTAAATATTAGCACCTCTTGACCAATGTATTTTCCTTGCTCCCTCCTCTGAGTCTCTGCCCACCACCGTTCTACTCTGTGCTTCTGAGTTTGACTATTTTAGATTCCACATGTAAGTGAGGTTATGTGGTATTTGTCTTTCTGTGCTTGGCTTATATATTAAGTATAATGACCTACATTTCCATCCATGTTGTTGCAAATGACAGGATTTCATTCTTTTTTATGGCTGAATAGTATCCCATTGTGTGTGTGTGTGTGTGTGTGTGTGTGTAAAAATATATAATACATATATAATATATATAACATTTTCTTTTTCCATGCATCTATTGATGGACGTTAAAATTGTTCCATATCTTAACTATGGTGAATAGTGCTGCAATAAACATGGGAGTGCAGATATTTTCTCAACATACTGATTTCATTTCCTTTGGATCTGTACCAAAGTGGAATTGCCAGATCATATGTGTTATGTAGCCTTGAAATATTCCAAACATTTACATAGTTTGCTGCATCAGTGATACGTTTTTCTGTAATGAGAATGAGCAGTGTTTTCTTCCCTCCCTTCTGGAATGTAAAGACTTTTCAGACTCCATGTGTAAGAACTTGAAGCTACTCCCCCACCTCTCAGAAACTCCACCTCTTCTCAGGAATGTTACCCCACACTTCATCAGCCCCTGTATGTTAGTAACTGACCTCAACTACTGTATTTCAAAATATATATAAACTCAAGAGTTTGATTGACACTTTGAGAGCTTAGGCCTTGACAGGCTTACACTTGGCTGGATGCTTCTCCGAATAGCTAGAGCTCAGGCTGTGATAGGTCTTGGGGCTTTGAAGCCTTACCCACCAACATCGGAACTACCCCCTAGTATCAAGGGAATGTGTCTTCATGGATCTCTGCTCTATTGGTCAAGCCAGTATCTCCTGAGAAACTGCTCATAAAAAGAAACATTTGAATCTTGAATCAGATTTTACTTCCAGTAAAGGACTGCTTCCATCCTAACTGAGCAAGTAAAGTTTAATAATTTTGGAACTCATTGACTATGCAGCTAATATACCTCATCTATAAACTGTATTCCTGAGAGGTCTTATTTTCTTTATTCTCCCCCTCTTTAAGTCTTGTGAACAAAAGAAAACAAATTCTTTCTGTTTGGCAATAAACCGTGTGTTCCCTGAAATCATTCTTTGATCATCTCTTTATTTTCACCATGCAGAATAATATGATAGTTCTGTTTTTAATTGTCTGAAGAACTTCCATACCATTTTCTATAATGGCTGTGATAACTTACATTCCAAAAACTGGTGCATAAGGGTGCTCTTATCTCCACAGCCTCACCAACATTTGTTTTCTTTTGCCTTTTGGATAAAAGCCATTCTAATAGGTGTTAGGTGATATCTAATTGTGGTTTCAATTTGCAGTTCCCTGATAATTAGTGATGTTGAGCATCTTTACACATAGCTGTGCCACTTGTATATCTTCTTTTGAGAAATGTCTATGTATGTCTTTTAACCATTTTCTACTGGGGTCATTTGCTTTTATTCTATTGACTTTTATGAGTTCCCTATATAATTTAGATATTAACTTCTCATCAAATAGATGGATTAAAAATACCTTCTTCCATTCTGTGAGTTGTCTTTACACTCTGTTGATTGCCTACCCTGTTGCGCAGAAGCTATTTAGTTTGATGCGAACCCACTTATTTTTTCTTTCATTATCTGTGCTTTTGGTATTATATCCAAAAATTAATTCCAAGATGAATATCAAGAAGCTTATTCCTTAGGATTTCTCCTAATAGTTTTATAGTTGCAGGTCTTAAATTTAAGTCTGTAGTCAGTTTAGTTTATTTTTGTATATGTTATAAATTAAAGATACAATTTTCTTCTTCTGCATATGCATATCCAGTTTTCACAACATTGTTTATTGATGAGACTCCCTTTTCCCATTTTGTGTGCTTGACAATGTTGTCAAAGATCAGTTGACTAAAAATGTGTGGATTTATTTCTGCTCTATCTTTTCTCATCCATTAGTATTAAATGTCTGTTTATATGCCAGTACCATACGTTTTGATTACTGTCCTGTGAAACATATTTTGAAATCAGAGGTGTTATGCCTCCAGCTTTGTTCTTCCTGCTCAAGATGTCTTAAACTATTCGGAATCATTGTGATCCATATGAATTTTAGAATTTTCTTTTCTATTTTTGTAAATAATGCAATCAGATGTTCATAGGAATTGCATTGAATCTATAAACTGAATTGGGTGGTAATATGATTTGGCTGTTTCCTGACCTAAATGTCATATTGAATTGTGATTTCCATACTCCCCACGTGATGTGAGAGGCACCCCTTGGGAGGTAACTTAATCATGGGGGTGTTTACTCTCATGTTGTTCTCCTGATAGTGAGTGAGCTCTCACGAGATCTGATGGTTTTATAAGGGGCTTCCCCCTTTTTGCTTGGCATTTCTCTCTCCCACCACCATGTAAAGAAGAATGCGTTGCTTTCCCTTTTGTTGTGATTGTAAGTTTCCTGAGGCCTCCCCAGCCAATGTGGAACTGGAAGTCAATTAAAACTCTTTCCTTTATGAATTACTTAGTCTCTAGTATGTCTTTATTAACAGTGTGAGAACAGACTAATATAGATAGTGTGAACATTTAAATATATTTGTTCTTCCTGTCCATGAATAGTGGATGTCTTTCCATTTATCTGTGTCATCTTTAATTTCCTTCATTAATATTTTTTAATTTTCATTGTACAAGCCTTTCACCACTTTGGTTAAATTTGTCCCTAAGTATTTTATTATTGTAATTGCTATTGCAAATAGGAGTGCTTACGTAATTTGCTTTTCATAAAGTTCATTTTTATTGTATAGGAATGCCAGCAACTTTTATATGTTGATTTTATATCCTGCAACTTTACTGAATTTACTGAATTTAAAATGTATTAGTTCTAATAGTTTGTTGTTGTTGATGAGATTTTAGAATTATTACATATAAGATTATATCATCTGCAGACAAAAATGATTTTACTTTTTCCTTTCTGATCTGCTGGATGTTTTTCAGTTTATTTTATTTTATTTTATTTTGCTAATTGCTTTGGGTAGGCCTTCAAATTAAATAAAAGTGAGAGTGTGCATCTTCAGCTTTTATCGAATCTTAAAAAAAAAGGCTTTATTTTCCTCATGGATTATAATGTTGGTTGTGGGCTTCTCATATATGGCATTTATTGTGTTGAAGTAAGTTATTTGTGTATCTGTTTTTGAGAATTTTTATTGTGACTCAGTGTTGAATGTTGTCAAATGGCTTTTCTCCATCTTTTGAGATGATCACATAGCTTTTGTCTTTCGTTCTGCTAATGTAGTATATCACATTGATTGATATGTATATACCGAGCCACCGTTGCATTGCAGTGATAAATTCCAGTTGGTCATGGTATATAAGCCTTTTAGTATGCTATTGAATTTGACTTGCAAGTATTTTATTATGTATTTATGCATGTATGTTCATCAGGGATATTGACCTGTCATTTTACATTCTTGTGGTATCTTTGGCCTTGGTATTGGGGTGATGCTAGACTCATAGAGTTTGGATGTATTCCTTTTGTTCTGTTTTTTGGGGAGAGTTTAAAAAGTATTTAATCTGTGGTATCTAGAGTGACAGAACTAATGATATATATATACGGGAACTTATTAAGGGGAGCTTATTAAGTAGTAGTAACTCACACAATCACAAGGTCCCACAATAGACCATTTGCAAGCTAAGGAGAAAGAAAGCCAGTCTGAATCCCAAAGCTGAAGACCTGTAGTCTGATATTCAAGAGCAGGAAGCATTCAGCACAGGATAAAGATGTAGGCTGAGAAGCTAAGCCAGTCTAGCCTTTTCACGTTTTTCCGCTTGCTTTATGTCCTGGCTGCACGGGCAGCTGATCAGATGGTGCCCACCCAGATTAAGGGTGGGTCTGCCTTTCCCAGCCCACTGACTCAAATGTTAATCTCCTTTGGCAACATCCTCACAGACATACCCAGGATCAATAATTTGCATCCTTCAATCCAATCAAGTTGACAGTATCAGCCATCACAGTATTGGTATTCTTGAATGTTTGATAGAATTTAGCAGTGAAGCTATCTGGTCCTGGGCCTTTCTTTGTTGAGAGGTTTTGGATTACTGATCCAAATGGCTTATTTCTTATTGGTCTGTTCAGGATCTCTATTTCTTATTTATTTATTTATTTATTTATTTATTTATTTGTTTGTTTGTTTGTTTATTTGAGATGGAGTCTTGATCTGTCACCCAGGCTGGAGTGCAGTGGCGAGTTCTCGGCTCACTGCAAGCTCCGCCTCCCAGGTTCATGCCATTCTCCTGCCTCAGCCTCCCGAGTAGCTGGGACTACAGGCACCCACCACCACGCCTGGCTAATGTTTTGTATTTTTAGTAGAGACGGGGTTTCACCATGTTAGCCAGGATGGTCTCAATCTCCTGATCTGGTGATCCACCTGCGTCGGCCTCCCAAAGTGCTGGGATTACAGGCATGAGCCACCATGCCTGGCCTCTATTTCTTCTTGATTCAGCCTTGCTAGAGTGTATGTTTCTAGGAATTTATCAATTTATTCTAGGTTATCCTATTTGTTGACATATAGTTATTCATAATAATTCCTTATAATCCTTTTATTTTTGAGGAATGCATTGAAATATCTCCTCTTCCATTTCTGATTTTGAGTCTTCTATTTCTCCTTTTCCGTCACTTTACATTTTTTTTTTTTTGTAGGTAGTCTAACAAAGAGTTTGCCAATTAACCTTTCAAAACACCAACTTTTAATTTTGTTGGGTTTTTTTGTATTGTTTTTCTATTCTCTGTTTTAATGATTTTTTGCTCTAATATTTTCAATTTTCTTTCTTATGCTAACTTTGGAGTAAGTTTGTTCTTCTCTATATTTCCTTAACTTGTAATGTCAGTTTGTTTATTTGAACTCTTTCTTCTTTTTTAATATGTATTTTTCACTATATAATTTTCTTGAAGTTCTGCTTTTGCAGTGTCCCATATGTTTTGGTATGTTATGTTTTTGTTTTTATTTATTTTAAGATTGAAAAATAATTCCTTTCCGTTTCCTCTTTAACACAATGGTTGTTCAAGAGTGTTTGTTAGTTGTCGAATTTTCTAGTTAATTACTGCTGTTGGTTTCTAGTTTCATTCTATTTTGCTCAGAAAAGATACTTGATATGATCTTGATACTTTTACACAGATAGGGGACATCTAAGACCCATGGAGGGGTTGAAGGTGGGACAATAACCTGTCCTGCTTTTTTCATGAAAACATGGCAGTAGAGGCACCAATGGACCAGAAACCTAAAGTTATGCACTAGTCTTACTAGGGACCTGCCAGGAGGTATAACTGAGTCTGAATTTATGTTCCTTATGTAATCTTTGGTACCGTATATGGGAGTCAGTGCTCATAAAAAATTAATAAGAAACCTCTTCCTGACCAACACAGATATTGTTTCCTCAACAGCCACTGCTGTGGTAGCTGGTAGACATTACCTAACTCCCTTGGGAAAGTTGTTTTAGACAACATAATTGCTCTAGGTTTTCTTTTTGCCTAATTTGGGGTAGTGTGTGCAATTGCCAACACCTCCTGCTGTATCTGGATAAACACCTCAGTGATTATAGAAATACAAACAAAGGAGATCTGGAAGTATGTCCACGAGTTGCAGACAGTGGGGCTAGCTGAAGGATCCTTCTTTGACCTCCTTAGAAATCTTACTTATATCACTAGGACCTTGGGCTAGATTGCAGCTACAGGCAGGCCTGATCATCCTGGTGGTAGCCTCCTGGGCCTAATGAAGTATATTTTGGCTATCGTTCAATGATGTTGCCCTGAGATTGTGTCAGTCAAGGTGTTACGTAGATCCAATGAAACAAATCTCCTCCTTCAAGTATGAGGAGGCTGGTGGGAATATAAAATGTACTACCTTTGCTAAGGGAGCTATCTGGGTCTGGTTATCAGGAGAACTGCAATTCTCCCCTCTCATCCTCCTCTACAGTTTTAGTTCTCAAGAATGACTGTAGAATGTGCTGGGTATGTAACAACCTGAGAGAGAGATAATCTGGCTGGAATAGTTCTGGTTCACTTTCTGTCCCTTGTTTCCCTAGAAATAAGATGTCCTTTAACACATTAGCCCATGGTGTCATGTTGCCCAGGGTGTTAGGTTCCCCTTGGATACAAAATTCAATGTGGCTACCTTCTGGGGTCGCTCAGCTGTGGAGCAAGTGGGACCTGGGAAGATGAGACTCCATCTACTCTGGGCAAATTTCCTGAGCCTTGAGGAATGAGTCCCAAGGTTCTGCTATACCTTGCTGCCTATCTGTGATTAGTCAAACCACTTCATGTAACTTGGTGTATGTGTGGGTGTTCTGTCTTACCGGACTTAGACAAGCTGGTAACCAGTGTACAGTGAAATTGATTTACACTTGTGGCCAAAGAGATTTCTTTTGGTGTGGAGCTGTGCTGGCCCAGAAGATAGCATAATACCGGTAAAAATATTTCCTACCCTTGTCTGTGCATTTCTCCTCAGTTTTTGTGTTGCCTTGGGTTGCTACAGCTTCTGAGATGTACTTCAGGGTTTTCCCAAAGCTATTTTCCTTAGTAGATAGGTGTTAAATCATTGATTTTGTGGATGGATGTCACCTAGGACTTCCTAGTGCACCATGTTGCTGACATCCTATTTTATGTTATTTATTTCCAGTGGAATTTAGAAGAGAAGAAAGGTGCAGGAAGGTATTTGCTTATTTACTTTGGATTAACTATGCTGTCATATTTCCCCAGGATCTGATAAATAGAAAGTATATGTGCAACATGTTTTGGAGGCTGTTGTTGTAGTTATTGTTACTCATATAATATTTATGTTTTTGAATTATCAGCTTCTTTTTGGCAGCATATTCAAAAGATTCTATTAAACTTGCATTTTAGAAGCTCTCATCGTGTTTCTAAATTATAAGTTCCTAATTATATACTTATGTTCAATACTAAACTTATATCCAGGAGAAAAATTAAACATAATAATGATTACATAGAGTTCCCTTCAAACTGCAGGGACAATAAATTATGGCATCTGTAATGAAAGGTAATTGTTTTCTAGTCAAGGACTCATCAGTTATTATATTTTAAAGCCTTTCCTCAGACTGTTCTTCTGTGTCAAAGGACTAGAATTAATCTTACCTTATACCACTTTCAGATATCAGTAATTAGAAGAGATCTTTAAATATTATGGCTATTGCATTATATTATAAGTATTTTATTATTGCTTTTCAGAAAGTGAAATATCTCCTGTTGAGGAGATGGGCACTTAATTGAATGCTTAAAAGGATATTTTTCCTAAGCTTTTCTTGAAGCTTAGTATTACTTCTTAATCACTGTACTTGACAAGTCAACCTTTTAATCGGAGCCTGATAAATCCATAACATAAAAAATTGCATTTCTATGCAAATGTCCTTCGGACAATGGATACTTTAAAAATATATAGGCTGGGCGCGGTGTCTCAGCCTGTAATCCCAGCACTTTGGGAGGCCGAAGTGCGTGGATCACCTGAGGTCAGGAGCTCAAGACCAGTCTGGCCAACATGATGAAATCCCATCTCTACTAAAAATACAAAAATGGCCAGGCGCTACGGCTCACGCCTATAATCTTAGCACTTTGGGAGGCCATGGCGGGTGGATCACCTGCGGTCAGCAATTCAAGACCAGCCTGGTCAACATGGTAAAACCCCATCTCCACTAATACAAAAATTAGCTGGGTGTGGTGGCACATGCCTATAATCCCAGCTAATCTCAAAGGAGAAGTCTGTGGTATATCTGTGCATAATATGAAGGTAGAAAATTTTTAATCATAGCATGGAGATATTATCATGTGGGTCATCGGCTCTGGATAGAGAAATCTCTTGGTATTTGATTCTCATTTGATGAATCCTGAGGCTGAATACAATTCCTGTTACATGAAGTGTATGTTTCCTGTGCTATAATAAATTAACATGAACTTTGTGGCTTAAAACAGATATTGTTCTTTGATAGTTCTGGAAGCCGGAAGTCTGACTTCAGTATCACTGGGCCAAAATCAAGGAGTCAGTAGCCCCTTGTTCCTTCCAGAGGCTCTAGAGAAATTATGTTCCTTGCCTCCTCCAGCTTCTGGTGGCCACCAGCCTCCTTTGGTTTGTTACTGCATGACTCGTCTTCAAGGCCAACATCTGTAAATCCTTCTCTGCTCTGTCTTCACATCACCATAATCTCTGTGTATCTAAAATCTTCTGTCTCCTTCTTATAAAGATAGATGTGATCTTACTTAGAGCCTACCTGTATTATGTGGAATAATCTCCCCATTTCAAAATACTTAACTAAATCTCATCTGAAAAAATCTTTTTTTTTTCTGCCGTAGATAATAACAATAAAAAATTCAGGAATTAGCACATGGATATCTTTTGAGAGGCCATTCTTTTACCCACTTCATGGGGTCATAAAACATGGCCCAGTGAGAAAAAATATTTTCTTACACTCAAGGCCAGGATTAAGATGGAGAAATGGATTTGAAGAAGGTACCTGAACTTCTTTGCATTTAAAGAACTTTATGAAATGTCTTCTTGAAACAAGAATTGGAGTGTGACCAGAGGCAGAACTACTAGAAAGCTTAAACTTCAGGACACCTCATTTGCCAGGGACTTAGAGTGCTCCTAGCTATCTGTGCACTTGGTCAAATACGTATTTTCTTATTTAAGATCCCCCTAATTTTGTGCATGGCCTGCCACACTGGTTCTGGATATGCCCACCCCAATCCCTGTGTGGGAACCATTGCTTCCACTATCTAAGGAGCATTGCTTTCATTCCCAAATGCAGTGAGTCATCGAAATATATGCCAAAATGTTAAGAGATAAGTGAAGTATTAGACTTAATCAGATAAAATGAACAAATTGTTTAAAAAAGAAAAAAAGCACATTTGAAAGCAGTATCATAAAAATTCTAGAAATAAAAATGTGGTAATTAAACTAAAATCTCAATAGAAAATGCAAAAGACAAATGCAAATTGCTTAGTAGTATTTAAATAATAAAATCTTTGAGTTGAAATGGATAAAACCTGTTCCAACAAGGGCTATTTATACAAATAATCTAAAACTTAAGATTGGAGTGAAACTGAAGATCTCAAAAGACAAAATCACACAGTTATTTGACATGGAAATTAGTTTCTCCAGCATTTCTAGTATTTTTAGTACTATATCAAGGTGAGCTTGGGAAAACATATATTTATATCTCATATATTTATAAAAATTCAATTTCAGAAAGCAACAATGAGAAGAAAAACAAAATATAATGAAATGGTTATTACTGGGTAGAAAGTAAATAGGCTAGGATTAAAGAGATGAAAAAGAAAAGAAGAATTCTCCGTGTGTAACTTGACTTACAGTTTTTACTTTGAAACAATGTAACTATTTTACATATTTCATAAAGACATTGGGAAAAAAAAATCTAAAACTTGAATAAAAACTAAAGCAAATTAGTTCTATATCAAATTGGCAACAAAGCTAATTATAACAAGTGATCTTAAAAGACATGCATATTGAATGTAAACGTTAGCACAGAGTACAAATAAGCATGAAAAAAAGTTAAACTTCGTTGAAGACATTTATTTTAACATTGATATTATCATTAGTATTGCCATTTGAAACCGTTGTGTTTCACACACATACTATTGTAGCATAAATCAAAAAGGCAATAGGCTGTTTTTAAGAACTAAGATTTTCAGTATAAGAAATGAAACGAGGCTGGGCACGGTGGCTCACACCTGTAATCCCAGCACTTTGGGAGGCCGAGGTGGGCGGATCATGAGGTCAGCAGATCGAGACCATCCTGGCTAACATGGTGAAACCCCGTCTCTACTGAAAATACAAAAAATTAGCCGGGTGTGGTGGCGGGCGCCTGTAGTCCCAGCTACTCAGGAGGCTGAGGCAGGAGAAGCTCCCGGAAGGTGGAGCTTGCAGTGAGCCGAGATCGCACCACTGCACTCCAGCCTGGGCGACAGAGAGAGACTCCGTCTCAAAAATAAAAACAAAAAAACAGAACATTATTTAAAGTCTAAGTAAATCATTATAATATTAAATATTGAATTACTAGTTCTTTAAGAAAAATGTACACTTTTTTGGATCTCTACTGAAAAGGGCTGGAAACTGATGTAAAACTAATTTGCATGCCAAGAATCCAGACTGTCGTCTCTAACTACCATTTTTCCCTAAAACTATTAAGGTTGGTGGGGGGAAATGGAACATTTCTAATATCAGGCTGAAAAGTTAACACTCAGCTAAGGAATCTTGTGATATAAGAAAATAGAAAGCCACTGGGATCATGCCAAAAAGGACAGAGGAGCAAACTTGAAGGGACGCTCACCGAGAATGGAACAATTTGAGTATTACAATGTATAAAGACTGACATTTATTGAAAGATATCAAGTATCTAAAATCTATTTTGGTTTCTAAGGAATGAACTTCTTCCTCTCAAAATTAATAAATAAGGGGAAAATTAAGCCTATAGTCTCCCTTTCTCTTGTAAATATTTTTCTGCATAAGAAACACAGAGAAAATTAATCATCTAAAGAAATAATACATCTAGTCAATTGTTGTAAGTGGATGATACAAGAATTGGGTAAAATTTGATCAGAAATTTTGTAGTCATTGAGTCATGCTGATAACACCTGAATGTGCTGATCAATCTTAGCATGGCTTAAATGTATCACATATATTTGTGGATATTAATGTGATGCAGTGGGAGTACAGAGCACCACCTATGAATTATTCTCACAAAAATATGGCCTTATCTCTAGATCTAACTACAAATTTATTTTTTCAAGTAAGAAAAGTTACAAGATAAAGAACTCTCTAAGGAAGAAATCAAATATATCCAGAAACTGCCTATACTAGGGATTCAAATTCTCCAAAAGTACATGGAATGGAAAAGGAAAGAGGAAAGAATAAGGTGATTGGTTCAGAATAACACCTTTTGAGAAACACAACACATAAATGCATATCATGGGCCTTGTTTTTGTTTCTATTTGAATGCATCAATTCTGAACAGACATTTTAGTCAATTGAAAAATTTGAATATGAACTAGGCCTTAAAATATGTTAACCTAATATTATTTTTTTATTGTGGTAAGCTTGATAGTGACATTGAGATTATAACACGAAACAAAAAATGCATGCATTTGTAATACGCATTGAACTGCTTACTTGTAAAAGAAACATCTGGAATATGTTGGCTCTAACTAAACAAAAGAATATAAATTAATATTTTAGATTTTATAATATTGGAAAAATGTTTGTAATTCTCAAAACTGGGTTATGGGTGTATGTGTTCATTATAAAATTTTTACTACTCTTATGTAAAGTAGAAACTTTCATTATAAAAAAGAACTGAGAAATGTCATATTACTACATAGAGAAGCAATCATTTGACTGACAGTAGATTTTGTGGCTGCACTAATAATGGCCAGAGATAATGGACTACTGTTATATCTTCAAAGTGCTGATGGAAAATAGCTGTCAATCTACGATTCTCTAGTCATTTACAGATCATTCAAATTTGAACATGGTATAAAGGTATATCATATGCAAAGGCATTGTAAA
Source organism: Homo sapiens (assembly GCF_000001405.40). Classification (NCBI taxonomy): domain Eukaryota; kingdom Metazoa; phylum Chordata; class Mammalia; order Primates; family Hominidae; genus Homo; species Homo sapiens. The sequence goes on along the minus strand of NC_000001.11, from coordinate 194,241,302 downwards.
ATAAATGCAAGGAGGGAGAGTCAGTATTAGTTATAGATTTGATTAATAAAATATATACTTTTAAATTTAAAGGTTTTCTGAATTACTCAAATAAGACATCATTAAAACCTTTTTTCAGAATAATTCTAACATAATAAAAAGAACAAGTAAAATTGAAGCACTAAAGGGCAACTATGGAGAAATTCAACACACATTAGTTTTAAGAAGAGTGATAACTAAAAGAGAATACAAAGTGAAGAGTTTTTTGTTTTGCTCTGTATTTGCATTCTTCTGAAAGCCTAAATAAAACAAATTCAAACAAGAGCATAGATATAACTTTTGAAAAAGGAAACAGTAGATGTTGAAAACTCAGGAAAGAGGTGGAAGCAAATAATTGAATGTGTAATTTCTGGTTAAAGATGACAGGAGATCAGATCAAAAGTTTAGGTGAGAAAATTAATCTTGAACTGTAATAGTCCATCTCATCCTTGGAGACTGCAGAAGAAAAAATGAGTAAAGAGAAAATGCAGAGGTTTATTTATTGATATGAGCAAGCTTGGGGATGTTCATAGATTTCTTTATGAAGTAGAAAGCAAGGTTACAACTAAAAAAAGTATAGCAAGGGATAGATATAAGTATCTAATCTGTGGCACCGTTGCTAGGAAGTATTAAACAACCCACTGAAGTTAAGGAAAATGAACTTGTTTGGATTTTCTTTTGCACCACTATATGAACTGCTTCATAGAGCTTGCATAAGAGCAGATACTGTGGATATTTGATCCTGGCCATCAGAATGTGTCTTAGAACAAAGAACAATGAAATGGTGTATTGGGGAAAATGTTAAAGGGGATCAGGTGATTCACCTGTGATTAAAGAGTGGAGTAAAAGAAGGTTTTTCTGTGAGAGAGGAACAGTTCCTTATACCTTTCCCAGTTTATTATTGGGAAAAAAAATATATATATATACAATGTGTATATATATACACATTTATATTTATGTATGTATATAAAATAAATTTAAATATAGTTTATAATATTGAAATTCTCAATTATCATATATATGTTTAAATATATAATTTAGTTATATATGTATATATACATATATGTATATATTTAAATATATCATTTTATGTGTGTATATATGTTACATATATGTATATATAATATATACATATTATATATAAAATATACATATATAAATACCTAAGCCTGAAACTTAAAAAAGTTTATAAAGAAAAATCATCCATAATTTTTTGAAGGGAAAAACTCTCGATGGGTATTTGAATTCAATTACTCTTTTCTTGGTCCACTTCCCTTATCTTTTACTAAAATATCCAGGTAAGAGATAGATTTGGAGATAATGACAGATTTAGGAAGTGTGAACAATGATGAACCCCAAACACTTTTGTAATTATAATGCCCTCTGGGATTGGATCAATAAGGAAAATATAGCATTTCAATACATTTCTGGTATACATATATCATTTGTACTCAATGACTGTCTGTTTCTGAAGCAGTTTTTTTCAAGTAAGTGGTCCAAAAAATCCTAAATTATTCATTGCAAGTACATGTGTAAATGTTTAGGAAGAAGTTCTATGTGAATGGTGTTCCTGGGGAACTAAAATAATAAGTGGCTCAATTACTTACATATTTGTATACTTATTTATTTACATATTTTTTATTTTGCCATAATTTTATAATTATTAACTTAAAACCTAAAAACTAAATCTGTTTCCATTTTGTTACATGTATAAAAAGCAGCAATGGTATATTATAATAGTTAAACACTTAGCTTTTGAAGTTAGCTAGAATAAATTCATCTGTTTCTCTGCTCATTTTGTTTGACTTGAAGCAAGTTACTTAACGTCTCTGAGTATGGAGTACCTCATAAATCTCACATTCTCAACAAGTTCTTAGGTGTTGGTGAAAAAATCTCACACATGTCATTGAGTCTCACTCAAATGGCATGCATCTCATACACAGACAACTATGCAGCATGTCTGTGATATTAAAATATTTTGGGAAAAGTGATTTAAAAAGTATGAAATGGCTATGGGGGAATGAGGGGCAGTAGTAAAAATAAGGTTGAGAAATACTATAATAAATTAACATTTCTATATCCAGTAACTGAAGATAAAGTTGCAATTATACAAGTTATCATATGTAGTAACTGATCAAAAATTTCTTTATTCAAAAAGGCAAATAATATATAGTTTTATTTAATTTTAGAATAATACAGATGACCCTTTGTATCTGCACATTCAACCGTGTATAAAAATATTCCAAAACAAAAGAAATAACAGTACAACTATAAAAAATAATATGAATAAAAACAATATGGTATAACAACAATTTAGATAGTATTACATATTGTAGATAATCTAGAGGTGATTTAAAGCATATGAGAAGATGTGTGTAGGTTATATGCAAATACTATGCCATATTATATAAATAGAGTTTTGAGCATCCTCAGATTTTGGTATTGGCGGGGGTCCTAGAACCAACCACCTGTGGATACTGAGAAACTACCACGTTGATTCTAACCTGGTGTGTTAGTTTCCTATAGCTGCCACAAGAAATGGCCTCAAAGTCAATGGCTTAAAATAACAGAAATTCCTTCTCATAGCTCTAGATACCAGATGTCTAAAATTAAGGTATGAGCAGGCTCACACTCCAGGGTGACAATGGTTTCTTTTCTCTTCCAGCATCTAGTGCCTCCTGGTATTCCTTTGTTTGTGGCAGCAAAACTCCAATTTTGGTTCCGTCTTCATTCCTGTATCTCTGGCCTTCTTTCCTGTATCTCTGGCTCCTCTTTTTCTGCACCCTTAAAAATTTATGTATTTATTTATTAGATTAAAACATAAAATTATATGATGTGTGTGTGTGTGTGTGTATATATATATATATATATATAAATAAAATGTACAACATGTGGCTTTGAAATATGTATACACTGTGGAATGGCTAAACTGACCTAATTATCATACGCATTATCTGACATACTTATATATTTTTTTGTAGTGAGAAAACTTTATATCTACTTTCAGCAATTTTCAAGAATACAGTATATTGCTATTAACTATAATCACCATGTGTACAATAGATCATTTGTACTTATTCCTCCTACTTAACTGAAATTGTAAATCCCTTGACCAATATCTCTTCACTGCCTCAATCCCCCACCCATCCTCTAGTAACTACCATTCCACACTGTACTTCTAGGAGATCAACTTCTTAAAATCCACATGTAAGTGACATCATGCAGTATTTGTCTTCTGTGCCTGGCTTAATTTAACATAATGTCCTTCAGGTTCACTTATTTTGTCACAAATGACAGAATTTCATTTTATAAGGTAGAAATAGTTGTATTTCCTTGTGTATATATGCTGCATTTTATAAATAATACTACAGTGAACATAGGGGACCAGATATCTCTTCAATATACTGATTTCAGTTCCTTTTGATCTGTACCCCGTAGTGGGGTTGCTGGATCATATGGTAATACCATTTTTAATCTTTTGAGGAATTTCCACACTGTTTTCCATAATGAGTGTTTTAATTTACATTGCCATTGACAGTGTGCAATAGTTCCCTCTTCTCCATATTCTTTCCAACATTTGTTATCTTTTGTCCTTTTTAGTAATAGCCATTCTAACCAGTGTGAGGTGATATCTCACTGTAGTTTTCTTTTGCATTTACCTAATGATTAATAATATTTAGCATTATTTCTTATACCTTTTGGCCATTTGGCATGTTTTCTTTTGAGAAATTGCTGTTCAGATCCTTTGCCCATTTTTCAATTGGGTTATTTGTTTTCTTACTATTGAATTGTTTGAATTTCTTATATATTTTGGATATGAATACTTTATTAGTTGTAGGGTTTGCAAATAGATTTCCTTCCATTCCATAGTTTGTCTCTTCATTGTGTTTATGGTTTCTTTTTTGTTCAGAGCTTTTTAGTTTAATGTAATCCATTTGTCTATTTTTGGCTTTGTTACCTGTGCTTTTCGGTTCATATCTAAAAAATAATTGCCCAGACCAATGTCATAGAGCTTTTCTTCTACTTTCTGTTTGAGGAGTTTTAATTTTAGGTCTTACATTTAAGTCTCTAATTGATTTTCTGTTAATTTTTGTATATGGTATGAGATGAGGATCTAATTATTTCATTCTTCTGTAGGTGGCTATCCAGTTGTCCCACCATCATCTATTGAAGAAACTGTCCTTTCCCCATTGTGTCAAAAATCAGCTCACCATATATAACATAATTTATTTCTGGGCTATCTATACTTTTCCATTAGTCTATGTGTCTGTTTCTATTGCCAATACCTTGCTGTTTTGATTACTGCAGCTACTTTGAAGTCAGGTAATGTGATGTTCTTTTCTGTCTCTTGTGAGGATACCTCCTAGTGGATTTAGGACTCATTCTAATCAGGAGTCATTCAATTTAATGATCCCAGTCTTGATTACAACTGCAAATACCTTAACTTCATAAAGGTCACATTATGTGATTCCAATTGGACATATGTTTTATGGAGATACAATTCAACCCACTTTCATTAGGATCTATGAGCTAAGATTGTGAATGGGTAGTCTCTTTGAGGGAAGAGGTCTCTTGGAGTAAAGGTGATGATCCTCATTTTACGACTTAGAAGTAGAAAGAGCATTTTATGAAGTGGTTGAATATTTAAGAAAACATATGATCACAAAAGAATTGGGATGAATATAGATATAAAAAATCAGGGTCTAGTGACCATTTGAAATATAGAAAGGAAACTATATAACTAGAGTTATAGAATGCTTACATATAAGGTATTGGCCAATGGCTGTAAGCAAGAGTGTCACAGAAGGACTCCTCTGAAAATTAGTGCCTAGATTTTAAGGCTTCTTACAGAATTAAAAGGAAATGTTACTGAGAAGTTTTTTGGTACGTTTGAAGATAATTCTCTGAAGACTATTTTAGAATCTTCCCCAAAAGATATTCCCAGAACTAAAAATGATGGAATAGACTTCCTTTTGTTGAATTGTGGCTAATAAGTTTATTTCTCTAAATTGAGCAGGGTAAGCATTATAGTTTTGTTTTTCTTTAAAAATGTTCAAGATAAGGAAACTTTGAATATAAATAGTAAGTTGTTAATAAATATTTGTACAGATGTTTTAATACATTTATTTTTAAAACCGCGAACTATAAATTATACATAATTATAAGTTTTGTTCATTTGTCTGTATTCTTGGGCATTTTTTCTGAAGTATGTAGGCTGTTGCTTTATATCAATTGATGAGGATATTTACGGCAAACAGGTCTGTGTTTTAACAGCTTTCAGTTCCAGCACTAGAACAGTGTATTTTAGTACCTTATTGCCTTCTATAAAAATATACTTATGATTAAAAACTTAGAATGTGTTTTCAGTAAGCTTTCTGTGTATATTTGAAATTTTAATAATAGAAATAATAACATAAACCTTTGAAATATCATGTGGAAAATATTAAGCATTAAATAAAGATAAAATTCACTTCAATATGAGGATTTTTTCCTTTCCTTATAACAATAGTTTCAAATCAAATTTAATACATGTTTTTATACTGCTGATATTTTTAAATAAATATATTAGAACAAATAATTAAGTATAAAAATATATGCAGATATGAAAAATAAAATCATTTATAGTCCTAGGGTGCCAAATCATAGGAATTCCCAAATGCCAACTCAATGCTGTTTCTTCATGAAGTATTACTTTATATGACTATTTGATCACTATTTACTCATTAATTTATAAATTCCTTCATCAATTTTTCATTGAACTCTCAAAAGCCAAATAGATATTAGACAATATTCTAGACACTGTGACTACAAACATGAATAAAGCATAGTTTATCATGATGCTTACTGTCTAGCAAACAGTCTTCACATAGTAGATTTAACGTGAATTATTAGTCAGTCACTGGTATTCTCCACTGATACACTGACTCATATACCATACATCCCCTAATTTTGCTTTTTGTATCCACATAGCATTTTACTGGATATATATCATAGAGTAATATATAAAGAATACATTGGATATTGACTTTTAGCCAAGAGATGTGAAGGACAATCCAGGTTCACAAACAATTTAAACTGATGAATACATATTTTTCCTATATAAAAACAACAGATATTTTAATAATTATATAAATCCCTCAAAAAAGAATTTTATCATTTACTACCTAAATTAGTTTTACAATTTAAATAAAGAAACATACTTAGATTCATTTCTGTGATGTAATATTTCAAACATTATTACACAATGAAATAGTGAGATAAATTAGTAGAGCACATAATAATTTGGTAATAAATGCCTAATGAAAAATAGTGTGTCATATAAAAACTGACCAGAGCCATTCGTTATTTAAATGATAAACTTAAAACAGTTGAAAAATGAGATTGCTTCTTGATAATCAACATTAATTGGACTTATTATAGTACACTTATATTTGAAAAGCATATATTTTATTTATCATTTTTAGCTTATAATTTTACTTCTTTTGTAAATGAAATAACATTCAAATAGAAGGTTCAAGAAAGAGTATATATTACTTTCTTAAGTAAAAATAACATTATCTGGTTAAGTATGTATGATCTATGTATCTTGCTATATTTTATACATTTTTAGAAAATGATACACAAAATTATTAGCAATAATTCCCTCTAGGGAGAAAAACTGGGATAAGGTAGGATGTTGTTATTTTTTAAAAATAATTTTTAAGTTATTAAGGTATGAAAACATATTTTTACTGGAAGCCTGATAAGGTTGATTAATGCTTTAAGGAATTACAACTATTCCTTGTCCTCCAGACAGCATTAAACTTTAGTACGTATGCTATTGTACATGTAGTCTTAGAGATCCCTATTTCATTAGCTATTTTAACTCATTTCTAAAAATTATGATTAACACACATTAGAATAAATAACAATTCCCTTACGACTTATTTTTTTCTTGGTAAAGCTTTAAAATACCTGAAGTTCTGATTTTTTTTTTTTTGTATACAGTGCTACGTAGGAAATATGTTTTTAAGTCCCTTTTTACTTTAATTAGATGATTCACTAACTTGTTTGAAAAGTAACTATTGAGTATCTAATATGAGCTAGGGAAGTTTTTATTATCTGAAATTTTAGACTCGATACTTTATTGAGACTGAATATTATCATTTAAAACATTAATTATTTCTTTTGTTTTTAAGTCTTATTTGGATCCTAATTTCATCAATATATTCTTGCCTCTTTTGTGTCTTCAGAATCTTTCCTCCTTTGATTCCTCTTTACATAGTAAATCTCCCTTATCATCTCATCTTGATTGCTCCCTGACTCCCTCATTGGTACTTTGCAATCTAGTTAAGCAGTGAAACTCCTCCTATATAACAAACATTTGCTGTCCCATATTTTCCAGCTCCTTTTCAGTTAATCAGAGCTTGCAAGTGGGTTCTACACAATAGGCTGTGTACAAAAGTGACATGTGTCATTTCTGGACCAATGCATAGAAAAAGCAGCAAAGAAATCTGCAACTGATCTTTCTCTCTGCCAACAATGTTACCACTTCATGAGATACAGGCTATATCAGACATGAAAATGACTAGGTGGATCAGAGCCCACCATTCCAAGTTGCAACCCTAACACGTGCTAAACATATACAGACCCAAACAAATCTTTGTTGTATTAAGCTGTTGAGATAGCGTGGCTAATTTTTTAATTCAGCATAATTTGATTCATCCTGACTAATAAACCAATGACACATTTTTTTTTTGCTTTATCCAGAGCTCTTCTTTCTTTTTAATTTTCTGATTTTAGTAAAATCCCAGTTTTGTTACTCATTTAGCCTAGGAAAGATACTTAATATCTCTGTTTCTTAGCCTCCTCTATAAACTGGTAATATTAATCACTGAATCATAACTTACTGTAAAAAAGAGAAAACTGAAATAAATGTTATTTTTAAAATTTTTATTCCCTTGAATAACTTGGCTTCTATACTGTTTAAATCATTTAGTTGACCTAACCTTTATATTTGTTCTGTTTCCTTGAGTGACTCACATGTCCCTACTCAGCCACTTAAAATAAACAGCACCAAAGCACTCCACTCGAAATCTGTTTGCTTATTACATGTATTTTTTCCTAAATGATCTTTTTTTCAGAACATCAACTAATATTTTATCATCTAATCTCACATTTATCCACCTCCCGTCTGAATTCCATATATCCTTGTATAACTTCCCACTGGACATCTCATGTCTTTCACAAGCTGAGCATATCCAAACATCTATACTCCACTCTGTCTCCGTAGGCCATGTGTTCCTTCATGGTCCTTGTCAGCATACCTCTTCTCAGTTTAATTATTTAAAATATTATCTTCAAGCAACAGGTTATAAATTATTAAATTATATTGCTGCTATTTTATAATCATTTTCTTATTTCTCTCTATATTCACTACATTGGTCCAAGCTGTCTCTCTCTTTATCTCTCTCTCTCTTTCTGTCTCTGTATCGCTCTCTCTTTCTGTGTATGTGTGTATGTATGTATATGTATATATGTATGTATTTATATATGTATACATGTATACACACAGGTACATACACACACACACACAGAGTACCTAGTATATAATACCTCTTAAAATCTTTCTCAATATCAAAATCCTATTCCCAAACTCTTGTCTGCCTATTCTGTGTTCTCTCCAAACAGTTCTATTCTCCATTCCATAAACAGGAAATTCTAGCCAAAAATGTATGAGAATAAGATTGTAGAACTTTGATTTTTCTCAATTTCCTCCCTCCAACTATATTTAAGTGTAAGTAACCTGTCTATTGGCACTAAACTATAGAAAGATTATTTAATCAGATAGCACGGGATTGTTCCATAATCTCCTACAAAATTTGATTCCTGCATTATAGCATTATCACAGTGTGTCTTACATTTCAGTAATTAAAATGTTTTTAGTTTCTCTATTGATATGTGGCTCATAGAAAACAGCAAGAAATATCTTAATTACAGTTGACTGTTGAACAACATGGGTTTGAATTGTATGGGTCCACTTATACATGAATTTTCTTCACTTCTGCCACCCCTGAGGCAACAAGACCAACCCTTCCTCATTCTCCTCCTTCTCAACATGAAGACAAGGATGAGCACCTTGATGATGATCCATCTCCACTTAATGAAGAGTAAATATATTTCCCCTTCCTTATGATTTTCTTAATGACATTTTCTTTTCTGTAGATCACTTTATCATATGAATACAGTATATAGTCCATATAGCATACAAAATACATGTTAATATTGTTCGTGTTATCAGTAAGGCTGACATGAATCAATACGGTTTATGTTATCAGTATTGTGTTAATATTGTTTATCTTATCAGTAGGATAACATAAGTAAGTTATTAAGTTATAACATAAATAAGGCTATTAGTAGTTATGTTTCTGGAGAGTCAAATGTTATTAATATATATGATTTTCAGCTTCACATGAGGTTCAGTGCCCCTAACATCCATGTTGTTCAGGGGCCAATTGTATATTCTATTTTTCAGAATTCCTAGAACACAGTGGAGATAAGCAGTAATGTCATAAAATTTGAGATAATATATTTATCAGATTATTTGTAGAAGTTAAAATACAGCAATTATGAAAATTATGACAGTTGGGCCTATAATCTATATTTTGTAATTTATAGATTTCATTCATGAATTATGCATGGTACAAATGCATTGATTCATTTTAATAACCCTCATTTATGGAAATGAAACAGATAATGCTGATTTTGAAAACAAGTTATATTAGAGCACTATGAAAGAGAAAAGTAATTAATTTTAATATTAGAAAATCTTTCTCATTTTATTAATATATTTTTGTATATCTACTATTTTGCCACAGCATATGCTATGCCTAAAAGACGGCAAGATATAAATGAAAAATTCAAATCACTATGAGAGACCATTACACACCCACCCACTAGAATGGATAAAATGAAAATGACTGATGATACCAAGTGTTATGATGATTCTGTTCAGAGTGTGCCTATAAGCATCTAACATGAAGAATTGTTTTACTGATAAACTCTAGTTACAACTGTAGAATTACCACAGTTCCTGAATATGCAGATAGAACTCAGTGTCCATATTTCGTATGTGTTTGGCATTCTTTGCTACTCTCCTTTTTCATATTTATTGTGTGTAAAATATTATTCCACAACATGTTAGAAAAAATATTAACAATAATCAGCTGATAATGATGGCAGTGGCTGTTGCCATCATGCCAGCTGCAGCAGGTAGTCATGGCTGGGGATTGCCACTCCATGGAGCAGGTGGGAACCCCGCCCCTTCTGAGTTGGGGTGGGAGCTCCCTGGGTGCTGATGCAGCCACCCAGTTGCCCAATCTGTGGCTGCAGACCCAAACCCTTTGCTCTAGGGAGCAGGCAGGAGTCCCACCCTCCTGGGCTGGCCCACAGTTTGTGGATCTGAGCCTGCCTATGCTCTTGGCAGGTGACTGGGAACAGGCAGGATCTACCCTCCCAGGTACAGCTGCTGCTGCCCTCCCAGGTACAGGACACGGTGTCTTTGTAGCCTGCACCCTTGGGGCCTGGGAAGCCCTCCTCCCCTACCTTGCAGGCTTGGGGGTGTCTCCTCCTGCTGCCTGGCCTCTCTTCCCTCCTAGCCTGCCCCAATCTCAGATTGGGGGTTGGGGCTGAGCCCCGGGAACCATGAATGGCAGTGGGAGTTAAATTGATTCCTGGGCAGAAGGGGTTGGGTCTCCAGTAAGGCCCCACCTCAAGCCAGGGAGGGCCTGAAGGCTGGGGGCCACACTATCAGGCAGGGGACCAGAGTGGGGACTCCTGGTGCCTCTTCCACCTGCCCATGGCCGCCCATGGACCAATTGGCACTTCCTCCCCTCTGAGGTCCATAAAAGCCCTGGACTCAGCCAGAGTAGGGCAGATAATGGCCAGAGGATGAAGATGGCAGAGAAACAATTGGACACCAGCTGCAGAGAGGAATACTCACTCTGCTGAGAGCTGGAGATGTTGGGATGACCAGCTCTCAGCAGAGAGGAGCTAGCTACCTTCTCTGCTGAGAGCTGCAGAAACAACATGCCAGCAGACAGGTGCCACCCTCTCCAGACCCTCCTCTGGTGAGAATTGAAAAGCCCATGGATGGCCTGCTGCAGAGAGTAGGTACACACTGCAGGTCTCCTCTGAGCTGTTGTAACATTGTATAAAGCTCATCTTCATCCTGTTCACCCTTCACATGTCTGCGTACCTCATTCTTCTGGATGCAGGACAAGAACCCGAGAAAGGCGCCACTGGCCACCGAGGTTTCCAGAAAGAAAATTGACACCCCAAAGCTTCCGTAACAATCCTTTACCATCAATAGTTTGTAGGCACTCCTTTAGACCCACTGAAAGAACACATGTTTGGCAGGGGACTGGGAAGTAATTACTGCAGACGGAAAGGCCTGACATTTTGGGTGTCCACTGACTGGGAGTAAGTTATGATACTATACATCACTAAGAAAGAAATATAGTGTGTTGTGGTACTCTTTTAAATTCTGGAGGCATTGTATTTATTTGACCCATTTCCTGTGTTCCTAGAAAAATTGCTCCCTTTTAAAGAAATCCAAGTCGTTGACATCTTTTTAGCAAATCCAATTTTCCCAATGACTCAATCTCTCTTACTTCAGAAATGATTGTTATTAAAATGTGTATAATAGACTAGTTTAAAGCAGCATGAAATTACTGCAGATATTAACAGAAGATTAGAGTGAATAGTCCAGTTCATTTGTTTGTTAATTTTGGTGGAAGAGTATGCTCCTAGAAGTGGAAATGTATTTCTGTGATTTCCTGAAGTAGTAGGAGAAATTCAGCATCATTAAACACAAATGATAGGTAAGCAAATCACTGTAGAAATCTGAGATCACAGGTAAGGTCGATGTTCAGATTTCTCAAGTTTTTCATACAATGACATTTATTTGACTGTATCTTTTATTTTCTTAACAAATTACAATGGATAAAAATACATGATCTTGCTTTATGTGTGGTTTTACATGATATGGTGGCACATGTTGGAATTAAATTTTATGAACGAGCTGGAAGAGGCACATTCTTCCATGAGGAGAAAAGTCATGTTAGTGTAAACATTACATATTGAAGTGGTGTATACTGTCATCTACTATACTTATTCAGAGCTTGCTGATGTGATGAAAAATTCAGTTTCTTTTCAATTATTTGTTTTTGCATCACAAGCATTCTCTTGAAGGAGAGCAAAATCTCTGAACAATCACACTCTCATATTTACTATGTTGTAATCCAAATATACATCTGGGTATGAATTGTTGAAATGAGTAGCAGTCAATCACATACAATGACTCATTTTTAAAATGGGTTTTTTATGTGATTATAGTAAACAATAATATATTGTATAGTTTCAGATAGCTAGAAGGAAGATATTGAATGTTCCCAACACAAAGAAATCATAAATGTTTGAGATAATGGAGATGCTAATTATGCTGGTTGGATCACTATACATTATACATATCAAGACACCACTATGTACATCATAAATGTGTATAATTAATATGTCAGCTAAAAATAAAATAAAATAAATGGGTAACTTTATATCCAGCATCATGAACTTTGATGACCTGGAGGTTTTATGTGTGTTAGTAGGAATGCGATCAGGTGGATATTTCAGGCTTATGTCATTAGAGGAATAGTAACAAAAGAGAGCTATAACCTCCTTGGGGTCATAGGATTTATGTGCAGAGACCAGCAGGCTGTTTCCTCATTGTGCTGTAGTTTTTTATATATGAAAGTTAGAGGAAAAGTATTTCAATTATATACAAAATGCACTACTCAGAAACTATGAAGATGGAGGCTAAGTTTTTTTTTTTTCAACCAGACAAGGGGAGTTAAAATATATACAATCCTGAAAAAAGTCTAGATAAACCAAGAAATAGTAATGAAGGAGGAAAGTAACAAGATTATAAGCACTGTAAAACATTAAATTGTTAGCTTACATTTTCTACTAGTTTTATTTCTTTTACTAAGTGTAATATTTGGAAATTACAAGAAATATCTGCTGGCAGCTTTTACCTTTCCTAAGCAGTTTTCATTGTGATCCAGTTGGTTTACAAAACTGAGTTGGCAAAATAATGGAACTGAAATTAAGAAAATACTTTGACAAATGCTCACCAGCTAGTTCAGAGGTTGCCAATTGGCAAGATATACACAGCTTAATGGAATCCCATTAAAAATGGACACGTTGACATTGTTATGATTTTTGTTTGTTTTTAAAATTTCGTTTTAGGTTCAGGGGCACATGTGCAGGTTTGTTATATAGGTAAACTCATGTCACTGGGGGTTCTTGTACAGATTACTTTGTCACCCAGCTACTAAACCTAGTACCCATTAGTTAATTTTATTTGCTCTTTGTCTTCCTCCCACCCTCCACCCTAAGGTAGGCCCCTGTGTCTGTTGTTCTTCTCTTTGTGTCCAGGTGTTCTCATCATTTATCTCCCACTTATAAGTGAGGGGTTTTGTTCTTGCATTAGTTTGCTAAGGATAATAGCCTCCAGCTCCATCCAAATGAACTATAAGACCTAAAAAGTTTCAAGTAACTCTAAAATATCCAGAACTTCCTGATTCAATAGCTGAACCATGACTTCTGAGTTGCAACAGAGACAATTCCATAAACTCAAGGTAACTACATGGAAATACAATGGAGACATTATGAAAAACAGGGCCAGAATAACTCAGTCAGTATTATTTCTTTAGAATAATAATTTCAGAAAAAGGAAAATGAGTGTGATCAATCAGCTGAAAATTGCTCTTTTCCATCAGGAGGTCACTGTGTATGCTAAGTGTGAAGAATTCTTAACTGCTGCTATTCAGGTGATTCATTTTCAACCTCACATCTGTTTGTTCTGAGCTTCAATTGTTATAAATGATGTAAGTATAATGCTATCTTGGATCCTGAGTAACCTGAGGAAGTTCATGGAAATACTGATGAATAACACATGAGGAAAAAAAAATGCGGTGAAGCACTTTGTGACTTTTTCCTAACCTGTTATAATTTCCTGGAAGACAGGGATTGCACTGTTTTCTTCATTCTGAGTATATTGCCAACTGGTTTATCCTAATGATTCTATACAGTATCAAAAAAGAGAAAATACAATGAGAAATAGATAAAACATGCTTTTTCAACAGTTGTCATATTTTATTTTAAAAATCACCTTGCATATCATTACTCTTGCATGCCGCCTTCCCATGCAATATAGTCTGTGTAAAAAGATCTTGATACAGAAAACAATGCCCCAAATGACTGTAGAGCAAAGGAAAAATAGAAGAAAATAAAGAATGAAATGACTGAAATAAAATGATAGAAACAACACTCAAAAAAATGAGGGAAATTTTCATGAGAGTTAAATATGAGAAAAAATGAACAGTGGCGAAACAAGACTACACATAATTCTATGTAATATTTTGGTATTCACATATTAAATTTTAAGGTGAATATATGTTTATACACATACATATTATATACTGCCAGAGACAAAGAGAAGGAATTATTTTTAAATTGGAAATTGAAATACTTAAATCTCCTAATTTGGAATAAATCAAGATTTATTTCAGAATGAGACAAACTTCTACAACAAAGGCAGTCAACACAGATTTTGCCTCACTTGCAGATTTTCATTTCATCTACCATTTTTACTTTAAATTTTACAAAGCAAAAAGCATACATTTTCCAAGATGAGCTTGTTGCATGCCAGCTGTATATGTTTTGTATTACAGTAGATATGGAAGGATTGGGTGTCTTGGATTTAGAAAATCTTCCAGCGTGCACTCCTAATCTTAATTAGTTACCTGCTACACTTGCTTATTTCTACACTATCTCATGTCTTTTCCAGTCTGTTGCCTTATAGTGACAAGCAGTGATACTACATGCCTGCCCAGGGCTTTACTTGTCAAATTGAAGTCACAGAAAGCATAGCACCTTGTTTTGGATGGAGCTGGATAAGATAAATCTTGTTTTTCTCTTCTTTCTGTTAACAGCTAGCTTCTTTTGGGGGAAAAAAAAGCCTTTTTTTTTTTTTCAAACTGAATACATAAAATCTGTAAAGTTGCAACTACAGACAGTTAGCTTGCAAAGGCTAAAGCCAAATAAATTACTGAACTGTGGTGGTTTAACAGTATTTTAAAGACACAGGGATTCTTTTTCCCCCTTTTATTGAATTTAGGTCAAAGAAAGATAAAGTTAAACTATAGTGCTACTGGGAGAAGAAGGACTCGTGGCTGTAAGCGGTTTGTGGTTTTGTCACTATGCTAACCTTAACAATCTATGTTACAATAATAGCTTCCTCAAAATGAACATCTGTTGCTTGGTTAAGCATTATTATAATGATGAGGTAAATATATCATTCACAAGTGAAAATCCTGGTAGTATATAATACATATGTAGCTATTTCTATATTATACAATAGTATAAAATATTAATTTAATTTTGTAATACTTGCCTCTGTTATGTTTTGATATGATATATAGTGTGGAGTTTTCACTTTAGGTTTCTGTGCCCTGTGCTTAAAACTGAGATGAGAATGTTGGCAATGAGATGCATTTTATAGCTCATGTATCATATTTATGCATATTATCTTAATTGTAGCAATAAAGCTAGCCTAAGACTGTGATTGGGACTACAAATCAGAGAGATTGTCCAAGTTATCACAGTTCCAAAGTGAGAGATATTTAGCAAGAACAAGGTAGTGAAAATCTTTTCCTTCTCCACATTGTTGTCTCTAAATCAAACTCTAGTATTGTTCAGTTCATTATTAATTATTCTCATTTTTTTCTAATCTACTTTTGGAAATATATGCATTTCCAGTTGACCAGGGTGTTTAGGTGGTCTAGGTATTTAGTTGACTAGCCCAGTTGACTCGGCAGTTGCCTAGGTTATTTATCTGGGAACTACATTTTTGTGGTGTTAGAGACCACCAGTCTAGGAAGGATTTAGTTTAATAAAAGAGTTTAATTTGCATTCAAATATACATTTATACATAATTTTAATTATGGGAAGATACTACTTAATACTCACTAAGTAATAGCCATGTATTTGGCAAAGAAGTACAGCTATGAACATAAAAGGATGACTGCTGCAATCATAGAGCAATAAAGTATAGGTAAATATATATAATGAACAAAAATATTTTTTCTTGTTATTATAATAAATTGCAAGATACTATAAGAGCATAGAAAAGATGTCTGACTGTAGGATATATGTAATCCTAATATATATTATATAGTATAATATATATATATATCTGTAGAAATTGAGGCACAGTAAATTTAAGTAACTTGTTCAGGGTCTCAAATAAAGTACGTGGCACTGTTAAGTTTCAGACCCACTAAGTCTATACACTAAACTCATATGCTTCACTGTCATATTGAATTTTCTGTTTGATCTTAATATCCTTAGTGAAATAGACTATATTCGTATGTTGTATCATTCTAGAGTCTCTTGAAAAATTTTCAAACAGTAACCAATAAACATTTACGCTATTTGTTAGACTCAGAGCCCTCCTTAAAATATGCAGAAGGCAAACTTAATACATGCAAGATGATTTTACAAAATCTAGATTCAGTTGTTTTTGAAGTTGATAATATGATGCTTCCATGTTTCCTAAGGAGTCTATCATAGCAGTACTTTTTAATGTGATTACAATTAATTCATTATAATGAGCAATCCAAAATTAAGTAATTGTGCTTTCAAAGAAATAGCATTACTCAAAAATCTCTAAATTTTAGATAAGCTATGTAATCACCTATTTAAGAATCAAATAACAAGTACCATCAAAATTATCCCAATAACCCCAATAAGAATCTTGTCCTAAACACTCCACTAAAGTACAAGAATAATGGATCAGAGGGAAAAACATCTAAAAACCAAAAGAGGAAATGTGTGTAGTGTGTTCATCTTAAACTATTATATTCAAATTAATATTTATTTCTAATTCAATAAAGAGAGGCTGTCCTCACATTGTGATTTATTTTGTGTCTTTTTCCTCCCTTCGATATCCCTTCCCCCTACCATTCCCAGCCTGCGGTAATCACCATTCTACTCTCTATCTTCATGACATCCACATTTTTAGCTGCCAGATGTGAGTGAGAACATGCAATACTTACCTGTCTGTGCTTGGTTTATTTCATTTACTATAATGGACTTCAGTTCCATCCAAGTTGTGGCAGACAGGATTTCATGCTTTTTTATGGTTGAATAATATTCCATTGTGTGTATGTATGTCATATTTTCTTTATCCATTCATTCATTGATGCACACTTACTTTGATACCATATTTTTGCTACTATGCAGTGCATATATCTCTTTCATATACTGATTTCCTTTCTTTTGGATATATATACCCAGTAGTAGAATGGCTGGATCATATGATAGTTCTATTTTTAGTTTTTGAGGAACCTCCATACTGTTCCCCACAGTGACTGTATTTTAAATATATAATTTACATCCCCACCAACAGTGTACAAGGGTTCCTCATTCTCCACATCTTTGCCAGCATCTGTTACTGTCTGTAATTTTTAGACAAGCCATTTTAACTTGTATAAGATAATATCTCATTGTGGTTTGATTTGCATTTATTTGATGATTAGTGATGTTGAGCAATTCGTAATATACCTGTTGGCCATTTTTATGTCTTTTTTGAGAAATGTCTGTTCAATTATTTTGCCCATTTTGGATTCTTCTTCTTATTTTGCTATTGAATTGTTTGAGCTTATTATATATTATGGTTATTAATCTTGTCAGATGGATAGATTTCAAATATTTTCTCCCTTTCTGGGAATTGTCTCTTTATTTTATCGGTTGTTTCCTTTGCTGTACAGAAGCATTTTTAGCTTGATTTAGTCGGATTTGCCTATTTTTGCTTTGGTTGCCTGTGCTTTTGAGGTCTTACTCAAAAAGTCTTTGCCAAGACCAGTGTCCTGGAATGTTTCCCAGGTGTTTTTTTTTTCTCTAGCAGTTTCATAGTTTCAGGTCTTAGATTTAAATCCTTAATCCATTTTTATTTGATTTTCGTGTATGGTGAGAGATAAGGATTTAGTTTTATTTTTCAGTAGACAGTTATCCAGTTTTCCTGCTACCATTTATTAAGAAGACTATCCTTTCTCCATCGTGTGCTCTTGGTATCTTCGTTGAAAATGAGTTACCTGTAGATGTGTGAATTTATATCTGGGTTTTATTTTCTGTTCCATTGGTCTATATGTCTCTTTTTGGTTATGATGGCTTGGTAGTAAATTTTGATTGGGGTTGCATGAAATCTGTAAATTGCTTTTGTTGATATTGTCATTTGAACATTAATTTTTCTAACCCTTGAGCATGGACTATCTTTCCAACTTTTTTGTGTTCCCTTCTATTTCTTTCATTAGAATTTTATAGTTTTTCTTGTAGAGATGTTTCACTCCTTTAATTAGAAGGATTCCTAGATACTTTATATTTTTGTTGCTAAAGGGATTGATTTACTGGTTTCCTTTTCAGATTATTTATTGTTGATGTATATAAATGTTACTGATTTTTGTATGTTGATTTTGTATCCTGCAACGTTAGTAAACTCATTTCTCAATTCTAGAAAATGTGTGATAGTCTTCATGTTTTTCTAGGTTTAAGACTATGTCATCTGCAAACAAGACTAATTTGGTTTCTTCTTTTCCAATTTAGATGACTGTTATTTCTTTCTCTTGCCTAATCATTCTAACCAGGACTTTCTGTGTTACATGAAATAAAAATGGGGAAAGTGGGCATCCTGTCTTGTTCCAGTCCTTAGAAGAAGGGACTTTAATTTTTCCCTGCTCAGAATACTAACTCTGGGTTTGTCATGTATGGCCTTTATTATTTTGAGATATGTTTCTTCTATAACCGTTTTGATTAGGGTTTTTAATAAAGCAATGTTATATCAACTGGGTTTTGTCTACCTATTGAAATAATAATATGATTTTTGTTCTTAATTCTCTTAATGTGGAATGTCACATTTACAGATTGGTGTATGTTTAACTATTCTTGTATTCCTGGACTAAATCTCACTTGACCATGGTGAATTGTCTTTTTAATGTGTTGTTGAATTTGGTTTGCTAGTATTTTGTTGAGGAATTTGCATCTGTGTTCATCAATGTTATTGGCCTGTAGTTTTCTTTTTTGTTGTATTCTTGTCTGGTTTTGGTATCGTGGTAATGGCCTCATAGAATGAGTTTGGAAATATTCTCTTCTCTTTAATTTATTGTTGAGTTGAGTAGGATTGGTATTAGTTCTTTAAATGATGGGTTAAATTCAGCAGTGAAGCCATCAGGTCCTGAGATTTACTTTTATGGGAAGCTTTTTTTTTTTTTTTTTTTTTTTTTTACTACAGTTTAGATCTTGTTACTCGTTATTAATTTGTTGAGGTTTTCAGTTTCTTCAGGGTTCAATCTATGTAGGTTGTATGTTTCCAGGAACTTATTTCTTCTAGGTTATCCAATTTGTTGGTATATAGTTATTCAGAACAGTCTCTGAAAACTCTTCATATTTTTGAGGTCTCAGGTATGCATCCTTTTTCATTTCTAATTTTATTTATTTGGTTCTTTTCTCTTTGTTCAAAGTTTTGTCAATTTTGTTTACCTTTTCAAAAAACCAACTTTTTGTTTCATTAAGCTTCTGTATTGATTTCAGTCGCAATTTCACTTATTTCTGCTCAGATATTTATTATCTTTCCTTCTGCTAATTTTGGATTTTTTTTGTTTTTGTATTTCTAATGGTTGAGGTACATTATTAAGTTTTTTATTTGAAGTCTTTCTACTTATTTGATATAGTTGTTTATTGCTATAAACTTCTTACTGCACTGCTTTTGCTGTAACACATGGTTTTGGTATGTTGCATTTCTTTTTTCAATCTAATCTATTTTAAGAAGTTGTCTTCTTAATTTTTTTATTCACCCTTTAGTCATTCAGGAGCATGTTGTTTAATTTCCATATATTAGCTTATTTATCAAGGTTCTTCTTGTAACTGATTTCTAGTTTTATTCCATTTTGGTGAGAAAAGGCACTAGATATAATTTCTATTTTTTGAATTTGCTTAGTCTTGTTTTATGGCCTGATATATGGTCTATTCTAGAAAATGTTCCATGTGGTGATGAAAAGAATGTGTATTCTGCAGCAATTGGGTGAAATGTTCTGTAAATGTCAGTTAAGCCTATTAGATATATTGTGTAGTTTAAATGCACTGTTTCCTTGTTCATTTTCTGTCTGAATGATCTGTCCATTATTGAGAGTGAGGTATTAAAATCCCCCAATATTATTGCATTACACTCTATCTCTCCCTTTAGATCTATTATTCTTTGCTTTATGTACTTGGAAGCTCTGATGTTGGGTGCATAAATATTTGTAATATAACCTCCTAATGAATTGACTCCTTTATCACCATTTTCTAACCTTATTTGTCTCTTTCTGGAATATTAGTTTTGTAGTCTATTTTATTCAATAAATGTATAGCTGCTCCTGCTCTTTTTTGGTTTCCAGTAGCATGGACTATTTTTTTCATCCCTTCATTTTCAGACTATGTGTGTTTTTAAGGGTGAATTGGTTTTCTTGAAGCCAGAATATGGTTGGGTCATGTTTCTTTATCTGTTTAGCTACTTCACGCCTTTGACTTAGGGTATTCAGATCATTTACATTCAGCATTCTTATTGATAAGTAAGATCTCACCACTGCCATTTTGTTGCTTGCATTCTGGTTTATTTGCGATTTCTACTCCTCTCTTTCTTTTTTCCTGTCTTCCTTTCATCCTGTATTTCTTCTTCTTTTTTTTTTTTTTTTTTTTTGAGACGGAGTCTCTCTCTGTCGCCCAGGCTGGAGTGCAGTGGCAGGATCTCAGCTCACTGCAAGCTCTGCCCCCCGTGTTCACGCCATTCTCCTGCCTCAGCCTCCCGAGTAGCTGGGACTACAGGCTCCCGCCACCACGCCTGCTAATTTTTTGTATTTTTAGTAGAGATGGGGTTTCACCGTGTTAGCCAGGGTGGTCTCGATCTCCTGACCTCGTGATCTGCCTGCCTCTGCCTCCCAAAGTACTGGGATTACAGGTGTGAGCCACGGCGCCCGGCCCCTTTCTTCCTGTATTTCTTTGTGGTTAAGTGATTTTCTCTGGTTACATGTTTTCATTTATTGCTTTTTTTAATCTATTATAGGTTTTTGCATTGTTGTTGCCATGAGGCTTACAAAAACATCTCATAGATATGTTTTTCAATTAGATGAAAATTTGTCTTAGATCACAATTAAGAATAGATATAAAGGTAAAAATACAAATATATATATATATACTTATATATAAAGTGTGTATATATTTACTTATATATAAAGTGTGTATATATATATACTTATATATAAAGTGTGTATATATATATATTATATATATACACACTTTATGTGACTCATATTTTGGGTTACTTGTCTCTATTTACATATTTATTTGTTATCTATCTCTTAACAGGTTGCTGTAACCTACTATGGTTTTTGATATATTTGTCTTCTAAACTTCATACTAGAGTTAGGAGTGGAATGCACACCACAATTACAGCAATAGAGTATTCCGGGTTTGTCTCTATACTTAAACTTACCATTGTGTTTTATACATTGCAAAATTTTCTTTTTGCATATTAGTTTTTTTTTTTTTTTCAGTTCTTTCAGATTGAAGAACTCCCTTTAGTATTTCTTGCAATGGGTCTGGCGATGGTAAATTTTCTCAGTTTTTGATTGTCTTGGAAAAACTTTATTTCTCCTTCATATCTGAAGGATAATTTTGCTGAATGCAATATTCTTTCATATCAGTTTTCTTCTTTGAGCTTTTGAACATGTTCCACTCCCCGCTGGCCTATAAGATTTCCATTGTGAAATCTGCTGCCAGATGGATTGGAATTCCTTTATATGTTATTTGCTTTTCTTCTCTTGCTGCCTTTAGTATTCTCTCTTTGTCCTTGACCTTTGACAGTCTGATTATTCAGTGTCTTATGGTATTCTTATTTGAGTTGAATCTGCTTGGTGCTCTCAGATCTTCCTGTACCTAGATATGTATATCTATCTCAAGAGTTGGTAAGTTTTCTGTTATTCTTTCCTTGAAAAAACTTTCTACCACTTGCTCTTGTTTGATTCCCTTTTGAGCACTGATAACTCAGATTTAGTCTTTTGAGGTAATTTTCTGTATCTCGTAGGCAGTCTTAATTCATTTTCATTCTTTTTTTCGTTTTTTTCCTCTGACTTTGTATTTTCAAATAGCTGGCCTGAGAGGTCACTGACTCCTCAGCAAGACCCATTCTCCTGTTGAGAGTCTCTAATGGGTTCTTCAATTCAGCAAATGCATTTCTAATTTCTCAGATTTCTGTTAACAGAGGCAAAAAAGGCAGAGTCACAGGCGAAACACAAGTTTAAAAGGTAATCTTCATAATTATCCTCTTTCAATTTTTTTAAAACAATAACACAAAAACTCTGCAGATATGTATGAGCATGTGTGTGTGTGTGTGTGTGTGTGTGCATCACTGTCTATACCTGTGGACTAAGTTATGTATGTGTGTGCCTAATTTGTTCAACATTAACTTGGCATTAAAATTCCTGGCTTTCTTTTAATTGTCAAGGGCTCCTACTCAAGAAGAAATATCTAGGCATGATAATTATCTATTATGTTAGTATCTATTTTTAAACTGTCTCTCCCGAGTCCTATTTTTAACTTCTCTCAAATTTAACTACTGAATAGTGATTTAGAAGTTGCATTGTACAGGCCAGGCGCGGTGGCTCACGCCTGTAATCCCAGCACTTTGGGAGGCCGAGATGGGCGGATCACGAGGTCAGGAGATCGAGACCATCCTGGCTAACACGGTGAAACCCTGTCTCTACTAAAAATACAATAAATTAGCCGGGCATGGTGGTGGGCACCTGTAATCCCAACTGCTTGAGAGGCTGAGGCAGGAGAATGGCGTGAACCCGGGGGGCGGAGCTTGCAGTGAGCTGAGATCGCGTCACTGCACTCCAGCCTGGGCGACAGTGCTAGACTCCGTCTCCATTAAAAAAAAAAAAAACAACAAAAAAAAAACCTTGCATTTAGAGTTAGACAAGCCAGAGTTATTCAGGCAACTCCATCTCTTCGCAGGTATGTGATTTTATTTACAGCTGATGATATTGAATATTTACTATGTGACAAATACTATTTTAGGATAAGCAATATAGCATGAAACAAGAGAGTATTTCTAGTCTTATGGAATCTGCATTTGAATACAAGAAGTATCCCGTTAGTTCTCAATGTCTCCATCTATAAATGAAGACAGCATTGCACCTAGGCGTAATGTTGTTTGAATTAATAACTTCTATACTGAACTTAGCCTATCTTCCAGTAGACTGTGTTCACTCAAGAAATGTTAATATTTCTGACACCATAGGACCCATTTTGCTAAATCTCATAGATGGTCAGAGGAGTTTCTAAAATTTTATTTCTTGATTTAAAATGTTATGATTATTTTTCTTTAGTTTTAATCTTCTTGTGACCGAATTTTGCTTTGCTATTTTGATCTGTAGACAATTAATGGTAAGTCTATTAAGAGAAGAAACTTTCTTTTATTTTTCTTTCACCAGCTTCTTTTCTTGAATCACTATACTTTAAACAATAAAAAAATGTTTGTGGAACTAGTTAATAAAATAATAGGCTGTTAAGTAACATTACATATCATTGTGATCTTATTAATTTAATTTTTAGCTAGTTCTCTTTAGCAAGAAAATACTCTTTTAAAAACTTCATTTTGGGGCTGAATTTCAATCAAATCTAAAACTGTCTAGAAGGCATACATCTTAGTCCATTTTCTTTGCCACAGCAGAATACCACAGACTGGATAATTTATAAGGAAAATAATTTCTTTTCTTATAGTTTGGGAGGCTGAGAAGTTCAAGATCAAGAGGCTATTATTTGGTGTATCACTAAACGGCAGAAGATATCAGATGGCAAGAGAGCAAGAACATGTATGTCATCCAATGTCTCTCTTTCTTTTCTTATAAAGCCATCAGTCCTACCATGGGCACCTCACCCTGATGTCCTTATCTAATAATAATTACCTCCCAAAGGCCTCGTTTCCAATCAACATGTAAATTTGGGGATTACATTTCCAACACATACAATTTAGGGAACACATTTAATCCATAACAGCATTAGGTAAAACCATTTGCTGAGAATGTGGCCGCTAGTCAAGCTAGGTGGATTCAAATGACAACTCAGTATTCCAGAAGACGTATGACCTGGAAAAAAATCCTTAACCACTCTATTGCTTTGTTCTTTTCATCTCCACAATTGAGATAATAATATGCTTCATAGAGCTGTTAGGGTTTAATGAAAATATTCAAGGTAGCTCATATAGAACAAAAATAAAGCTAGCCTCACAGAGAATTATTAACATTAACACCAGATGCTGAATATAAAAAATCATATACACTAAACAACTGGATTTATTATACAAGGTACACAATTTATATTTGCCAACATATGTTACAAGTAATGACAAAAATCGCAATTACTTTTGTGTCAACCTAATAAAAGAAATCTTTATGACTTAATCCACAAAGGCTTATATTATACATATAATATATATATCCCATCAAATCCAGAGGTAGATAGTACAGAGCTGCCATGTGGGCTCCAGAGTTACATAAGGAGCTCAGTCTGTTTTCTTTATTTCTGGCCATCTTTAGCCCAAGGTTTCTATGCTCAAAGGACCACATGGCCCAATGTTCCTGCTGAGGCATGAGGCCATTGACATAGAACATATGTAAGATGAAGAGGAAAATAGCAGAAAGGTGTACCTCAGAGTTGGGTTAAGATCTTTTATGAATATTTCCTAGAAGTACTGACAACTCAGCCTCTTATAGCTTAGCAATCTTTCTGTCCTAAAGAAGCTGGGATAATGCCACTCTAAAGAAAATCAAGTTTCAGTCTTAAAAGGTAAGAGACATATTGAATAATCAAATAGCAGGTGTCTTCTGTAACAGGTTTTCTGTTAAAAAAGGATTTAAAACTTAGCTAAAATTAGCTTAAATAGAAAATTATTCAGATAAAATGGAAATCTTGCAACAGGACACAAATTTTAAAGTTTAAAAGTTTAGACTTGTATATACAGCACATTACACAGTTCAACTCTTAAATATTCAGAGCATTTTAGCAACAATTGTCACCATTGTTACAGGCTTTGCAAATAATTTATATAACTACTCATTATGTAGTTTGATCCAAGGTTCTAGCTCACACTGGTAGTCAATTTTCACACCACGCAACTCTAATAGAATGACTATTGCTTAAGTGATAAAATCAGGTAGTTATTTAATATTTACATTATAGCAACATGAAGCAAATAGAACAAAGACATACCACAAACCCAGGAGCAAGAAAAGTTGACATTATATAGTCAGAATTTTAAAATTATCATTACATTATATCATCATCATAATAAAGAGAAAAAGATGTAGAGAGATTTAGAAATGCTGTTCCCCACCATGTCTGTCTAAAATGACATGGCTGTTTTTTTGAGGCAAAATATCAAGAAACAGCTATGGTTACCATGGTAACTATATTAAAAATAAAAAGAAAATGTGGAATGTTTTCAAGTGATAAGTACATTTAAAATGGTCACACCCGCTCACTGAGGAATCAAATATATCTTGAAGCTTAAGCTTAATATTGCAAGAAATGTGTCATTGAATGAATTGTAAATTCTAAATGGTCTAATCTTTCTTAAGGGAAATAAGTTAATTTCATTAGAGGGTGAGAATTGAAATGTAATCATCATAAAAAAACATATTCTGATAGTTGAGTATTTAACTGAAAATTAACCAAAAACAAAATCTTAAAGAAGTGAAATAATTTATCATAAATTGCAAGTTATGTCAACATACCATAAAAATTAGCAGAGGCTCACATGAGCATACTTGGAACTGTACTGCTTTTTCTTCATTTTAAATTGATTATATGGGTAAATTCTGAATGTACTTGCTATAGTCATATCTGCCTTAATAGATTAGATTAAACAACAAACACTGCTTTCAATGCCTGCAACTCCAGTTCTCCCATCCCATTTAATGGCATTACCATTCCTCTAGATACATAGGGCCAAAACCCTATGTTGTCAGTCTGAATCAATTCTCAACAAGCTTCTTTGAGCAAAATATATCCTGATTTCCACTACTATGCTCTCTTTATTTCTAACCTAATTCAAGCTAACAGCAGATCTTCTCTGGAGTGAACTTATCCCTCTGCAAACCAAAAATAAAATCCTAGGCCCTCTCACCATCTGAAGACTCCTCTCAACAAGGGCATTCCAAAGTTAACCTGAAAAACTGGTTCAGGCCATGATGGGAAGGGGGAGCCAGACATGCGTCATTATACCCTCCTCACTTTTGGAATTACAACAGACTCTTTAAATCTGATAAGAAACATTTACAATTGTAAATGTAATCGATTTTCTCTGGAGCCTGCTACCTGGAGGTTTCATCTGCGTGATAAAAACTTGGTCTGCACAATCCCTTATCATAATCCAGACATTCCTTTTTATTCATAATAACTCAATCAATTGCCAATCAGAAAATCTTCGAATCTACCTATGGCCTGGAAGCCCCTTCTTTGAGTTGTGCCACCTTTCCAGACCGAATCAATGTACATTTTACATGTATTGATTGATGTCTCAAGTCTCCTTAAACTGTATAATACCAAGCTGTGCCCCATCAAACTTGGGCACGTGTCATTAGGACCTCCTGAGGCTGTGTCATGGGCATGTCCTCAACCATGGCAAAATAAACTTTCTAAATTGATCAAGACCTATCTCAGATACTTTTGGTTTACACTCCTAAATGATCTTCCTGATTTTCCCCTTCCCTTTTTACAGTCTATTATCCACAAAGAAGCTTGAGCAATCCTTATAGCTTCAAATTAAATCATGTCACTTTTTCTCTAAACTCTCTCATGGCTTCCTGTTGCACTTAGAGTACAGTCCACATTTCTTATTTTGGTCAGCCTCTATATGATCTAGCTGTTATATGTCTATTGAATTTATCCCCTGACTCTAGCAATTGTAATCTGGCAAGATTAGTTTCCTTTTGCCTTTGAGCATCCAAGTTAGTTTTGCAAATAGACCTGTGCACTGTGATCTCTGATTAGGATGATTTTCTCCCCTTCAACTGGCTCCTTCACCCTGTTTACTTTTCACTTAAAATTTCCCAGAAAGACCTTTTTTGCCCTGTCTACAAAAGAATAGCTTACTGTCATTTAGCCACATGACTTTTTCTGTTTTACTTTTCTGATGATATTATAATTATGACTAGCTACAATAATAGTATTTATTTAATTTTTTAAATTAATTTAATTGTTTTTGTCTATGATTATTTGAATGTAAGCTCTATCAAAGTCTGCTGCTTTTACTATTGTCTCTTCAATGTTTGATCACTGTCTGGCATTCATTAAGAATTCATCACACATTTTTAAAAAGATAGATTTTAAATTTAATAAAAATTTTACCAAAAAATAAGCATAATGAATGCTAGAATCTACTAGTAAATGGCAAGATTTATGGTAATTATAATGATATCCAAAAATCACATTCATTTCAGAAATGTAAATTACCTAAAATTTGTATCAAAATACATGTATTAGAAGGAGGCAGAAATCATTTTATCAGTTTTCCGTAACAAATTATTAATGACAAGTTATTAATACCCAAGCTAAGAAAGGATATTGAGACAATAGAACAAGATTTAAAGTCATCAGGAAAAGAAATAACGTTGAAAAGTGAAGCTTAGAGAAGGAATTTGAAGTTTTCCAGATAATTGCTATAGCAAGCCCTCAGAAAACTAAGAGCACTTAATGTGCCAGATGAAAGAATAATGCTTAAAGGAAAGAGAAATTGATGGAAGAAAATAAATAACAGAACATCAGTAAAGAAAAAGGCCCTTTAAATTTCCTGAAGCCATCAGTAGCTTCAAGCAAATTATCCTGTGTTAACTTCTCTCAATGAAACTTTGACAGAGAAACCTAGAAATAACATATAATAAAGTGAAAAATAATTCCAAAATCAATATTAGAACCAAAACAATAAAAATAAAATCTTCCAGAAATTACTGAAGAATAGGCTGGGATGAAAAAGTATAGATCTTTGCTGAAAGCGCCTTTCACTCAAAAAATAGTCTAATAATTTGATATTATTATTCCCCTTCTCCCTATCAGATTTTAATATACCATTACTTTTTAAATCTATTTTTCTTTCTCTTTATATATTTAATTTTTTAGTACATGCTAAAACTATTTTCTAAATCAAAGTCTTGGTTAAAATCCAAGCTCTAGCTCATTCTAGATGAAAGACACTAGACAAATTCCTTCACTTATCTGATAATTTCCTTATGAGTAGAAGGGAAACAATGATAACTCTATCCCATGTTGTTTTTGTCTTAAGTTAGTGTTTCTTGAACTTATTGATTTTAATATCCTTTACACATTTGAAAATTATTGAGACTAAGAAATATTGTTTATATGAAATATATATATATATATATATATATATATATATTTACCACATTGGTAATTTGAACTGAGAAAATTTAAAAAATATGTATGTCTTAATTTATCTAAAACAATAATAAGCCTGCTATGTATTAATATAAGATATATTTCATTTAAAAAACTGTATTTTCCAAAGAAATAGTGAGAAGATTGGCATTAAGTTACATTTTTGGAAGTATCTTTAACATCCAGCTTAATAGAAGACAGCTGACTTTTTGTATCTGCTTCCACATTTATCATTTTGCTGTGTTTGAAGTATATAAAGAAACTCATAGTATTTTAATAGTCTTTTTATATAATTTTAGATATTGTTTTTTGATGCGATATACCAAAGTATATCAAGTGGCAGGTTTTTTTTTTTTAACTTCTTTTATTTTAAGTTCAGGGGTACATGTGCAGGTTTTTTATATAGGTAGATTACATGTCATGAGGGTTTGGTGTACAGATTATTTTGTCACCCAGATAATAAGTATAGTACCCAACAGGTAGTTTTTCAATCCTCTCCCCTCTCCCACCTTCCACCCTCAGTTAGGCCTCAACATCTGTCAGTCATTCCGTTCCGTTTTGCATCCATGTTTGTATTTAATGTTTAGCTCGGACTTATAAGTGAGAATGTGTGATATTTGATTTTTGGTTCCTTTGTTAGTTTGCCCAGGATAATGGCCTCCTCTATAAGTGGTATTTGGTTTTCTGTTTCTCCGTTAATTCGCATAGGATTGTGGCCCTCAGCCCCATCCATGTTGCTGCAAAGGACATGATGTTGTTCTTTTTTATGGCTATGTAGTATTCTATAGTGTATATGCACCACATTTTTTTTTTGTAGTCTAGTCTACTGTTGATGGGCATTAAGGTTGATTCCATGTCTTTGCTATTGTGAATAGTGGTGCAGTAAACATGCATGTTTATGTGTCTTTATGGAAGAACAATTTATATTCCTTAAAGTATATACCCAATAATGGGATTGCTGACTTAGGTGATACTTGTGTTTTAGGTTCTTAGAGAAATCATCACACAGCTTTTCACAATGGCTGAAACGATTTACATTCCCACCAGCAGTGTATAAGCATTCCCTTTTCTCCACAGCCTCATCAGCATCTGTCACTTTTTAACTTTTTAATAATATCCACCCTGACTGATACAAGATGGTATCTCATTGTGGTTTGGATTTGCATTTCTCTAATGATTAGTGCCGTTGAGCACTTCTTATATGCTTGTTGGCTGTGCGTATCTCTTCTTTTGAAAAGTGTCTGTTCATGTTCTTTGCCATCAAGTGGCAGTTTCTTAAAGAAATGATAAACTTGTCTTCATCAAAATTTTAAAAATTCTGTTTTTCAAAATACATCATAAATAAGATAAAAAGTCCAGACACTGATAGAAAATGATTTCAAGTCACCCATCTGATGAAAGATTTATATATAAAATATATTAAGAGCTCTCAAACTTCAATAAGAAACAAAATCACCGTATAAAAAATAGTCAGTGATTTGGGCATTTACTTCACTGGTGAAGATATACAGATGGCAAATGAGCACATGGAAAGATACTCAACATCAACATTCTTCATTAGCAATGTGCAGATTAAAAGTACAATATGAGAAACCCCTAAACACCTACTTGAATGTCTAATTTTTAAAGAACTTTCAAGTGTTGGTGAAGATGCAGAGGCATTGGAACTCTTATACATTGTTAATGGGAATGTAAAACTATACAATTCCCTGGAAAAACAGTTTGGCAGTTTCCTAAAGTGTTAACCATACACCTTCTATGTGATCCAGCCATTCTACTCCTAGGTATTACCCAGGAAAAATTAAAAGCACATAGCCGATCAAATTGTGTTATAAACTTTCATAACAGCTTTATTTGTAAAAGAAAAAAATTAAATGATCAAATGCCCCATTACAGGTGTCTGGATATACAAAATGTAAAATAATTATACAACAGCAGAATACTCAGCAATAAAATTGAATGAAATGTTGACACACACAACAACATGAATATAAAAATAACTCTGCATGTAAGAAAAGCTAAAAGCATATACTATAAAATTACATTTACATGAAATTGTAGAAAATGCAAACTATAATGAAGAAAACATTGGTTGCCAGGGGACTGGGAAAGGGACAGGTGGCTTGGAAAGGTGAGAGTGATTACTCAAGAGCATGGGGACAGTTTTGGGGCTGATAGATTTGCTCACTGTCTTTATTGTAGTAATGGTTTTATGATGGTTTATATATGTCAAAAATTATTAAACTGCCTGCTCTAAATATGTGCAGTTTACGCTATGGCAATTAAATCTCAGTAGGCATATTAAAAATAGGCATATGCTAACAAGTGTCTAAATTTAATAAAATGTAGTAATGTTCACTTTCTTTTGGGACATTTGTAAGTGAAACTAGATTTTTTTTTCTTTTTAATCAGCCAATGTGTGGCAGTAAGGAATACAATGACTCCTAATACAGTTCAGTGTCACTGTCTTGTTTTGTGTAAAGGAATCTACAGTTTAACCACTATTGCTTTATCACCATCAGAGCAAATGTTAACAGAGTGGTGCTAGGATAAATCAGGAGATTAAAAAACTACTTAACATTTGATTATGTCAGCAGTCTTTAGTTCTTGTTGCTCAGCATCCCACACCCCACACACATCAATACACATATATATTTTCTTCAGTGATAATTTGGGACCAACACTGAATGGAAAGAAGCAAGCAAAACAGCAAGTCCAGCCATATTTGTAAATCTATCCATAGATCAAATATTAACTTGCTGTTTGCAGCTAAATCTTTAAATTGACAAGCTACTGTAATACTGAAAAGTGGTGGCAGTGCTATGATTTGCTTTACTGATTCTTTCATTCAGCAACGTTTCAGTTGTGTCAACTAAGGAATAAATTATAGTTTCTCAACTATTTTGTTGCTTCTCTAGCCAATGACAACTTACTCTCTGAGCTGCTTTTCTGGCTCCTTAATTTGTAGTTGAAAATATGTAACAAACAATTGTTGGGGTTTTTAAATGTATTTTAATTTTTTATTTCCATAAGTTATTGGGGAGCAGGTGGTGTTTGGTTAAATGAGTAAGTCCTTTAGTGGTGATTTGTGAGAGCGTGGTGCACCCATCCCCTGAGTAGTATACACTGATCCCTATTTGTAGTCTTTTATCGCTCACTCCCTTCCCACTCTTTTCCCTCAAGTTCCCAAAGTCCATTGTGTCATTCTTATGCCTTTGCATCCTCACAGATTAGCTCCCACTTATGACTGAAAACATATGATGTTTGGTTTTCCATTCCTGAGTTACTTCACTTAGGATAATATTCTCCAATCTCATCCAGGTGGCTATGAATGCCATTAATTCATTTATTTTTATGGCTGAGTAGTATTCCATTGTGTGTGTGTGTGTGTGTGTGTGTGTCTGTGTATACACACACACATATACACTATGTATATGTATATGTGTATATATACATATATAGTGTATACATATACACTATATATATATATCTCACAGTGTCTTCATCTACTCATTGATTGATGGGCATTAGGGTTGGTTCCACATTTTTGCAATTGTGAATTGTGCTGCTATAAACATGCGTGTGCAAGTATCTTTTTTGTATAACAACAACTTTTTTTTCCTCTGAGTAGACACCCAGTAGTGGGATTGCTGGATCAAATAGTAGTTCTACTTTTAGTTGTTTAAGAAATCTCCACACTGTTTTCCATAGTGTTTGTATGAGTTTGCATTCCCACCAGCAGTGTAGAAGTGTTCCCTGTTCCATGCCAACATCTAATATTTTTATTATTTAATTTAGTAATTATTTATTTTATTTAATTATTAAATAATTATTATTTAATAAAAAATTTAATTATTATTTAATTCTTGCAGGAGTAAGGTCGTATCTCACTGTGGTTTTGATTTGCATTTCCCTCATCATTAGTGATGTTGAGCATTTTTTCCTATGTTTGTTGGCCATTTGCATATCTTTTTTGTTGTTGTTGTTGCTATTGTTGTTGTTGTTCTGAGATGGAGTCCTGCTCTGTCGCCAGGCTGGAGTGCAGTGGTGTGATCTCGGTTCACTGCAACCTCCACCTTCTGGTTCAAGCGATTCTTCTGCCTTAGCCTCCTGAGTAGCTGGGACTACAGATGTGTGCCACCATGCCCAGCTAATATTTTTTCATTTTTAGTAGAGACAGGGTTTTACCATGGTGGCCAGACTGGTCTTGATCTCTTGACCTCATGATCTGCCTGCCTTGGCCTCCCAAAGTGCTGGGATTACAGGCGTGAGCCACTGCGCCCAGCCTCATATCTTCTTTTGAGAATTGTCCATTGATGTCCTTAGCTTACTCTTTGATGGGATTGTTTGTTTTTTTCTTGTTGATATGTTTGAGTTCATTGTAGATTCTGGATATTAGTCCTTTATCAGGTGTATAGATTGTAAAGATTTTTCCCACTCTTTGGGTTGTCTGTTTACTCCACTTACTGTTCCTTTTGCTGTGCAAAAGCTCTTACGTGTATTTAAGTCCCAGCAATTTATCTTTGTTTTTATTACATTTGCTTTTGGGTTTTTGTCATGAAATCCTTACCTAAGCCAATGTCTAGAAGGGTTTTTTCCAATATTACCTTTAGAATATTTATAGCTTCAGGTCTTAGGTTTAAGTCTTTAATCCATCTTGAGTTGATATTTTTATAAGGTGAGAGAGATAAGGATTGAGTTTCATTCTCCTACATGTGGCTAGCCAATTATCCCAGCATCATATGTTGAAATGGGTTTCATTTACCCACTTTATATTTTTGTTTACGTTGTCAAAGATCAGTCAGCTGTAAGTATTTGGGTTTATTTCTGGGTTATCTATTCTGTTCCATTGGTCTTTGTGACTATTTTTATGCTACTACCATGCTGTTTGGGTTGCTGTGGCCTTATAGTATAGTTTGAAATCAGGTAATGTGATGCTTTCAGATTTGTTCTTTTGGCTTAGTCTTGCTTTGACTATGAGGGTTGATTCCGTATGAATTTTAGAAGTGTTTTTTTCTAATTCTGTGAAGAATGATGGTGGTATGCTGATGGGAAAGAAAAAGCATTTGACAAAATCTAACATCCCTTTATGATTAAAACTCTCAGCAAAATAGGCATACAAGAGACATACTTCAATTTAATAAAAGCCACCTATGACAAACCCACAGCCAATATAATAGTGAATGGGGAAGAGTTGAAAGCATTCCCTCTGAGAACTGGAACAAGACAAGGATGCCCACTCTCACCACTCCTCTTCAACATAGTACTGGAAGTCCTAGCCAGAGCAATCAGACAAAAGAAAGAGAGGACATCCAAGTAGGTAAAGAGGAAGTCAAACTGTCACTGTTTGCTGATGATATGATCGTTTACCTAGAAAACACTAAAGACTCCTCCAGAAAGCTCCTAGAACTGATAAAGGAATTCAGCAAAGTTTCTGGATACAAAATTAATGTACACCAATCAGTAGCTCTTCTATACACAAATAGTGACCAAGCTGATAATCAAATCAAGAACTCAACCCCTTTACAATAGCTGCGAAATATATATATAAGAAGAAGAAACTACTTAGGAATATACCTAACCAAGGAGGTGAAAGACCTCTACAAGGAAAACTACAAAACATTGCTGAAGGAAATCATAGATGACACAAACAAATGGATAAACATTCCATGCTCATAGATGGGTAGCATCAATATTGTGAAAATGACCATATTGCCAAAAGCAATCTACAAATTTAATGCAATTCCCATCAAAATTGTTGGTTATTTAAGAGCGTATCACATCTACATTTATCATTTTTCTTTTTTAAATTTTTAAGTACTGAAATGATTGGATTTGATGTGACATTGAAACTTAGCACCATATATTATTTGAATGCATTCTGCTGTATAAGAAACAATCATGGAGATTATTAATATTTACAATGACAAGAAAAGCCATCTTGTTAATAATTTTGTTTCTATTTATTAGAAGTTTTTCAGCATTTCCCTTCCATACATCAGAGAATTCTGTGTTATATCAGTTCATCTTTTTTCTAGCATTTTTAGATGTAAGTGATACAGCTATATGTTGAGAAAGTACTTTTTCTAATATTTTATTAAGCTAATAATTCATCCTAATTCATCCAAAATAAAATGAATTTTATTGTTGAATAAATCATTACTAAAGTGATAAATTTTAGACAAGATTTTTGACATTTTTAAAAAAGTATAAAAAATACTATGATGAAACAAGACAATAAGAAAATTTTTAGAATTACAAAATAATAATTTATTGGATAATAATGATTTTACAGGGATTGCAACAGGTATAATTGGATAGATAACTGATTACATAGATAGATGATAGATAGATCATAGTTGAAATACTGATAACTGAGTTTAATCTTTGAAAAATCACAAATCTACTAACTTAAACGTTTCAGAAAACACAAGTGCATACAAGCATAAATTCAGGTATCTTCTGTAAAACTCCACATGGGAGTATAAATTGGAAAGTTAAGAGTGAAAGGAGCATATAAGAGATTACTATTGCTGTGAAAATATTTTGACCTTGCAAATCCTCTGAAAGGATCTTTGGAGACCCCACTGGCTCTGAGGCAACATTCCAAGAATCACCTTAGGTGAAAAAAAATAAAAAAGAATAAGAATATCCTGTTTTTAAAGGGACTATTGTGAAGTGCTCTTGAGTGATGATATGTTTTCCAGGAGATGAGGACTGAACAAAGAGGGAATGAAAAGTACTAAGGATTCCAATGAAGCACATCCAAACCTGGGGAACATTCAGGGTGGGCAGAGTTGTCCTGAATTGAAAGAAGGAGGTCATGCCTTTGTACCTCCATATCAGCTAATTATGAGCTATGCACTGCCCAATCCAAAGGACATAAACTTGGTTGAGGCAGTTCCCTGCCTCTGAGGCTTATGAGCCATGAACAGTCAGTATTCCTATAATTGGGAATAATGGGGACTGTATGTGTTTGTGTGCATGTGTGTGTGTGAGAGACACACACACATATGCACACAAACAAACACACACACAGAGAAGAATGATTATATGCCAAGAAGATATAGCACAGTTCCATACCAGAAAGTTAAGAAATAAGAGATTTTTACTTTAATAGGGAAAATGTCAAAAATATGCGAGAACTGCTAAAGACAGATATTAAAGTTTAATGAGAAAAAGGATCATACTGACTTAGCTTTCCATGTACATATCTTTAGTCAACTGACCTATTTTAAGGCCCACTTCCCTCTACTGACTCTTATTTTACCTCCAAATTTCAAAAAGGAAGACTCAAGATTTATTGTGTAGATTAATTTTTGTTTCTGTTTTTGTTTTTTCCCTCATTGCTGCCCTCTCATTAGCATATTTCAGGCTATGAATGGCTTTGTTTCATTCATTATTGTCCTCTCAATCTCTTTTTTCTAGGAATTTATTAAAATCACTCATTTTCTGAAGAATCCTTTGTTTATCTTCTAACTAATGGGGTCATTTCATTTTGTGGCTTTTTGGGGACTATTTCATGTGATTTTCACTTTTAGAATGAGCTTATAAGCATTATTTCTATAAATTATCAATTAACATATCAAATAAAACCTGTCTACACTTACGAGATGCCATATCTGAACACTTCCTAAAAGAGAATCTTGGACACCATCTACCTTTCTTCTGTTTGCCATCATCAGGTTTTGCAGAAATGTGACATGTGTTGCACCTCCTCATCCCTGAGTTTAGCATCAGACAAGCCATACCATACATATATCTTTCTTATTTAAAATATTCAACTGTTACCTGTCAAAAAGGAAATTTTGTATTTAAATGAAAATGATATTTATTTGTAGAATGAAATAAACTAAAAAAAAATACCTTTTAAGAGAAGATGAGAGAACAGATATTTTCTTCAAAAGGAAATTCCACAGAAAACTTTTTTGTCTGGCAACAATTAAAAAGAAAGATAAAGAGGAAACAGAATAGTATCTATTTGGAAAGAAGAAAGAATAACAATACTAAAATAGTGCAATGTCTAAGCCACACAAATAATTAAGGTAGACAGCATAAAATACGAAGAGATTGTTATTTTTTGGACAAAATATAAAATTTAAAAAATTAGTAGTTTCTGTTGTGGGAAGTCAGGGACCCCGAATGGAGGGACCGGCTGAAGCTGTGGCAGAAGAACATAAATTGTGACGATTTCATGGACATTTATTAGTTCCCCAAATTAATACTTTTATAATTTCTTATGCCTGTCTTTACTGCAATCTCTGAACATAAATTGTGAAGATTTTATGGACACTTATCACTTCCCCAATCAATACCCTTGTGATTTCCTATGCCTATCTTTACTTTAATCTCTTAATCCTGTCATCTTGTAAACTGAGGAGGATGTATGTCGCCTCAGGACCCTGTGATGATTAACTGCACAAATTATAGAGCATGTGTGTTTGAACAGTATGAAATCTGGGCACCTTGAAAAAAGAACAGGATAACAGCAATGTTCAGGGAACGAGAGAGATAACCTTAAACTCTGACCGCTGGTGAGCTGGGCGGAACAGAGCCATATTTCTCTTCTTTCAAAAGCAAATGGGAGAAATATCTCTGAATTATTTTTCTCAGCAAGGAACATCCCTGAGAAAGAGAATGCATCCCTGAGGGTAGGCCTCTGAAATGGCTGCTTCGGTGGGCGGCCATCTTTTATGGTCGAGCTATAGGGATGAAATAAGCCCCAGTTTCCCATAGCGCTCCCAGGCTTATTAGGATGAGGAAATTCCCACCTAATAAATTTTGGTCAGACCACTTGTCTGCTCTCAAACCCTGTCTGTCTCCTGACAAGTTGTTATCAATGACAATGCAGGCCCGAAACTCCATTAGCAATTTTAATTTCACCCCTGTCCTGTGGTCCCGTGATCTCGCCCTGCCTCCATTTGCCTTGTGATATCTTATTACCTTGTGAAGCATGTGATCTCTGTGACCCACACCCTATGCATACACTGCCTCCCCTTTTGAAAATCACTAATAAAAACTTGCGGTTTTACCACTCAGGGGGCATCACGGAACCTGCCGACAGGTGATGTCTCCCCTGGACGCCCAGCTTTAAAATTTCTCTCTTTTGTACTCTGTCCCTTTATTTCTCAGACTGGCTGACACTTAGAGAATATAGAAAAGAACCTACATGAAATATCAGGGGTGAATTTCGCCCGATATCTGGCTGAATTTCCCCCGATAGTTTCACAATTTTAGTAATAATCTGCTTTATCAGAAGGAATAACAATCACAATTATTGAATTATAGGCAGTGTTTTAATGGCTTTAACATAGTTGACAATAATTAACAGCAAATAGGACTTGAGTTTTTGAAGTATCTTTTCAATAATTATACACATTACAAATTGTTCAGATATCATTATCAGTTATAGATGATTTCATTTTATTTTGAAGATGCATCCACTATGGTGCTTTGGATCATCAGCTGGGATGGTTGTAGAATGGGTACAGCAGGGACTATTGACTGGAGTGTATGTGGCCTCCCAGTATGGCAGTCTCAGGGCTCTAACAGGAAGTATTCCCAGAGAAAGTATTCCAGCAAAACTGTAGAAGCTGAATAATGAAACTTTGTCATATACACTCTTCAGCATCCACATTATTTGCTGGAATACCCCAGTCAACACCGCCTGTCCTCAGCCATCCCAGTAGGAGCCAAACATGTAAGTAAGTAAAACAAGCCACATGGAATGGAATTGCCCAGCTGCAAGTATTTTAACCAGCGATTACAGCTGAGGCCCCAAATATTATGAAGGTGACAAGATCTGTCTTCACTGTCCCATTTCTGAATCTGTAACTCAGAGATACCATAAGAATAATAAAATGGTTTAGACCATTCAATTTTAGAGTGGCTTGTTACACAGTGACAGGTACTGCAAACACCAGAAAATAGCAAATTGAGTGATAGCAACCAAAATTTGTTGGTTATATTATTTCAAAATAATATAGCACTATCTATCATAGAAGAATATATATACAACTTAGAATTGTATGCAATCAATACATTTGCAAATAAATACTTGTAAAAAATTATGAAAGAGTATTCCAAAAACATTATTTGCCCTTTTAAAGTAAAATAAAAACACCATAAGCCTTCCCTTAACTCTGTAATAGTGTTGATTTAAACATATTACAAAAAATTTCAGCCAATCACTTGAAAAATGGTTGGTCTATAAAGTCACATGAAATTATTTTGTTTCACAATTTGCTTTTGATTCTCCCCGTTGCAATGATTTTGAAAATCTTGCAGAGGACAGACTTTAGATATAAAGTAAACTGAAGCATTTACTCTTTCCTATTCAACATAGTGTTGGAAGTTCTGGCCAGGGCAATCAGGCAGGAGAAAGACATAAAGGTTATTCAACTGGGAAAAGAGGAAGTCAATTTGTCCCTGTTTGCAGATGACATGATTGTATATCTAGAAAACCCCATCGTTTCAGCCCCAAATCTCCTTAAGCTGATAAGCAACTTCAGCAAAGTCTCAGGATACAAAATCAACATGCAAAAATCACAAGCATTCTTATACACCAATAACAGACAAACAGAGAGCCAAATCATGAGTCAACTCCCATTTACAATTGCTTCAAAGAGAATAAAATACCTAAGAATCCAACTTACAAGTGATGCGAAGGACCTCTTCAAGGAGAACTACAGACCACTGCTCAATGAAATAAAAGAGGATACAAACAAATGGAAGAATATTCCATGCTCATGGGTAGGAAGAATCAATATCATGAAAATGGCCATACTGCCCAAGGTAATTTATAGATTCAATGCCATTCCCATCAAGCTACCAGTGACTTTCTTCACAGAATTGGAAAAAACTACCTTGAAGTTCATATGGAACCAAAAAAGAGCCCGCATTGCCAAGTCAATCCTAAGCCAAAAGAACAAAGCTGGAGGCATCATGCTACCTGACTTCAAACTCTACTACAAGGCTACAGTAACCAAAAGAGTATGGTACTGGTACCAAAACAGAGATATAGACCAATGGAACAGAACAGAGCCCTCAGAAATAATGCCACATATCTACAACTATCTGATCTTTGACAAACCTGAGAAAAGCAAGCAATGGGGAAAGGATTCCCTATTTAATAAATGGTGCTGGGAAAACTGGCTAGCCATATGTAGAAAGCTGAAACTGGATCCCTTCCTTACATCTTATACAAAAATTAATTCAAGACAGATTAAAGACTTAAATGTTAGACCTAAAACCATAAAAACCCTAGAAGAAAACCTAGGCAATACCATTCAGGACATAGGCATGGACAAGGACTTCATGTCTGAAACACCAAAAGCAATGGCAACAAAAGCCAAAATTGACAAATGGGATCTAATTAAACTAAAGAGTTTCTGCACTGCAAAAGAAACTACCATCAGAGTGAACAGGCAACCTACAGAATGGGAGAAAATTTTTGCAACCTACTCATCTGACAAAGGACTAATATCCAGAATCTACAATGAACTCAAACAAATTTACAAGAAAAAAACAAACAACTCCATCAAAAAGTAGGTGAAGGATATGAACAGACACTTCCCAAAATAAGACATTTATGCAGCCAAAAGACATATGAAAAAATGCTCATCATCACTGGCCATCAGAGAAATGCAAATCAAAACCACAGTGAGATACCATCTCACACCAGTTAGAATGGCAATCATTACAAAGTCAGGAAACAACAACAGGTGCTGGAGAGGATGTGGAGAAATAGGAACACTTTTACACTGTTGGTGGGAATGTAAATTAGTTCAACCATTGTGGAAGTCAGTGTGGCGATTCCTCAGGGACCTAGAACTAGAAATACCATTTGACCCAGCCATCCCATTACTGGGTATATACCCAAAGAATTATAAATCATGCTGCTATAAAGACACATGCACACGTCTGTTTATTGCGGCACTATTCACAATAGCAAAGACTTGGAACCAACCCAAATGTCCAACAATGATAGACTGGATTAAGAAAATGTGGCACATATACACCATGGAATACTACTCAGCCATAGAAAATGATGAGTTCATGTCCTTTGTAGGGACATGGATGAAGCTGGAAACCATCATTCTCAGCAAACTATCACAAGGACAAAAAAACCAAACACCACATGTTCTCACTCATAGGTGGGAATTGAACAATGAGAACACATGGCCACAGGAAGGGGAACATCACACACTGGGGCCTATTGTGGGGTAGGGGGCTAGGAGAGGGATAGCATTAGTAGGTATACCTAATGTTAAATGACGAGTTAATGGTTGCAGCACACCAACATGGCACATGTATACATATGTAACAGACCTGCACGTTGTGCCCATGTACCCTAAAACTTACTTAAAGTGTAATTAAAAAAAAATAAAATCTATTTTTTCCCATATAATAATAATTTGAGAGAGGAATTCTGGTCTGTTTTTATTATATTATATTACTTTGCATTTTTCTTAAGATATTTTAAGTAAATTACTTTGAAAAATTCTAACAGTAATTGCATAAGCAAATCTGATTTGATAAATCACTTAATATCTGCATTTTGTGAGTTCAATTAAAATATGAGACGCTTCTCAAATAAGTTCAAAAATTTTCCAAGTAGAAATTAGAAACAAGGAAATGGAAGCTGTATGGTGATTATTTCATAATAATTTACAAATAATATTGTTTTATTCAAATTTATTTTAAGTATATAGAAGAGGAAATATTGAAAGCATCAGGTCTTTGGGGACAAGTTTCAACTTCAGGATTATTTCTTATGAAGAAGAAAAGCATCTTTCAAGATCTATTCTTACACACCTAAATCTATAAAATGTTTCCAAAAGCAGTTGCTGTTGCTGTCTAGGGTGAACTGAAAATCCAGATTCATTTGCCTTGTCATTGTTCTAATTTTGACAGCCTTAGACATTTGGTTGCTTAAAGCAAAGGCTGGCATTGGCAAATGAGAACAGGAAAGCTTGGGTTTGCCAATTCAATGCAGCCATTTAAAAAATATATATTTCCACATATATAACATTTTTAAAGTTGCAGCAAGCCCTGCATATGGCTTTTTTGAGGTAATAATAATATGTAAATGAATATAAGTTCAAAAACCATGCTAGAGAAATATTATAATAAAATATAAGGTACTTTTAAAAGATAGTGTTGAAGATGTCAACAATACTTTAATAACTAAAAATCTAAGCTCTGGCACTTAAATCTTGCTACAAATTGGAAAGTTGAAATCTGCATCTAAAAATTATTTGGAAAATAAATATGTAAGTATTGTACACTTATTTTATTGAACTTCTTATTAAAGAAACATGCACAGTGAATTAATAAATGAATATGGTTCCCTAGAGATGTGTGGATATCATTTTTTCTGCATATAAATCACTTCTTGGTGTGAGGTTCTAGCTCCACATCAAAGAGCATGGAGCATAGTAAAGTGTAACTGTGGAGGTCATAGACAGGGTCACTTTTCCAGATGGTGGTTAAATTGCTGTAGTTTTAACTTGGGGTTACTTTATTTTATTCTGAGTTCTACTTATTTTATTAAAGGAAAGATCATGATAAATTTTCAAAGGATTATCTGTAAAATAGATGAAAAACAAAAATGCAGACTGCCTAAGCTAAAGTTTAAACACTTATAGAATGAAGTTTAACCTGTATAGTTTTTCTGACTCTTATTTCCTCAGTCTCAATTTACTATTTATCAATTATTTCCTGTATTATCTCCCAAAATTACTCACTGACTTTACATCTTTTCCTAGTTTTCATTTTTAATATATTTTTTCCTTATTATCAGGCATATTACAAAATTAAATGGAAATCTTTTGTTGTGACACTCAATAGCCTCATGACCCACTAGAAGAATATTTGATCAAATTTAAGCCTGGAGTTACAATTTATTGAAGGCCATAGTAAGAAACCTAAAGGGAGGAAAAGTAAAAATAAAAAGGAATTGGTGCAAAACTGTCATCAGCAAACATATGCTTCTTTATCATTTATTCTTTCAGCACATTACAATGAACTTTTATTGAGGCATAATTTATACACAATAAAATACTACAAATTCATCATTTTATGAGTTTTGATAAATGTGTATATCTGTATTTCTCAATAAAGATATTGAAGATTCCCATAACCCCAAGAATTTCCCTTGTCAACTTTCACAATATTGCATTCTAATGACTGTATGTCTCTTTTCCAAACATAGACCATTAAAACCTCTTTGAGTAAAGGAGACACATCTTGCCAATGATTGTTCCCTAGCATTGAGTATAGAACCTATATCAAAGTAAGACATAAATCCTTCTAAGCAGACTTCGTGACTAACATCAGGGAGACCAAACAAAAGACAGATGGCATTGAGGAGGACAGAGAGGTGAATTCTGCAAAAAGGGTATGAAATGAGAATGAACATACAATGTGAAAACATAAACCTTTTATATACCATAAAAATGTCATTAGTTTTAGGTAATATATAATTATAATTAAACTTTTCTTGCTATAATCTCTCTAGTGGAGTTCTTTATCCCTGGAATTAATGATTTTATTGGGCTTTTATATTAATCAAGAACAATGTTCTTTGCAAGTAACAGAGAAAAATACATTTCCAAATATATAAAAGTGTAATTATTAGAAAATGTATCTAGAAAAAAATAAATAGTAACCCCTGGAATTGAACAGAACAAATGACTCCAAAGTCATTAGAATTTTCTTTCCTCTATATTATCTTCATTATTTTTCTGTGTGCTCAAACTCTCATCATCACTCAGTGTGGAGAAGATGATATGACTAGTGGAATTTCAAGGATTATTTTCTAATATCTACATTACTAAAGACAAAAGTGGCTCCTTTATTCTGACTTAGTTTGAGATACACTGAGGACATGAATTGATTGGACTGATTTATGTTACAAGTTAATTCTTATAAGTAGGTCAGTAGCTCAGAATTTTTATTAGGAAATCATGGCAGAAATAGGAAAGGATACTTTCAAGCCTACTTATTCGAAAATATGATTCTTAAAGTTAAATTAGGTTTATTATCATATGAAGTTGCTCAGAAATCTTTCTTTCTAAAGAGAATATAAATTATTTTGGGGAAGATACTCACAGTCATTAATATAACCCCAAAAAGAGTACAATGTCTCTTCTTTGGTGGAAAAAGCACTCTGCACCTGAGGGAACAGAAGAAAGTTACATCAGGACATCCTTGGAATAAAGTGTTCTACAAAAGAATGAGAGTACCTCTAGAAATTCACACGGAATCAAATGATATAATTGCTGGACCTCAGTAATGCAAACCCATAGGAAATCAGGATAAAAATTAGATCAGATTTGGTGGTGGTCTAGAAAAAAATAATTTGTAACAAAGGTGACCTCCTTGAGGGTAATCAGATGGTCCAGTTTGCATTGAAAGACACAAATAACAAATCCAGGCATGGTACCAGAAATTTTATATGGTGTCACTAGGAGCCATAGCATTTTCAACTCATCATCTTACCATTAAAGGGTATTCCTATTTATTCCCAGACTCTGAAAGCTGTCAGAGTAGTGGCCCCAATGACCCTTTCTGTATCTATCGATGTATGTCCTGCCTAGTCACCTCCCCATTGAACCTGAGTTTGACCATGTGACTAGCTTTGTCCAATAGAACAAAATCAAATGTAATACAAAAATAGATATTAAAAAACTCTTTTTGCATTGGGACTTACTTATGCCCTAAAAACATTTCCAACAGGTGAAGAAGTCCAGGCTAATAAGCTGTAGACATTTTA
This sequence comes from Homo sapiens, assembly GCF_000001405.40. Classification (NCBI taxonomy): domain Eukaryota; kingdom Metazoa; phylum Chordata; class Mammalia; order Primates; family Hominidae; genus Homo; species Homo sapiens. The sequence goes on along the minus strand of NC_000001.11, from coordinate 194,196,922 downwards.
CTCAGATAACATCTAACATTAACCACCTACTATGGAAGTGTGGCCACCTCAGGCCATCGAGCTTCAAATAAGCCACCACATGACTGCAGCTATGTGAGAGCCTCTTGTAGAGCGCAACAGTAGAAACATCCAATTGAGTCCAGCTCAAATTGCTGACTCATAGAATCACGAGACAATAATGTTGTCCTTGTTTTCCGCTACTAAATTTTGGTATGTGTATGTTATGTGTATGTGTGTAATTACAAATGCACATCTGAAATAGAAATAGTACCTTGGTGTGCTGTCTGTCATAACAAAAAGTTAGAACATGCAACTTTGCTTTGAGGTCAGCTGGCAGATGGAGGCTGGAAGAAAAGCTAGGAGACTGATATTAGCGAAGAAAAGCAGGGAGGAGACCCAAAGTCTGAGGCTGTGGAATTGCAACAAACTGTTACTGTGTCTGTCAGAGCTGTGGGGAAACCACTGTTGGAGGCTGGGATGGTGAGAACCCATGTGTGTAAAGGCAGAACAATTGGCCAACATAATTCCTGCAGTAGGACCTTGGATGACATTAACTGTACCTAATGACTGGTGTATCTGACTAAAGACATGTTCTGGCAGAAATGCAAAGTAACATGTGGCTTCTTTTAGCTATGCAATGACTTGTTGGTTTGGAAAATAAAGCTTTTCATCCTCAGTCTCTCAACCTGGCAATGATTTTCAAAACGTCTTTATTTGAGTATGACTGATACACAAATATCTGCATATATTTAATGTATAGAAATTGATGAGTTTGGACATATGCATAAACTCACTCATGCCATCACCGTAACCAAGGTAAAAAAAAAAATACCACTATCACCTCGAAATGTTCTTTGTGTATGTTTTGTGGTCAGAACATTTAGCATGAGATATGCATACCCTCTTAACAAATTAAGTGCACAATACCATATATTAACTATAGGCAATATGTTTTACAGCATATCTCTGGAACTTATAAGTAGTCTCAAGCTAAAGGTTAAAGCAAGGATGTCAGAGTAAGGCCTTTTCTTCAAACCTCAAAACCATTTAAGGCTATGCCTGATAGATCTTCCCAGCTTAACAAACTGGCTCCTAAAAAATCATATGAATATTGTCACACATTAAACTGACACTCTTAAAGGAGAGAAGTTTGTCATAAAATGAATTATGGATGTGACTTTTGGAGCATAGAATGAATCCTCCCCAAATTCACTGAAAAAACAAAGTTATTTAAATAAATGTCATACTAAAACTCCTTCCAGCTTGGACTCTAAGGGACGGAGGAAATTCAAATTAAATGAGGCCTCTGGCCCCACTTTTGAAATGCATACTGTAGACTCAGAGGGTTGCTTTCCTGAAAATATGAACCGCGTCATAAAAAATGAAGGAAGGCCCAAAGGTAGAATAAAAAATGACAGAGAAAGCTGGGCTAATTACCACAGACCCATCGCCCTAACACAAAACAATTTATTTTCTCACACTGTCCATGGGTTAGGAGTCTGGGTGTCCACCTAGCTGAGGCCTCTGCTCAGTCTCACCAGGCTAAACTCAAGTGTTGGCTGGGGCTTGGGTTTCTTCTGAGGCTCAGCTGTCCCTTCCACAATCACTGTTTGTTGGCAGAATTCAGTTTCTCATATCATAAAATGAAAGGCCTCACTCCAAGAGGTGAGTTATAATTTCCTGCCACATAGTCTTCTTTACAAATATAGTTTGCTTCCTTCTATGCCAGCAGGAGTGCGTCTCTTCAATGCATCCCTGTCATTTAAATGTCTCACCTGTTTAGACCAGATCCACTCAGGGTAACATTCCTTTCAGTTAACTAAAAGTTAATTGATGAATAACTTATTCATAAGAGATATAGTTCATCATAGTCATAGGTCCAATTTACATGAAATGAGAGGGGATTATTTAGGGCATGTATACCAGGATGTGGGAATCTTACGGGCCATCTTAAAATCCTTCTTACCACAGAGTGAGATCATTGTTTGGGCATATGTGGGCTGGATAACTTGACTTTTTACTTCATGGGTCATTGAATAAATAGTGTATTAGTTCATTTTCATACTGCTATAAAGAACCACCTGAGACTGGATAATTTATAAAGAAAAGAGGTTTAATTGACTCACAGTTCCGCATGGCTGAAGAGGCCTCAGGAAACTTACTTACAACCATGGCAGAAGGCAAAAGGGAAACAAGGCATGTCTTACCGAGAAGGAGCAGGAGAGAGAGAGAATGAGAGGGGAAAAACTGCCACACACTTCATGAGAATTCACTCACTATCACGAGAACAGCATAGGGGAAACCACCCCCATGATCCTGTCACCTCCCACAGGTCCCTGCCCTGACAGGTGGGGATTACAATTCAATGTGAGATTTGGGCAGGGACACAGAGCCAAACCATATCAAGTAGCTACCTCAGAAGTGCCTCACCTACATCCAGACTTGACGTACTCACAAAATCACGTATGGTGAGACTGATGCCATGATTAAGTAAAACTTTAGGTATCTTAGGAAGGGGTGACTATATATTCCCCATGAGGAGTTGTTAATCACTGGGTACAGCAACACATTGTGCTAGATTGTTGCAGCAATACCTCCACTCAATGCATCACACTTCTCTGTATCCATGCACTTGTGAAATTTCCTTCCCGTTTACATTGGATTTGCCTTGCCTTAACCAACAGAAATCAGCAAATGTAATACAGTAGCTTGAAAATTACTCGTGCTTTAGGTTAACGATCAAAGAACTGTAAACTTACGTTTAAGTCTAGATAGCAGATTAATTTCTCATAGTAGTATGGGTTAGAGAATCTGAATCATGTATTTCATTTGTATTATAATATTAAATAAAAATATTATAGCTAATGGGGGATACGTTTCTCATTGTTGGACAAAGAAATTAAAAATATGGAAAAAGTAAACTTCTGGAATGAATCTTCATACTATTGGATAATTTTAATATGTAATCTATGGTGTTTAATACATATATTTAAATAGTATTAAGTGAAATAAACAGGACACAGAAAGACAAATATCACATGTTCTAACGTGTGGGAGCTAAACAATTTGATCTCTTAGAGGTAGATAGTAGAACAATAGATACCAGAATCTGGGAAGGGTGTGTTGGGGGGAAGCTTGGGGGATGAAGTGAGGCAGGCTAATGAGCACAAATATATAATTAGATAGGAGGAATAAGTTCTAATGTTCAATAGCACAGTAGGGTGACTGAAGTTAACAACAATATATTGTACATTTCAAAATAATCTAGAAGAGAGGATTTGAAATATTCACAACACAAAACTATGATAAATGCTGGAGGTGATGAATAGCCTAAATACCCTGACTTGATGATTACACATTCTCTACATGTATCAAAATATCACCCGTGCCCCATAAATATGAACAAAGAGTATGTGTCAATAAAACATTTAAAAACATGTAATTACATGTCTGCTGAGATGGTCTAGAGAAATTGACATCCCAGTAGCAAAGAAAATACAAATAGCAGATCTAGATTTCTAAATATTATTCTCTTCTTAAAGGAAATAAAGCTTCTTGAAGAAATTGCTCTTCCAAGGGGGTAGAGCATGGATGATAAAAGATTAGCATGAAATACCTTGCTATGGCAAAAATGAGAAAGTACTCAAAAATCGATTGGGATAGGACAAAAATTTATAGGACTCTGCTTGAGTTTTGGTTAATAGGTACAAAAATATAGTTAGATACAATGAATAAGACCTAGTGTTTGATACGAAAACAGCGTGGCTATAGTGATAGTAAAGCAGTGGCTAAATTTGTTGTACACTTTAAAATAACAGAGAGGCTACCATGGGAATGTTTGTAACACTAAGAAATTATGAATGCTTGAGTTGATGAATATCCCATTTATCATGATGTGATTATTGCACAGTATATAGCTATCAAAATACCCCATGTTTCCCATAAATATATGTATCTACTATATACCCATAAACATTAAAAACTAAAAGGAAGGAAAAAAAGAAATGACAAGATAGCTATTCTATTCATATTTTATGGTGACATCAACCCATTTAATAGAAGAACACTTCATATAAAATATTAATTAGAAAAAAATAAAGTAACAATATGATTTAATCTTAACATTTTAAAAAGCAAACACTATGACACTGTAGACTCTAACAAATGTTTGTTTTCAGCAACTTTGTGAAATAAATTTTTAGTCATACTAACAATTAATTAAAGGAAATTTGTTATTTCTTCCAAATGGAATCTAAATGTGAATACATCTTTTTTCTTCTTCATAAATTATTTCAATATTTGATTTCAATTTTAATAGTAGCAAAATCTCATATAGTTCTATTTAAACGCCCTCATACAAAATAATTAAATCCCAACATCAACACTATCAACTGATACTATTATTTCCTTATCTGTAAAGCTGAGGAAACTGAGACACAGTAATTTTTGCAAATTATGCGGCTAGCTAATGACAGAACTGGGAACGGAATGAAGGCTATCTCATCGTTGATTTTAGGCTCTTAACTATTAGGTTGTTTGGCTTTTAATAATTGCGGTAATTATGTAATAACATCTTCCAAAAAATGCTCATCAACAGCTGCATTTCCCCTAAAAACCCTGGATAAGGAGTTACCTGTACCTTTGAAAACATAAGAGTATCAGAATCTTCATTTATTTATTATTATGACCTAATTTGCTTCTCTAACTACTATGCATTTTGGAAATCCATTAAAGCTATTCTTGCTCATCTAAAAAAGTGAAAAATGACCTACTAATAAGCAAAGGTGACTTGTGTTTTTTGTACACTGCATAAATTATTATAAACTGAATTTTGTAGTGTCCCAACTCTGACACAAAGGATGTTCACATTAAATTGAATCATTAATTTATAAACAATACTTGTAAACTAACTGTTTAAAACAGTCTAAATCATATTTAATTATATGTTCTTCCATTGAATGTTGAAAACTTCTGGATATATTTTAAAGCAGAATACAGTTTAATTTTCTCTAAAATGAACAAAGATGGCTTTAAAATTATCAATATAATTTTTCTGCCACTATCTTTTACATATACCAAATATTCTGAAAATATATTGCTTAATTTTGATATGTGCATCCTTGAAATTAAAATAACAAAAATGGATAATGACAATGTATATTTATATACATATTATATATATATAGTATACACACACACACACACACACACACACACACACACACACACACACAGTATACAACTGTCAATCTAAGTTGAAACAACCACAAACCAATGAACATCAACCAACAAAAGCATCTTTATTTTGGAAGCTTTTTAGCCTAGGCACTAACACAAAGATTCATAACATTGTTACATGCTTTCAAATCTATTCCTTTATGAAATAATTTTCCTCTGAAAATGTTATCAGAGGTCTCAAACTCATACATACCTTGGAAGAAAGAAGTATCAAAGGTGATAGGGGTTTTTTTTTTGACAGGAAAAAAGAAAATACATTTTTCTTCTCATAACACATTTATCTTCAGGATGTACTCCAGAAACATTAATTATATAAATGTAAAATAATTAAAACTCTATGAAAAAGAGAATACTTATAAAGTCCCAATATAACAGCTATTTGTGTAAATTTTTAAAATAAACACAATTCAGCAAGACAAAATAAAAATATATGGAAAATAATAAATGTACATAAAATTTTAAATATCAAAAAATACATGGAACTGAAGAAACCAATGGAGGTGTGAACAAATATTTTAACAAAAAATATTCACATTCATTGTAAAAAAAAGTTAAATGTTAAAAGCATTCAAATTACAAACTTAAAAATATGTTTATGAAAAACCCTACTAACTATTTATTTTATTTAATCATTGGATAATTTTTTTTCTCATTAAACATTCTTAGTGGGTCTCAAAATTCTGTGACAGATTTTTGGTCAAGCTGTTTCCATTAAAAGTACGTGCATACCTGGCCGGGCGCGGTGGCTCACACATGTAATCCCAGCACTGTGGGAGGCTGAGGCAGGCAGATCACAAGGTCGGGAGATGGAGACCAGCCTGGCTAACACAGTGAAGCCCCCTCTCTACTTAAAAATACAAAAAATGAGCCAGGCGTGGTGGCGGGCACCTGTAGTCCCAGCCACTCGGGAGGCTGAGGCAGGAGAATGGCGTGAAACCAGGGGGCGGAGCTTGCGGTGAGCCGAGATGGCGTCACTGCACTCCAGCCTGGGTGACAGAGGGAGACTCCATCTCAAAATAAATAAATAAATAAATAAATATGTGTATACCTATGGAAAAAACCTGCACTTTTCTGCACATGTATCCCAGAACTTAAAGTATAATTTAAAAAAAAGAAAAAAATACTGATTTTAAAAACGAATAACTTAAAACTGCCACACGCAAAAAAGAGAATCAAAGTGGTACTCAAAACATTTTCCTTTCCTTCTGAAGATTTTACGATGCATTGTTATCATTAACCAGTCTTCTACTATTAAACTTAAATGGCCAGTTTAAACAAACAGCCCTGATACCATTCCTCCACCACTGATTAAACCCGGGGTGGCTGGTATTAGGGATAATATTCATTTAGCCTTCTGGGCAGACTAGGTGACTTTGCCATCTCCAGCAGCCTTCTTGTCCACTCCTTTGATGACACACACCCACAGCAATTGCCTGTCTCATATCATGAACAGCAAAGCCACCCAGAGGTGGATAGTCTGATAAACTCTCAACACAAATGTGCTTGCCAGGAACCACATCAATGATGGCAGCATCACCAGACTTCAAGAATTTAGGGCCATCTTCCAGCTTTTTACCAGAACGGCGATCAATCTTTTCCTTCAGCTCAGCAAACTTGCATGCAACGTGAACCATGTGGCTATCCAGTGCAGGGGCACAGCCAGCGCTGATTTGGCCTGGATGGTTCAGGATAATCACCGGAGCAGTGAAGCCAGCTGCTTCCACTGGTGGGTCGTTTTTGCTATCACTAGCAACATTGCCACAACAAACGTCCTTGACAGACACATTGTTGACACTGAAGCCCACACTGTCCCCAGGAAAAGCTTCACTCAAAGCTTCATGGTGCATTTTGACAGATTTTACTTCAGTTGTAATATTGACTGGAGCAAAGGTGACCACTATACCAGGTTTGAGAACACCAGTCTCCACTCGGCCAACAGGAACAGTACCAATACCACCAATTTTGTAGACATCCTGGGGAGGCAGGCACAAGAGCTTGTTAGTTGGACGATTTGGTGGTAGGATGCAGTCCAGAGCCTCAAGCAGCATGGTTCCACTGACATTGCTATCCTTACGGGTGACTTTCCATCCCTTGAACCAAGGTATGTTAGCAGTTGGCTCCAACATGTTGTCACCATTCCAACCAGAAATTGGCACAAATGCTATTGTGTTGGGGTTGTAGCCAATTTTCTTAATGAAGGTGCTGAATTGATTGCCTCATATCTCTTCTAGCTGTAGGGTGGCTCAGTGGAATCAATTTTGTTAACACCAACAATTAGTTGTTTCACCCCCAGTGTGTAAGCCAGAGGGCATGCTCTCGTGTCTGCCCATTCCTGGGGATGCTACCTTCAAATTCACCAACACCAGCAGCAACAATCAGGACAGCAGAGTCAGCCTGAGATGTCCCTGTAATCATGTTTTTGATGAAGACTCTGTGTCCTGGGGCATCAATAATAGTCACATAGTACTTACTTGTCTCAAATTTCCACAAGGAGATATCAATGGTGATGCCACCTTCATGCTCAGCATTCAGTTTATCCAAGACCCAGGCATACTTGAAGGAGCCCTTTCCCATCTCAGCAGCCTCCTTCTCAAATTTCTCCATGATTCTTTTGTCGATGCCACTGCATTTTTAGATCAGATGGCCAGTAGTGGTAAACTTGCCCAAATCTACGTGTCCGATGATGACAATGTTGATGTGAGTCTTTTCCTTTCCCATTTTGGCTTTTAGGGGTAGTTTTCATGACACCTCTGTTCTGGCGGCAAACCCGTTGTGAAAAAGGGGGACAATTATTTTTTAGTACCTAGGTATACTGGACACTAGAGTAGGAATGAGACCCTATAAAGTGGTGAGCTAAAGAGACATGCTCCATACCATCAAAGAATTTATATTTTAATGTACATATTAAGAATGTGAACAGTTGAATATATAATGAACATTATAATAAACGTGAAGGTAAAGACACTATTCAATAGTGTCTATTCAATGACACTCAAAAATAGTTTCTATACTATATAATAGAGAGTTGTGGGGTTTGCGTTGGCTTCCTGTGGCTTCCTCCTGTGATTTCTGCTGGATCCTCTCTTCCAGACCAGCCTTTCAAGGTAGAGCACTCTAAAGCTTAGTCTTACAAATTATTCTCATCACTACTACATTCAAATACTGTGATTTGCCTGGAATCAATAATGCTTCCATCATTGGCATAATCCTATTACTTATAATATCACATATATCTTGCTGAATCCAAATTTTTATCTCATTCTAATATTTCCCCAAGCTGTAGGCTCATATATCTTTACACTAAGCATTCACATCCAAAACAGAAATCTTGATATCTCAACCCCATCCTACCCCATCCCCAAATTCTTTATTTCATTATTTGTTAATCTCAATCACACAGTTGCTCAGGACAAAGATCTTGGAAGCATCCTAACTGCTCTTTTTTATAATGCAACAGAATATCTGGTCATCTGCCTTTAGAATATAGGCCAGGTCTGATCACTTGTCAACAATTCCACTGTTCCTATCTTAATCCAAGCCACCATTGTCGCTTTTCTGACTATGTAGTAGCTACCATATTGGTCTCCCTTTTTACATTTTACAGTGTATTTCCCCTACAATCTATTATCAGTACAACAGTCTAAGTAATCATTTCAAAATGCAGATTGGTGGTGACTCTTCAATGTCTACAATCAATCTTTACAGTTCAGGTAAAATCAGAAATCTTTACTGTGTTCCAAAATGCCATACATGTTCTGGCCATAGGATTCTTCTCAGGCCTCATAATCTGCGGTCCTTCTGGATGGCTGTGATCCAGCCACACTGGCACCCTGCTCTTGAAACTGAGCAGATGTTGCTTTTATAGAAGTCTACATTAATTCCCTCTAGAGAGAGGTTCGTATATTTGTAATTCCATCATCAAGACTAGGTTCTATATATAGGCATTTGCCAGAGACTTATTATTGATAATAGTGCATGACATGCATCCTTTTTGAGTTAGTTTCTTTGTTTCCATAATGTGAAATTTTCATTTCCTTCTGTAATAAGATGCTATCTTCCCAAATAAAATAATTGACTCTGACTTATTTCTGAAAGTTTATAATTTTTCTAAAATGTCATACAGTCTTTTTCTAAATTTGTATCAGATTCTAAGATCCTATTATTTGGAAATGCTTTGACTACAAAAAAAGTTTAAAGGAAATTGTTTTATGAGACTAGTCATCTAAATTAGTAATACATTGTTAGTTTGTGTATACTCAATAAGGAGAAAACAGTCATCTTTATATCCATATTATTCTCCAAGTTTCAGAAAGGTAATCCAGTTGCTGAGAATTCAACAGCCCCTATGATATTAAATGGAAATGTTCATGCAATTACTGACTTTATGGTTCTTACTTTATTCCTGAGGGAAAGTCAATAAAAGAATAAAGGAAATATACTTCTAACTCTATTGGTTTTAATATGAACATTTTGTTTAATTGCTAATATTGTTTAAACATACATCTCTTTCATCTTAAAGCATTGTTATTCACATCCTCCTCTTGATCAAATAAGGAATTAATTCCATTGAATTATCTTAAATATGTTAATAAGTAAACAATAAATTAAATTATTGTTCCTTTAGAGTCTCTGGCATTCTCTCACATATATCTTCTTCTATTGTCCATATCCACTTTCTTCTACTGATAATATATTTCAGTAAAAATATTCATAGCCATCATTCTCCTTGATGTGGAGCAGATTTTTCCATGTTAGTAAGTGAATGATTATTAACCTCGGTTCTACTTTTGCCCGACATCAGTTTTTCATAGGTGTTCAGCTAGGCACTTGCAGCCTAATCTATTCTTCTCCCCATACCAATGCGATACCATCTGGATACAACAACAACAACAAAAATTCAGTTTTCTAAATTGAAGCTCTGTAGGAATTAGCGATAATGGTTTTTAATTCCTCACCCGACCAATATTAATCACTCCTAATTTCTATGTAATGTAGCTATCCTTTTTTTATTCTATATATCTTGTGAACTAAATGTTTTATCCATCAAAGCATACTGCAGAAACAAAGAAGCTAAAAGAGAAAAAAGAGAAAGAAAGAAAAAAAAAGATCTGCAGGCAGTAAGGGAAGAAAAGAAGAATGGAGCCACAAAGAAATAGAAGAGCTCCTGCTTTGTTCCTGCTGGTCCAATGTTTGGAAACTGGCTGGTGCTCTAATTGTATCTCACTGTTTCTCTTTATTTTGGAACAAATTGCTAGAATGACTAGCCCAGTCTCTGACAATTTGGCCTCCATCAGTGACACTGAAGTATTTCCCTCTTCCTCAAATTACTAATAAAATCTAAATAAGCTCTGCTCCCACCTGCTTAAATTTTACATCTACAATATCTGGAGATGAGCCAAATTTATTTGCTATAACCCTATTCATCTTGGAATCTAATTACCCGACACCTCCCTCAGAAGCCTATGCTCAAACTCCATCTCCCACAGTTCCTATTAGTGTGTGGAGAGACACTGACTTGTATCTCCTGCCCCTATTTTAAATTGTATCTCTTTAATTCCAGGTTAACATAAGACCTGCACATTCTATCACAATCTACCTTCAGAGCAATGGAGAGAAAGATAAGATTAAACTTTCAAACACAGCAAGTCTGCTTATCCCATTGTAAGGGTTTTGATTTGGAAGGACTGGGATCCTGAGACATGAACTTGAGAAACTTGGGTAGATGCACTAGAAAATTTTGAAAACCTAGACTTGTTTCCCTCATAGGATCTTCAGAAGCAGCCCACTCCTCTGTCTCTCAAGACAGCATGCCTCCCACAGCATAAGTCTCTGCTCCCCCTCATGGCCAGAAGATCAACAAAATAGGATTGTTCACAACGTAACTTGATAAATAAATTGCTGTGTTACCTGAAGGAGGAATGATACTATATCGTTAAAGATCTGTAGGAGTAAGTCCACATGCACTTGTATGAGCTGGGAGAGAATGGATCTGGTAAGAGCTAGAACAAGAAGGGCAGAACATAAAATTTGGTGAATTTTATAAACATGGAAGAAATCTCCTGTGATAAGAAAATAAACATCCTGATAAGGATGCCAGAAGATAGCATCATTATGCTGCTAGCAAATCCCTGTGAAGCTTAGAGAAAGTAATGATCCACCCTAAGCAAACAGAAATAATAGAACTATTGTGGCAAGTTGAAGAAATATTCAAAAAAAGCCATACAAAACTGAACATGTTTTAGTGGATACCATGTAATATCAAGAGCCTACCAACTGACTATGGTTTACTGAAGACAAATCATAGTTGGTAGGAGATACCTGGGTGAGAAAGGTACTGGAATTAATTGAGAAGTGGAGGATGTTGTCTGCAGGCAACTTGGAAGGAGATAGTAATACAGAAGTGACCATCCAGATAGCAAAGGGCATGACATAAAGGAGGTGATAATGATAGTGCTTAACCATCAGAAGCAAGCTGTCTGCAACTGTTGCAAGGAATAGCAAGATCTTAGTCACAGGCAGGTGACTAACCTTTAGAGATATCCAGGGATGGTAAGTGTAATATGGTTTCCATAGAGACAAGATAGAGAAGAAATTGGCAAAGGGTTTGCTTAATCTATATAAAGGAAGAGACTGTACAATTGATAGACACCTCAATTTAAATCAGAAGCTTTGTGCCAATTCAGATCTGAGTTTTCATACCTTAAATTGATTGACTCAAAAGATGACCAGGTCCCCAGAGAAAAGGACCTACAAAGTCATGGTAAACAAACACTGTGATGATTCCCTGCATCCTTCCCCCAGGGAATTATGGCTATTTGTTAGAGTGACTGTATACACAGGAAATGAAAACGTCAAACATATCAAGAACTATGGATTTGTGAAAAACACTCTGGATCCACAGGGGTTAGTGTTTCCATGGCCTGACACAACAAATGTACAATTAAACATAAGTAGCTATGACTGCTTTCCAGTCACTTTTGTTTCCTTGTGTAAAGAATCACCAATCTGGCCTCAGGAATTAATGCTTTGATTACACACTGTGGGAAGGTTGCTAAGAAATGTAAAATGTCTGAAATTTTTACCCTGCTTGCAAAATAAATAGTTACCCTGACAAAGTTTCATAATTCTGGCAAAGAACATGAGACTCCTAGGTCACTTATAAGGAACTTTATTACTCAGGGCACAGTATGAAAAACCACCAATCTTTCAAATCAGGGTGCTTGCAAACCACCTAATCTTTGCCTTGGAATGACATATCTTTATTAAACTTCTCAGGAAATCCATGCATCCTCCATCCTGGAATGAGCCACTGTATCTTCCAGTGCTGTTTACCATACAAATATAACTGAAAAGACGGTCCAAAAACACAGTATGATAAAGTCATGCACAAATGAAAAAGACTCATAGAAAATTGTCTCCCATTAATACCCGACACTCATTTCTATACCATTTAACTACTGATGAATTTTCTCACAAGTGTGCCATCTGCCTGCCTCTTTGACTCTGATTAATATGACTGCCAGGGGCTAGGGCTAAATCAGTTTAATTTGTGTTATGCAGCATTTAACTAAAGCTACTATTAACAGAACCCCCTAACAGCCAAATTAATTATTGACTTCAGCACTGTCCTCCATATTCCCAGTTGAATAAACCCCATAAAGCTAACAGTGTCTACCTTAGAAAGTCAGGTGGCATTCTACTGTAGTTTTTGTATTAACTTTTCTACCAAGTCCAAAGCATTAATACAGGTACAGCGGGTTACATTAAAGATCGCCTAGATACCACCATGGGCAACAACAAGGACAATTCCAACACTGCCTAATCCGGATAGCTTCCAGAACTAACACAGTATTTCCTTAAACACTAGAAGGAGTCTTACAACCAACCCTAAGGTGAAAGTCACTGTTTTTTGGTGGGGAGGCAACTTAATACCCAGCTTCGAATATAAGAAATATAATCCCAATGGCACACAAAGGGACTCCTGGAAAGAAAGGGTTATTTACAATTGTTGGAGGCCCCCAAGAAGAGCTACTCTGATTCTCAGTTTCATCATGAGGAAATGTCAACTAACTGTTGGCATGGATGAAGAGAACAGATTGAAATGAGTAGTTCCTTCAAAAATGAAGCCCAGACTCAACCATTTGAAATGAACTAGGAACCCTAGGGTCTACAGGTTGGCAGGAGGAGGGGTGAAAATTGGAAACATTGTCAACTTGTGACCCACGGGTCAGACGTAGAGGATCACAACAAAAGCTTTTGGTTTTTGTAGTGCATATTGTAATGTCCTATTCCCATAGGAAGAAAAACTTTTTTATTTCAAATACAATTAGAAAAGTTTAATTTTTAGAAATTTAAATGCTAAAATGATTTTTATATCTCTATCACATATAGCAGAAATTGCAGTAGACTACCAAAAATTCATCTATAAATTAGTTCATTTAAAAGTCACATTTTAAAATTAAAATACATACTTATTCTCTACATATATTATGCTGTAATTAAAATGACAACTTGGGCAATATTAGAACTCTGATTTAATTGAGAGATGTTTGGCTCATTACAAACAATGTATTCATTTTTAAAAAATGAAATTCTAATTAGCGTTGGCTTCCTGTCAAAATCAGTAATTAAGAAAGTTGTCAAAGTCAATCCTATTATTCATCTTGATAATGAAATTATTTAAACATCAAACATAAACATTCTATTAAAATGAAGAGTATAATTGTTGTTAACATTGCTCACTGGGCTTAATAAATATATCATATCAGCTGCATTATCCACCTAAATACCTGTACACAGATGCTTGTGATTAAGAATTTGTAAACTTATCAGAGGCTGAGATTATTTTAAAAATAATATTTAAATATGCTGATTTGGTACAAGTGACAATTGTGGGTAAATAAGGCTCCATTTTTTTTTGAAAGCAAATTACTATGGTTTTATGAGCTCTACTTATTTAAAGTGCTGGATTTATGCCTTTTGGCATATGTCCATGAAACTATTATCCATTGCCAAATATATCCATTGCCCATGGAAGTTTTATCTTGCCTATTTAATTCCTCCTTTCAGCCTTTACCCATCCCTTTTTCCAACCACTGTCAGCTTTTCTTCACTATATATTGGTTTGGATTTTCCAGACTTTTATATGAATGCAATTAGAGATTATGATTGTAGCTCAATTATTTTACTCCCCTTAATTATTTTGAAACATTGAGATTCGTCTGTGGCATCTTATAAATCCATAGTTAATTATTTTTTATTGTTGAGTAGTATTCCATTGTATTGCTATATTCATTCATATTTTGTTGGACATTTGGGTTGTTTCTAGGTATTGTTTTATCCTACTACAAATAAAGATGATATGAACATACATGTTCATGTACAGATCTTTTTATAACATATGTTTTTGTTTATCTTGGATAAATACCTAGAGGTGAAATATCTGGATCATATGGTAAGTCTATATTTACCTATAGTAAACAAACTCATATTTCCATTTCTCCTCCTGTCCACCTTTATGTTATTGTTACAGGATTCCTTTGGTGCTGCTTCACCAGCCGGAAATCTCTGTGGCTGGGTTCGCTCTGCCTGCTCAGCCCAGCAGGCTGAACTGAGCTTGCACTTGCTCAGATCTTGCACCTTCAGTGGCTTGGTACTCAGCCCACAGCTGGACCGGGCATGCTACAAGCAGCTTCTGCATTGGGCACTGGTGTCTAGACAAGAGGAGCCTGGTGGTGCCTAAAAACTTGGAGATGCCAGCAATTGCAAAGCCCCGAGGAATGTTGCAGCTTCTGCTTGGGGAGTCCTGAGGTCTGAGCCCCCAAGAGATGTCACCGTTCCTCACTTCTATAGCTCAGTGAGCAGGAACATGCTACAGCAATCTTTCTCCTGTATTTCAGTGAATGATAGCATGTTACAGCTCTCTATCTCCCATAGGCTGGTGGACAGGAGCATGTTAACAGCTCTCTTTCATTCCCACTGCCCATAGCTCGGCAGGTTTCAGGTTTGTGTCCTACAACCAAGAGGAATAAGGTGTGTGGACACCAGAGAGTGAGTAAGGCAGAGAAGAATTTTATTGAGCAACAGAAGGAACACTCTCAGTGGTGAGAGGGGACACAAAAGTGGGTAGCAGTCTGTGTGGTTGAGTCCAGGGTTTTTATGAGCTTACAATGGGGAAATGAATGCTGATTGGTCCATGGGCAGTCTTTGGAAAAAGCACCATTCATTTGGATAAAAGGCATCATCCAGAAGAAACAAATCGAGAAAGAGAGGGTAAGGCAGGAATGGAAGTTCTCACTCCAGTCATGGACTCTATCCAGAACTGGCAGTTAGGATTTTAGGCTTCAGGCTGTCTTTGGCTCGAAGGTCAGGTTTCACCAGGGACCTGTCCCTGTCTGCCTAGGAATTTGTCTGTCTCCTGTCACTATTGCTATTACTGCAATACCTTTACTTTTTAATTTGTTATAAATCCCAGAATATATTTTCTTCAGCCTGCAGTTAATTTTTAAAAAGATTTAAATTATATGATAAACTCATATGCATATGTGTGTTTGTGTGTATATATATATATATCTTATTATGTCATTCTGGTTCACTCTACTTCATTATATATATATCAAAACTTCCATCTTTCATTATTTTTCTTCAGCCTGAAAGATGTTAGCATTTCTTAATGTGGATCTCCTGGTGATAAATTATTTCAGTTCTTTTATTTCTGAAAAAAAAAATTTCTGTTGTTTCAATTGTAAATGATACTTGTGGTAGGCATAGAATTTTGTGGTGATGGTTTTTGTTTTGTCTTTGTGCTTTCAGTTTTTTAAGGGTGCTTCTCCAGTGCTTCTCCTCTACATCCTTGCTTACCTTGTTTCTGACAAGTGATATCTCCCTCTGCCTTTTTTCCCTTTCTGTATAACATGTCCTTTGCCTTTGGATTGTGTTCTCCTTGTGTATGTGTTGAATTGCGTCTTAAAAATTCATATGTTGATATTTTAGGTCCCAGTACCTAAAAAGATGACTGTATTTGGAGGGAGTATCTTTAAAGAACTAATTAAGGTTAAATGAGGTCATCACGATGGGTTCTAATCCAGTATGACTGATATCCTTATAAGAAGAAATTTGGGAGCAGAAATACACAGACAGGGCCATGTGAAGACAGAGAGAAGACAGCCATCTATAGGCCAAGGAAAAGGGCCTCAGAATGAAATCACTTCTGCTGACACCTTGAACTCAGACTTTTATTTTTCAGAACTATGAAAAAATTAGTTTCTATTGTTTAAGTCACCCAGACTGTGGTACTTCATTAATGCAACCCTGGAAAACTAATAGAGCCAGTTTTTCACATTTTAAAATTTTCTCCTTGATTTTGAGGGAGTTATTTTTATGAGACTAGGTATAGTTTTCTTCATGTTTTTTACTTAGCCTTCATTGGATTTCCTATAACTGTGGGTGTGGGTTTATTCACCCTTATGTTCCAAGACTCTCCTCCCTCATCCAAAAATACTGAGAAGTCTTTTGGAACTAGAAAAAGGGATCCAGTTACAACAAATGGCCCAGTCCAGGAAGCCTCTTCACCCTGTGTGCTCGAGAAACTCCTCACCCTCCTAGAAATACCTAACAAGTTAGTGGAATAGGCAAAAGATAAATGAGACTCAACAGTAAATAACAGCACGACCCAGACAACCTGTTTTTTTTTTTTTTTTTTTCCCCAAGGGCACGAGAGCCTCTTCACATGCCCAGGGACATGGTGAAGTCAGAGGGCACTGATAATGGGACCTCTCCACACCCCTTCCTACCTAGAGTCACCAAGCAGCCTGATCAGGGGAAATGCATTCTACCTTCCCAGGCAGTATCAGCAGTACCAGCAAGAGCATCGGCAGCACCAGATAAACCAAGCAGACCAAAGTAACATTGCAAATAGTAAAAATAAACCTGCCATTGGAAATACATCAGAGCAAAGCAGGCCAATACCTACATACTAACCTAAAAGGTGTGACTTCTCCCCAAAATAAAATGTTTAAATAGGATCCAGAGTCTCTAAACATAATCAAAAACATGTCTAGGACACAATAAGCAATCACTTATGATATCTAGTAATCAAAAACATTACAGTTTAAATGAGAAAAGGAAATCAACTAACACAAGAAGACAAATCAGATATTGGAATTATCTGACCACAACTTTAAAGCAGTCATCATAAAAATGCTTCAAAATTCAATTGCATGTTTTCTTGAAATAAATGAAAAAATTAGAAAACCTTAACAGAAAAATAGAAGTGATAAAAAATAAACTAATGAACAAGTCTTTCTTCTCCTTGGTTAAGTTTATTCCTAAGTATATTGTTCTTTTTGATGCTATTGTAAATGGAATTTTTAATATCTCATTTTCTGGTACTTCATTGTTAGCATATAAAAATACAACTGACTTTGTATGTTTATTTTGCATCCTGAAAATTTACTAAATTTGTTTATTCTAAGTTTTTTGTGGAGTTTTAAGGATTTTTACTATATGTTTATGTCATCTGCAAACAGATAATTTTGTTGCTTTCTTTCCACTTTGGATGCCTTTTATTTTTCTTGCCAAATTGCTCTCACTATGACTTCCAGTACCTGAGTGAATAGAAGTAGAGAAAGTGGGCATTCTGGTTTTGTTTTCGATGTTAGAAGAAGCTTTTCGTTTTTCACTGTTGAGTCTCATATTGGCCATGGGCTTATCATAGGTGGCAATTACATTCTATGGTTAAGGAAAGCTAAAATAATTTGTCCCTGGGAGTCCGATTTTAATGATTGGCTAAAGAATGCTCTTCATTCAGGAATGATATGATACAAAAGTTAACTTAGAACATCAAGGAAGGAAAAAAGATGATAGAAAGTTTGGAAATATGAATACATATAACACACTATATTTTCCTCTTTAGTTTTATAATTGTATTTGATGATTGAAACAAAGATTTTTAACACTATCTGAGATAGTAGTAGTGTCTCAGGAAAAATAAAGGTACCTAAATAGAAATTAAGTCTCCACATTCCACTTGACATGGTAAATGTTACTGATAGAATGTTATAAGTCACCTGTGAATGATATACAAAGCAACTGTGATGGGAAGTATACAAAGAGATACAGTCAAAAATACTGCTAATAAACCAAGACTGACCCCCAGCAAATGTTCACTAGCCCACAGAAAGGCAAGAAAAAAGAGAAAAATAATTCCTTCCTCACATAGGAAAGGTATCTCCACAAGCCCCTCACCACTGGATCTACAGAAAGCTTCTATGGTGGCAAGTCTCTGAACCCTTGTTGGATTTATTTCCCACCTTCCTTCAAACAAATGACTTACCAATACATCTAGAATTGTTGCTATTTCTTATTCACCTGGTCCAACCAGCATTACACCAGCATCAATTTATGCTATAATATGGAGAGGCTACAAAAAAAGAAATAAAACTACTATATCATTCATTCAGACATTTCTTTTTGGAAAATTTTCTCACATCAATGATATTTTTTTCTTTTATCCAAAACACAGATCAAAGATGCTCTAGGAAAGATTAACAGGAGTTCCCTAAGTCAAGTAAACATCTATTATTACCCTCTCTCCTCCAAAATACTATACATTCATATGACAAGTGTGTTTGTTGTTGTGCATTTATAAATCTTCAGTATTGAAGGTTGAGCTAATTATGTTTCAGAATGCAAGAGAAACCATAAAATGATGTGTAGCTTTTGTTATTAAGATATTTCTGGATGTATTTATTTATTCTGTGTCACTTCCTTTCCCATGCTCCTCATGAGCCCAATGGCAATAGTTCTAATATGTTGAATATTTTACTTTATGTGTGTTATTTTGAAATGTGTTAAATTTCAAATTTGTGTATATGGTTTTTTATATATATTATATATATATTTAGATGTATGTGTAAAACATATACCTTATTTTTTCTCAAATATATTTCTACGCTTCAATCATATCATATGATTGAAGTACATTGAATACATTTCTTTCAATCACCTCATAAGTCATTTTTCATATATTCTATGTATACCTCATATACTCTTCTGAAAGTGGACTGATTAACTGCAACTTCCAATGTCACAAAGAATGCCATATAGAATACTGAGTCCTTTTGTGGACCAGTGTTAGAATTACTTTGAAATACATACTGAGTAACGAAATAAATCATGCATATTCTTAATTTAAATAAATACTGCCAGGTTACTTTCCAGGAGAGCTGCTCCATCAGTGCATGGAGATTCGTACTATTTAATTCATCACATTTTTAATCTTTACTAGTCTAATAAGCGTAAGTAAAATCTATTATTATTTTACTCTGCTTTGCTCTGATTATAAAAGGATTTCACCATCTCTTGATATGATTTTTAGCATTCTGGGGTTTCTCTTCTAAAACTTGTCTATTATATTCTTTGCCTGTCTATTGTGGTTCCAGTATTTTTCTAGTTACTTTTCAGGAGTCCCTTGTATATTCTCATTCATTCTCAGTTTTACACAATAAGAGTATTTTATCAAAGTGTTACTTTCTGATATTTCTGTCCATAATGTGCTTTGTTTTATTTTTAAAAAATTCTTAGTTTTGATATATTCTTTTTTTTTTTTTTGGTTGCTAGTTTAGGGATTGTAGTTTCAGAGTATATAGAAATACTTTCCTACCCTATGACACAATGATATCACCCTTATTATTCATTCTATTTTCAGATTTGTAAATCACAATTAGGTCTTATTTCATCTGGAGTTCATATTTATATAAGGCATGCTTTCCAAATTTAGTTTTATTTTTCTCCATTTAGTTTTTCCTAAGTCATTAAACCAAAATGAGTTTATATTATTATTTGTGTTGCTGGTCTATGCAAATGCTATTATATTTGATACATTCATCTTGGGATTGGCAGCCTTGCCAGGAGAAAGATCCCTAGAGCCTGTTTCTCACAGTTATTACAACTAAAATATCAGAACATAACATGAAGAGCATCTACCAGAGGACTATGAAAAGCCGACAACAGGCAGATCATGGAAGAAAGTGAAATATAAAATAATGAACCATAAAGTTTTGAGCATCACAACTCTTTTTCTCACTTTTATCTTACTATTTTGACATAAAGGGGGTGCCAATTCTCAGAACTGCATCAGGGGTGAACTCAGCAAAAACTCTAAAAGAAAGTCTCCTCTTTCTAGCTAGAGGACTGAAAAGAGACCACATGAGCCAAAGAATGTGGGAGGAATTGCATCCTTTTCATTTTCTTTCTTTTTAAGTTCCCTTTTGTTTCTGCATTCCGAGGCTACTCCATTAGAAGAGCTTCATGGTGGTGCTCAGGTTTCTGATCCACGTTTGTTAGCACTTCTCTCTGTATTTCCCCTTCATGGATGGCCTATTTTAATGTTTTGGTCATATTCTGTAATCCTTCAGTGTCCAAACTATGGATCACTGATTGTGCCCTGACCAACAAATTCTGAGGGCTGTTTCTGGCTAAGCCTATTCTATTTAATGGTATGTATTAGTCCTGTGGTCTATCCCAACATATGTCAACCCATATCCTACATCTTTTACCAACAACGGACAATAATATTGGCTGAAAGACAGAGATGATCCAAATAATTTTACTCTTGCCCCTAACTCTTTGTACAGTTCTGTGTGTTTTAGTAAGGAAAACAGGAGCAGAATAAGTATAGACTTAAAAATAAAATTAGAAATTTTGAGGCAAACTCCAAAATAGAAATTTGCTTTATAGAATATTATATCATGAACTTTAATGGTCAGAGTGCTGATGCAAAACAGAGAAAATATGAAAAAGCTTTCGTACAAAATTGATCCAATTTTGTGCCAGACTATTTAGAACTAGTTTCCTTGAGTAGAAGCTATCTTGCACTTTAGTATGAAGGAGGTTCTGACTGAATAGCAGTTGCTATTAGTTGCTGTACTGATTTTTCATATCTCTGTTTCATAACTAGACTTAATAACTACATTATTATAAGACATTCTGGAATGTATCCACCTTCTTCTGAGTTATCTTGTAAAACTATCTGAATGAGTAGTTTTTCACTTTTAACACTGCCATACTTAAGATTCAAGGGCTAAAGGAGATTTCCAATGGGGCGATGAGGACCTATGACAGTAGATGGAAGGAAGCAGTTGTAAGAGGGGAAGTAAGAGGAAGAGTTGTGGATGTGTAGCATGTTTATACCTCTCACAAGCTCTGTAATGACAACAGACACTTCTGGATTCCATTCATACCTCATGGCCACAATCAGGAATATCTCCTTCCTAGACTGAGTGGTTTCCAAGGTTAATCATTGCCATTCTCTCTATCAATCACTTAGCAAAGAACTAATCTTTATCTATTACACATAAGTAAAATCTATTTCAAAAATGACCATCTCAAACTTAAACAGAAGGAATGAATAATGAGAGGAATAAAAGTAAAATAGGGAAGTAATAGAAAATGAAAACAGAAGGGCCTGTGTTAAATCTGGTGTCCATGATTAATTTATATGGAAAATATTCATGAAGCATACAGTATTAGTAAAAATAAATAAATAAAGTAGCTAAGAGAAAGAGTTGTAAAATCTTGGGATTCTTGACTCAGATATGCTATTTTTGTCAAGTTACACAAATAAAAGGGTGTGCCATTAGACATATACCCTGGAATTAAGGCAGGTTTAGGAGGATAGCCATGGTAAACAGTGGCTGATTGTGCAATTAAAAATGTTCAGAAGTTCACAAATTTCCAGTCTCAGATCAGTTCAAAAATAATAAGAATTATCAATAAATAGGAGAAAATTGGTAATAATACAAGTAGCCCATTCTTAGAGATCCAAAAATAGAGATAATTTGAACTTGATTAATCTGAGTTTGGGAGAGGACTACTAATTATGATAACAGAAGATGCAGTGGCATTCAAAGCAGACACAGACTTCCATACACAGAGGAGGAAATTGCTCCTTAGAGGACAATAGAGAAGCCCCTCTGCTTAACAATGGGGCATCCTGTGAAATTACAATCCAACCAGAAAGATGATCACATACCAGCATTTTCCACTGTAAATTTCCAAAAATATTAGTTGTGTAGGATATCAGCAGATGATGTATAAAATGTCCTAATTATTCCTTATGTGAAGGAAAAATACCCCAAATCTACAGCTATCCTGTAATTTTGATTTTTGCCTCCCGAGCTTAGTCTAACCACCATTCTGTGCTCAGGTTCCACCTCTCTGTGTTGCAGTTTGTCCCTAGGCAGAAAACAGACTAATCATGGCCATCACTTTGTGAGTTTCTCTATTCTGAGGCATTGCAGTTCTATTCTGTTTGAGTAAAAATTTAATATATTTTAATATATTTTGTCCAGTTTTCAGTGCCAAAAACTCCATTATGGCTGAAGATAAATTTTAATTCAATTACTCTAAGTTATTTTCTCACTTAATCCTAGACTATACTAGTCTTGTATACTCTGTCCAGAGAAACATTCTTAACATGTCTACAAAATGGTCATAATGAAACATTCTTAAAGATATGAATGGCGTTCATTATATACTGTTTATGTAGGCAACAAAACTCTTGTGTTTTAGTGAAAATCTATCAAAATAACAAATAAGATTTAGTATATCAAGGGTTATGTTTTAGGTGCTTAGTAATATTATTCATCCAAATATTTAACTTTTTATTTTTATTCATAGTTTTGTTCTAATTTATTAGAGGTCACATTCTCAGATGCATTAATTTTACATGTAAGCATTTTTGCCATGTTTCTATTGGTTTTAAAATATCAATAAATAAACCTCTGCTATGTCTGAAACATTCACATGTAGATAAAATATCTTGTATTTAAACTGCTCTAGGTTATATTGTTAAATTTATGGGCTTTTCGGAGTTTTTTCTCTAGTTTTGCAATTCTGCTATTTTACTTGAAATGGATATTCACCCTTATTTGAAACTGTTTGCTGACTCTAATGACATTCCTGAGAATTATGAAAAATTCCTTCAGAAACTCACACTTGTTTCATAGAAAAATTGTATTATATTATATTGGGGCCTACTTATTCTTGTAGGAGCTGTGGAAATATTACATTTACACAGAAAATACACTCAGTTTACCTTGTGCAACATTGTATTAGAGTCATATCTAATTAGATTTGCCATTTGTCCACGTTGATATTGCCTTAGGCACTGCAGATTATGAAGTTTAGGAATGACAAAAATACAAGAATTACACAGCAGCTGTTAGAATCATGAAGTTCAGCAGTTTCTCTAAGAGGAAATATAAATAATATATATTTTAAGCTTTTTGATAGAGGAAATATTTAGTGACACTGTACATTATTCCTTTTAGTTTGTGATCCATAAGTCTTCTAAAATCAATTTTAAATCGTCTACCTTATTGTATTTTTGTGAGAGTTTTGGGGCAGTAATTTCTTCCTCAATTGGCATTCAGTTCTCACATATCAAGAAGAAATAAAATATGCTTTCATGTTACATAATATGTAGGTAGAGTTTTACTTTTGAACTTTGAGTTATTTTCAAAATGAACATTGTTCATCATACACTTATGTCGATCCATATCGGAAGCAAAATAATACATAAGAATCTTGATATTTATGAATGAGACTATGCAGGTGCATGGCATTAGAATATTTTTAAAGGTTTTCTGTTGATAGAGAAAGATGTGTGAAATCTGAAAATAATTTAAACAATTGTAGGTAATGCTTATTTAAAGAGTATCTTATAATAAAATTGCACTAAGAAATATATGTGTTCTCTTGATAAAAATCCCAATTTATTGACTAAAGACAGTTCTAATTAAAAACATCAAAGTTAATCATCCTTTTCCAAAACATAAACCTTCTGTCTTCAAAGATGAGTAATAGTTACAGCCGTTGCTTTGATTGCTCAGTGTTCAAGGACTGAATTCCTAAGTAATTTTTATCCATGCATTTCAAATAATAATCCACAGCCCTACTATGACAGAAATGCAAGCCTATGAGATAAATGAGGATGGTCCAATTTGTAAAGGTGTCAGCACAGTAAAAGTGTTACCATCTGTGCTTCAGTGGCTTCAGGTATATGGAGTTGTAATAAATAGGGTGAATCATTTCATTATTCTCCTTTTCTCCATCCAGGTATTTAGATTTGTTTCTAAAATCTTATTTCATCATAAGAATCACTAGGAGCGTTTGGAAAAAATATATAAATTGGTAGGATAACCCACACTTAATAAAAGAGACTGTACAGGGGAAAAGCTATGGGATTAGCATATTAAACAAATTCTGTGTGTTTTTTGCTCTCCTGTAAATTTGAAGAGAATAATTTTGACTAGTGGTCCTAAAAATGCAGTCCTTAGGCCTAGCCAGAGGAATAAAGGAAGACAAATAAATAAAAGCTACCACATTATGAAAGAGAAAGTCAAATTATCTTTCTTCCCTGATGACATAATCTTATATCTAGAAAACCCCAAAGACTTCTCCAAAAGACTCTTAGACTTTATAAATGACTTCAGTAAAGTTTCAGGATACGAAAACAATGTACAAAAATCAGTAGCATTTCTATATACCAATAATGTTCAAGCTGAAAACTAAATCAATAACCCAATCACATTTACAATAGACACAACAAAATAACAGTAGCATTACTATATGCCAATAAAGTTCAGACTGAAAACTAAATCAATAATCACATTTACAATAGACACACACGAAAATAAAATACCCAGGAAAACAGTTAACCAAGGAGGCAAAAGATCCCTAGGACAAGAACTACAAATCACTACAATAAATCATAGATGACACAAACAAATGGAAAAATGCCAGGCATGAGGCTCACGCCTGCAATCCCAACACGTTGGAAGGTTGAGGCAGGAGGATCGCTTGATCCCAAGAGTCTGAGACAAGCCTGAGCAACGTACTGACATCCTCTACATAGTGAGATATCTCTATTAAAAATTTTAAAAATTATCCAGGTGTGGTGATACATACCTGTGATTCTAGCTACTCAGGATGCTGAGGTGATTGGAGCATTTGAGCCTGAGAGGTTGAGGCTGCAGTGAGACATGATCATGCCACTGCACTCCAGCCTGGGCAACAGTGTATGACCTTGTTAAAAAAAAAAAAAAAAGAAAGAAAGAAAAGAAAAGGAAAGGAAAGAAAACAGAAAAACATCCCATGTTAATGGATTGGAAGTATAAACATCATTAAAGTGACCACACTGCCAAAAGCAATATGCAGAGATCCAATGCAACTCCTATCAAATTACCAATGTCGTTTTCCACAGAATTAGAAAAATAATTCTAAAATTAATATGGAACCAAAAATGAGCCGGAATAGACAAAGCAAACCTAAGCAAAGAGAGAGCAAAGCTAGAGGTCTCATATTACCTAACTTCAAATTATACCACAAGGCTATGGTAATCAAAATAACATGGGACTTGTACAAAAATAGATGCACTGATCAGAAATGAAGCCACATGCCTACAACCAACAGATCTTTGATAAAGTTGACAAAAATGCACAATGGGAAAAGGACTCCCCCTTCAATAAATGGTGCTGGACAAACTGGCTAATGATATGTCGAAGAAAGAAACTGGATCCCTATAAATCAGCATATACAAAAATTAACTCAAAATTGATTAAAGACTTAAATGTAAGCCCCAAAACTATAAACATTCTAGAA
Organism: Homo sapiens; assembly: GCF_000001405.40. NCBI lineage: Eukaryota > Metazoa > Chordata > Mammalia > Primates > Hominidae > Homo > Homo sapiens. The sequence goes on along the minus strand of NC_000001.11, from coordinate 194,171,020 downwards.
GAGAACCTAGTACAAACTCTTCCGGACATTGGCCTAGGCAAGTAACTTGTGACTAAGGCTTCAAAAGCAAATGCAACTGAAACAAAAAAAATAAACAAATGAGACTTACTTTAACTAAAAACTTCTGCACAGCAAAAGAAATAACCAACAGAGTAAACGACAACCTACAGAATGGGAGAAGATATTTGCAAACTATGCATATGACAAAGGACCAATATCAGAATCTACAGGAACTTAACAACAACAACACACACACAAGAAAATTACTACATTCAAAACTGGGCAAAGAACATGAACAGACAGTTCTCTAAAAAAGACATGCAAGTGGCCCACGAACATATGAAAAAAATCAACACTACTAATTACCAGAGAAATGCAATGCAAATTAAAAACACAGTGAGATACAATCTCACTCTAGTCAGAATGGCTATTATTAAAAAGTCAAAAACAACAGATGTGAAGAAAAGGTAATGTTCATATACTCTTTTTGAGATCATAAATTAGTACAACATCTATGGAAAACAGTATGGAGATTTCACAAAGAACTAGAAATAGAACTATTATTTGACCCAGGAATCCCACTTCTGGGCGTCTACTCAAAGGAAAAGAAATTGTTATACCAAAAAGACATCTGCACTTGCATATTTGTTGCAGCACGATTCACAGCAGTAAAGTCAACCTATGTGTCTAGAAGTGAATGATTAGATTAAAAATGTGGTATATATACACCCTGGAATACTACACAGTTATATAAAAATAATGTCTTTTGCAGCAAAATTGGTGGAGTTGCAGGTTATTATCCTAAGTGAAATAACTCAGAAACAGAAAATAAAAAACTTAATGTTCTCACTTATAAGTGAAAGCTAAACAATGAGTATATATGGACATACAGAAGGAAATAATAGACACTGGGGCTGCCAAAAGGGGGGAAGGTGGTAGGAGGGTCAGGGTTAAAAAAATTACCTATTGGGTAGAATATTTTCTATTTGAGTGATAGATACACTAGAAACCCAAACCCCGCCACTAGGCAATATATCCGTATAACAAACCTGCACATGTATCTCCTGTATCTATAAAAATAAAAAATAAGAAAAAAATGAAAAAATAAAAGTGCTGTCCTCTGGCCAGCAGTATTACTATCACCAGGAAAACACTTAATACCGCCAGATTCTCGGGTGATGTCCTGAATCTACTCCATCAGACACTTTGGGGTAGGGTCCAGTGTTAATTAGCCCTCCAAGTGATTCTGATGGACACCTACATTTGAAAACCACTGATATGACCGGCTAAACAAGTATGAACCACAGTGATGTACTCATTGGCTTTTAGGTAATGGCATCAGCTATTTCTCTAGGAATTCACCTCGAATTAGTTGATAGGCATTCATTGCTCTCCAAGTGGTTTTCTAGTTCTTAAATTGCATAAGGTTCTGTGATTCACATTACATAGTCAACCTCATGCAACTAAATTGATTTTTGTTTTATTTTATTCTTCTCTTAATAGAGATAATGATACTCTTCACTTTATGGAGTCAAGATATTTCACAAAATGAATTAAGCTCAAGGATCTATGATATCATAGATCCATAGGAAATATCTAGGATATTTCCAATATCCTAGAAGATTAAATAATATTGTTATAATTACTTATGAAAATGCTTTCAACATGCATTCATTCATTTATGGTTTTGATATTTTCAGTAATTAGCACTAGTTTTAAATTAATTTAGTGAAACTGTGTGTGTGTGTGTACACATAAGTCTTTTTAGGTTTCAACAAAGCCATTAAATTGTTAATATTTTTTATAATGAAGATTTTGTATATATTCATAGTGGTTAAACAATGGTCTTTCAATGTCTCTAACATATTTTGACTGCATATTCTGTAACTCACATTAGGGTTATATGACAAATAGGATCTCATATGTTTTAACATTTTATCTTTTATCTTTACATTTAGGGAGAGTTATACTAGGGCTTTGTTTAAGATATGGTTTAAAGTTCTCTGGTGGGATTTATTTTGTCCATTTGGTCTGATATAACAAAATACCATAATGTTGGCAGCTTTATAAAGCTTATAAACAACAAAACTTTATTTCTTACAGTTCTGGAAGCAGGCTGGGAAGTCCAAGATTAAGGTGCTATCAGACTCAGTGTCTGATGAGGCTAAACTTCCTCTTAGACAGTCATCTTCTTACTCTAGCCTCACATGACCAAAGGGATGAGAGAGGTCTCTCGGGCCACTTTTATAAGGGTACTAACCCCATTCATGAAGGCTCTGCCCTGATAACCTAATCACCTCCCAAAGGTCCCACCTCCTAATATTCTCACCCTGGGGCTTAATATATGAAGCACCTAAACACCCAGACCATATAAAGGTTAATGGCATGGTCAGTATCAGAATTACATGTGAAAGTGAGAGTGTGTGCTTTTAGATTAATATTTTTCCTGATTTCCCTTCCCTAAAGTACCAGACATTCATTTAGCATGAGGAATCTATCAGCACAGGCAGAATAACTTGTTCCCTAATTGCAGGAATAGGCAATGCCTAAGTAGAGATCTAAGGGTTGCTAAAACCATGGCTGCTTTTATGTCACTGCGGAAAGATGCTAATACTTTCATTATAGAGTACTAGCCACAGTCAAACTTTGTATCATTTCCAATGTCCAGAAGTAGCCACGTAATTAAATACTTCTTGGTGCTTTTTACTGATATGACAGTGGCTGCTAACAAACCAGACATTAGGAAAAGGGATTTATAGATTCTTCCATACACAGCTTCAAGTAACAGCAATCCTAACGTTTGTGCTCATTAATTAGTTTAGTTTAGGTCCAGTGTAGTAACTTAAAATAAACTAGATGATCATTAAGAAACCACAGAACTTGATTTTTTAAATAATATTACTTTGTTCCCAGGCTCTGTGTCATTTTTTTTCCTGTCACTCAATAGAAATATGCATTGTTTAACATGAGAAATATCCAAAGTATGTCATAGAAGAGATTTAGATATTTAAGTTTCTTCAACTAACAAGTATGGCATTTGCTGATTCGCTATTTGCCATATAAAAAAAGAAAAAGCTATAGTTTTCTTCTCTCAGAACAAAAGCAAAGTTGCTTTCTAGATAAGGTACATAAAATGTTATATAATTACTTTCTTATATATGCTGCAGGCTTACCATGTCCCATAACTGTATAATAGAAAATTGACTTGGCAAAAGACATACATGTGATGGTTTCTGGATTAAGATTGAGGATATGAAGTGGTCCAAATAAGGTGAATTAATTACTCTCTTGTAAATCTTCTACAGCTTGGTAGACACTTGTGCACTGTATGAGTCCGTTTTCATGCTCCTGATAAAGACATACCCCAGACTGAGAAGAAAAAGAGGTTTAATTGGACTTACAGTTCCACATGGCTGGAGAGGCCTCAGAGACATGGTGGGAGGCAAAAAGCACTTCTTACATAGCGGCAACAGGAGAAAATGAGGAAGAAGCAAAAGCGGAAACGCTGATAAACCCATCAGATCAGGTGAGACTTATTCACTATCATAATGGCACAGGAAAGAAGTGACCACATGATTCAATTTCCTCCCGCTGGGTCCATCCCACAACAAGTGGGAATTCTGGGAGATACAATACAAGTTGAGATTTGGGTGGGGACACAGCCAATCCGTATCATGCACTGTGTACATAATTAGATGTTTGACCAAATTTTTTTAAAAATGGCTATACAGAGAAAGACTTGTAGTAATTAATCTGGTAATTATGAGCCCAGGTTTTAGGGTCAAATTTCAGTGTTTAAATCCTTGATCCACCATTTAACATTTGGGCAAATTGGGAAAGTTATATAACCTTTCTAACATCTACATTATTAAAGTACAATTAATTTAAATAATATTTTATAGTCATTATTATTTCATAATGGCCTTCCACATTTTCAGTAAAATTGTATAAATAAAATTAAACTCTATATTTACATAAAATAAATATTTTTAACATTATGTATTAGTTAAAAGTACTTAGATAATATCCATTCGGTATCCATCTATTTTTACATAATTCTTTTCATCCTTCTTTTCATCTCACACAGTTAAGTTTCTCAGTTACTTTTCTGGGTGAAGACTCTAAATGTTTTTAAGCAGTCTCTCACTCTTGATTAGTCTCTATTCTAAAAGATATAGTTCCAAGTCTTTCCCTGTCTGGCTTTTGGTCGAATAATTCGACTCTTATTATAAATGCAGTGTTTCATATTCTGACTGATGTTTTTATCATATAGAAATAGCTTATGGTTTGGTTCTATATAGTAAATGTTTGTTTATTTTCTTTTTGATAAAATAATTTTTAAAGACTAATTCTTATGTTTCATACCTGAAATTTGTAAAATATGTCTTAAAAATGGCTGTACAGTTTTTCCTCCCATTCCAAAGAGTTAGACTCTGTTAAGATGTATAGTGTCTGCCAACTCAAATCAGACAACACATTCTACATCTATTATCAAGTGATGTTGGACTCTTGAGTGACCTGACTGTCCTATTCTGATTAATAGCATTATTCGTTTCTTCAGCCTTTGAACATAAAGCATGAGAAGGTCATTCATTTATGTGAATAGCAGATGGAAGGAAGTAACATTTATGAAATACCTATTCAAACCAGGCAATATTCAGCACAGGAATATAAGATTGTATGAAATATCAGTCTTCCTTAAAAGACACAGTAAGCTATAGACTAATACATAAATAACTATAATCTAATAAGAAACAGCAGTACGTTGGTTAAGTGCAAGAGATTTCAAGCAGAAAAATCTAAGCACAAGTCCCAATTGTACAATTTATTAATTATGAGACTTGTGGAAGTTCTATAACTTCTGAAATTCTGACTTTTCTAATATATGAAAATAAATAAGAAATGTCCCATTTTTCATAATTTTGGCTATTAATATAACATGCCACAAATGGGAAAATGTCATGGATGCTCTGTAAACATATTCACGAAATACAAGTGTAGAAATAAAGTAAATAGAAATAAAGCTTGAGGAAAAATTGAAATAGCATGTTTCATATGTTTTCCTCAAACTTCAGCAAGGTCTAAAAAATGCCAATAAATAAAGAAAAGTTTGATAACTACTGTAGACATTAAAGGTATTAATATTCACTAAATTTATATAGTAAATGTACATAGAGGTCTATAATAATTGTAAATTCCAAAATATCTTAATTGTGTTATTCTCTAGAGGGAGGAGGAATATTATTATGCATTATTTTTCAAAGGTGAATTGTAAATCAATGGATGTTTTTTCTATTATTCCGATTTCTTTGTTCATTATATGAAATATTTTATATTTAATAACATTAAGTCATAATTTAAAAAACATTATTGTTATTGAAGGACTACTAATATCACAATGGCAACTGGTTGATGGCAACCAGTTAAAGGATTTGTATGAGTTGTTTGGTAATGGGTAGAAGTTGAGATGTTGTGAGTGAGAAAAATGTTATCTTTCATAAGGAGATTAGGAGACTCTAAAAACTACAAATAAAAAAGAGGGATAAGCTTCAAATTTCTTATCATGGTGTTATCAGGAGTACCAAAATCAAAAATGGGTAAAAAAATTAACTCGAGTTGAATTACAGACGGGATGAGGCACTAGAGTTTTTCACTTAATTATAATGTTGTAAACCTTTTATACAGTTTGGTTCTTTAACATGCATGTTAAAAATCTAGTCATTTTATAATATAATGTTGTGCCAAGAAAATAAATTAATATGCACTTTTTTTAGTAAAAGCCCCTGTAATAATTGTGCTAGAAAACAGAATCTTGTAACAGATTTGTTTCAGTTGTTTGCTGTGTTGATTCCATTCTTGAGAAAGTTTCTGTTATCACTAAATAAACATATTTAGGAAAGAAGGGAATATTTATGTACATTTATTTTTGAATTCAAAAGTCAACATTGTACATTCCATTAAATATAATGTAAATCTGTCAGTTGGATTTAACTTCGAACAAAGATTATGCATCCATAAAATGTAGGATGCTGGAAAAAATCATATTTTATTTGAAAATTTGTGATATCAGCATAAAAATATAGAGGTTGCTATAACTGCAAACAAAATATGCTTTCATTGTGGAAGAGTAAGTTAAGTGCATCTTGGTTTAGAAAAGAAAACAAGCATGTGAAATTAAACTGATGTGCTTTTGAATAAGAGATGCTTCCTTTCATATTAGCAATAGATGCTTATATTCTGGAAACCAGATTATCTTATTTTGATTTTGTTTCATTTAATTTATTTGCTGTTGTCCTTTGACATCAGTTCACTGAACTACAAAATAACTATCATTTATGAAGCCCCCACAGTCCAGATAAAATGTAGCCATTTTGCTTTTCATTAGGAATTTCCATGAAACTGTTCTTCAATACCACGAGTTAACGTGCTTTCTCAATGTGCTACTATCCAATTGGGATCAGAATTTGTTATTTGTAATATATTTTAATATTCTTTTTTTAACTGCAGTGTCTATTTTCTAAATACACTATTTTTATGAGTTTCCACTAAAATTGTAAGGATGACCCTACCTAAAATACAGGTTTAGAATGTATGAAAGCCATTGTATAAAGAAAAGGCAGCATTTAATGATTTTGGAAGCTTGCTAATTTATTCACACTCTCTGGCTCCTCCCTTTCTCAAAGCCCCCCCCAGATTGACCATTCAAAGAAGAAACTGATATTATGAACCAGCACTTCATTTCTACAAAATGGCATTTTTAAAAATTCTTAATTATTCATTTGGCAAAGAAACACTATTATCCTTGCATTTTTTAAAACTGCTTCTTCATATTCAAGGTCACATAAGCATAGATAATTACACATTATCTCAGTTCCTTGGGAACATTTTAATGACTATTTAGTAATTCTTCAGATTTTATAGTCATATTAGGAAAGAAACTAGATTGCTATTTAGTTAAAAATAAAAACATGGTATGGATCAAATATAACATAAACAAAACTCTACATAAAATTTCTTAACAAAAACTACTACAAAAGTAAATAATGTTCTCATCTTTGATAAATTCAAGGTTGTCTCTTCACACCTGACTTTTGCCCAATTTTTCTAACTTTGTATCTTCTATCCGTGAGCAGTCCTAGCCTTGACTCTTTTTCTTTCCTTGCTTTACATTGTTCACACAATAAAGAGTAAACAGATAGGGATTTCTGTTCTCTGTAACCCTACTCTCTAAAATCCTACACGTGCTAGCAAAGCATAAACACTTTCTCAAAACTACAGTTAGACTGCATTCTTTAATATATATAATTTGATCAACTGTTCCTTTGGAACATTACATAAGTGTGTAAACTGATGCCAATAAAATCTTTGATCCCTAATCCCAGCTGTATGTTGGTCCCATCTACCACTTCTTTAATTTAGCTTTTATCATCTCATGATTTCAATGCATTTTATTAACCCCCTGATTAGGTTAATAAGGTTTCTTACTCATTGCCTGGAACTCTTGCTCCCAATTAATGGTGTTGCATCTTTGAATTTGTTTCATTTAGCAAACTAAAAGTACTAGAGTACTTTCTCCTTCAATATCCTGTCCACTCACTTTAAAGATGTATTTCTTTGTATTTTTCCAGCCATCCTTTTGCCCTTTCTGCAAGAATCCCAGGATGAGTTTTATTTACACTGTCATCCTTCATTCTATCTTTCCTTTTTTCTTGTAGATTCCTACTGTATTAATTATACCCTTCCTCTTGTGGATTTTCAAACCTATTAATTATTTACTGGCTCCTTTCCCAATGGCTATAATCTCAAGTCTTTCTCATACTAAAAAGGAATAAGCAGCAAAGTTTAATACAAAACCATACAAAATATTTTGATCTTGTTTTCCATTATCTCCTACCACATCCTCATTCAAATAGTCAATGTACAGATTTGTCCCTGCTTCCTCTTTTTAAAATATATCTTGCCTCCATCACACGATCGTACTTATCACTCTGTTAACTCACGGACAAAGATAATGGTTCTTCTAAAAATCCAAACTTTTTCCTTCATTTGACTGTGTTGTAAAGATTTTCTACCTTAAAACCTTTTGTTCCTTTGATTTCCTTGAACATGACAGAGAACCATCCTCTACCCGTCTTCAAATTCTCTGACTATCCTCTATTTACTTCACTACCTTCACCATCCCTTAAATATCTGCTGATGTTGTGGATTAATGTTTCTTTCTCTTTACTCTTCAAATGTGAGGTAATCTCTCTTACTGATTTTTAAGCACTTTAGTGCCTTTAAAAAACCGTGAAGGGACATTTCCCGTTATGAATCTGCTAAGTAAGATATGAATCTAGATTCAACTATTTCATATCATAAAGAAAGCATCAATGCTTTAGGGCCAAGGTACTCCTTTAAGAATGAAAAAGCTCATTATGGATTCTGAACTGGCCTTAAGATTATTTTCTCTTGATATAAATAATCTGTGTAATCCCATTGGGTTTGGATGGAACCTGTAGACATAAGACATCATGTCCGTGGTTAAATATATGGCAAAATGAAGATTAACCTGAGTGGACCTGATCTAGTCAAATGAACTCCTTGTAAGCAGAATTTTTTCTCTAGCTGCTACAGGAGAAGTCAGAGACAGGCAGAGGAGAAGTCAGAGACATGTAGCAGAGAGCTACAGTCCTAGCTACTTGGGAGGCTGAGGCAGGAAGATTGCTTAGGCTGCAGGCTGTAGTGAACTATGATCATGCCACTATTGTGCACTCCATCCTGGATGACAGAGCAAGTCTGTGTCTCTTTTAAAAAAAAAGAGAAGAAGAAAAGAAAACAAAAAGGAGGCAGAGAACACAAAGCAGGGCAAAAGTTGTAATCAATAACAGAGAAGCAGGAACTCATGCTAGTCTGGAGATGGGGATGTTTGGCCATTTTTGTAGTATGGACGGTGTTTTATCTGTCTGTGCTCAGTCACGATTATGGAGGGGGCTTGTTTTTAGCTCACTCCATCATTGTCACAGAATGACCTTGTCTGATATTGGTGTTCTGTGAAATGGTTTAGTTTGTCAGGAGAATACCATGGCCTAGCTGTTAGTGCAAGGTCAGCTCTCAGCTGACAGCTGAGGGGCTGCTTTTCTTTCTCAAAGGAAATAATTGGATAAAAATAAAACCATTTTGGATTTGTACATCACTTATTTCAGATGGGTCAATAAACTGGTAATGTGCTGATTGTACACATTTTTCATTTCTGCCCAGGCCTCTCACCCAAACTTCTGACTCATGCACCCAGCTGTGTCCTTCAGATCTTGAGTTAGACGTCCCAATGCACTTCAAAATCAGCATGTCCAAAAGTATTCTCAGGATCCATGCCTCCAACCTGTTTCTTTTCCTGAATTATCTATCTCTGCTGTAGGTACCAATTTATGTTCAGCAAGAATCTCCTCTCACATCCTTCATGCACACATAAAAAAATCCCTCAACCTGTACAAAAATAATACACCAAGTTCAATCAATTTCAACTGTTCAAGTCTTTTCAACTTAGCCCACCTTTTAAAAACTATTCTTAAAATAAGTGCAGGAAAATGGTATTTCAATGTGCAAATACTTGCATTTGTAAAATGACAACAGTTTCTTAGCTTTTCAATGTTGAGAGTTTAACATTTGTTTCTCATTTAGGCTGTGGTAGCTATGAGCAGTGCTGACTTCATGGGTATGCCACCCTGTGCAGCCACACACAGCCATGTGCTTAGGAGGGCCCACACTCAGTTTAATGCTCTGTCGTTGTCATATTGAAATATTTAAAAATTTTTAACAAAGGGTTTCACATTGTCATTCTGCACTAGGCTCCACATATTATATAGCTGGTTCTTGCTAAGAGAATGATTCTCACAGGCCTCCAAGTAGGGAATGTATAGCTGAAGAAGGGCTCTAGACACCATGCTCTAAAACCCATTGCCACATTATCTCTGAGGCCATGCTTCCTGGGGGCTGCTCCCAGCAGGTATCAAAGCAGGGCAGAAATATTGAGTGAGTCTTGTTCTTGGGATAGAAGGGACACTTACAACTGCTGACTTTGGGCCAAACTCCCTGCTGTCCTTGACAAAGCTTCATTAGACTCCACTGCCATCTAAGTCACTGCCACCCATCCTTCCCTCCCCTTTACTTCCCTCTGGATTAATCTTACATCATGGTCTTTCTCATCCTCCTCTGGAGCCCTCCCTATTTTCTCTTACACAAGCATTTTGCTTGTGGTAGGAGTGAAAAATCTTTGCAGATATGGCCCTTTCTTGGTGTCTGCTTTGCTAAGAGTCTGGACTAACACGGTGAATATTAATATAATCTTCATAGGTTTGCTCTTGGCATTATTATGAGATAATATATTAACCTATTAACACAGTGCCTAACATACTGAACATACATAAATGTAGCTATTAATAATAATTGCAGTAATATGAAGAGTCTGTAACACTTTCATGGCTAAGATCTATATTTCTAGGGAATGCCAACAGACTCTAGTCCTTCTGCCTTTTGTCTTACTTTCCTCAAGCTATCCTTCATGATAACTTCCAGAGTGATCTTTCTGAATAGCTGATTGACCCATGTCACTCGTTTTAAAATCCTTCAGCAATTTTCATAGTCTCTATGTTGCATGAAATTGTGTCAGAAGTTTTGAATTTTACCTGACATTTTGCTTGAGGCATAAAAAAACAGGCTCTATCAGTTTATAGTCTACAGTTCCTGATCCTTAGTGTGTCATAAAAGACACCTCTCCCTGACCACATTTCAGCCTGTTCTCACTTCCCACCATTCCCAGATCCCACTTGAGCAACCTCATATTGGCTGCTGTTCTCACTACATGTTTTTCCACACTCCATAACTTTCACAAGGTGTGCCCTCTTGTGGAATAAGTTCTACTAGTCCTCTCAAGCCATACCTCTATTAGTAAGCTTTTCTTGGTGGTCACAGATCAATTAAATGACCCTCCTCTCAGATTAAACCATATGAATAACATTTCCAGGGTTGTATTTAGTAATGTGTATTATGTTTTTATTTATCTATATGTCCAATTCTTTGAAAAAGATGGAAGACCCTTGAGGTTACATATTTCTTATATTCATCCATGAGCCTCTGCATCTTCCTTGCCTGCCACAGAGTCCAGCACAGATAGTTGGAGATAAATACCTCCTATACAAATAAAAGAAAGATTTAATGAATAAATCAAAATTCAGTGCTTTCTGGTATAATGAGTAGAAGTTTCAGAATATCATCTTTTGCTTAAATGGCAATCCTATTATTATTATTATTATTATTAAGACAGAGTCTTGCTCTGTCACCCAGGCTGGAGTGCAGTGGCATGGTCTCAGCTCACTGCAAGCTCTGCCTCCCGGGTTCATGCCATTCTCCTGCCTCAGCCTCCCGGGTAGCTGGGACTACAGGTGCCCGCCACCCATGCCTGGCTAATTTTTTTTTTTTTTTGTATTTTTAGTAGAGACGGGGTTTCACCATGTTAGCCATGATGGTCTCGATCTCCTGACCTTGTGATCCCCCCGCCTTGGCCTCCCAAAATGCTGGGATTAGAGGCGTGAGCCACCTTGCCAGGCCAAATCACAATCTTTTTTACATATAGCCTCATGTATTCTATAAACAGAGAAAATGTTATCTCATCCTTTCTGGTTTTTATGCCTTTCATTTATTTTTCTTGCCTAATTGCTCTTCCTAGGGCTTCTGCAGTACTATGCTGAACAGAAGAGGTGAAGGTAAGCATCCTCATCTTATTCCTCATCTTATAGGAAAAGCTTTCACATTTTCTCCATTGAGGATGATGTTTATTGTGGGCTTGTCATACATGAACTTTATTATGTTGATGTACTTGCTTTCTAAACCTAGCTGTTGTGTGTTTTTATCATGAAAAGGTATTGAATTTTGTCAAATACTTTTTTTGTATTTATTTACATTATCTTGTTATTTTTATCCTTCATTCTATTAATGTGGTATATTGCATTTGCTAATTTGTATATGACGTTGAACCACCCTAAAGGTTCCTCAAATAAAAACTTAGAACAAATAAACAAATTCAGTAAGGTTTCAGGATACCAAATCAATGTACACAAATCCACTGCATTTCTATTCACTAAAAGTAAAGCATCTGAAAAGGAAATTAAGAAAACAATCCCATGTACAATGGCGTCAGAAAGAATAAAATGCTTGGTAATAAACGTGACCAAGAAAGTGAAATACTTGCTTCTTGATAACTATAAAACATTGATGAAAAAAATTAAAGACACAAATAAATAAAAAACTTCCTCTGTGTTCATGGATTGAATGACAATATTGATCGGGTATCCACACTAAACAAAGTAATCTACAGATTTAAATTTATTGCCATCAAATTCCCAATGGCATTTTTTAAAATATAAAAGCAATTTGAAATTCATATGGAACTACAAAAGATCCAAAACACCCACAGAAATCTTGAGACAGAGGAACAAAGCTGAAGGTATCACACTTCCTGATTTCAAAATATATTATAGAGCTACAGTAATAAAACAGTATGGTACAAGCATAAAGACAAACATATAAACAAACAGAACAGAATGGAGAGCCCAGAAATAAACCCATATATATGGACAAGTGACCTGTGACACAGATGCCAAGAATACACAGTAGGGAATGGATACTCTCTTCAACAAATGGCATGAAGAATATCAGGTATCATGGAGTTTTCAGCCTTTTTGCGTGGGTTTTCCCTCATGTTCATGGATTTATCTACCTTTGGTCTTTGATGCTGGTGACCTTCAGGTGGGGTTTTTGTGTGAATGTCCTTTTTGATGATGTTGATGTTATTCCTTTCTGTTTGTTGGTTTTCAGGTTAAAGACTTAAACCTAAGACCTAAAAATCATAAAAGCCCTAGAAGAAAACCTAGGCAATACCATTCAGGACATAGGCACGGGCAAAGACTTTATGACTAAAACACCAAAAGCAATTGCAACAAAAGCCAAAATTGACAAATGGGATCTAATTAAACTAAAGAGCTTCTGCACAGCAAAAGAAATTATCATCAGAGTGAACAGGCAACCTACAGAATGGGAGAAAATTTTTGCAATCTATTCATCTGACAAAGGGCTAATATCCAGAATCTAAAAGGAACTTAAACAAATTTACAAGGAAAAAAAAATCAAAAAGTGGGTGAAGACTATGGAAAGACACTTTTCAAAAGAAGACATTTATGCAGCCAAAAAACATGAAAAAAAAAAAAGCTCATCATCACTGGTTATTAGAGCAATGCAAATCAAAACCAAAATGAGATACCATCTCATGCCAGTTCGAATGGCAATAATTAAAAGTCAGGAAACAACAGATGCTGGAGAGGCTGTGGAGAAATAGGAACGCTTTTACACTGTTGGTGGGAGTGTAAATTAGTTCAACCATTGTGGAAGACAGTGCGGCGATTCCTCAGGGATCTTGAACCAGAAATACCATTAGACCCAGCAAAATCCCATTACTGAGCACATACCCAAAGGATTATAAATCATCCTACTATAAATACAAATGGACAAGTATGTTTATTGCAGCACTATTCACAATCGCAAAGACTTGGAAACAACCCAAATGCCCATCAATGATAGACTGGATAAAGAAAATGTGGCACATATACACCATGGAATACTATGCAGCCATAAAAATGATGAGTTCATGTCCTTTGCAGGGACTGGGATGAAGTTGGAAACCGTCATTCTCAGCAAACTAACACAGAAACAGAAAATCAAACACCACATGTTCTCACTCATAAGTGGGATTTGAACAATAAGAACACATGGACACAAGGAGGGGAACATCATGCACCGGGGCCTGTCAGCAGGTTGGGGGCTGAAAAGGGATAGCATTAGTAGAAATACCTAATGTACATGATGGGTTGATATGTGCAGCAAACCACCATGGCCCATGTATACCTATGTAACAAACCTGCAGGTTCTGCACATGTATCCCAGAACTTAAAGTATAATAAAAAAATGAGGTATCTACATGCAAACAAATGAAATTGGACCCTTATTTTACACCATACACAAAACCAATTCAAAATAGATTAAAGCCTGGCCAACATGGTGAAACCCCATTTCTACTAAAAATACAAAAATTAGCCAGGCATGGTGGTGGGCACCTGTAATACCAGCTACTCAGGAGGCTGAGGTAGGAGAATCACTTAAACCTGGGAGGTGGAGATTGCAGTGAGCAGAGATCACACCACTGGAGTGCAGCCTGAGTGACAGAAGGAGACTGTCTCAAACAAACAAACAAACAAATGCAATGAAAATAACACAAGGAACTTGAATAGATATTTCTGCAAAGTGCAAAGAAGACATATAAATGGCCAGCAGGTACATAAAAAGATACTCAACATCACTAATGATTCAGGAAGTGCAAATCAAACTACAAAATAAGTCACCTCACACCTGTCAGGAGAGCCATTAATTTATTTTAAAAAATGTTAGTGAGAATGTGGAGAAATTGGAACCCTGTACACTGTTAGTGACAATGTAAAATTGTGCAGCAACTATGGAAAACAGTGTGAAGGCTCCTCAAAGAATTAAAAACGTAACTTCTATATGATTCAGCAATCCCATTTTTAAGTATATATCCAAAATAATTGGAATCAATATCTTGAAGCCATATTTACACTATCATGTTTATTGAAGCATTATTCACAATAGCCAAGATATGAAATCAACCTAAATGCCCATCAACAGATGAATGGATAAAGAAACGATGGTATACATATACAATGGACTATTTTTCAGCCTTAAAAATGATAACCTGCCAAATGTGACAACGTGAATGACTTGAGGGACATTATACTAAGTGAAATACACCAGTCACAGAAGGACAAATACTGCAATCCAGGTAGGTAAGTCTTATATAATAGTCAAACTCACAGAAGCTTGAATACAGAAGCAGAGAATACAATAGTGGCTGACAGGTGCTGTGCAGTGGGGGAAGTGGGAAGTTGTTCAATGATTATACATTGACAGTTATACGTGAAGAAAAAGCTCTAGAGATCTACTCTAAACATAGTGCCTATAGTTAGAAATGTGGTGTTTTGCACTTTGAAATTTGTCAAGAGAGTAGATCTCATGGTAAGTTTTCTTACTACAAAAGAAAAAACAACAACAGAGGACACAAAGAAACTTTGTGAGGTGTTGATAGGTCTATTATCTTTACTGTGATGATGGTATCATGGATGTTTACATATGTCCAAATGCATCAATTGTATATATTAAATGTGTGCTGTTCTTTGTATATCAGTTATATCCAAATAAAATTGTTAAAAAATAATGTCACTCTAAGTGGAAAAGCAGCTAGTTTTGTATGTATCTAATTTCACACAAGTGTAAATTTTATATTAGTTTTAGTATATAAGTACATAGAATATAATACTACTTTGAAATAAAGTCAATCAGAACATACCCACTTCTTTTAACAAAAATCCTACTTTTCTAATGAATAAGATTTCTAAGCAATCTAATGGCATAAAATATTTGGGAAATTTCAAATTTATCTTTTTATGGTTGATTTAACTGATTTTTTTCTATATGTATTTGTTTTCCAGTTTAATTTTCTTTCCATTAACACAAATATGTAACATAATACCACCAGAGTCATCCTCTTTTGTTAGTATTTTTCTAATGGCATTTTCTGTTTAAACTAAGGGTAATGTTTATAACGCTGCTGAGCGAAGTTCACAGGATAACATGAATCCATTTAAGAAACAGCTTCTCAAAGGGAAGATAAGTGGGTTCACAGTAGGTTTTCTGAACTGAATGGAAGTTACTGATAGTCAAATTTAAACATTTTTAATTCACATAAATATTTATTTCATAGCTATCATTTTCATTAAAACATTCCTAGAAAGGGTTTCCAAATAACAAATACAACTAACCTTGAATTCTTAGAAAATAAGATTATATATCTACAACCTGTGACCTTTAATTTTTTTCCAGACAATTTGAAGATGTTTTGGTCCCTAATTAATATTCTTTAGTAAAATAGGAGCGAAGTAGAGGGAATATTGTTCTAGAAACTATAAATTTCAGGTCATAGATAACATCAGTAACAATGAATATGCTTTATTTTCTAAGTATATAGCATCACAAGGTTCTACCTTTGCACTACCATGACTTGCTTTCCCTTGAGTGATGTATTTGCATCAATACATTGCTATACATACTGTCAACAGTTCATTTTCTGATTAAAAACACTTAGTTTGGAAGACAATTGAAGGGAGACATTGTAAGTCTAGACTACATACTAGAGAAATATAATTCATCCCTAAGGATCAACATGTTATCCTGTGTATATTAACTCAATAGTAACTGAGTAAATTACCTATAACTATACTAAAATTGTTTTTTGAAATTAGCCTATTTTCAGGAGAAAAAGGTGTGTTTATTTGAATAAAATACAAATGATCTGAACTATAATCATGTTTCAGTTCTTATCTTTGCCTGAATCAGAGAAGCAAAAATATTTTTGCTGAATGAATCTGTCTAATGCCCGTATTCCCTCAGCCCAAAATGACCTTGAATATTGAGACAGAATTTGCTCACTCTGATGCTGACATCACTCCTATCATTTATAAAGATAGAGTTATTGTGTCAGTGTTTTGTTTTTTTGGAATATACATAATATTCTGGAAACAAAATGTTGCTGTTGTAAAATGATGACTTTTTTGAGTGACAAAGGAGGGTCCATTTTAGGGAATTCTTTTTCTTTTTCTTTTTCTTTTTTTTTAAATGGAGCCTCAGTGTCACCCAGGCTGGAGTGCAGTGGCATGATCTCGGTTCACTGCAACCTCCGCCTCCTGGGATCAAGCGATTCTTGTGTCTCAGCCTCCCAAGTAGGGGATTATAGGTGCGGGCCACCATGCCTGGCTAAGTTTTGTATGTTTAGTAGAGACAGGGTTTCACCATGTTGGCCAGGCTGGTTTCCAACTCCTGACCTCAGGTGATCTGCCGGCCTCGGCCTCCCAAGGTGTTGGGATTACAGGCGTGAGCCACTGCGCCTGGCCAAAAATCATTTTTATACCCTATATTATCAAATGAGTCTACACTGCAAACTTACAATAATAAGATTTATTAATGTTTATATATATATATGTAAATCTCCATCATATAGCCAAAAAGCTGAAAACACAACAAACAATAACCCTCCCATCTGGTCTCATAGACCAACAATAAAATAATAAAGGAAAACCACTTTCAATGTTATTACTCAATTTAAGGTGTTTAACAAAAACACATCAATTTACATTTAAAATAATGCTAAAATACCACGGTTTTTCTTTTGTATTTTTAAATAAAATATACCCTATATATGTATTATTGTGTTCTGAGCTACAATACAAGTATTTTTAAAATTATATGTTAAATGAGAATTATTTGCTATAAAATTAGAAGTAGCTCTTTACTGCATCTCAGAAAGAATTTTAGTATTAATGTTTTAGGAAATAAAATTTCACTGAATAATTCCTGGAAAAAATGTGTTTTAGATATATGAATATTTATGAACATATAAATTCTACATGCTAGATTTATTAGCAAAAGATGATTCTTGGCATGGTTTGGTCTGTCAGAAATCTCAAAGTATATCAACTCAAATTTCTGCAAAAAGAATATATTGCGAATGCCTATAGTTATAAAATTATAACATCATACAGAATTTTCCCTTTCATCTCCTCAATATTGTTGTTGTCAACAAACTCTTTTAAAAAATGTTTCTAAACAATCTTGTTCAAATAAGAGGATCCTATTAGATATATGATTTAATTGTTGATTGTCAATAAAGTTTTGAGAGTTTATTTTAGAATACTAAGGGTTTGTTGTAAGAATGCACATTTTTGTTTTTACTTTCAAAACTTGTTTGAGAAAACACCACTGTTATAGAGAGCTATCGATCACATATTTGGGTCTACAAAAATTGAGTAAACATTATTTTCTATTGGATAATGTAAATATTCAAAACATTCTATGTATTTTGCTAAATTATTTAAAAAAATGAAATTCTTGCCTTTCTTCCCAGTATGTATTGTACACCAAATTTAATTAGTAATGCAAAATGTCTATAACTGGAAATAAACTAAGGGAAAATACTGAAAAATAAGTAAGTAAATGCTAAATCAAGATGCACTCTAAGCTGCAAATAAACTTTGGTAATAGTAATCAACCATTATTAACTCCAGGATTTCTAATTCAGTGGGTTTCCATTCATTTTAAATTTATTCCAGCTATCTCAAGACTCTGAAATGTATAGAAAGAGTAGAGATTTCAAATAAGCAACTACGATATTTTATCATTCTATCACAAATGCTTGGCATAACCTACCACTTAGGTAAATATCAAAAAGTAACCTTATGGACTTTCATTTAACCCATGGTTAAAGATACCTCATAAGCATAAAAGCATAAAATAAGTGCATATGTAGGTATACATGAGAGTGAGAGAGAGACAGCATGTGTAAACTAGACCAGTTTTGCTCTGATGACAGACTAAGCAATTAAAATCATAATCTTTTATATAACCAGAAAATCTGTAAAAATCTGCAAAAATATATCTCTTATGATCCAATATAGAAGTATGAGGAATGTCAGTGATGTTATATAAGATTTGTAATGCATTTCTCATAGGGTTCTCTGTCAATTCAAAAAGAGACAGCTGAAAGAGGAAGACTCAGAGAAAAGTTTCAAGAGATGAATAGCCTTGTCTGAGTAGGGAGATCCAAATTGGGGCTCATAGCCTGCCAAAATGTATGTTGATGGATTGGTAACCTTTCTACGCAGGCTTTTAGTTTGGATAGCTACAGGGGATACTACAGCTTCAGGATTAACCAAAATCAGACATGTCAATATAGAAAGTAAACCCAGCTTTGATTTATTTTAATCTCTACAGTTGGATTATGGTGATCCAGTTTATGAGAATGAAAATTTTCTCTTGATGTCTTGATGGAGATAACACAATTTGATGCCTCTATTTATTCATAAAAGTTGACAATTAGTTAAAAAAAAAGGCACATACCTATGAAAACCAGATAAGATTATGCAAACGTAAGATAAATAATGGAGAATAGAAATAGACCCATAGATAATCCAAATAATGAAGCCATTAAATATCAATTTTAAAATGTTATGTTTAATCAGGTCTGCTGCAGTGGCTCACCCCTGTAATCCCAGCACATTGGGAGGCCCAGGTGGGCAGATCACTTGAGGCCAGGAGTTCTAGAGCAGCCTGGCCAACATGGTGAAACCCTGTCTCTGCTAAAAATACAAAAATTAGCTGGTCATGGTGGATGCACACCTGTAGTCCCAGCTACTCGGGAGGCTGAGGCACAAAATTGCTTGAACCCAGGAAGTGGAGGTTGCAGTGGGCCAAGATTGTACCACTGCCTCCAGCCTGGGGGACAGAGAGAGACTCTGTCTCAAAAAAAAAAAAAAAAAAAAAAAAAAGGTTACATTTAATCAATTCAGAAATATGAAAAACAGAATTATAATATTGGCCACAGAATGGAAACTAAATCAATTGGAAAGTGGAACTAAAAAATACAATAACTGAAATTAAGGGCTTACTGTATGGATTTACAGCTGAATAAAAGTATTAGGTGGTAAATAAATGGAAGGACATAAAGAGAATGAAATACAAAGAGACAAACAAAAATGTGGTTAAAAAAAGTATGAAAACAACAGAAAGTCATTGAGGAGATGCACTGCAATCTTCTCAGAAACAATTGTAGTACCAGACGGAGAGGAAAGAAAGTGAAACAAAGACTATTTGAAAAGATATCTTACACTTTTCCAAAACTGATATAAGAAATCAAGCAACATAAAATCTTATGACTATTTTGAAGCTAAAAACTACTATCCTGAAATTTACAATCAATATCTGCCTTCTAGATACTTCAATTAGATCTTTTCATAATACAAATATAAAGGGAAGACCCAACCATTGTTTTCGAGGTGATATGTGTAGCTTTGGAATTGGACCACAAAGCAGGCAATGTTTGCCATAGTCCTCCTGTATATATCTGTTTGACATGTGAATTAATTTGTTCAATATTCTTCTTTGACAAAAGAATTTGTGGTCCTTTCTCTTAATTTTGACTTTCAAAATTATTAAAATCAGTCTTATAAATTAAGTAACTGATTACAGCTATACAACTGTCAAGCATAGTGAGAAGTCTAATCAAATCCATAATATAAGGAATAGAGGAAATAGTTGGTTCCCTCATTAGGTTTTTTTTTTAATTGCTAGAATAAACTTAGCAGCTTACAACAATACAAATTTATCATTTCAGGTTTCTGGGTCCCCAATCTGCCACAGATTAACTGGGTCCTCTGTTCATGGTCTCATTAGAATTAAATCAAACTATCAACTGCTATATTCTCATCTGAGATTAGAGAAAAATCCACTTCCAAGCTGACTCATGTTATTGATAGAATTTTTCATAAAACCCAAGACTCTCCAGATTTGGTTGTCATTTTTCTGCAGCATGGTATGTGAGCTAAGCTTTCATCTGAGTTATTACACATCAGATCCAATAGACAATATACTGATATCATTTGTCTTATTCTATCAAAGTAAACATTGCATTTGCACAGAATCTGAACATAAGAATATTTTATTACAGTGACTAACAGAAATCTCTGTTTTAATAGAATCAGAAGTGACACTTGGTATGTGTTGGTGGCAATCAATTACAGTACTTTTCAGAAATGTGTTTTTGTAGTTTGCAGAAAAAAAATTTTAATGATATGCAAGAAAAATATTCCACCAATTTTCTAATTACTTAAATTGCAATCTTTGAAGCTAGATTTCAAACAGCGTAATCATCAGATGTTTTATGCATGGCTATTGAATGTTATGAGATACACTGCTGTAGCTAATGATAAAAGTTAAATATATTTTATAGCAAAGTCAGTGCACATTAAGACAAATAAAACCACACAGTATTTTATGTATGTGTGTTGTAAAACACCTCCATAAATTATCACAATAGATTTTGAGAAACCGAAAGACTCCTGCAGAGTCTATTGCTGAAAGTAGAAATATCTGAATTTTGTAAAACAAATCACCAAAAAGAAAAAAGAAGTAAAATAATGAAAAAAAAATAAGGTACAAAAAAGGTCAGAACTTACCTGCTTGCTAATGCTTTTGTCACCAGTAGCCTTGACAAAGCCAAGAATTATCTCAAGATTAAAAAAAAAAAAAAAAGTCTCAGGTCAAGGATGAAACAGAAATGTTAAGAGATACGATAATATACTCAAAAGGATACATTGATGTCAGGAAAATCTGAAAGATAAATGTGAAATATTCAGAAATTAATTATGTCAAAACTTCTAACTACCCAAAAATTTCCTCAAGAGAATAAGATAGAATCCAATTTTTAAATAATGTCAAACCATTTGAGTAAACATAGTTTTGTGACTTTTGAAAATTAAGAGCCTTGGGGTGTTACACATTCCTAAATCTTAATTGTGTGTTGAATTTATATTAGGTTGATTACAAACAGAAATTTTATTAGTCATAATTACAAAAAAAAGACTGTTCTTTTAGCTCTATTTCCATTAAGGCCTTTAAAAATTGCCAGTACTTTTGAAATGGCAGTTACTAAATGGTCCTGTAATCTAATCAAAGTCAATATAAATTATTGTTTTAAATTGTCTAACGTTAGAGAATCTTTTCTACTTCATACATAGATTAGCATAGGGATAATATTAACTTATTAATTGCCTCATTTATCTGAGGAAGAGAGACTAACCAATGCCAGAATGCTAAGTTTTAGAATAATAAGGTATTTATAAACACATGAAAGAGGTTGAAATTTTCTTGGTAAGTTTCAAAGAACATTCTGGCATGTACAATGTCCTAGCTAGAAGAACATAAATATTTTTTAGAGTCTCCACAGCATCCTGATTTTTGAGTGTGTATTTGAAATGACAGCAGCCTAAAAATACACTTCGGTAAAGGACCATAGATTTTTAAATGTCTCTACTGATGATTCATGGTTAATTTAGACTGTACGAAGATTTAAAGTTGTTCACAAAACGGTATGAAATATCAAGTCAACAACCTACATTGTATCCTTGATTATACACTTCTTGACTTTCTTGTTCATCTTTTTTTTTTTTTTTTTTTTTTTTTTTTCTGAGATGCAGTCTTGCTCGGTGGCCCAGGCTGGAGTGCAGTGGTGCTATCTTGGCCCACTGCAACCTCTGCCTCCTGGATTCAAGCCATTCTTCTGCCTCAACCTCCCAAGTAGCTGGGATTACAGGTGTGCACCACCATGCCCAACTAATTTTTGTATTTTTAGTAGAGACAGGGTTTCACCATGTTGGCCAGGCTGGTCTTGAACTCCTGACCTCAGGTGATCTGCACGCCTCGGCCTCCCAAAGTGCTGGGATTACAGGCATAAGCCACCATGCCTGGCCGTTCATCTTTCTTCATAAAATAAAAATTTTACTTACAATGCACTTCTACCTCAATTTGGATGAAGAGAAAAATTATCATCTTAAAATTACACTTACAGTAATGAGGTCTCAAAGGGTCTGGCAAATATTACATCACCATACTCACATCTTTGAACCACTCTTCAAAATTAGGGTCCTATAATGAAATATTTGCTCATATTTTCTTGAATTATCTTACAATGGAAATATGGAATTACCTATCATTCCTGTATTATAGTTTATGTAAAATTTTGATAAATTAGAATTTAGAGTGACTACCTCCAAATGATCATTGACAAAAAAATCATAAAAAGAAGTCCGCTTTAAAAAACAGCAATATGAATAATATATGAATGACTCTCACTTTACAGGTTTAAAGAGTCAAACATTGTGGCATAAAACCAGATTCCATTTTACCTCTAGAATCAAGTGGTTTTATAATGTAATAATATTTCACTCTAGACTTTCTTTTTTTAAAAAGGGTGGTTACTGAAAGAATGAATTATGTCCTACATCAGCAGTAACAGTGGATATGATAACAGTTAGGTCCCCATTGCAAACACAGTGTGGCAATATTTAAGCATCTAATTGCATTTAAGGATCTCATTCATGAAACACAGGCTCTTCAGGCAGGAATGTTCAGACCATTTTTTATTAAGTATTTGCTGTATGTTGGGAATGTGTCAGGCACTTTTTCTAAGCATTTGGAGTAAACAATACAAGATTTCTATCCTGTTGGAACTTACAGGACAGGGTGGGAGGCAAAAATAAATACTAGAAAAAAATATGTATCTAATATCATATGGCAGTAAATGCTATGGAAGAAAATACCAAGAACAAATACAAACAAACAGGAAATTCTGTTTTCAGCACATACTTCACATTACTGATTTTTCTTAAAGAAGATGATGATTAGAAGTAATGTGAACTAAGAGGAATGTACTGTATGTTAAAATGCTTTCATATCCAATCTTAGTATTATGATTATCATTATTGAAAAGTAAGTGTTCAGTGACAGTTGGAAAAGTATGTGAGATTTTATTTGAAAGATAAATAGAAATTTTTAGGCAGAATGAGAAGAAAGGAGGACATTTTTGTTGAGCTAAAGCAAAAACTAACAGTGTAAAGTATATTCAAGGAATTATGAGTAGACATTCTATATATATACAAAATGGGAGCTAAGACTGGAATGGTATGATAGATTAATAGATTACTTAAGTGAATTTGGGAACAAAAGGACAAATACGTAGAACAACTAAAATTCATAGGTATAAATATAAAATTATTTACTGAAAACTTACAAATATAACCCATTTATTTTTCACTGAACAAATATTCATTGAATGCCTAACATATGTCAGAATCTGGGTATATAATATGGGCTAGGTATATATCCTCTCAGATTCATGGTACACACATAACTTAGACATATGTGACCCTATTTTACAAAGAAAAAGTGTCTTATATATACACTGGACTTACTAGAAAAAAATCTCAGGACTGTAAGTGGATAAGCATGGATTTGGATGTTGGCAGGTGAATGCCAGTCTCCACCTGCAACCAAAATTGTTACATATTGTCTCCAAGTGTGGCCTCTTTATCAAAAATTGATAACGTCCCTGTGTAAAAATGAATATTTCCTCATCTTTATTTTTCTCCCCTGAGATATGTTTTGTCATTTAGTGAACCCATCTAACTTGCATGCATCATTTTCATATTTTTCTAATTGTGGAAGCCTTTTGCTGGCTGCAGTGGATCACAGATTGTTTTCTCTGCTTTGCTTAGTGATAATTTATTTTGATAAAAAACAAATTTATCTTACCTCAATAATAAGGAGGAGGTCCTCCTTGCTGATGCCTCTCACTCTTGAATTCTTTAATATCCAACTATTTTCATTACACATTTCAGTCTGGACTGCATATTAAGTATTTTGTTGTTTATGTTCTGTTGGAAATGTATCATTCCACTTTAAACATTCCTTCCTCAGTGGTATCTTCTGGTCTAACACTTTCAGGTGCCCCTCTGTTTGCTGAAGTCAGAATTAAAAATATTTTTCTTGTGGGTTCCTGCAGCTGATATCTTTATTTATGTGTTGGTCACATACGTCTAAATATGGTAAGCAGAATGATACTTTCATTCTGATCAATTTTCTTGAATGATGTTTCCATATATTTACTCATGATTTGTAGCTAACTCAGACAAAACTAATATAAAACATCGGCACTGATTTTGGCATAATAAGTAATTATTTGCCATTGAGTAATAAAAACAAATGGTTTATAAACAGCAGAAGGACTTTATACATAACCTTTCTTTAAATGGTAAAATAGCATCAGCTGTCAAATTCAAGCAATGCATACTGAAAATAGAAGTAACCAAAGGAATCATAATTGTGTTTCAAGCCTGTTATAATTTACTGGTTTAAATTGAATAGCAGATATTTAAAATTTAAGAAAATGTATTTTATTTATTTCCCCCAAAGTTAAACTTATTTCATAGGCCTGGAACAAAATATCTTACCATTCAATAAGTTAGAATAGTATTTGATAATTTCAAAGTGTTGTTAAATTGAGGAGGTAGTATTATTCATTTTGAACATGAAGACTCTCTTCATTTAATATTAGCTTTACTTTAACTCCATTCTGGTACATGATAAGATAAAAATACATTTATAACTTGAAATCTCACATAATGAAAATATTACTTTCAGAAACAAGCGCTGTTTGGATGTAAAACATGTTTAGTAGGGAGGAAAGGCCTCTTTGAAAGCTACTCTTAGTTTATGTTATTGAACTGAAGAATTTCCAGATGAAGGGCAAGAGCACAGCCTTAAAACTCCAGAAATGTCAATTTCCATAACAGCAAATAATTTGCCTTTTCAAGTCACAAGACTGCAATTAATCATGTGAGACATCAAAAAAGAAAATTGAGGCTGTTTTTAATGATGCATCCTTGTGTGAAAAAAAGGTAATAGTTCTGCATTACCCCAGTGATTAATTGAGGTACTAATTTAGATTGCATGTCATATGAGTATACAGTTTCTTTGGGGGATGGTGGCATTCAAATAGGGGCACTTATTTATAAGAATGCTGTAATTGTTCAAAAATCAGTGTTAGGACTGACACAAATATGCTATAAATTATGTTAAAACTGTAAAGTAAGTAAATCTGTTTCATAAAATTTATATTATATCAGTTTATATTGCTTTACCATGGTCTGTTACAAAGGTACACTGGTCTATCGAGTTGAAAAATCCATTAAATTCAGTCCAGGTGCTTGAGCCAAGGGCTTAATATTTTTTGTTGTTAGGTATTAATATACCATAAAGATAATACTAGACCCCTAAAGTTTAAGGACCTTGAGATTTCCTAAATAAAGAGGAAATAAATCAGCATAGTAAAAATGTAAGAGAAGAGTAAAATTTCAACCGTCAGAAATTATCTTTAAAATGTTTGAAATCCTTTTAAGAATAGTTGTGGTATCATTTCCCCAATGAGACTTCTTATCAAATTAAGTTATGTGCTCCTTCTATGTGTTTGCATAATACATGGATTCCTACTATCCTAACATTTAATCATACCGTATTGTAACTATGTGTTTAGTATTTGCCTTTTCCATTATACTATAAAAATCTTGCATGCTGTGCCATATTTTTTTAAGTTGAGATCACACTTAAGACCTCAACTTAAACTGTCCTTCTTCAGGGTCACGTGCCCTGACCTCCTTAATTAGGATACATTAACCTGTTACAATCACTCTAAGAACAGTCTATATGTTTTTGTTTGTTTGAGCACATATGCTAATTTCAATTAAGTATTAAATTTTTTGTTTGTTTTTTTACTGTCTGTTATCTCATGTTCCCTGAGATCAAAGATTATACAGGGCTTATGTTCTTCACTGCTGTATTCTCAGTATCTAGCCCAGTGCCTGGCAGCCAGTGCTCAACAAATGTTTAGGTCATCAGTCGTTATACACTCAATACATGCTTAGTAAATGTATCAAGGGCTTTCTAAAGTTTTTTGCATGAAAGCCTTTATTGCAATAACATCATTTGTAGCACTATAAATTATATATAACATAGTTTTATATATAATTTATAAGCAATATAAATTTATAAACTGTATAATTCATATATTCATAAATTATATATATAAATATATATATTCAACAAATCACAAGTCAGTAAGAAAAAGGCAAAGAACCCAATTAAAAATGGGCAAAATATCTAAAGAGACATTTCATCAGAAAGATACTCAAAAGTGGCCAATAAGTATATAAAAACTTGCTCTCAAGAAAAGGTCAACTAACATCTGTAAGGAGAGAACAACTGGCTAAAACAAAATAGAACTGTTAAAGATAAAATTATTTCCTATACTAAATATTTATGTAAGTGTAAGGAAATTGGAATGTTCATACATTACTACTACGAGCGTAAAATTATGCTACAATTTTGAACAACTGTTTAGAAGTTTCTAATTAAACATATACCTATTTTATGATCCAGTGATTCCTCATTTTCTGTATATATTCAAAGTAAATGAGTGCATAAACCAATATAAATATCTGTAAGAGAGTGTTCACGGAGGCATTATTTAGATAGTAAAAAACTGGAAACCAAATACTTATTACCAGGAAAACTGATTAACAAACTGTAGTATAGTCACACAATGAACTATCACATAACAACTTGAAATAATTCCTGCTACACGCAGAAATTAATAGATTTCAAAAATATTGTATCAAGTAAAATACTACAAACATGCAAATAAACCTATATATATATATATATAATCCTATTTATACAAAGTTTAGAAACAAGCAAAAAAAATTCATGCTTTAGAAATTTAAATAATGGCTACCTCTGTGATGGGAAGGGGTTTTACTAACTTGGAATGTGCATAAGGAACATAAGTATCAAAACTATTCTATCTCTTGGTCTAGATGATGGTTACCCTGATGTATATACATGTAAAACATATTTTATTCATACAGTTACATTAGCTTAACTAACACAAGTTAATACATGTATCTAGTTCTTCCAAAAGAAAAATTAAAAGGGAGAAAATTTGATGAAGGATGAGACGTTAATATTTTTCCTTTCAGATAATAAAACTTGTGTTAATAGCTGAGTTATTGCTATAAGAAATAAGAAATAAATCAATGGAACACAAGACAGAGTAGAGAAACAGCCCTCATACATAAATACTTTACATGTGAAAGAGATGGTATTTTAGGTCAATGAATAAAAAATGGAATTTACATCCAATAGAACCTGCACCTGCACTATAGCTTCTCCATTTCAGAAAGGAAGGAAAGAAGAATGGAAGGAAGGAAGGAAGGAAGGAAGGAAGGAAGGAAAGAAGGAAGGAAGGTCTCCACCTCAGATACTATGCAGAAATTATTATCAATTGGATTATAAACTTAACGTAAAAAAACTTTAAAGCTTTAGAATAAAACATGGAGGATTATCTTCTTCATAATAAAATATATTATTTATATAGTGTTTACTCAATCAAGCATTGTACACTACTTGGCACTTCCAAAGTTTATATTGATTTACTTATTCGATCTTCTCAATAATCTACTTTATGAGGAAGATACTAATATTATCCTCATTTTACAAGTGAAGAAGTAAGTCACAGAGGAGGTGTTTACTTTCCATTGCCGAATAACCACCAATTTATCAGCTTAAAACAACACCAGTTTATTATCTGTTTCTGTGGGTCGGGAAGGCAGAACACTTTAGATGAGTTTTCTGCGCAGGGACTCACAAGGCTGAAATCAATGTGTTGGCTGGCTGTGTCTTCATCTGGAATATCAAATAGGAAAGAACTACCCCAGGACTCTTCAAGTTGTTGGAAGAATCAATTTCCTCACGTGTGTAGAACTGAAATCCCCATTGTGTTGCTAGCAATTGAACCGCTTTCAGGGGTTACCTCCCTGATCCCCTTCATAGGCCGTCTCATACTTTAAATCATCTAACTTAAGGACCCCCTCCATAGGCCTAAGCGTCCCCACACTTCCATTCTCTATAATTTCAGGAAGGATTCAATCTATTTTAAGGACTCACCTGTTTAGGTCAGCCCTATTCAAGTAATCTTTCTTTTGATGAACAGGATGAGTGAGGACTTAAGCCAATTTGACTGGCTTAGAATTCCCAGTCACTGCATCATTATGTGCATAATGAATTATTATTTATGTAAAACACAAAACATGCAAACTAAAATGGAAAATAGTGATAAATTCCACTATTTTAAAATTTTATAAGACTGTTTCTCAAAAGATGTATTAGTATCAAAAGTATAATTACACTTATTAGTGTCAAAAGTATAATTACAATATGGAAATTACATCTGCAACAAATTGGAAAGAGATTGGATTGATCAGAGAGAGAGAGAAAGTGGGGAGAAAATAAAAATATATTTATGTACATATATGTATGTATAACCATACAAGTATATAATAAACTCATAAGAAAAAAACAGAAAAATGACAAAAATTGTGAACCAGTATTTCACAAAAGATAAATCAAAATGGCAAATAAACTTATGAAAAGATTCCTAATATAATGTACATACAGAAAATGCAAAATAAAATTCTAAGAGAGAGAATTCTACATTTATCAGATTGAAAAAAAAGGCAAGTTCACTACTACTGCTAAAAAATATTTATCCGATTTCTGGAACAATGGGAACATTCATTCACTGATGGTGAGTATATAATGGGAATGATTCTAAAGATTCGCCAGCAAGTATGGTGCCTGATTGAGGTGGATACTAGACTTTTTCAGGGTTAGGGGATTCCTTTCAATGACTTTTTTTTAATTTTAAATTAATGTTGTTGAATTTTACTGATGAATTTTTCAGATCTATTAATATGTGTATATATTTCCTATGTGGCATAAATTCTATGAATTTGATCCATTAATTTAGGGGATTCATATATAGTCTAATGTTTTATTCCATCCTGGTATCTATTTAGTCCTAAAGAGATTTTCCTACACTGTTTTTTTAATTATTATTCTGCTGTAATACCTTTAAGGTTTTTGCATGTTTGTTGACAGATGAGATTGACCTATAGTTATCTCATTTTTCTAGTATGACTTGTGCGTAACAAAATTATCTTATCTTTTAAAATAAATTAGAGTGTTCCCATTTTGAATACAGTTGGAAGTAAACTATGTTTTAAAATTTATGTTTTATTTTAACTAGGCCTGTGAAGAGTTTTGGACTAATCCTTTGCTAGGAGTCAATGGACAAATATGGGGATATTTATCATATAATTTGAATTGTTTATAACCATTGGTTTATCCACACATTCTGCTTCTTGCTATATGTTGATCAATGTTTGATTATTGTCACAGAATATCTCCCTGATAGTGTACAAGTGTTCCCTTTACTCTATATCCTAATATGTGTTATCTTTAATTTTTTTGATAATAGCTAATCTAACACATACGAGATGACACCTCATTGTGATTTTAATCTGCATTTCTATGATTAGAGATGTTAAAAATAATATATACCAAAATTACTTTTGCACCAACCTAATATCTGCTGGCCTTTGTATGTCTTCTTATAAGAAATGTCCACTCAGGGACTTTGCCCATTTTTTAAGAGGGTTGTTTCCTTATTATTGAGTAGACTGAGTTCCCAGTGTATTTTGAATGTTACCCTCTTATTTGATTTGTGATTTGCAATTTTTTTCCAATCTGTGTGTTATATTTTACTTTGTTAATTGTTTCCTTTGCTGTAGAGCAACCGTTTTGTTTGATTCAATCCCATTTGTCTATTTTTGTTCTTGTTGCCTGTGCTTTTGGGGTCATACCCAAGAAATCACTGCCCAGACATGTGTCAGGAGTTTTCTCTCATGTTTCTTCTAGTAGTTTTACATTATTAAGTTTTAAATCTAAGTTTTTAATCCATTTTGATTTGAATTTTAAGGGGTTCTCAGCACCATTTACTGAAAAGAAATGTCTTTTCCCCATTGTGTGTTCTTGGCACCTTTGTCAGACGTCAGTTGACTGTAGGTGTGCAGATTTATTTTGCAGCTCTCTATTCTAATCCATTGGTTGATGTGCCTTTTTTTTTAATGACAGTACCACACTGTTTGGGTTACTATAGCTTTGTAATGTATTTTAAAATCTGTGTAATGTATAATGCCTAGAACTTTGTTCTTTTTGGTTAAGGTAACTTTAGCTACTTGGGATTTTATAGTTCCATATACATTTTGAGGTTTTTTTTCTATTGCTGTTAACAAAGACTTGGGAATTTTGATAAAGACTACATTGAATCTACAAATCACTTTGTATAGTATGGAAATTTTAACAATAGTAATTCTTTCAATCCATGACTATACGATGTCTTTCCATTTATTTCTGTCTTCTTCAATTTCCTTCTCAATATTTTGTAGTTTTAAGTATACAGATCTGTCACGTCCTTGGTTAAATTTATTCCTAAGTAATTTTTTGATACTAACGTAAATGGGATTATTTTCTTAATTTCTTTTTCAGATAGTTCACTGTTAATGTATAGAAACACTACTAATTTTTGTCAGCTTATTTTGTCTCCTGAAACTTTACTGAAATTCTTTATCAATTTTAACAGTTTTTTGTGGAATCTTTTAAGATTTTGTATACAATATGTCATCAGCAAACAGAGACAGGTTCATTTTTTCTTTACTATTGGATGCTTTTATTTATTTTTTTGCTTGACTATTTACTCTTGCTAGGAATTCCAGTACTATGTCAATAGAAGTGGTGAGAGTGGGCACCCTTGTCTTGCTCCTGATTTTAGAAAAAATAAAAAAAGACTTTCATTTTGTCACTGATGAGTATCATGTTAGCTATGGGCTTGTAATATCTGGCCTTGATTGTGTTGAGAAACATTCCTTCTGTACCTAATTTGCTGAGAGTGTTTATAATGGAAAGATATTGAATTTTGTTGGATGCTTTTTATTCCATCTATTGAGGGGATCATACGGTTTTATCCTTATTCTGTTAATATGATGAATCACATTTATTAATTTGCATATGCTTATCCATCCTTGTATCCCAGGGATAAATCTCAATCAAGGTGAATAATCCTCTTAATCCCAAAATTAAGTTTAAAATTTACAACTTCACCTTTTATCGTGAAAGAAACATCTATTTTAAAATTATATTAAGGAACAAGTTATTTTAACTGATCAATTAATAA
This sequence comes from Homo sapiens, assembly GCF_000001405.40. Lineage (NCBI taxonomy): Eukaryota > Metazoa > Chordata > Mammalia > Primates > Hominidae > Homo > Homo sapiens. The sequence continues at coordinate 194,139,348 of NC_000001.11, read as the reverse complement.
TATAGCCAAAGGAAGGTAAGCCATATTCTGATTGAGAACATATTTTTTCATTTAAAAAATGTGTACCAAAGCCTGGTGTTACAACCAGGAATGGCAATGCATGATAATTATATGGTTCCTGAAATAATAGCTAAAACTTCACTTACCATGACCACAGTTACCACAGAACATAAATTCTTAAGTAATTGGGAATAAAATAATGCATATATCAATTTTAGATGCCTAATTTTTAAATAAATAAATATTTACATATAAAGCAAAACTTGGTCCATAATCATTATTCTTCTTAATGGAGTTACTCTCTTATAAAGAAAATACAAGTTTGCTCACCACTAAGTTAAGATGATCTTGAGTATTTTCTTTAACTTAGAAATGTAATTCAAAACTCCCTTTTTATGAATGGCTATCTGTGATGCATCATATGTCTCTGGTGAAGAGTCTATCTTTTCTTTCTCAGCTCTAATATCTAGGAGTTTCTCATATTAAAAAAATCACTTACCATTAAGTATGTATAAATTAGCTCAGTGCAATTTCTAACACTTCGGTGATCCCAATCTCCAAACAATATTCTACACACGGATTGAATATATATTGAATATATATATTCTACACACAGATTGAATTACATATATATATAATTGTTTCAGTAATGACATTTGTGACATTTTCAATAAAAAATTAGTTTTGTAATGACTCAAACATAGGTATTAAAATTGTCATAAATTATAATTTTGTTGACTTTGAAAATAAAAATATTTTCCAATTTATGTATGAGACCATATAAGCAAAGAGAATAATAAATAAACCAATGTTGCTAGTAGAGGTTACATTTTTAGGTAATGAAGCAACAATGAAAACCTCTCAAAAAATGTTTAGCATGTACAATGAACTAACAAAAGCCAGTCAATTGTTTAATATTTATTCAAGTTGTATGAAGATTATTCAATCTAACATATGAAAAAGGAACTTATGTTAAACGAATCCCTTCGAATTTTTCATTACTCCACTATATATTTCACTATAGTAAGTAAAATAAGAAATATGAGTGTAAGAAGTTTAAAAAACTTCAAAATACTAAATTCCTTTTTATCTTAAAAATATAAAATAGTGTTCTCAACTTACTTACTCTGTGTTTGATGATGAGGATGAGTTCTATTGCAAAGCCTAAGAGAATAAAATGTCATAGCAGAGTGAGATGTAGGACACAAATAAATGTAAAGTTGTGTCACAGAACTCACAGGTGATATCCATTCAGAAGAAATAAAGCTAAATAGAAAGAAGAAAGAGGTAACAATAAAGTGAAATAAACAAAAGTTGTATTCTTGAATATCAGAGGCAATAAATGGAAACACATTCTCCTAGTAGCTATAAATGTAAACAGTAAAAAAAAAGAGTGAATTTAAAAAAAAATAGCATAAACTTGTGACAGAAATCTCAACCACCTTTTTAGAGCACATGGAAGAGAGAATTTGAAAAATAAATTGCATAATAGAACAGAGGGAGAATATAACATATAGAACATACAAAACAGATAAAAAAAACTTTAGTGACAATTTTTGTTTAATAAATATATGAGCAATATTTTTAAAAATAGGGTATTATTAAGGGTAAAAAATAATACCTGAGTAAAAAAATATATACTTCCTTTGTGCCCAGCACAGTGGTCCACACCTATAATCCCAGCACTTTGGGAGGCCAAGGGGGGCAGATCATGAGGTCAGGAGATTGAGACCATCCTGGCTAACACAGTGAAACCCTGTGTCTACTAAAAATACAAAAACATTAGCCGGGCGTGGTGGTGGGCACCTGTAGTCCCAGCTACTCAGGAGGCTGAGGCAGGAGAATGGCGTGAACCCGGGAGGTGGAGCTTGCAGTGAGCCGAGATCGCGCCACTGCACTCCAGCCTGGGCGACAGAGCAAGACTCCATCTCAAAAAAAAAAAAAAGTACTTCATTTGGAAACACTTAAACAATGTTCCTGCATTTCCAAAAGATACACACACCTGTTTCAGTTTAAGATCGTCAACAATTATTTAAATTTATTTAAAATACACATTAAAATATTTATATTCATCTAGTCATAGATACCTTTTAATGCTATACTATGTGTATGTGTGTTTATGTGTATATATACGTGTTGTCTGTGTGTGTGTGTAGCATTCAACTACTGAGTATTAGTTCAACCTCCAGGTAAGAGCAGTAAGAAAATTAATTATGGTTTTGTGTGCATAATCTTCCATTTCATCTGGGGAAAATATTTTGCTATAATTAGTATACTCGTTGTTAACCTAGAACTAGAATCATATTTAAATTTCTCAGAAATATTGTATACGTTCCTGAGCATGGTTTCTGGGGCCAGATTCTCTGAGTGGAAACCTAGCTCTACTCCTTACTGATTGCTTAATTGGTTGCATATGGCTTAAATACCATATGCTCGAATTTCCTCATTATAAAACAAAGATTATGAATAGTACATTTCTTGATTTTCAATAGGAACTTGATGCAAAACTTAATTTTTTGATACTTGTATAATGCAAATAAATGTAACAAAAAGTCAAAAATATAAAAAAGTATATGTTGGGGAATATGTACATTATTCTAGTTACTTTGTGGAACTAGGTGATAGTCAACCTATACACTCTGCAATTTTAATGTGTCACAGTTAAGTGAGGTTAATAAAGCAATCCGAAAGGAGATTTAAAAAAAAGAGAGCTAAGAGTGAATCCAATAAGAAAAAAATGCAATGAAAATACACATACTAAAGGCACAGGGAAGACCCTCATGTGAAAAATATTTATTTATTTTTTGTAATAAAAGATATAGAAACTGAGAAGATAGAGTCATCTTTATAATTTGAGAGGAGCTTGGAAATCAGTCAATTGTAAAAGGAAATAGGATAAGGGATATTTACTGATGTCATCTGCATTTAAGGCAGCAAATGAGAAGAGACACTATGGATTGTGCATACCAGATAGCCTGGGAGAAAATACTCTTTCTCTAAAGAAAACTTGGAAAAATGGCTGAATCAGAAAAATGTACACGGTCAAATATGAGTAACAAAAAATGAAGTGACACAGCATAGTTAGAAGGGTAGTATAAGAAAAATGAAGGAAAAATCAGAAAATTATGCTTATTTAAAGAACACTCACCAAAACATAGCCAAAAAATAAGTGTGGTTGGCTGGGTGCAATGGCTCACTCCTGTAATCCCAGTACTTTCGGAGGACGAAGCGGGCGGATCACAAGGTCAGGAGTTTGCCACCAGCCTGACCAACATGTTGAAACCCCGTCTCTACTAAAAATACAAAATTAGCTGGGCATGGTGGCGCGTGCCTGTAATCCCAGCTACTCAGGAGGCTGAAGCAGGAGAATCACTTCAACCTGGGAAGGGGAGGTTGCAATGAGCCAAGATCACGCCATTGCACTCCAGCCTGGGAAACAAGAACAAAACTCCGTCTCAAAAAAAAGAAAAGAAGAGTGCTTAATAAGAATTGCATGATAAACAAATATAATTTAACAAAGTAGTTGTGTACTTAAACATAACAAAACAAAACTATTGGAACTTGGGCAAGAGAAGGTAAGAAAACAAAAGCCAATAAAATATAATCTGAGAGAACTAAGGTAATAAATACAGTTAAAATAGTCACAGAAACATCAAATTGAAAAAAAAAAAGGAAAGAATAATTACCATTGTGGAAATCAGAGCAAAGGATATAAAAATATAAATAGAAAAGAAGTGAAATAACAAAGAAAGAAGATAGAAACAAAGAGAATCATAGAATCAAAGAAAGAAAAAGAACAAATAGAAATTTAAAATAAAGAGCTAAAAAATATAGTAGGGAAACAATAGACAAAGGAAAAGCTCCATATGCAAAAAACAGAGATCTAAATTAAAAAACTAAAGCTATAATTCAATACATTTCCCTAAAATAAAAGATAATTGAACTCCACATACAGAAAGGGAACACAATAGGGAATTTTGAGCTTTAATAGTTAACAGGAAGATGCTCTATTAAAGGTTTTGTATTTTAAATATAAATTAAGAGTTTTTAGTATCCAAGCAGTAAAACAAAATCAATTCTACAGACAAAAAGCACTCTAGTCGTATATTTCTCCCTTTAACACTAGAACATAGGTGAAAAACACTTGTGTAGCCACAAGCAAAGTAAACTATAATCCAAGAAAACATATTTTAGGAATAAAGTCAAAAGCCAAACAGCATAATATGCACAAATGCAAAAAGATTTGCATAATTCACCAGGAAATTAAGAGTAGAAATTTTAGACAACACAAGATAATGAAGAAACATATTAGGTAAGCGCTAATAATATGCATTAAATATACATATATATTTCCTTTTACTATGCTTTGCTTCATTGCACTTCACAGATACTGTGATTTTTACATATCGAATGTTTGTGACAACCCTGAGACCAGAGAGTCTATTGGCACCAATTTTCCAACAGCATGTGTTCACTTAGTCTCTGGGTCACAATTTTGGAAATTCCTGAAATATTTCAAAGATCTTCAATTTTATTATAACTGTAATGGTGATCTATGGTCAGTGATTTTTGATGTTACAGTAATTGTTTTGGAGTGCTACGAACAGCATCCATATAAGAGAGCAAACAATCAATAAATGTGTGCATTCTGACTTCTTCACAGGCCAGCACCCCCATATCTTGCCCTCTCTTTCAACCTCCCTATTCCCCAAGACATAACAACATTGGAATTAGGCCAGTTAATAATCCTACAATGGCCTCTAAGCCCTCTATGCATTAAAGTGAAAGGAAAAGTGGCAAGTCTCTCAGTTCAAATTAAAAGCTACTCATAATTAAGCTTAGTGAGGAAGGCGAGTTGAAAGCCAAAACAGGTTGAGAGGTAGGCCTCGTGCACCAGTTATTCAAGTTGTCAATGCAAAAGGAAAATTCTTGAAGTAAATTGAAAGTGCTATTTCACTGAAGAAATGAATGATAAGAAAGTGAAACAGCCTTGTTGCTGATATGGAGAAAGTTTTAGTGGTCTGTATAGAAGATCATACAATCCACAACATTCCTGTAAGCCAAAACCACATCCAGAGCAAGCCTCTAACTATCTTTAATTAATGATGGCTGATAGAGGTGAGGAAGCTGCAGAAGAAAAGCCTGAAGCTAACAGAGGTTGGTTAATAAAGTTTAAGAAAATAAGGTGTATTTATAACATAAAAGTGCAATGTAAAGCTACAAGTGCTGATGTAGAAGCTGCAACAAATTAATCATAAGCTCTAGCTAGGATAATTGATAGAGGTGGTTATGCTACACAACAGATTTTCAACGTAGACGTATAGCCTTGTTTTGGAATGAGATGTCATCTAGGATATTCATAGCTAGACAGGAGAGGTCAGTGCCTGATTTCAAAGCTTCCAAGACGGGGTGACTCTCTTATTAGGAGTTAATGCAGCTGGCGATTTTATAATAAATTGAAGCCAATCCTTATTTACTATTCTGAAAATCCTAGAACCCTTAAGAATTAATGCTAAATCTATTCTGCTGTGCTAAATCTATTCTGCCTGTGCTCTATACATAGAACAAGAAAGTCTGGATGACAGCACATCTGTTTAGAGCATGGTTGACTGAACATCGTTAGCCCACTCTTGGGGCCCACGGCTCAGAAAAAAAAAAAAAAAACCCTTTCAAAATATTACTGCTCATTAACAATTTAAACAATTTACCTGGTTACACAAGAGCTCTAACTGAGATGTACCTGGAGATGAATTGTGTTTTTATGCCTGCTAACACAACATCCATTCTGTAGCCCATGGATCAAGAACCTATGGATCATATCGACTTTCAAGTCTTATTAGTTAAAAAATACATTTCATAAAACTATAATTGCCATAGATAGTGATTCTTCTAACGGATCTAGGCAAAGCAAATGGATAACCTTCTGGAAAGCATTCACCATTCTAAATGCCATTAAGAACACTTGTGATTCATTGGCAGGTGGCCAAAATATCTACCTTAATGGAAGTTTGATAGAAGTTGATTCAAACCCTCATGGATGAATTTGAGGGGTTCAGAACTTCAGTGGAGGAAGTCACTGCAGATTTGCTGAAAACAGCAAGAGAATTAAAAGTGAAGCCTGAAGAGGGGACTGAATTGCCACAATCTCATGATAAAACTTGAACAGATGAAGAGTTGCTTCTATAAATAAGCAAAGAAAATAGTTTGTTGACATGCAGTATACTTCTGGTGAAGATGCTGTGAACATTGTTGAAGTGACAACAAAGGATTTGAAATATTACATAAACTTAGCTGATAAAGCAGCAGCAGGTTTTGAGAGGATTTAGGCCAGTTTTCAAAGTTCTACTGTGGGGACAATGTTATCGAACAGCATGAAATACTACAAGGAGATCTTTCATGAAAGGAAGTGTCAACTGATGCAGCAAAATTCATTGTTGTCTTATTTTAAGAAATTCCCACAGACTTCTCAATTTTCAGCCATCACTGCCCTAGTCAGCAGCTATCAATATTGAGACAGGGCCTTCCACCTACAAAAAGATTATGACTTGCTGAAGGCTCAGATGATCATTAGCATTTTTTAGCAATAAAATACTTTTAATAAGGTATGTATATTGATTTTTAGGCATAATTCTTTTTTTTTCTTTTTTTTTTTTGAGATGGAGTCTCGCTCTGTCCCCCAGGCTGGAGTGCAGTGGCCCGATCTTGGCTCACTGCAAACTCAGCCTCCCGGGTTCACGCCATTCTCCTGCCTCCCAAGTAGCTGGGACTACAGGCACCCGCCACCACGCCTGGCTAATTTTTTGTATTTTTAGTAGAGACGGGGTTTCACCATGTTAGCCAAGATGGTCTCGATCTCCTGACCTCATGATCCACCTGCCTCAGCCTCCCAAAGTGCTGGGATTACAGGCGTGAGCCCCCGCACCCAGCCTATTTTTAGGTGTAATTCTATTGCACACTTAATAAACTCCAGCATTGTGTAAACATAAATTTTGTATGCATTGGGAAGCCAAAAAATCATCTGAGTGGCTTTATTACATTATTTGCTTTATTTGGCGGTCTAGAACCAAACCCACAATAGCTCTGAGGTACACCTATATTTAATTCTAGAAACAAGACTAAATCAAGCATGGAAGTTAGGGTTATCAAGAAAAAATATAAACAGTATATGTTTTAACCCTACAGAAATAGTACAACTAATAAAATTTGAGAGAGGAAGATCATAAGATAGTATAATGACTCTTTATCTGCAACAATTTAGACTAGAGAAATGTTATTTAAAGCTAAGAAATCATTCAATGCATTATGAAAATATTCATAGTACAAATTAAAATTTTGGAAAGTAAATTTAAAACTAGAAATAAAATATTATTGAAAACATAACATTAATTTTACAATTGCTCCTGTAGAGAGTAAATAGATAACTAGCTTAAGAGGTAGTGGACTAAATGAATTATTAGGAAAGACTTTTTGCAATGCCTAACAAACCCTTAAAAGATGACAAAACAAGATGACAAATACAGCCATCAATATCTGTCATATGGACAAATGTAAAGGGCTTTATTCTTGTATTTACAAACAAGAGAGAAATATTAATATTTACTTTGAGTCACAAAGTTAAGTCCGCTCCGTATGTAAAAGAAAGTAGTCCCTCCTTAATCACAGTTTCATGTTCCAGTTTCAGTTACCTATGGTCAACTGCAGTCCAAAAACATTAAATTGAAAATACCAGAAATAAACAATTCCTTTGTTAAATTGAGCACTGTTCTGAATATGATGATAAAATTCTGTGCTGTCTTCTCCATTCCTCCCAGGACATGAATTTACCCGTTGTCCAGCAGATCCACACTGTCTACCTGCCCATTAGTCACTTAGTAGCTGTCTCAGTTTACAGAATGACTGTTGTGGCATTGCAGTGCCTTGTGTTCAAGTAACCCTTATTTTACTTAATTGTTCTAATTAATTATTAGTCATTTTTGTTATTCTCTTACTTTGCCTAATTTATAAATTAAATTTAATCACAAATATGTAGACATAGGAAAGAAACATAGTATATATAGGGTTTGATACTATCCACGGTTTTAGACCTTGGCCAAGGATCTTGGAACATATCCCCCTGCAGTAAGGGAAGGACTACTGTGCTCCCCTAAGGAAGAATACTGGAAGTAAGAAAGTTTGAATTAAAAAAACAAAATGAGCAAAGTAGTGGTAGGCCAATGTAAACACAAGGAAAATAGTTGTGGATTGATATAAAATTGGTCGTAACCCTTTTCTAGGGACATGTATTTTGCAATGTGACTTTGAAGTTACTCCCATTAAACAGTGAGTCTATATCCCTTTCCCTTCGTTCTGAAATGGTCTTCAGACATGTTTGGGACAAGACAATGTGCAAAAGTAATGTAATGCTAGCTCCAATCTATTAGAACACTCATTATAAAGATGTATGAGTCTTTGAACACTTCTGCACATTGTCTGATGAAGAAGTGAGCTGGCCTACTGGACAACTCCCAGTCCTAGAGAGCAGACACAAGACACCAGAACTCCACGTGAGGCCCTCCTACAGCAGCCAGTCTCAAGGCAATCTGGCACCTAAGGGCAGAAGCATGAGTGACACCATCTGAGACCAGCAAAAGCCCTTCCCTGGTTGAAACCAGCTAAAACTGCCCATGCACAGAATCTTACAATAAATAAAGGTTGATATGGTTTCTTATGTGGAATAGAAAACTGATAAAGCAGGGGCAATTACTTTATAATAGAATAGGTGTAATTTTCTGGTGCGGTGGCTTACGCCTGTAATCCCAGCACTTTGGGAGGCCGGGGCAGGCAGATCACTTGAGATCAGGAGTTCGAGACCAGCCTGACTAACATGGAGAAACCCCGTCTATACTATAAATACAAAATTAATCTGGGTGTGGTGGCACATGCCTGTAATCCCAGCTACTTGGGAGGCTGAGACAGGAGAATCGCTTGAACCCGGAAGGCAGAGGTTGTGGTGAGCCGAGATCGTGCCATTGCACTCCAGCCTGGGCAACAAGAGCGAAACTCCGTCTCAAAAAAAAAAAAAAAAAGACACAAATCAGCTGGGCATGGCGGCTCATGCCTGTAGTCCCAGCTACTTGGAAGGCTGAGGCAGGAAAATGGCTTGAACCCAGGAGGCAGACGTTGCAGTGAGCCAAGATCGCGCCACTGCACTCCAGCCCGGGCGAGAGAGTGGGACTCCATCTCAAAAATAGGTGTAATCTTGGTAAGCATATATGATAGTATGCAATTTCACTGGTATTCAAAAAGAAAATATAACTAAAAAGCAATTTTTTGTCTCATTCATGAAGGAGAAAAAGACAAAAAATTCACTGGTAAAAGTTAAAGACTTTTAGCTCATGAGTAATGAATACAACAAAAACAAGATGTGGAAGTGGTAATAAATATAATTAACTGGATATATCTGATTGATTAATATCAAAATTTAGAACCTGAAAAGAGTATATCTTTCTAGATTTTCATTCAATAGTTATGAAAATTGACTTTACAGCATAAAGCATATACAATAATTCCAAAAAATTAGTAGTACAAACCTTTTCTGAACACTACTTAATGACATGAGAAATTGAAGACAATATTGGAAAGAAAAATCCTCCTTCCATTTGGAAATTTGGAAACCAAAATGAATTTCCATTGTTGGAATAATTTTTAAAATAAAGAAATAAAAATGAAAACACCACAAATAAAAAGATACATTTTATAAATCTCATATACAGAGGTAGAAAAATCTAAACAGACATATTTCCAAAGGAGCATAAACTATTCTTAAGGAGTCATTCCCTCAAAAAGTACTAGGCTCAAGGCGTAGATGCAGATAGCAGCTGGATAAATGGGAGACAAAGGTGGGAGATTGTTTTCTCTGTATATCTTTTTATACTTTTAACATTTTCTACTATTACAATATATTAACCATTACATATCCATATATAGAGACCAAAATAAAATGAAAATAAGTTAAGGGCAAAGTTAATTACTTGAATCATTATGTTATGGTGTGATTACTGTAAACAATGCATTTACATTTGTTCCTGGCATATAAGAAGTTAATAAATATGAACTACATTTTATGTATGCTTGAATGTATTTAAAAGAAGGTTTTGTTGGGGTAGGCTCACCCAGGTCATTTAACAACCAATATAACTAGTTTCAATTATACATTAATTTCAATTTGACAGTTTAAGCTCATTGAGTCACAAATCAGAGTCAGAGTCAATGGTCTCCTAAAGCCAGGTCCCCACTTATTAAAAGTTAAGGACCCTACAAAACTAGGGCACCTGAACATCAGGTTGCAAATGATTATTAAAAAGAAACAGTTACAGATTTGTGTATTGTAGTAAAGTATACAATGTTAAATAATGATAGATTGAACACTAAAAACGCACTGCTAAATCAGTTATAAATAGATCAATTAATAATGCCTTATTTCTCTTGGAATTCATCCAAAGAACTAATATCAGTTGAAAATATGCAATGTGCAATATACTGAAGAAGCCAAGCAGTGGTTGATTTATTTTGAAAATTAGCCAAGGGAATCCAAACTATAAAGTAGCATTATGGAATATAGATAAAAATATTTGGGTATCCTAACTGATAAATATTTTCCTAGTGAGAATTATCTAGAGCATTTTATTTGCTTTTTCAAACCCAGTTTTTAAAAGCTGTCCTTAAACTTTTCTGTTTACAGATTTTAAAAGTTATTTTTGATATCATCTTCAACTTTGAAAATTTGAGGTTTGTTACTACTTTTACCATTGCAAAATAAACTACTAAGTATTTATGTGAAAGCAATTTCAGCTGCAGTTTAATCACAGAGAATTTCATATCTCTCCGGAAAAAACAAATGCAAGTCAGCATATAACTTTGGTATTGTTGGTCCTTGATCTATATCAAGAGCAAAGTTACCAATTAAATTTAGAAAAGCATTTGTTATGAGTAGTCTCTCTGCGATGATAATGATTGTCTAGAGATAAAAATTTTTCTCTAGGGAGTCTCTAGACACAGCCATTCTATGAAACAGGTCCAATGATGTTACAATAGTTAATAAAGTATAAAAATGTATGAGTTTTCTAGATTCTGCTTATTTTAAAATATCAATAGTTTAAGATGCTACGTTGTTTTATTATCTACTTTCTAAATATAGTAATTGCAGCCAATTTCAGGTAATAAAATACACTTAGAAAAATAAAGTTAAAATATACCAACTTATTGGAGTAAAAAGGAAGGGTATTATATTCTTCCAGTAATAATCATGTCACATTAGGTAGGTAAAGATATATTTATCTAAAAGAGCATTTTTATTTTCTTAAGAGTTCTGTTTTCTAAGAAGGAGTCAATGAAACTGAATATACATCAGAATTTCAAGTATGGTAGAGCCAAATTATTTTGAACCATTGGTAACACATTCTGTTTACTTATTTCATATGCCGTACTAGTGAGTTTCTAAATAAACTCATTTCTAAAGTATATTTTGCTACTTTAGTTTACTTTTTCCTACTTCCACTATCCTCCATCATAATAGAGATACAGAATTTTTTTAACTAAATTATAAATGTTGTTTATAAATTCTAGGGAAAGGAAAGGGAACATTTTAGTGTATTTCCTAGATCTAGGCATATAAATTGATTTGAAAGCATGGAGTGGTTTTGCTGTTACCACAGCTTAGCTCCTCTTAAAATTCTTATATCAACTTTTGGTTATAATTTAAATTTTCAGGTGTAAAATATACTATTTATCAGGAATTTGAGCAATGACAAGCAATTACAATGGGAATCTTTGTGAGGTAACATGAATTAAAATCATTTATTCTTATAAACTCAAAACTCAGATAGAAAACAAAGTTTGTCATTATTAACTATTATGTTGCCGAACACCAATAAGATTATTAGATATGTGTAGAATACACATGCTTGGCAAACTGCCATAAATAAGAATAGTCAGATGGCACTCTCTAAAGACCTCCAATGATCTCCTCTTACATATAACAGAGATCAGAGAGGCTGTTTTAATTTGTTCAATTGTCACATTTAATAGGAGAAATCCTTCCAAATTAGTTTTAGTTGTATGTTAATGAAAAACCTGGTTTCTTATTAAAAATCATCTGGGAATAGTTTTGAAGTACTGATGTGAAGGACCCACATGTCATGGGTCTGGAGTAGAGTTAACACATGGAGGTTTTTAAAAGTTCTCCAAGTGATTCCCTTGTGGAGCCACACTCAAACAAAAATGTCACTTGTTTTTATTTCTCAGGCTTATCCAACTGTTTCCATTTAAGCTTCCCTCCTTGGCTTTGATTTGGTGCCTCATTATCTAGAACCTATGTATCTTACTATGAATCTCAGTAACAAAATCACCCAGAATTCTCATTATCTATTAAGTATTTATACTTCCTAACTGGAACTCAGAGATTAAAATTCTTAATGTCTGATGTGGATCCTAGAAATCTGTATGTTTAATGAGCTCCTCAGTTGCTTTTGATGAAAATAATGCATGGACATATTAAAATAGGCTTTGGAATTATAAACTTTGAAGTCAGTCCGCATGACGATTAGCACACTTGTTTCAATGTTATTGTAATTATAACCATGGGAAAGTTGATATGCCTCTTTCAAGTAAAAATAGAACCACTTCCAGATTATATTGTGGGGATTACATTAATTGAATATAAAGCATTTAACACAGTTACTGCCATATATAATATAAGTATTTTATCAATGTTTTCTTGCAACGTTATTTACTTGTTGGCACCTATTCAATTACCCTTATCTATCTACCTAGATTCTTCACACAATTCAGTTAGGGTATCAGAATCTGAGTTTCTTACAAGGCCTCTTAGCCTCAGATGTTTTTAATTATTCCAAGGATTTCTGATTGTGACTTCAGTTTTAATAACAATGATAAACTTATAATTTTTAATATAAACACTCATAATTATTAAGTCAAATTTTGACTTCAGGTAAAACACATTGTTGTGGGTGAGAAACAGTTCTACGCAAGTGAGAAAGCTACTGTGAGATGGATAGATAATCCAAAGTTTACCAAATATAAGAAAATAATAATACCTCCAGGAATTCTGGCTTAACAGAATAAAGTAACACAAAGGTAGTATAGAAAGTAACTTTCTCACTCACCCAGACTCCTTGGGTTTGAGATGTTCTGAGGTTTATTGTTTGCATCCTAGAGAGCAAAAATATAAAGTTAATGTGCAAAGGAGTATTCTTTTTTTTTTTTTTTTTGAGACAAAGTCTTGCTCTATTGTCCAGGATGGAGTGCAAAGGCATGATCTTGGCTCACTTCAACCTCCGCCTCCCAGGTTCAAATGATTCTCCTGCCTCAGGCTCCTGGGTAGCTGGAATTGCAGGTGCACACCACCATGCCTGGCTAATTTTTGTATTTTAGTAGAGATGGGGTTTCACCATGTTGGTCAGGCTGGTCTCGAACTCCTGACCTCGTGATTCAACCGCCTTGGCCTCCCAAAGTGTTGGGATTACAGGAGTGAGCCACCGCACCTAGCCAGGAGTATTCTTTAATTGCAGACTCTCCTTCTTCACTTACAATTTATAGTTGCATTACTCACCGTGGGCTAACATATATGGAAGTATGCGCTTCACAGATTTGACTTGGTTGGTCTCTTTCTTTTGGCTAGCTGATATGTAATTACCTTTACAGCTTCAGAAATAATTGCCCCAGTCATCTGTAGATAGGGTAACAGGGTTGGTTTCATCTTCATTAAAAGAGTACAAGAGGGGACAATCTGAACTTTTATCTTTTGGGTTAGAAGCAATTTGGGTTGTTTCCACAGTATCTTGGAGGAGCCATAAGCAGACTAAAAGGAGCTATAATTTGTTATACGATGAAAAGATCATAAATATAGTACAATGTTTAAAGATTGACTGATTCAACAAATGTTTGCTTTTAAAATTAAAGGGTTTGACTTCACCAAACAGTCTCTAAACACTGGTCTGCAAACACATGTATAAACTAAAAATAATTCTATTTATGTCCTACTGGTGATACCTTAATTTGCCAATATTAATCTTTTTTAAGAGGTTTGTCTTTTGCTTGAAGAAGAGAGTAAAAAAAATCCATGATATTTACATCTGGGTATAGACTATTCAAGTTTTCTAGAGAAGGAGAAGAGATAAAGATTAATAGTTTTATTTCTAGGAAAAATATTAAGATTTTAGAAGCATCTTAGTTGTTGATAGGTCTCAGAAGTAATTAAATGAGTGAATATAATAGAGAGGAGATGAGGCATTCCAAAAGCTTAATCCTACTTTAATGTTAATACTATTCTTAAATAGTTGTTTTCATTTTTTAGGGCAAAAGTAAATAATTTGAATGTACGTTATTCATGAACTAGAAAATTATTTAAAGTGGACAGTTGGGAATCGTAAAATAACATGCAAATTAAAAAACATATTGAATCAACCTGTAGAAAGAAAAATGGCCATAAACATTCCAAACATCAAGATAAATGTTGATTCATTTGATCTGAAAATAATATTTTTAAGAAGCTATAAAAAAGGTAATTTTAAAACCAGTAATGTGACAAAATAAAGACTAAAAACACTCTGGGTGTATCACACCTAAAAATACCCAGCCCTTGAGGTCAAAACTATTTTTATAATGACACTGTAAGTATTCTTTCTATTGTGATGACCTTGTTTTTTATTTATAATATTATTGATTTGTGTTCTCTTCCTTTATTGCTGGTCAGTGTTTAGAGGAATGTGTAAATTTTGTTGATCTTTTTAAAGAACACATTTTTGTGTTTGTTAAATTTCTCTATTGTTCATCTGCTTTTAAAAAATTGATTTCTGTTGTTATCATTATTATTTCCTTCCTCTTACTTATTTGAGCTCATTTTGCTTTTCTTTTACTAGCTTCTTAATATAGATCCTTAAGTCACTGGCTTTAAAAGTATTCAAGATGGTATTTAAACTTTCCCTTCATGAATTGCTTTCTTTGCTGTATTTGATGAATTTTGAAGTGCGAGTTTTTTTGATATTCACTTAAAAAATTGCCAATATCACTTTTATTCCATCTTTGACTTGTGAATTGTTTAAATACGCATCATCTTGTTTCTAAATATTTGGATTTTCCTAGATGTTTTATTGCTGATTTCTAACTGAATTTTGTTTTTGGTTAGAAAACATAGTCACAGGTTTTCAATCCTTTTAGATTTATGAAGATCTATTTTATGACCAAACGTGCAGTCTATCTTAGTGAATATGTAATTCTATTCTCTCAGACAAATCAGCTGTGATAGTTCATCACAATTAGATCTGTCTTACAAGCAATGATAAAGAAGTTCTCCAAGTTGAAACAAAAGGATGCTAACAATGCATATGAAAGTATGAAACTCACTATAATGGTAAAACTATATTCAAATTCAGAATATTCTAATACTCTAATGATGGTGCATGAATAACTTTTAATTCTAGTATTAAAGTAAAAAGGCAAATGTATTCAAAAGAACTAGCTATAATAATTTGGCAATGGAAACTTAATATGTAAAAGGTAAATTGTGCCATCAATAACATAAAAGTTGGTGGAGGGGAAGTTAAAATGTAGGGTTTTGTATGCAGTAAAAGTTAGATTGTTATCAACTTAAAATAGAATATCGTAACTAAAAGATATTCTATGTAAGCCTCATAGTAGCCACAACATACAAAGGCAAAAGCCTGTACCACATACAAAAAAGATAAAGGAATTAAAGCATACCATTACAAAAAATTAATCACATTAAAAAGAAGACAAGAGAGAAAGAATAAAACAAAGATTAAACTACAAAACAGTCAGAATACAACAAAATGGCACTAGTAAGTCCTTACCTATTAATAATTACTTTAAACATAAATGGATTACATTTTTCTATCGTAAAATAAATGTAGACAAAACATTTGACAATGACAAAGTTCAACATATATGCATGATAAAAATTCTAAACAAAATTGGTTACCAAAGGAACTTACCTCAATACAGTAAAGACCATTCATAAAACGCTTATAGCTAACATCATAATCCATTAGGAATAACCGAAAACTTTGCCTCTGTACTCTGATACAAGGCAAGTACCTACTCTTGCCACTTTTGTGTAACACTGTACTGAAATTCCTAGCCAGAGAAATTAGACATGAGAAATTAATAGAAAGGAAAAAGTAAAATTACTTTTGCAGATGATATGATTCTATTTGTAGAAAACCTATAAGACCCCATTAAAAGCTGTTAACTAATAAGCAAATTTAGTAAAGCTGTAGGATACAGAATTAATATTCAAAAATCACTTGTGTTTTTTTACATCAACAAAACTTCCAAAGAAAATGAAGAAAATAATCCTATTTACAATAGCACCAAAATCAACAAAATATTTAGGAATAAAGCTAACCAAGAAGGTGAAAGATTTGTGTAATATAATACAGTGATGAAAGAAATTGGAAAAGATACAAATGAAGAGAATTATATCCCATATTTATGAATTGGAAGAATTAATATTGAAAAAAGGCCATACTACCAAAATTAAATTATACATTCAATAAAATCCCTATCAAAATTTCAGTCATCTTTTACCAAATTAGGGAAAAAAACCTCTAAAATATGTATGAAATGACACACACACACACACAAAAAACGCAGACAGCCAAAGCAATCTTAAGAAAAATGAAAAAAGTTAAAGGAATTAACTTCCTGATTTCAAATTATATTACAAAGCTATTGTATTCAAAATATTATGGTGCTGGCTTAAAAACAGTCATACAGACCAATGGAACAAAATGAAGAGCCAAGAAATAAACTCACACATGAAAAGTCCACTAATTTTTGAGAGGGGCACAAAGAATATACAATGTGGTTATTAGTCTCTATAACAAATGGTGTTGGAACAACTAGATATTTACATGAAAAACAATAAGTGGGATCTTTATCTTATACCATACACAGAAAACAACTTAGAGAATTAAATTTAAGACCTGAGACCATTAAACTCCTAGGAGAAAACATAGGAAATATTTCCTTGCCCTTGGTCCTGGTAATAATTTTTTTGTATGGCACCAAAAGCATAGAAAACAAAAGCAAAACTGTGTAAGTGGGATTGCATTAAACTAAAAAGCTTCTGCAAAGCAAACAAAAAAGATAAAATAAAAAATAGAAAAGAAAGAAAAGACAACCTATAAATGAAGAGAAACTGTTTGAAAACTATACATCTGATATGAATTTAATATACAAAATATCCAAAATACATAAGGAATTTGCTATGATTTGAACGTGTTCCCCCAAAATTTAGTTGGTGGAAACTTGGTTGCCATTGTGGTAGTGTTAAGAGGCAGGGCCTTAAGAGGTAATTAGGCCATGAGGTTTCCTTCCTCATTAAGGGATTAATGCCATTATCTCAGGAGTGGGTTAGGTATGCCAGGAATGGATTCCTAATAGAAAGGAGGAGTTCAGCTCATTTACCTCTGTGCCTTGTATGCCTGTGTGTCCTTCTGCCTGTTTTCCATGGGCTAACTAACTCAGCAAGAAGGTCTTTACCAGACATCAACACCATGCTCTTGGATTTTCCAGAACTATGAGAAATACATTTCTTTTCTTTATAAATTACACAGTCTGTAATATTCTATTGTAGTAACAGAAAATGGACTTAGAAAGCACTCATACAATTCAGTAGCGAAACACACACATAACCAAATTTTAAAATGGGCACAGGAGCTGTCTTAGTTTCTTTGTACTGCTACAATAAAATATCACCCTGGGTAACTTAGAAACAGTAAAAATTTATTTCCTCGTGGTTCTGGAGGCTGAGAAGGCTAAGATGAAAACACCGGCTTGTGAGGGCCTCGTTTATCTGTTTCCAAGATGGTGCCTTGTTTCTGCATCCTTTGGAGAGGAAGAATGTTGTACCCTCATGTAGAACAAAAAAACAGAAGGGCAATAAGGGCCTGAGTTATTCCCTGTATCCCTTTTACAAAACACTAATTTATTGATGAGACTGGAGCCCTCATGACATAAATCACTTCCCAAAAGGCACCATCTCCCCATACTGCCACAATGGGGATTAGGCCTCGATAACATGAATTTGAGAGGGAGCATATTCAAACCACAACATTCTGCCCCAAAAATATATGTCCTTCTCACATGCAATATAAATTCATTTCATCCAAATAGCCTCAAAAATCTTAATTTATTTCAGTATCAACTCCAAAGTTTAAAGTCCAGAGTTTCACCTAAATACCATCTCCACCAGATACAGGTGAGACTGAAGGTATGATTCATCCTGAAGCAAATTCCCCTTTAGCTGCGAGCATTTGAAATTAAACAATTATGTGCTACCAAAATACAAAAGTGGGACAGACATAGAATAGACATTCCTATTCCCAAAAGAAGAAATGGGCAAGAAGACAGGGGTAACATGTCCCAAATGAATCCAAAGCCAAACATGGCAAACAACATTAACTCTTAATTATTGAGAATAATCTTCGATTCCATGTCCTGCTTTCACACACTGGCATGGTGGTTAGATCTCCAGGGCTCCAGGGGATCCTGCCTTCATAGCTTTGTGGGGCAAAGCCCACACCAGAGCTCTCCAGGGTTGAAGTCTAGTGTCTGTCACTCTCCCAGGCTGGAGTTCCATTTTGGTGGTTGTACAGTTCTGAGGTCTTAGTGGTGAAGCTGTCCTCATGGCTTCACTAGGCATTGCCCTAGTGGGGACTCTGCACCAGCCATGTTCCTGTGGCAGTTCTGTGCCTGGGTCCCAAGACTCTCTGAGACATCATCTGAAATCTAAATGGAGGTAGTCGTGCCTCCACAGCTCTCGCACTCTGCTAATATGCAAGGTTATCACCACATGGACACTGCCAAGGTTTACTACTTGTACTGCCTTTGAGAAGGGCAGCCTAAGCCATGCCTGGGCTAACTTGAGCCACAGCTGGGGTGGCAAGTGCTGCAACACAATTTAGGGAACAGAGACTTGAGGTGGCCCTGAGAAATCAGCCCTGCAGTTCCAGGTGTGCCTTATTCCCCTTCCTTGAAACTGTTTTGCCCTCAAAGCCTTGGCATTCTGAGCCGATGGAAGTGGCAGCCTCAATGATTTAAAAAATGTCCTTGAGGTTATTCTTTCATTGTCTTGATGGATAGCATCTGGCTTCCTTCTGTCCATACTAATCTCCTTATTACACTTTATTTGTCCACACCTTTTGTATTCTCTTCCAAATATGACTTAATTCTTTACATGACTAAGCTGAGAATTTTCCAATTCTTTAAGTTGTGCTTCCTTTTTAGTTATATATTCCATCTTCATTTCATTTCTCTCTTTTTGCAGTTTACTCTAAAGCTTATTTGTAGGTTTAAACCATTTGTATTTTAGAAGTTTCTTTTAATGAAAATGGTGTTGCTTTCATAGAAAAAAAAGATAATTCCTCCATTTCATCATCTCATCCTGGGAAACAAAAATGGCAAGTGCCATTTTCATTCCAAAAATTATAAAATGTTTATACATAATATATTAAATTTAAGAGCATGAGCATCAATAAACTATAAAATAAATGAAGATAGAATTTATCTGAAAAAGGAAAGAAGATAAGTCAATGTGTGGTGTTATAGCATTAAACTAAAGTCAATTACTTGTCAATTTACCTAACACAAGGGATATAACAGATAAATAAAGGCAGGATTTATCAGAAAATTGCTGCAAACTTACAGGATGATCTTCAGAGGATTACTAAAATAGAATCATATCCTGTATTTATTGATGCCATGATTCTCTCCCCATCTTCATCCTGGGAATGAACATGAATAATTCACTAAGTATCACTGCTGTGTGTTTTAAAATATTTTGCTGGTTCAAAATGTTTTAACAACAGCTTCCATGTTCAGGATGCCAGACCTACTGCCATCAGCAAGAAGATAAAACCATTTTTTTAATGAAATCTAAACATTAATATGTATGTGGCTATGGCAGTTACCACCTAAAAATTAGCAAATTAATAGATAATTGTATGTTCTTTGCATTCTCTTAGTAAAAAATTACTAAGCATAAGAGTGCATGTAATTTGGGTAAAATTATTTTCTAGTTAAAGAAGAAAGTTGGATGAGAGTGCCTGATAGAGCTGTAGCAACAAGATTTAATCTTTTAAATGTTTAACAGAAACCTTTTTTATTGTTTAAATCTAGCAGCTTACTTAGACAGATGTGTTTCTTCAATTTTGAGGATAGCAGCTGCTCAAAATCAAAAATAATAGACATGGGTAGTTTTAAATAGCAAACATGAAAGTTGATTTCCCAACCTTACTTTCTGCCAAACAGCTGGGCAGCCATAAGGCATACCAGCCTAACTGGTGGCAATTAATAGCCATGTGTATTCAAGTTAGTACTGAACCCAGTACAGGTTCAGAAGCTTATACCATCCACTGACTGATCACATGCAACTTAAAGATTGCTACAAACATATTATCTTTCAAAATGTAGGTGATAATAGCTTCAATATCTCACTATAGAAAGGAAATATGTACTTTTCAAAAATGTATGCCATATGGGAATACCGATTCTGCCTATGATGATGTGAGCTTCTAAGATCCACCCCACTTACTGATTATAATTCTAAAATTTGGATAAATTACAAAGAAAACAAAAAAAAAAAACAAAAAACCACCTGAGAACCCTGAAAAGTAAACAAAGGCTCATGGGTCATGGAGATAGCCATCTTCACAACCTGGAGAAGCAATCCAGTCACAGGGGCATTTTCTGTTTTTATTTTTGTTTCTTCTTTTCTCTTAGCTTTGCCACATGGGAGGGGGCCAGGTAAGTGCTGGGTAGAGAAGAGTGGGTCCCTGGTTAGGGGTCCACCCCTTGGCCTGTGCCCTCGGACCTAGGTGAGGACGGGCATTTCTGTTCTCGTGCCCAAATCTTCCATTTTCCAAGACGACTCTGGCCCTCCACGCCCCCATCCTGTGCCTATAAATCCCCGGTGCCCTAGTGGGTAGAAACACGAGTGGGTGGACATTGAGTGAAACACACCAGAGGAACACACAAGCGGCTGGACGTCGAGAGGAACATACCGGTGGAAGGGCACACCGACCGGCACCGGCAGACGCCAGCAGGCCATCCACCAGCTGAATGATGCGGAGTTTAGCTGGGGCCGGTCGGACGGAGGAGAACCTAGCCGCGGGGCAGCCCACTCCAAGGGAAAACTACCTTCCCACTCCATCCCTCTTCTTGCCTCCCCGTCCACCTCACTGAGAGCTACCAACACTCAATAAAATACCTTGCACACATTCTCCAAGCCCATGTATGATCCGATTTTTCCAGTACACTAAGGCAAGGATCCAGGATACAGAAAGTCCTCTGTCCTTGTGATCAGGCAGAGGGTGTAACTGAGCTGATAACACAAGCCGACTTTCAGATGGCAAAACTGAAAGAGCACAATGTAACACACGCCCACTGGCCTCAGGAGCTGTAAACAGTCACCCCTAGAGGCTGCCGTGGGGTCAGAGCCCACCCTCCCCATGACCTGCCCATCTGCCTGCTCCCTCTAGGGGTTTTGAGCAGCAGGGCACCTAAGAAGCCAGCCACGCCCCCCCGCATCGCGTGCCCTGCGAGGGGGACAAGGGAACTTTTCCTGTTTCATTTGCACTCCAGGTGAATACCAGGCACACAGTGGCTCAATATTTGCAGCTAAAACTTTGACATATAGTTTGAATCTGTGCAAAAGAAAAATGGAGAAGTGTCTGTTCATATCCTTCACCCACTTTTTGATGGGGTTGTTTGTTTTTTTCTGGTAAATTTGTTTGAGTTCCTTGTAGATTCTGGATATTAGCCCTTTGTCAGATGAGTAGATTGCAAAAATTTTCTCCCATTCTGTAGGATGCCTGTTCACTCTGATGGTAGTTTCTTTTGCTGTGCAGAAGCTCTTTAGTTTAATTAGATCCCATTTGTCAATTTTGGCTTTTGTTGCCATTGCTTTTGGACAGCCAAAAGACACATGAAAAAATGCTCATCATCACTGGCCATCAGAGAAATGCAAATCAAAACCACAATGAGATACCATCTCACACCAGTTAGAATAGCAATCATTAAAAAGTCAGGAAACAACAGGTGCTGGAGAGGATGTGGAGAAATAGGAACACTTTTACACTGTTGGTGGGACTGTAAACTAGTTCAACCATTGTGGAAGTCAGTGTGGCGATTCCTCAAGGATCTAGAACTAGAAATAGCATTTGACCCAGCCATCCCATTATTGGGTATATACCCAAAGGATTATAAATCATGCTGCTATAAAGACACATGCACACGTATGTTTATTGTGGCACTATTCACAATAGCAAAGACTTGGAACCAAGCCAAATGTCCAACAATGATAGACTGGATGAAGAAAATGTGGCACATATACACCATGGAATACTATGCAGCCATAAAAAATGATGAGTTCATGTCCTTTGTAGGGACATGGATGAAGCTGGAAACCATCATTCTCAGCAAACTATCGCAAGGACAAAAAACCAAACACTGCATTTTCTCACTCATAGGTGGGAATTGAACAATGAGAACACATGGACACAGGAAGGGGAACACCACAAACTGGGGCCTGTTGTGGGGTGAGGGGAGGGGGGAGGGATAGCATTTGGAGATATACCTAATATTAAATGACGAGTTACTGGGTGCAGCACACCAACATGGCACATGTATACATATGTAACTAACCTGCATGTTGTGCACGTGTACCCTAAAACTTAAAGTATAATTAAAAAATTTAAAAAAAGAAAAATGGAAAAAAGACAGGATAGGCCAGAGCACTGTGTGTGAAAGAAATCCTACAGTAGGGAGACACTGAAAAGACAAATTCAGCATTTCTGTGTAGAATGTCATAAAATTCCCAGCCTAGTGTGTAAATCACAAATTCTTTGCACAAACTCAAGTCCATATAGCATAAGCTTTGAGAGCTGAACTGACATTTGTGCAAGCTACAAAATCTCATCCTAATCCCTGAACCTCACACATGAGACAGGCCCAAATCAACATGGCCAAGTCTTTGGGGACTGAATTGAGATTTGAGCCAACACACAGAGGTTAATCTATTCACAAATTGGGAAATATGTGAGCTAAAGACTCATTTATTAATAATTGTTTTTTTGAATATTTAGTTAATTTCCAAGAGTATAATAACCCACTTCTATTTGTCTGTTTCTATTCAATTCGTACTTGTTTGAGAAAAAAAGTATAGTTGAAAACATAATAAAAATACAATTTATATGAGAGAATAGTTCATTATCAATAACAAAGAAATCAGAATTTCACAGGGGAATTTATCAGTATGTAAAATTTCATTTTATTTTTATGTTTATTTTCTATTTCTCAAAACTTATTATGTTTAGAATTCTTAATTGCACATTTTACATATAGCGTACATTTATGCACGATATGGAACAAAATTGCTCCAGTAACCTACAGGTTCATTAAATTCACTTTTTGCTTTACTTTTTTGTTACAATTTTGAGAGATGAGATAGGTCAACTCTCAAAAGACAGGATAAGCTAGAGCACTGTGTGTGAAAGAAATCCTACCAGAGGGAGAGACTTAAAAGATAAATCCAGCATTTCTGTATAGAAACCCATAAAATTGTGTATGTGTGTGTGTGTGTGTGTGTGTGTGTGTGTGTGTGTGTGCATGCTTTTTCTCCTGACATGAACCTTGTGGTTATGTTGGGTACATGTCAGTAAGAACATTCAAATATGAATAGATAAATATCCAGAAAAATAGGGAGAATATGAAGATGTCCAAGTGATTAATACCTTTCGACCCTCAAAAAATATAATCTATGTAGCACAGTTACAAAATTTTAAATAGTCAATGAATAACTTATTTTAAAATCCTAAAAATATATATTTTTTAAAAAATGAATGATAATTTTAAAACACACAAAATACAATTAACCTAGGCATCAATTCCACTGAGGGAGACAATTTTGTCTTCAATGTGTTATCACCAATACTAATGACAGTTCTTGGCTCAGAATTGGTCCATGCAATATTGAAAGGTGAAATGTTTAAGAAGTGATAGGATCAGAAAGGATTTGCCCTCATGAATTGACTAATCCATTCATAGATTAAGGGGTTAATGAGTTAATAGATTAATGGGCAATCATGAGAGAGAGACTGAAGAAAATTTTAGTTGCACCCCCAAAACAAAACTCTCCTTTAAGGCTGCTAGTGAATATGGCTGAGTCAATCTAATCTGTTAAAGGAGCTGAATCTGGACTTCCTTTTGCTTACGGTGATTTAGTTTATCACTGGCTCCAAATGCATTCAGAGATATGCATTAGAGCCTTCAGCAAGGTTCAATAACTGAGTGTCTGAGGAGGTGCTCTCAGCTTTCCTGCTGTGTCCTCAGACTGCAGCAGGCCCAGAGAACCTACACATCAAGTGTGTATTCAGGAGTCTCCATCTGTCTTCCTTACCGCCCCCGACCTCCGCCCCCCCACCACAGAAGGCCACATTCTTGTACTCAGACCTAGAGAGCCTGAAGGACCTTTCTCCATTCTCCAGTCCCATTTCAGCCATGGGCACTCCTGCATGCCTGCACCTCAGGTTATATCTCTCTCAGCTCCTCTGCTCCTTGCCCAGCCACCAGCAGTGGCTCTTACCGCACAATGGAATCTCAGACTACCTAAAGGATTTTTTTTCATTTCTCTGTCTGCCCTCAGGATTCAGCAGAAACCCTTGTGCCTCTAACTCAGGAATTTTTCTCAGCACTCCTGCCCCAGCCCAGCTGTAGTAGCCTCTGCCATGTACCCTTTTGGTGTGTAATGTGCCTCAGAAGTTTTACAGCCCTGCCCTCAGCTCGCCAAGCATGGCTGCATCTCAACGCAGGTCACTGTGAGTTCTCCTGCTCTTATGCCAGTCTAGGTAGCTGCTGCCATGAGGGCTGGATTACCCAGGCAGGGAGAGCTTCTTGCCCTGTCCCCAGAATTCCACCTGGGCATTGATAGCCTCTGGGAAAGAGCTGGTGGTTGGGTACAGACTCTATGGCTAGTACCCCCTAGAAATTCTAAATTGTCTTTTACTTACCCTCATCAATGGAGGCTTTTTTTCCTTTTCCCTGTGCTCTACCACTGTTAAAAGCAGCTTTGGGTCTCTTAACTCCTAGAAAGTCTTCTCACTTACTGGGTTTTGCTTATTTATGCTTTTTCATGGCCTCAGCTCTTGGAGGATTTTTAAGAATCTACAATTTTGTAAGTTATCTTACTTCCCTGATTGACAGCGAGAATGATGTTCTCTTATATTGTCTTCTTCCTTAGCAGAAGTGGAAGCTTTCAAAGTGTAAAAAAATTAACAATACATAAAATGTTTAAGATATTTTAACCAAACACAGCAGGCCTGTTGAAGGAAAGCATTTCTTTACTAACAAAATCAAGCAGTCTCTGCTGCATAATTTTTTTAATGTGAATTTGTTGACTTTTAATTATCAGAGAGATCTAAGCTTCCATATGCTGAAATAAGCCTTTATGGCTATCAGTTTCCAGAGTCTGTCCATTACCATGAAACCATATTTGTAAAGCCTCTGAGCTAAAGATACTTTTATATTACCTTTTAATTAACACTATATGCATGGAAATATTTCACAAACTTCCTGAGAAATTCCAAGAAACGCTTAACAACAATTCTGGGAAACATGTATCACAGCTTATCGAAAATATTTGTGACTTTTTATTTTTATTTTTATAAGCTGCTTCAAAAATCACAGCTAAAAGCACGCAGAAGGAGAATTTTAATTAGAACAATGATGCATAGGCCTGGTGATTATACATATAAAATTGTAATCTTAAACATTTCTAAGGTTAGAAATGAGAAAGATAATATTTAAATATATTTGATTTTGACATTAATATTTCAGAAATTTGCATTATTTAATGTTTTCTAAGGATTCTTTCTGCTGGCCACTGGTTGAAGATAATAAAGTCAAGCCCCAGACAGGACATTCAATATGCCAGGCATGATTCGAATCACTTTACTAAGCTTAGAATAATTTCTAATTTTAGTCCACAAAATAATTCAGTGAGGTATGTACTGTTACCATTGTACATATGGGGAAATTGAAGAACAAAAATTTAATCAATGGCCAAGTTCACATAACTAGTAAAAAATGGACTCATTTGCTTTAGCTACACAGTCTGTGTTTTCCATTGTTCTTGATTGTCTCAAGCATAGATAGCAAAATTACAGAGCAAAACTAAATCTTTAACTTATGAATTAAAACAATGTAATTTTATAAGATTTTGATTATGTTTAAAATTGTAGTTTTGCTGCTATACATTTAAATATATATGAAACCATAATTATTGATTTTCTTTAAACTTATCATATATATAATATTCACTAGAATTTCTATCATAAAAAGATTTTTCTATCTCTTTTGTTCTGTTTTAAAATTACTAAATTTACTTGAAAGAATTTTAATTTTCTTATCCACAAGGTTTTATTTAGGGTCCACTTAAACACATAAACAGACAACAAACTGTGAATGTAAAGCCAAATATGTATTTAAAGTAACATATTTTTATTATCATTTTTGAAGTAAAATTGGAAATTTTCTTATAGTCCTACTCAGATGTGTAAGGAAGTAGTAGTTCATTTTTATAAGTGACCTAATTATCCCAGCATATACATTTATTATTTAATCATATCTCAGCTTCTCCCAGCTTTAACATATATTCTCATTTGAAGATATATAAAAAGAATATGAAAGGATCGGAATCAGATTCCGCTCTCCCTCTACCCTTTCGTACAATTTCTGCCTCCTGGGGACAATTTGTTGGACTCTGCTGTGGCTGTTCTGTTTTCGAGGAGAGGGCCAGCTGGTATTCCCTGAAGTGTGGTTAGCATACTTCTATCTCTGGGAATTGTATAGGTTTCTGCTCCTAAAGTGTGTAGCTGAAAAACTCGGTCTGCTTTGGTTAGTCTGCTTTGGTCTCAGCATTTCTAGGATGCTCTGAGGTTTGATTGTGACTTTCTATGCTAGACAATCTGCCTTGAGGAATTTGATTGCAAGGCCATTGTGTGCCCTCTTTGACAACATTGTGAAAGTTCTTTAGCCAGATTCTCAGTAACATTCAATATAATCTCTCCTTTGCAGCTTCACATTAAATTAGAGAAACTTTTTAGTCCCTTCAATGTCATGTGGAAGTGATTAAGTTTCATCTGGATGATCATCTCCCACCACTGCAGATGCATTCAGTACCTCCACACACTGTGTTTTACTAAATTACTCCTTGTACAATCATCTTCTCCCAGGGTTCAAAGGAGCAAGCGGGCGGGGCGTGGTGGCTCACGCCTGTAATCCTAGCACTTTGCGGGGCCAAGGTGGGCGGATAGCTTGAGGTAAGGAGTTCGAAACCAGGCTGGGCAACATGGTGAAACCCCATCTCTACTAAAATACAAAAGAAATTAGCTGGGTGTGGTGGCAGGCACCGGTAATCCCAGCTACTCGGGAGGCTGAGGCAGGAGAATCGCTTGAACCCAGGAGGCAGAGGTTGCAGTGAGCCAAGATCTTGCCACTGCACTTCAGGCTGGGCGACAGAGTGAGATTCTGTCAAAAAAAAAAGAGCAAGTGTGATGAAACACTTCTGCATCTCGTTTTCTCTTCAATGTGTCTAACAGTTCTAGCCATGGAGGATCCTACTACAGAAAGATAGGCAATTATTGACAAGTGTTACCTCCTGCTTATCCTATCTCCAATTCCTTTCTTCTTCTCATAGTCTACAGTATCTAAGAGTTATTCAGGTATTCCTCCTCCTTTTCTGGAAGAGATTTTCCATCCACTATATCTGGATTCCTAATCATAACCTTTTTCGAGATTATAATGAAATTAGATGTCCCTTAGGTCATGGCTTTATATTTTTTAGGGGTTAAAAAAAATGTGAATAGTTTTACCAAAGTCAAACTTTCCAGAGTTTGTCTATGCAGATTCCAAGTTCCTGAACACTAAATTTTGCAATTTCAAACTATCCAATAACCATCCAGTAATTCCTTAGAGACACATGTGTGCCTTTGAAAGTAAAGAAGTTATGGGTCCCCTATGATAAAAGGCAAAACAATAATTTTTAAAAACTTCAATACATTTTTAAAATATTATTTCTTCCACTCTTTTATAAAATGTACAAGATCTTTGTTGAAAAAGTAATTTTTCTACATTGTAGTCCCAGTATTTTCTAAGATTCAAAAGTAACAGAAATGTATGAGCAACTTCAATGATAATTTCTCTAGTGAGCTTATTCAACAGTGAAATAAGCCATAGCTGCCATCATCATTATAGATCAAGAGAAATACTATTTTTGTCAATATTATAGGAAAGTAAGACTTTTTACCAAAAATATGTTCTAATAAAACAAAATAATTTTGCTTCAATTAGTGAGAAGGTTGAAATAAATATCACATGAGGTTAGTCACTTGTCACCAGAAGCATTCTTTTTGATAGTTTTACATTGGAGTAAATAATGCTTTGGTTATAAGAAACATTCATCAATCTATTCTCCATCTATTTGTCCATCAATTCATTAATTCATATACTATATAGTTAAAGGCACTACCATGGTTCAGGCACTGTACTATGTGGAAAGCTCTGGGTGCCTAATTAGTTAATAGGTGAAGCATCTCACAGAGAGTGTTTGATCTGAAAATAAATATCTTGACACAAAAGAAGGGGCAGTTTAAGTCCTTCAGAAATTTATTATGAGATATTTATTAGCAATCTACCATGTGCCAAGAATTCTTCAATATGCTTACAATATAGTTGTGAATAAATACTTGGGCCTTGAAGAAATCCCTGACAATAATCAAAATACACTAAAATAACTTCATCTTGATCTAGAAAATGTACCGAACTTCTACGTATATTGGAGTAATATAATTTTTAAGTGGGATTCCCTTCCATCCTCATCCATTGGAGGAGGTTTAGTCTCTTCATGGGTGGTCTCAAAAGTTACAGGACTTGCCTATGTTTGTTAGCTAAGTCTTTATGGGATTGGTGAGGTTGTCAGGATACAAGGTTTTCGAAAAGGAGGTAAAACTATTTAACAGTGTAATATGTGAAAGAAATTGTTGAGAGAGGGATATTAAGGAAGTACTAGAAAGATGGCAAGGGGTTGTGTACAATATGGTATCTCTCATGGCATATTAAATGTGTAAGTTACTAAACACAAATAGTATTTTTGGGTGAATTTACTATGAAAACTATCACGAAAGTTTAGAGGGAAAAAAACACAAAATTTCTCATGCTCTTTTCTCAAAATCCTCAAAATCCACCTCTCTAATCAGAAGTATTCATTATCCAAAAACAAACAAACAACAACAAAAATAAAAAAGTAAAACAGGACGGGGCGCGGTGACTCAGACCTGTAATCCCAGCACTTTAGGGGGCTGAGGCGGCCGGATCACGAGGTCAGGAGATCGAGACCATCCTGGCTAACACAGTGAAACTCCGTCTCTACTAAAAATACAAAAAACTTAGCCGGGCGTGGTGGCAGGCGCCTGTAGTCCCAGCTACTCGGGAGGCTGAGGCAGGAGAATGGCGTGAACCTGGGAGGCAAATCTTGCAGTGAGCTGAGATCCTGCCACTGCACTCCAACCTGGGCGACAGAGTGAGACTCTGTCTCAAAAAAAAAAAAAAAAAAAAAAAAAAAGAACAAACAAAAGACTTACACCTGTGATCCCAGCACTTTAAGAGGCAGGATGATCGCTTGAGCCCAGGAGTTGGAGACCAGTATGG
This sequence comes from Homo sapiens, assembly GCF_000001405.40. Lineage (NCBI taxonomy): Eukaryota > Metazoa > Chordata > Mammalia > Primates > Hominidae > Homo > Homo sapiens. The sequence goes on along the minus strand of NC_000001.11, from coordinate 194,109,564 downwards.
GCAACAAAGTGAAACCCTGTCTCAACAAAAAATTTTAAAAAGTGAGCTTGGCATAATGAGGCATGCGTATAATCCCAGCTACTCAGGAGGCTAAGGTGGGAGGATTGCTTGAGCCTGGGTGGTCAAGGCTCCAGTGAGCTGTGATTGTGCTGCTGCACTCCATCCTGGGAAACAGTGAGACCCTGCCTCAAAAAAAAAAAAAAAAGAAAAAAAAAAACCAAAAAGAATTTTTTCAAACATTTATACGTATACACACAGCTTTGTATTTTTGTTGAATATTGCTTTTTTAAATAAAATATCATGTTTTATTGTTCTGCAAATTGTTAACATATTTTCTATATTCATCTTAAAACTTATAAATTTAATACATTATTGTTAATACTGCATCATTTGCCGTAGAATAATTATACCATAGTTTTTTTTAATATTCCCGTATCAGGGATTATTTACATTTATATCAAGTGTGGATCATTTAGAGATTATAAAATCTATCCTAGACCATTTAATCAGAAAGGGAAGTAACTCATTTCACGGAATTATATCCTTAGAATTTGAGTGGCGGTATAACAGAGAAATAGACTTTGTACTAACTGCCCAAAATTGTGGTTCCATGGCTATAGTATAGAGGGTCTATCAATGTTGACAAAGTCTAATTAGGGATAGAGAGTCAGATATATTCCAACAGGTTTTAAATATGAAAAAACTCATAGCTGATATAAACCTTAGATTACTTCCTCTAAGGCAACCTAAATGTAATTCAGAGTATACATAATATTTGGACATATGAAAGGATAATTATTTTAGCACCTATTTAAGCCATGTATAAAAAGCTCATGAAGAGGTCACCTTCAGACTTTCAAAATGTTTCAAGATTATTCTTCTAATTAGGGTTAAAATAAGATGCCTCTCTATTTACTAATCTATTTGTTCTGTATTAAATTCTTTATAGTTTTAACCAAAAATTTCTCATTTTCTGAAAAAGTTTTAAACACATCAGACAAATTCTGAAAGAATGTTATTCTTATCATACTTCAATTAAAAGTAAACCTAGAAAAATACATCTAATGCAAATTAAACTATTACTTACACTATCTTAAATTCTTACTAATAATACCAAACTGTTCTTACTGTATATCTGAGAAATATAATGTATCAGTTACCCACTTGTATTATTTCAAGGAAATGTAATTAAATTGGGTATCAACTCTTCCTGCTACCATTGACTCATTTCTAATTAACACACTTGTACCAAAAAGAATCAAAGAAACACGTGGCTGAGATCATCTTCTTATTAAGAGGATTATTTGCTTCAAACTGAGTCAAGACATGTGTTCTTTATCTCCAAAGGGGAACAAAATATATGCTATCAAAATGATTTAGTATGAAGCATCCAAATTGCAATTTAAAAATGAATACATGGGGCCACTCAGAACCAAATAGAAAAGTATTACAATGAACTGTCCGGACAGGAAGATTGATGAGGATTCTTACTCGTATTTTCTATTAAAAATTGGTAGCAAATAGTGGCATAATATACCTCCTTTTCTTGATATGGGTTAAAACCAAAAGAGATCTCTAAAATGCTTGTGATAACCTGTGGAGAAAAATTATTATTATTTGATATAAATAAGACACACAATGCATTCTGAAAATTAATCAATTTAACTGAAATTGACAGATTTAAGGGATAAAAACATAATTTCCGACGTTATCAGTCTACAATACAATTAATAATATATGAGTAACTAAGTGAACTTTATATTCCAACTTCAAGATGATGTGGAAATTTTTTTTATAAATATAATGAAAGAAATTAAGTTGTTACTCACATATGGAGACCACATTAAATATGTATGTGTGTCTGGGTATATGCATAATTCATATATCAAAATTTATCAGTGGCAAGCTTATTTTCAGACTCTGAGTGTTTTAATGTTAGACCAGGTTTGAATTCCCTGGTCACAAAGAACTTAACCATATCAAATAAGACTAGTTAAATCTAAATGTCTTCCCATTCCTCTATAAGTATTTCCACCTTTCACATTAGGTAGGAAAAAAAAAAACATGATTTCATTTTAGTAATTGAAGGCAACTATGAGGAGTGGAAATATTTAGAGTAAATTTCAACTCTATTAACTAACAGTTGTATATGCTTGCTTCCATTACATAATGTACCGGAACTTCAGTCTTTTCATCCACAATAAGGATAAATAACACCCTACTTCACTATAGTTCATGATAAAAGAAACTAAACAATTATTGAGTGCCAACTATGTGCATAGCACTGTGCCTTGCAGGCATTCAATAGAATCATCAAAACTTTTCTTTAAAAGCATCATTAGCCCCACTTTAACAATGAAACCTGCCCAAAGTCACACAGTTAAGAAACAGCAGAGTAAAGAAAATCCCATTCTCTAAACCACTAGCAAAGTAAGAAAAGCATGAAATTTTCTTAATGTGCTAGAAGTGTTTGACTAATATTAGTTGTTATTATTATACTTCTTTCTTTTACCTTAAAAAATTGTACTGGTGTTCCTTCTCCTTTTTATTTCTTTAGACAGAGCCTTGCTGTGTTGCCCAGGCTGGAGTGCAGTGGTGCAATCTCAGCTCACTGCAACCTCCGCCTCCCGGGTTCAAGCGATTCTCATGCCTCAGCCTCCCAAGTAGTTGTTGGGACTTGCTGCCCACACCCAGCTAATTTTTGTATTTTTAGTAGAGACAGCGTTTCACCATGTTGGCCAGGCTGGTCTCCAACTCCTCGCCTCAAGTGATCCACGCACCTTGGCCTCCCAAAGTGCTGGGATTACAGAGGTGAGACACCACGCCCAGCCTCTTATTCCTTCTTTTAAAAGCAATGGCAAGTCATTGTAGCAAAGGATCTTGTGGTAGGAAAAGAATGATTCTGCTAAACTTGTAAAGGTCTAAAGCTGCCTCACTCTAAAGGAGTGACTATGTTTGATTATTGATTATATGACTTTCCAATTAGCCTTACCATTTTCTGTCATCAACCTTACAGAACTTATTTTTAAATTAGAAAAACTCAGATAGTTTCTTTAACCTGTGTTGTTACAAAATATAATCTCATACAAATTATGCTATATCAAAACATATATTTTCAAGGGCTATTATGCATTTTCAAAGTGGCCTAACATATTTCTAAATGTTTTATGCTGTTTTGTTTTTCAAATATTATTGTATAGACCACAAAACAATTGGAAAACAATATTCAAAATGCAAGTTGTGAGAAATCCAATTGTAAAAGCAATTCTTTTCTGTTTATTCTATCACTAGGATTTAGCAATATCACATGCATATGGCTTAATATGGTAGAAATTATCATTATGGAATTTTGGGGGGGTAAAAAGTATCTCTTTAGGCAAATGTTTAAGCACAACGTGCTTATAATGGCCATGACAGTTGGACAAATCCAAGATTCAGAGGAAGTTGTGATTAGAGAGAGAAACACTCAGGCCAGCATGACTGAAAAATTAGAAGCAATCCAATAAGCTAAAGTTCAGTTATATATGCAGGTATATATAAAATCATGTATATTCCATTAGAGATTTTTGTCTTTTTTCCCATTGTTATAGTACAAGTATCTATACAATATATACAATATACTCAATAAATATTTAATATTAATGAAGTAAATGAATTAAACAAATTAATACATTAAGAAATACCTATTGAGTAACTACTATAGGAAATGATTACAGATGTGAATGAAACACAACAGGTATCTAATTAGGAGTATTACAGAAATAGGATTCCGCAATATATGGAGAAGGTGTCATTATACACTGCTGGTTGAAATCACAGTTAACAAATTGAGTACAGCTTGTTTTCCTAGAATTTGCAATCTTCTGTGACTTCAAGAGTCTAGAATTTCATGCTCCTGGAAAAAAATTATAATGGAATCAAGGAAGTAAGACATAGACTAAGATACCTCTGTGACAAAAGAGAAATCCCACACATGCCTCCCAACCCACACCTGTCTCCTTAAAGTACAGAAATTTTGAAATGTGTCTTGGCAGTGGTTAATAATCAAAGGTTCCGTTCCAGAGAACAGAAATCACAAGAATAGTTTCTGGTTATTTGACACTGAGTTTGGTCCCAGAGAGAGCGAGAAATTTGAGGGACCATAAATACAACAGAGGTTATCCAAGAGATGATTGTGATAACTAATAGAAAGTTAAGAAGTGAGATAAAAGAAGGATATTTGGATGCAATGAATACTTATGCTGTGATGTTTTTAAAGCCATGGAAAATATGCAGAGTACAGGCCAAATATGGAAGCCCGGGGAATAACAATAAGCAAAAGAAAAGTTGCTCTCCAGCATTTGTCATTAAAGTAATACAAATTAAAACAACTACCAGATGCCCCTATACACCAACTCAAATGGCTAAAATGAAAAGGCTTTTAAAGGAAATGGAGAAAATATGGAATAACTCCCATGATGTTGTTCATATGGTAGTAAAATGATACAATCTTTCTGGAAAACTCGGTGGTAATATCTTTTCAATTTAAATATAAAACTAGTTCTGGTGCAAGTTGACTAGAAGCAGCTAGTGGGTACTGCCCTCACGGAGAGGAATCCAAACAGTGAGTAAATATTAAGACTTCAGGTAGATCATCTCTGAGAGGACATTGGAATTCAACAGAGAAGTGACAGGAATCACAGAAAGCAGAGGAGAGCAGAGCTGGGCAGCCTGCTGGGCTGGGAGCAGCGAGGATCCAAGAGATGCTCCCTCACATGGGGAAGGGATGAGTAGGTGAGAGACTCCTGGGGTTTCACACTTCTGCCAAAGACCTTTACAATTCTAGTCATGAGAGACCTCCCTAAGTGCCCCTGGACCTCTAGGCTAACACAGGGAGCTGCCTGGAGACTGTGCAGAGGCACTGCTTGAGTGCATGTGGACTCCCACAGGATTTTGATCCCTGAGCAGCTACAGCCCAGAGCCAGCTGCCACCACCACTGCCACTGCCAAGGAAGGAATGGGGAGAGGAAGCACTTTCACACACTCCAAAGATGGATAATGCTGCTGCTGCTGCTGCTGCTGCTGCTGCTGCAAGAAGAGGAGTAGGCAGACAGTGCACTTCCATGGTTCTGCTGCCTCTGCTCCTCCCACTAGACAGAGTCCACCTTCCCTGGCCTCAAGTCCACAGCACAACTGGCTCCCACCCTGCCCCCATCTGAGCATTTGGCTGTAGCTCAGCATTCTTCTGAGAGTCCAGGCCCCAGGGGCCTACAGTCTATCCTGGGGCTCCCACTGCCGTCAGTGCTCCTGCTGCCATTGCTACCACTGGGCCACAGAGGAACCAAAAAGACTGAGCACCTTCATGTACTCTAATAGCAGAATACACTACTGCTTCTGCAGGAGGGAAGCACAAGTATGCCAAGGGACTCACAGCTCCAGCCTCCACAGATCCTGCTGAGGGGGCCTGCCCTCCCCAGAATTAGTCCTGGAGCATAGCCACCTTGCCCACACCTGAGGATTTTGGCTACAGCCCAGTGCCCTTCTGAGAACCCAAGCCCTAGAGGCCTGTATTCTCTCCTGAGGCTACCTCTGCCATTGCTGCTGCCATCACTATGGCTGCTGGGCCAGGGGAGTAGTGGGAGACAGGACACCTTCACACACCTCCATGAAGGATATCCCCACTGCTCCTGTGGGATGGAGGTGCAAGTGAGACACGCACCCATCAGCTGCTTGTCTCCACTGCTCCCACTGAGGGGATCTGCCTTCCCCACTGACAGGCCCACAGTACAGTTGCTCTGCTCCTGCATGATCATTTAAACTGAGGCTGGGAGTCCTTCTGAAAGCCCAGCTCCCATGAGCCCATGAACAGCCCTGGGGCCCCCACTGCCTGAGCATTCTGCTGCTGCCTGAGCATTCTGATTATACCTACCTGAAAGCATGGTTGGTGACCTTGGGACCAGCACACCCCTCCCTACCACAACCGGCACCTGAACCCTGGGGGCCTGAGGGCAACTCCCAGTGGAGTTGGGACCAGCCTGTTACTGGTCCATTCCCTCCTAGACTGGGACACCATTGTCCAAGGGACCATATAGGGACCTGGGGATTGGGGGTTTATCTGGCCCAGTCCACTACTGCTAGCATCTGAGCACTCTCTCAGGGGTCCACCATCAGGCCAACCCAACCAGCCAACACCACCACAGCTGACACCCACCTGCAGGTGTTGAAAGGTGGAGCTCCTCCTCATCTCTACATGCAGCAGCAGTGATCCCACATCAGAGAACAAGCGAGACACAAAGATGTCTGTACTGGGCTGAGTGAAGAGGCTCCATGCCAAAAACACCTCACAGAGAGCCAGAAGGCAGGTGTTTTCTGTGGCTGTCACCTACACTGGAGATGGATGATGGTGTGTGTCTGAACTGGGAGTCATGAACCTTGGGTCAAGGGTGTGATAGGGAAACAGATTGTATTCCTGCCTCTCTAGGACATAGGTTGGTGCAGCCACCTCCCCATCTGTAGAGAGCTTGGTGCATTTCACTAGGCGCTCGCCCAGCCACCCTCTTAGGGATGATGCCTGCGCTGGTCATTGAGGTAGTTGTGGGAGAGCTTAGTTGTCCAGCTGTGCTCAACTCTGTGTGCCTGCACCAAATAGCTGAACAGGGAACTCAGGGAACTGGGCATTCCACAGACCAGTTTGTCGCCCAAAATGACAGTGAGCACATCCCAGTAAAAAAGGATCAAGTACATACTCATCTGCTTTTGCCACAGCTAGCTGTTACCAGTAAGTGCCACCTACTGGCCTGGAGCTTGAAGAGCTCAACCCAATATAAAACCTGCTGTCAGAAGATTACCGGGCTATAAAAGCAAAGCCAAAACACCCTAAGCAACATGTACTACAGTCACACCCTCAAAGGGTAAAAAATACCACTGAAATGAAAATAAATTCAAAAATAAGAAGTGTCAATTTCTCTAGATGAGAAGGAACAAGTGTAAGAACTCTGGCACCATGAAGAAACAGTGTTTTGTTACACCACCCACCAAAGGATCAGACTAGCTCTCTGGCAATGGATTCTAACCACAATGAAAATTCTAAAATGACAGATAAAGAATTCAAAATATAGACTGTAAGAAGGCTCAATGAGATCCGAAATAAGGTTGCAAACCAATACAAACAAATCAGAAAAAAACCCTGAAACATTAAAAAATAGATAGTTATTAAGACAATAACAAACAGAACTTCTGACAATAAAATTCACTGAGGGACTTTTGAAATACAGCTGAAAGATTTAATAATACTCCAGACTAAATGGAAGAAAAAATTACAGAACTTGAAGACCAGTGTTTGGTATTAACCCAGACAAAAATAAAGAAAAAAATGAAATTTAAAAATGAACAAAGGCTTTGAGAAATATGGAATTATGTAAAGTGACTTAACCTACAGATTATAGGTATTCCTGAGTAAGAAGAAGAGAAAGTAAAAAGTTTGGGAAATATATTTGAAGGAATAATTCAGAAAAATTTACCTAATCTTGCTGCAGATGTAGAAATGCAGATGCAAAAAGTTCAGAGAACACCTGGAAGATACTTCACAAGAAGAATATTACCAAATCATATAGTCATCAGACTTTCCAAGGTCAATGTGAAAGAAAAAAATGTTAAAAGCAGCTAGAGAGAAGCATCAAATTATCTATAAAGGAAATCCCATTAAACAAACAGTGGACTTATCAGCAGAAACCTTATAAGTTAGAAAAGATTGGGGATCAATTTAAAGCCTTCTTAAAACAAAATTCCAGCCAAGAATTTGATATCCAGTGAAACTAAGCTTCATAAATGAAGGCAAAATAAATTATTTCCCAAAAAAATGCTAAGAGAATTTGTCACTATTAGAATGAACTATACGAGAAATGCTCAAATGAGTTCCTAAGATGGAAGGGAAAACACAATACTCACCATCCTAAAAAAGCACACATAAGTACGCATAACTACAAAGCTCAGAAATTCCACAAAGTAATTACATAGTTGAGACTAGAATTCAACTAACAATATTATGACAGGTACAACAGTCCATATATTAATATTAACCTTGAATGTGAATGGCCTAAATGTTGAATTTAATACATATAGACTGGCAAACAACATTAAAAGACATGATGTAGTCATCTGCTGTCTTCAAGAAACATACCTAATGGGTCTCCAGGCTCAGAGTAAAGAGGTGGTAAAAGATATAGCTTGAGAGCAGAAAACAAAAATGAGTATGAGTAGCTATACATATATCAGATAAAAAAGACCTGAAATCAACAACAGTGAAAAAAAAGACAAAGAAGGAAATCATGTAATTACAAGGGGCTCAATTAAACAAGAAGATATAACTATCCTAAATATACATGCACCAAACACCAGCGCATTGAGATTCATTAAACAAATACTACTAGACCTAAGAAGAGATAGAGAGCAATATAATAATTGAAGTAGCGAACTTCAGTACCCCAATGACAGTGCTAGACAGATCATCCAAGCAGAAAATCAACAAAGAAACACTGTACTTAAACTGGATTGAACTGAATGGACTGAATAAACACTTACAGAACATTCCACCCAACAACCATGGATTATAGATTTTTCTAATCTGCACATAAACCATTCTCCAAAAGAGACTATGTACTTTACCATAAAGGAAGCAGCAATAAATTCAAAAAAATCAAAATCATATCAAGTATCTTTTCAGACCACAGTGGAATAAAATTAAAAATCACAGCCAAAAGGAAATCTGAAAACTACACAAATACATGGAAAATAAACAGCTGCTCCTGAATAATTTTTGGGTAAACAAGAAAATTAAGGAAGAAATAAAAATTTGTTTCAAATGAATAAAAATAGAGATACATCATACCAAACTCTCTGGGATACAGCAAAAGCAGTAGTAAAAGAAAAATGGTTAGTGTTAAATGCCTACATCAAGATAGAAAGATCTCAAATTAACAACCTAATGTCACACATCAAGGAACTAGAAAAACAAGAATAGGCTGGGCGCGGTGGCTCACGCCTGTAATCCCAGCACTTTGGGAGGCCGAGGCGGCTGGATCACGGGGTCAGGAGATCAAGACCATCCTGGCTAACACAGTGAAACTCCGTCTCTACCAAAACTACAAAAAATTAGCCGGGCGTGGTGGCGGGCGCCTGTAGTCCCAGCTACTCAGGAGGCTGAGGCAGGAGAATGGCGTGAACCCGGGAGGTGGAGCTTGCAGTGAGCCGAGATCGCGCCACTGCACCCTCCAGCCTGGGCAAAAGAGCGAGACTCAGTCTCAAAAAAAATAAAAAAAGAATAAACCAAACCCAAAACCAGCCCCACCCCCAAAAAAAAGTATTAACAAAGATTAGAGCAAAGCAGAATTAAATGAGATTGAGAGCACAAAAAGGGTACAAAGGATCAACAAAATGAAAAGTTGTTTCTTAAACAACTCAACAAGAAAAAAACAACTGTATTAAAAAGTGGGCAAAGGACATGAACAGACATTTCTCAAAAGAAGACATACAAGTGGCCAACAAACATATGAAAAAATGCTCATCATCACTAATCATAAGGGAAATGCAAATTAAAACCACAACGAGATACCATCTCTCACCAGTCCAAATTGCTATTATTAAAGACAAAAAATGAGAGATGTTGGTGAGGATGTAGGAAAAGGTACATCCTTATACACTGTTGATGGGAATACGAATCAATACAATCCCTACGAAAACCAACATGGAGATTCCTCAAAGAGCTAAAAATAGAACTGTCATTTGATGCAGCAATCCCACTACTGGGTATCTACCCAAAGCAAAAGAAATCTTTACATTAAAAAAGACATCTACACCTGTATATTTATTGCAACACTGTTCCTAACAACAAAGTCACAAAATCAACCTACATTTCCATCAACAGAATATTGAGTTTTTAAAATGTGGTATATAGGATACATATATTTCATATATGTATGAAATATGAAATACATATTTGAAATATATGTATCCTATACATATATTTTAGTATAGCGTAGTATCATAGTATAGTATGGTATAGTATTATAGTATTCCATGAAATACATATAAAATATATAATACATATATTTCATATATAAACATATATAATACATGTGTTATATATAATGCAAATTATATATTATAAAATATATAACACCTATGTATAATTAATATGCATTATATGAAATATATGTATTATTTATATGTATAGATGTATTGCATATATGTATCATATATGTGATATATGAAATATATGTATTTATATATATAAATATATAAAATATATATATTTATATATTTTATATATATTTATATATTTATATAAAATATATATATTTATATATTTTATATATATTTATATATTTATATAAAATATATATATTTATATATTTTATATATATTTATATATTTATATAAATATATATTTATATATTTTATATATATTTATATATTTATATAAATATATATTTATATATTTATATAAATATATATTTATATATTTATATATTTATATATTTATATAAATATATATTTATATATTTATATATTTATATAAATATTTTTATATATTTATATAAATATTTTTATATTTTTATATATATTTTTATATATTTATATATATTTTTATATATTTATATAAATATAAATATATGTATAAATATATATATTTTTCATGGAATACAATGCAGTAATTAAAGGAAGGAAATCATGTTCTTTGCTGCAACATGAGTGGTGCTGAAGGCCATTATCCTAAGTGAAATAACTCAGAAACAGAAAATCAAATACCATACCACATGTTCTCACTTATAGGTGGGAACTAAACAATGGGTACACATAAACATAAAGAGATAACAGACACTGGGGACACCAAAAGAAGGGAAGTTGGGAGGGGGTTGAGGGTTGAAAAATTACCTATTAGGTACAATGTTCACTTTTTGGGTGTTGGGTATACTAGAAGCTCAAACCTTACCATTAAGCAATATATCCATGTAACAAAGTCTGCACGTGTACCCCTTGAATCCATCATAAAATATATTTTTGAAGTGCATAATAAAGCATAATAAACTGTTTTCTAATAGTGAATGGAAAGCTTTTTCAGAGAAAAAATGTGCAAGCAAACATTATAAATATGTTATTAGAACATGTTTTTTTCCTCCATTTGTTCATATTACACAGGTTTATATATTAAAGCTATAAAAGGCAAATGTAAGCAGGCTTTCTTTAGGATGCATCATAAACTCATATCTTTCAGTGAATGGAAGTGTTTGGCAGAGAAAAACCTTTGTAAGCAAACATTGATAATGTGTCGTTAGAACATGTTCCTTTCTATATTGGTTCATATGCCATGAATTTACATATGAAGCAAAAAAAAGCAAATGTAAGCATACCATGTTAAAGATTCATCACAACCTGTTGTGTTTGAATGAATGAAAATGTTTGAAAAAAATTACTGTTGTAAGCTCACCTTGAGAATATGTTACAGGAACATGATTCTTTATCAGGCCATTTTAAGACAAGTTAAGATACCCAGCAATTAGAGAAAATGTAGGCATGCCTTTTTTCAGATGCATCACAAACTGTTTTATTTTAGTGAATGGAAGATTTTGACAAGCAAACACCCTTGTAAACTAACCTCGAAGATATGTTATTAGAACATGCTTCTTTCTCCATTGCATCCCAGGAAGATCAGTTGAGAATTCCAGCAATGAAAGGCAAATATTAGAATAAATAAAAACAAACAAATAAATAAATATAAGACTAGTTTATACTCCAGCAACTCTTTGTTTATACATTTGCCCACAACACCAAATAGAAACATATACAATATATACAAAAGATTTGTATTAGAATGTGCATAGCACAAGATTCAAAAGACCCCAAGTGTCCATGAACAGGAGAGTGAATAAACAAATTTTGGTATATGCACGCAATGATATATTACATTGCAATAAAAGGGAAAAATGACAGAAGCATAACCCACTATCGATATAGCTCAAAAAATATTGATGTGATTAAAATAATTCAGATAAAAAAGTATACTACTCTATGATTTAATTTAAATAAAGTTCAAGAACAAATGGAACTAATTTATGATAAAAGAAATTACAGCAGTGGTTACTTTTCAGGTAGAATGACTGAAAATAAGCAAAAGGAAAACTGCTAAAGTAATGGAAGCGCTCTGTACTTTGAATGAGTTGGTTATAGAAGTCACTCAGAGATAGTTAAAACCCATGCATTTTTACTGTATGCAAATTGTAGTTCAAAAGAAATACATAATGCAAAGATTAGGGAAAAGATCTAAGAAAACATATTTACATTTTGAAATAAAGTTTAACTGTAAACTTTGCCAGAGTGCTATCTCTAGAGTGGTTTGGACAGAAGTTGGAATACAATCATTTAAGGCATAAATGGCAAGTTGTGGTCATGAATTAATTCATTCATTCAGCATTCATTTATTGAACACAGATACACAGATTTTTGCTGAACACTGTTCAAGCCATGAGAATACAGTGATGAAGATTCTGCCCTCACAGAGCTTATATTCTAATAGAAATAGGCACAGAATCAATGAATGAATGGATGGATGAATGAGTGGACATAATATTTGGGGTTAGTGCTAAGTATTAGTGTTCTCTAGAGAAGCAGAGCCAATAGCATGTGTGTGTGTGTGTGTGTGTGTGTGTGTGTGTGTGTGTGTGTGTAAAATTTATTAGAAGGAAGGACTCAAATGACTGTGGAAGTTGAAAAGTCCTATCATCTGCCATCTGCAAGCTGGAGACTCAGGAAAGCCAGTGGTGTAGTTCAGAAGATGGATGTCCCAGTTCAGGAAGACAGAGATAATTTTTTTCATCCCCCACCTTTTTGTTCTATTTGTGCCCTAACTGAATTGAATAATTCATGCCCAGGTTGGTGAAGACAGATGTTTACTCAGACTACTGATTCTAATGCTAATCTCTTCTGGAAAAACCCTCACAGACATACCTACTAATAATGTTTTATTTTGTTTTGTTTTGTTTTTTGAGACGAGTTTTGCTCTTGTTGCCCAGGCTGGAGTGCAATGGCATGATCTCAGCTTACTGCAACCTCTGCCTCCTGGGTTCAATAGATTCTCCTGCCTCAGCCTCCCGAGTATCTGGCTCACTTTTTGTATTTTTTGTATTTTTAGTAGAGACAGGGTTTCACCATATTAGCCAGTCTGGTCTCGAACTCCTGACCTCAAGTGATCCTCCTGCCTCAGCCTTCCAAAATGCTGGGATTACAGGCGTGAGCCACGGTGCCCAGCCAGAAATAATGTTTTACCAGCTGTGTGGGAAGCTGTGTGGGAATCCCTCAGCATGATCATGTTGACACATAAAATTAACCATCACAAGCTATAAAAAATGTATAAATCATAGGAGAGAAACAATTTTTAAAATAATATCAAACTGAAAGAGAGGTGGTCGTTTAGATAGCTATCTATTCTTCAGTAAATCAGTTGACTTCTGTAGACCACATTTCCTCATTTTCAAAATGAATAGACAAGTCTAGAATATCTCTAAATTCTCTTTCTACTCTAAAATCCTGAACTTCATTTCATTGTGAGACATTATACACCTTTTCCCACAAATATTTTTGTCCTTTTCTATTTATCCTAGAAGATATTTTAAGTTGCTAAAAATAATCTGATTTCTGTTATTATCACACATCATTAAACCTAATTCTAAATCATCATATTTGTTTTAAAAGACTATGACATATATATAAGACTATATAAGACATTTTTTCATGCCAAAGAAAAAACTTCAATGTATATGTGTACATGTGTGCAAGTGCATGCTTATGTTTGGGGCACTGAACATAAGGTTCAGTGGATTATTTTGGAGTAGCTCTCAGAAATGAAGGCAGAGTTCTAAGACGATCTAGTCACATCCTTTGCCATTTGATGGACATGATGAGTCCATTTACGCACCAAATTCTCAGAATTCATGTCATTATACAAAAAAAGGAAAATAGATAATAAGATGGTCATATGAGTCAGGGATGCATAAATGATGAGTTTTTGTTGTTTTAGTAAGTGACTGAATTACCCTTTTGTGAGAATAAAAAACATCAACAATTTTGCCATAATTTTCTTTGAAAAATTTGGAGTTTTGAAAATAATAATCTTTTTAATCACTGTTGAATTACAAAGACAATTTTGCACATGGTGTTGTCATATTAAAACGGAATAAAATGATAATTATTTCCAATTACTTCATGATTAACACAATAATGTAGAAGGAACTGGCAATAATATAGCAATAATTTAATTTTTATTTAAATTCTTATAATTTTTTATATTAACACCACACTTTCTTCATTTAATCTTGTTTTAGGTTCTCATTTGAGCTTGGAAATCAGTGGGCTCAGTCAAATCATTGCATATAAATATAATAATAGAAAGTATTTTAATGTAAATATGCACACTCTGTCTGTATGACCTATCAGCTAGACTATTACAATTGAATTGGAAAGCCCCAATAGATTTCTAATTAGTACGTTAAACCAGAATTTTATTATCTTCATCCTCTGAATGCCTGCATGGACATGTTGTTTATATAGTGGCTTGCCAACATCTTACAAAGAAGTAGCCAATTTGAGCAAAGCATTATGAGGCATTAAATGTGGTTACATGAACTCGTCTGAGAATTTTCATAAACAATGAAATTTTATTAAAATAAAGAATCTTTGTAAATAAGGGATTAAAATTATTGTTGAATTTGCCAGCTGATTTGTTTATGATTAAAATAATTGTTTTAGAGCAAATACAAATAATTTCAATTTGCATTTAACATACAAATATTGATTATTGAAGATGCCTTAGTGTTTCACCATTCTTTAGTTAACTTTGACATTAGTACCTCCAAAAGTAGATGGAAGAACAACTGTTGTTGTCTTTTTTCCCCACAGAACCAGGCATGGAGGAAAAAAATATGTTTAATGGTTGAAGGCAGTTTTCTGACTGCAAAAAATGTGCTGATATATAGCAAAACTAATAGTAAAAAGCAAGACTAAATACACTGTGGTGGTTTAATAATAGTGGTATCCATTCTTTTTTTGATTGACAGATATCTCTGATAGTCACATTTTTTTAAAAAATTGCAAATCCACTTCATATTCAATCCACTTATCCTTTCTTCTTTCAGAAAAATGCAAATTGAAATAAAATTATTTTATTTCATTGGAAGAATATTTTCTACATAAACTAAAATTTAAAACCAATTTTTACAATGACTGGCTATCGCTGTTTATTATACAGGTTAAAGAACAACCACCTTGTAAAAAATTAAGTAAATTGCAAATATGTTAGTAAATTAATAAGTAATATTCAATTCTGCTCAAACACTAAATTTCAATAAAAGACTTCTTGTGAATGCAAAAAGGATATTTTGAATTTGTCTTTGACCTGGCAATGTACATATTGTCATTGACATTCAGTCCATTCTAAAATCATTTTTGATGGAAATACATAAGAAAAAATGTTTTCTCATAAGAGTATTTATTAATAAGTGGAATCCATGCCCTCATCACACCTCTTATTTTCCAGCATAGACTTTTACAAGGCAATATTAAATTTTTTTCAATATTCCTTGAGTTGAATTCAAGTCACACCAATTCTTATGTATTTTAAATAACAGGTCATCATCGACCAGACCTAGGTCTTTGAGATAGCCATGACATGATAAGGAATGCATTTGTAAGAATTGAGATCATTAATAAAATTATATTCAGTAGAATCTGCAGTTTTCTTTCTTTTATTCTGCTGTCCAAGTCATTAAGACGTTGACACTTTATTATATCCTCTAGAAGACTTAAAAACCTCCAGGAGTAGCATTCACCCAACAAACATTTTGTAAGTGTTTACAAGTGCTATTCATTGTGATTGTGACAACTGCTAAGGATACAGCAATGATGAAGATATATGTGAATTTTGTTTCCATAGAGCTTACTTAGAAATATGCAAGACAATATATAATGAAAATAAAGCAGGCTGTGAAAACAGCTAAAAAAAATACAAGCATAATAATAAAATAGAGTTTACAGATTTGGAAGCTATTTAAGTAGGGAAAAGCCAATCTTTGCAGGCAATGTCTTAGATGAGACATGAGGATAAAAAAGCACCAAGAGTTTTGCTAAAAGAGAGAAAGTGCATGTAAAGTCCTAACCTGGAAAACCAGAAAAAATCAAGAGTTCCCTTTTTGGATATAATAATTTTGAGAAGTTTAGGAAATATTCAAGTGAGAATGTTGCAAGCACTAGGGTAAAAGATATGAAGTTCAGCAAAGAGACCTGTGCTTGATACAGATGTTTGAGAGTCGTTACCATACAAGCTATTTAAAACCGTGGAGCAGGATGAAATACTGAACATGTGAGAAATGATACAAACCAAATTTTAGTGATCTGATTGTGGAAATGGAAGAAGTAAAAAGGGTCTGTCAAGGAGTGTCCAGTGGAAAAAGAAAATGATGAAAGATAAGGGATAAATGTATTTCAAAATGAAAGAGTAAATGACTTTGGCAAAAGCTGCTGTTAGGTAAAGTCAAAGATAGGAGACGAAAGGCATTTCACTGGATTGGGCAACAAGACTGTGGTGGGTTTGAGCCTGTATTTAAGTGAATTGAAGAATGAATTTAAACTTCTATTTCTAGCAGAACTGCATTCTGCTAGAATTCCCTGCCTAGCCAGAACTAGATTCCCTGCTGGCCTTCTTGCTGAAAACAACTTTAAGAAATCTGACAGAGAAGTATGTATAAATCATGACTATAATCCTAATTACCTACAATCAAAAAATTCTAAAATTAAAAAGCTGATTTAAAAAATAATAACATTAAATGATGGGAAACAGTAAATATTTGTGAGGTTGTGCAGCAACTGGAACTTTCCTATGACACTGGTGAAAGTGTGAATTGGTTTAAGCCCTGGAAAACTGGAAGTGTGTATTAAAGCTCAGCATGTATATGTCCTATGTCCCAGTAATTCCTCTTCTAGGGCATACCCATAAAAAATGAAGATATGCTTGTACAAATAGCAATGCATTTGGAATAGCCACAAACTAGAAACTATGCAAATGCCTATCAGCGAATAGAGTTCTACAGACACTTAAAAGATTCTTCAGCCAAGGAAATGAATGGGCCACAACTGCAGCAAACAAAATAATCTTGTGAAATAAAAAGGGTGAAAACAATCAGAAACAAAATAGTTCTTACTGTATAAAAAATAGACAAAATTGACCTTCAGTATAACATTGAAGAAAATAATCTCCTTAATAAAAGACTGGATAGTGCCCAGAAGAGGGTACAAGAGGGTTCTGTGGTGCTAGTAATGCCTGATTTGTTGATCAGGGCACTGGTTATAAGCATGAATTCAGTTTGTGAAAATTCAGCCTTCTGCATACTTAAAATATTTGTGTCTTTTATATGTATGTGATACTCTAAAATTTTATAAAATTTTAAAAAGTAGGCAGAGCCTCTGAAAATAATTTAGATAACATTTTCAGATACAGAAAATTAAAAGTTAGTTCAATATGCTAAAATAAGTTAAAATAAAAACTTGAAAGTATGAGTTAGGGGCAAGAAACTATCATAAATAACCAAGCTGATTTTTAAAGTACTAAGTAAAACTTCTAGCAATTAGAAAATAAAAATAAAAACTCTACAAAGATTCTGAAGGAACTACATAAAAGCAGCCAGATAAATTAAAATTAGCTGAATACATGACTTGGTACTGGATGCTGGACACTTGGGGAAAAGGGAAGCTAAATATAGTAAAGTAATAACTTTTATACTGTGGGCATTTAGAGCCAGCAAATATATATTGAAGCAAGTGTTTTCCACAAACATTTTATTAAAGGTAATGTTAGATGATCCACTTCAGATAGAATAAATGTGACTTTAGATAGAAGGTATGTTATATAAGAGGAAATTATAAACTAAAACAATGATTCTCTAAAATGAGAATCTGACAAGAAAAACAAAACAACAACAACAACAACAACAACAAAAACACCTGTATAATCAGCCACACCTCCCTGCCAGGCCAGAAAAAAAAAAAAGAAGGAAAGGATAAAGGAGAGGAAAATTAAAGTAATCATACAATGAAGGGCATCCACATAGTTACAGATTTGTTAAAAAAAAAGTCACATTAAATAATATTCAGAATGAAAAAGAGTCATGACTGCACAGGCTAAACAAATTGTAGAACTGAAGATAAATTTGACTCCTTTGATCACAGAAGACAATTACCCAACATAATTAAATAAATGAGACACAGAAAAATGAGAAAGCCTGGATATTCCTATTACTTTTAAAGAAATCGAATTGTCAAAAATCTCACAATTAAAATCTCAGGCCAAAATGTTTTCTCTGGTGAGTTACCAAACATTAAGGGAAAAAAAAAAATTCCAACTTTACAAAACCGCTTTCAGATAATAGGAAAAGATAACTTTTTCTTTCTTTCTTTTTTTTTTTTTTTTTTTTTTTTTTTTTTTTGAGACAGATTCTCGTTCTGTTGCTCAGGCTGGAGTTCAGTGGTGCGATCTTGGCCCTCTGCAACCTTCACCTCTCAGGTTCAAGCAATTCTCCTGCCTCAGCATCCCTAGTAGCTGGAATTGCAGGTGCCCACCACGATGCCCGGCTAATTTATGTATTTTTGGTACAGACGGTGTTTCACCATGTTGGCCAGGCTGGTCTCGAACTCTTGACCTCAAGTGATCCACCTGCCTCAGCCTCCCAAAGTGGTGGGATTATAAGCATGAGCCACCGCACTCAGCCTCCAGAACTCATTTCATTGTGTGGGGCCAGTATAACTTTGAAACTAAAACTACTAAATCATAGATTTAAGGAATTAAAACTATCAGTGTCTTATTCACACTGTAGATAAAAAATGCAAAGTAAGTTATAAATAGTCTGACTTCATCAAAATTTACAAAGGTCATTTCAAGACAAGTTTGAATGTATCCACGTTGTTTGTTAAAACAAGCACTTAGTGTAATCTACACATTAGCAGATTAACAGGTTAAAGCAAAACATAAAAAAAAAATTTAAAACACACACAAAAACAGAATAGCGAATATTTGATCAAACAGAATCTGGATAAAATGGAATTAGACGCCTATCTCACATTCTAATAGAATTAAAATAAACTAAAGGAAAAATAATAAATGAAGGATAACTTTAGTAACCATATGTATGTATGTATGTATATACATATACAAATACATAACACACACACACAAACAGAATTTAATAGTGAACATTGAAGATATTCCTTTGAAATAAGAAACTTTATTAAGGTGTGTTCTAAAAATTTTTAGTTAAGGATAAGAGAAGAAGTAACTAAAATGACTGGAATGAATGACACAATATGATTGTTTACATAAAAATAATGACAAGCAACATACAAATAAATATTAGAATTACTGAATAAATTTACTTTGTTTCTGAGTTACATAATCAGCATATACAGCTTCAATTACACTTCTGTACACTAGCATCATACGCTATGACAATAGATATATAAAAATTTGCATAAATAATGCCAGCCAATATTTTAATCATACCCACTCTTCCCAACTAGATATAGTGCAATGGCAATTAATATATAAAAGCTGTGTGTTTATTTGGTAAAACATGACAATCATTACAAATCTAAAATTGACATGGAGTAACAAAGGACCAAGTACATCCAAGACAGATGACCTGAGTGGGAGAATTTGCTTTACAAATATCAGAATTTATAATTAAGCAGGAATAAAGGTAGTGCAATGTTGGTACAGCTACATAAAAACATAAACTACTGGAAGGGAACAAAAAAACCATAATGAAATCCACACATTGATGGAAATTTTATTCATGACTCAGCTTGCATTATTGTACTTTGGGAACTTTTGAATTTTTCAATAAATGGTACTGAAATTATTGGTTATTCGTATTGGAAAAATAAAAGAATTAGACGCCGATCTTACAGTCCAGTAGAAATCAATCTCAACTAAATTAAATCTTTAAATGTGAAAGAAAAACCTCTACTTTTAGAATAAGATATTTAGGTTGGTGCAAAAGTAATTGTGGTTTTTGCCTTTTTTTAATCAAATGGCAAAAACTTTTGCACTAACCTAATAAAAGAAAATACATTTATGGAACTGGGATAGAAAGAGATTTGTTTAGAAAGAATAATTTCTCAAAGCACAAAGATTAATGAAGAAAAAGATTAATAAATTTTACTATATTAAGAACTTATGTTGATTAAATGATCCCCCAAAGACACAATAACAGAAACTACAAACTCAAATAAGACATATGCAACATATAATTAATACTGAATTGCTCTCTTGAATATATAAAGAATTACATATCCATAAGGAAAAGCCAAACAGCCCAATATATTAGTAGAAAATAACATGTACAACAAATTGACTGATAAGGAAAAATATATATTAATAAAATACTAAAATATTTTATTCCAACTTCAGGAAAAAAATAAAAGATAACACCAACTATCAGTAAAGATATAGCAGCAGAAATTTCTCAGCAATGGTAGTGCTGGGGACACCTCCTACATCCCCCCCAAAAAATATATATAGAGAGAGAGACAGAGATATAGATACAGAGATAGATAGATGGATGGATAGATAGAAAGATAGATAGATAGATAGATAGATAGATAGATAATTTCAATGTGTGCAGACACTAAAAATTGTCTATCACACTACAAAGTACATGACTTTTCCCATTGTTATTTGATTAGCAAAGAATCTTGACACTATTTTGAAAATGTCAACAGCCTTTTAATATTTCAACAGTAGATTTTTTTTAAAAAGCGAATTCTTTGACATCATCAATATACACCTAATTGTTAAAAACTAGAAGGTCACTGTTTCCACCCAGTTGGATTTTGAATGCAAACAACGTAATTGCTATGCGATTACCTCTGTTTTGTTTGATTTGTCCATTTTAGCATTTTATATTATTTTTGCAGTATGAGTTCATTAGTGTCTTTCTGTACAAGATTAATGGTGGCTTCTATGGTGAAAGTTAAATCAAATAATATAGACAATTTTTTGTTCTCTCCTTTCTTAGACATTTTATAAACTGGGATTGGTGCAATATAAAAAATTAAAAATTAGTCATATTTTAACTATCAATGCACATTTTCTAGAGGTATTATAATGATACTTATATAACCATTTAATATAGTATATTGTACCACCATGAAGAAATAATGACTTCATAACATATTTGCAAATATTTTTTAAAGATGGTTTCTAAGTAGCAGAAATAAATGTAATAATCTTTGTTTTTCTCAATTTGGTTTATAAACTCCCTGAAGCCAATTTATTAATTCCATTGGATTCCAAGAACCATGCGGTAATACTTCCAAGTCTCTATTGCTGTTTGATCATGTCAAAACTAAAGATTAAATATTGCTATAATTATAACAATCTGAATTATCTTTTCAAGGTTAAAATTTGTTTTAAGCAAGATCATTTGCATAAATATATAATAATAAAATACCCTATACTTATTGAATGTATTGTGCACCAGACAGCATTCTAAACTTTGCATTCATTAACTCGTTTAATGATGACAGAGATATAGCATCCTCGTTTTAGAGATGATGAAGCTAAGGTGCAGAAAAATTATATAATTTAGCTAAGCGATCACAACTTGTAAGTAATAGAGCTGGGATGTGAATGTGAAAAGCCTTGTCCCAGAATCCAGATTCTGAGGTACCATGTACATTTATCTCTAATTAAGAGTTTCCATAAGTAAATATAAAAGAGTCTTTATGTAAAAAACATACTTGCATTTTAAAAGCTTGTATTGCACTGCAAGGATCTAGATTTAGTAATATTAAGTACTGACATCTGCTACTGTGCAAAAAGTAAGACAAGTTTGTGTGGTCAGACTTGGTGGGAATGCAGGCAGATTTGCGTACTCGTGTGTGTGTGTCCACACACATCCATCCATGTGCCAGTGCACAATAATAGACTGAGTGGAATTAAGCTTGCCCCTGAAAATGAAAAGCAAAAGTCACCTCAGTCAGGTAAAAATGATGCAGAGAGTAGTCACAATCAAAAAGATCAATTCACAATAATAGGCTTGTTCAAACAGTCTGAACTAGGCAACTGAGAATCTGACAGCCAGAATTATGCAGTGATTCAAGGTGCTGGGCAAGAAACAGGACCCTTGAAATGGGATTCAGGACTCAGCACAAGATGGCTGTTGCTAAGGAACCAGGAAAGAAAACTGCAAAGACAAGAAAAAGACACAGGAATGTAGAGCAAGTAAACAGTACCAGAAATAGGGTACAAGGTGGGGACAATCTCTTTGAACTTGGCAGAGGTAAAAAGAAGGTGTGCGATTCAATGCTCAATTATCAATGATGAACTAGAGCATTTTCAATTGCATTTTCAACTTTTTCATAAGTCTGCTGGCTAGGTGAAATAAATTTAAATACACAGATAAATAGTCATCAAAATTATTAATATAAATGTTATGCATCATTTCCTGGGCAGAACAATGTGTGAATCACTTAATCTTCTGACTACCAAGCAACTTCTCAACTTCTCAAAACAACTTTTTCTGTAGGTTATTATTTACCAGAGATAACATAGGTAATAAGAAAATTGTGATTTGGGTCCAGAAATATAGTTTCTCTCATAATGAAAATGAAAGAGAAAGATTTCTGGATAAGGGCACTTTCTTACTAGAGAATAGACTTCCACTGAGGATACTCATTGTATGAGGCAGGAATAGTGTTAGATGTTTTCTGTATTGTATCTAATTTAATTCTAACAATAGCCCTATGGCATAAATATGGGTATACCTTTCCCTCGATTACTCAATGAAACTTGTTTTTCAGGGAATTAATATAATATTGACATACTGTCAACAACACACAAGTATCACCTATCAAGTAGTGTTATCAACACAAAGATGGAACCATAAGAAAGCTGTAGGTCTTCAGAGTTGATTTACCAGAATACTGAACATTTGAATTCAGTTCCCTTTGGCATCTGTTTTTTCTTTGAACAACCTGACTAGTGGTAACAAACAAACTTCAAATTTGAGCATTTTTTTTTACTGTCTCTTCTATAAGAGGTAACTGATAGCTACCTCTAAGTTCTCATATAATTACACTTTCTAAGCAATATTAACCTATAGTTATAACTAAAACAGTAATATCAAAACTAATTTTCTGAAACAATATACAAGATGGAAAAGGTGGTATTTGAGTTGTGTGAAGATTTTTCTAGAATAATGGAAAGAAAAGGGTATTGCTGGCAAAGGAACTGTCACATGTATGTTCAAAGCTGTCTTGAAAAGAGCTATCAGATTTGACAATTTTGATCATTGATAAATTAGACTAATCAGAGGGAGAGGTAAATGACAATAGCTGGAGGAAGTAGGGATTCCATACTGATATCCATTAAGAAATGAAGAAAAGAGAAGGCCCAGGTGATTTAAAGTTAAAATAGCAAAGACTTAGTTTCAGATCACAAAAGAGCATATCTATAGGTAAAACTAGTGAAATCACTGAGAAAGTACTTCACCAATTAATTTGAAATGATATTTGAGAAGAAGTAGAACAAAGATCTGGTAAGTGTTCTGGCTCAGAAATGAGACAGAGGAACAGAGGAGAGCAGGCTTTGCCATGCGATAGCTTTATGAGCCTGGGCAATTGTTTTTTCTCTCTAAATCTCAGTTTCTTCATTAATAAAGTTGAAATGCCAATACTAGCTTTATCGTGATACTGTGAAAATTAGACGGCAAAATGTAGATAAAGTGCTTAAAAAAAACGCCAGGTATGTTTGTGGGAACAATGTTTGGAGCTGAGGGAACAAAGGGGAATAAGACTGCCTCTGCCCTCAAAGAACTCACAGTGCAGAGAAATAGAAGTTAAATACAACAGAGTAAGTGCAAAGTTAGAGACACATATAGGGCATCACGTGAACACAAAAGCAGGGCATCAAACTCGGCATGTTTTACTTAGAAAAGAGGCCCAGGAGGAAATAAGCCTTGAGTTAAGTCTTAAAATATAAGAAGTCATCAATGAAGCAAAAATAAAAGGCATTCCACAGAGAAAAGCCAGCACAGAGAAAGAAATAGAGTTGCGGGGGGGGACGGGGAAAGGCTAAATAACAGTTTCTCAATGCTGGTGTATTAGATGTGTGGCTCAGAGTAGCCAGAAAAAGGCCTGGAGAGAGAGGCCTGGAGAGAGAGGCTGATTTCAGGGGCTTGTGCCTGCCATATGGAGGAGCCAGGGCTTTATCAAGCAGCCAATGGGAAATTCTTGGGTGATATTAAAATCTGACGCGACCAGACTTCTAGTTCAGAAAGATTGTGCTGGAAAAAGTGTGGGAAATGAATTTGAGCGGGATAAGAAAGGAAGTAGGAAAATAAATTACACATGTTTGGGTTTTGATGGTTATAGTATATTTATATGTTCACTAACTTGGTGTTTGGATAGTGCTTTATAAATTTAGAACTGAATCATATTAACTCATTTTGAAATGCATTCTAAACAAGCTTACTGAAACCAAAACTTCAGATTAAAAACAAACAAACGAAGATGGTTTCAGAAGCACCTTCTTGTTAAGCCAAGACCTTAGTAAGAGCAATATCAATAGCATCTGTTAAGCATGAAGGACATATTTCCTGTTAGGCGGTGAGCCGATAAATAGAAATAAATTAATGCACATAGAGAAGGCTGTTCCTGCTTTCAAGCACAACTCATTTCATTGTCCAAATCTCTGGCATTCCAGGTAGTTGTGCCAAGTTCCAACACTTCTCACTAGAAAAATCATTACTGCTACTTTACAGAAGAGCAGACCGAAACAAACATGTAAGCCACCTGCATAAATTCCTAAAACAATTTTGTGACAAGCTGAACCAAAATTGCTATCTCTTGAGTGAGTCCAGGGTTGATACTTTACTAAGAATGTTCAAATGTTGACTTTCAAGTTCTTTTTTCTCAGACTCTGAACAATGGAGTGAGAAGTGGAGCCTTCAAACTTTCTTCTCATGGATGCTATTAATATTTGTTGTGATATTCTTATTTATAATGCTTCACTATTTTCTCAAATCACCTTGAATAATGTACTTAGTGTAGCAGTTGTGCTCCTACCTGAGACCTAGCTGAGACTGAGCTTGACATAATCAAGCTATTAAGGCATTTGCCTCATTTCTCCATTAAATAGTAAAGAAAAATTGAGAGACAACATTGTAGGTAGAGAACTCACTTTTCATAAAGGACACTAGCAGCATTGACAGTGATATAGTCCATCCTCCCTCCATTGAATTCTGAACAGTACATAATGATAAGAAGGCCAAGGATAAAGGACATGAGGTAGCCTACTCCTGAGTTCATGTGAAGTACCCATTTGTGACACCGCAGAGCTACTGTGATCAAATTTTGGAGATACAAAGGCCCTGCAATAGTTTCAGTGCTGTTTACTTTGTGTATTTTGTAAATGCAACTTTATTTGTATGAGCATCAGATTGTTACTACATCAGGAATAAATAGTTAACAATGTGGATTGCACTGGACTAGCTTAGGAGCAATCCATGAATTCTCAATTGCCTGGTACACTCATAGATCCTTTTTAAAAATGATCACAGGAAAAAATACCATTAAGAAAGTGAAAAGAAAATACAGAAACTGAGAGACAAGTTTGGCATGCCATGTATCTGATAAGGGCTTGCATTTAGAATATATAAATATATAAAAAGCTCATATAACTTAATAATAATAATTTTAAAAATATGTGTCCTCTTTTATACCTGATCCTCAAGCTTAGGCATTTCTTACAAATCAATCTTTGTCCCCATCATACTATGTAATGAACACACCAAGGATTATATGGTGGTTTCAAATACAGTCCTGTTTTAGTCCATTTTGTGATGCTATAACAGAATAACACAGACTGGGTAATTTTTAAAGAACAGAAAGTTATTTCCTCACAGTTATGGAGGATGGGAAGTTCAAGATCCAGAGTCTGGCATCTGGCAAGGGCCTTCTTTCTACATCACCCCATAAAAGAAGGTGGGAGGCAGAAGGGCAAAGATAGGGCAAGAGTGAGAGCAAGGGCTGAACCCACCCTTTTACAATGAAGCCACTCCCATGATAATGCCGTTAATCCATTCATGAGAGCTGATCCTTCAGGGTCTAATCATCTCTTTATGGTCCCACTTCTTCATACTGAAGAGGCAATTAAATTTGGTAATAAAATTTCAACATGAAGTTTGGAGGGGACACTCAGACCATAGCAAGTCCCAATGCCATGGGACCTAACACAAATCTCATCGCTTGTCCCAAGCACTCTTCTGAAATCCAAATCATAAAAACCAAATATTTCCTAAAAATCCATTTTTGAATATTATATTGGAACTTCAAAGCTAAAGAAAGTTCATTATTTCCCTCTCTGAAATTAGTCTTTTGTAGATTCAATTTTTTATTTGGTAAATGACACCAATATCTACCCACCTGACCATGGCAGTCTTAGGAGTCATCTTTGGCATCTCTTTGCCTCACTTACTCCTCAATGTACCATGAATCACCAATCCAAAATATGCCAACTTCTCACCATACTGCCACCAAGGTCTCTGCCTGTGTTATTGAAATAGTCTCCTAACTCTCTTCCTGTTTCTATACTTGCTTCCATATTCCCTACACAACACTCAGAATGATTCTGTAAAAATATGTCACTAATCTGCACAAATGATGATGGCTTCCTACATTACCTAGAATAAAAGTCATAAAAATGAGATTTTGTCTATGTACTTCTATATTCCAAGCATCTGGAATAATGCCTAGTACATAGTTAACTCTCTGTAAATAATTACTGAATGAAGAAAGAGATTTAATCTATCAATTTATAGGCATATCCACTGCTACCATACCATACCAGTTCAAGAAACCATTCATGTTCTTCTGGAATTCTGGAATAATTGTTAGTCTCATTGTAATTCCAGTCATCAACTTTGTTTTTCCACAATCCATTCTCTATGTTTTAGGCATATCTGTGTTTTTAAAATGCAGAGACAAAAGTTTATCCATTTCTATTGCTCTTAAAATAAAGCTCAAATTGTGAGCATGACCTGTAAACACCCTGAATAATTGGTTCCCAAATTCCTTCTCTGTGGTTGCTTCTTACCACTTTTCCCTTGCTACGTAAACGCTAGCTAAGCTAGATGTTTTTAAAGCCCCACAATGGACATTTTTTTCTCTATATACAGTGAATAGATTTCCTTCCTTCCTTTATGCAAGGCTAGTTTAAACACATATTTCAGAATCTATATTAACTACAGCTTCATCAAAGAAGCTCTTGCATACCCTGTTAG
The DNA here is from genome assembly GCF_000001405.40 of Homo sapiens. Taxonomy (NCBI): domain Eukaryota; kingdom Metazoa; phylum Chordata; class Mammalia; order Primates; family Hominidae; genus Homo; species Homo sapiens. The sequence goes on along the minus strand of NC_000001.11, from coordinate 194,082,205 downwards.
ACAAAATCAAATCCCCTTGCCTTTGTTTTCTGATGGCATCCTGAGATTCAAATTAAATAAGATTTGGTACTAGTGTCATCAATAGATTGTTATTTTTACTAGATTATTTTCAAGAAAACAGAAATGTGTATAGCGAATATAACACATTATCCTTAAAGGACTAGCATAGTTCCTGGAAATATAGGAAGTACTAAAAAAATCATCCAATGTGTAATGTATCTGGAAGAGCCCAGTGTTTAGAATTGGATAGATCTGGTTTGAATCCCAACTATGCCACTTAACAATCTATGTGAATAATTTACTTGACTTGATGTAACTTCAGTTTTCTCATCTATAAAAAGAAAAGGAATATCAATACTCATCCTAAGTAGTAATTATAATGATAAGATGGCATATAAAATGGTGCCTGCCAGAAAGAAAATAACTTTTATACTAACATTTAAGTACTATTAGACCATATTGTACATAGTAACAAGATTTCTGGTTTTGTGATATGTGAAAAACTGAGTTCAAAACCTAGGCTCATCTTTTACTGCATAAATATGTAACTTGGCAATTTGCCAAAATGTTCCCACATCCTAATATGTATTTATAAAGGAGCACAGAATGATCCATCTTGTGGAATTATTGTGAGAATTAACTTTAATAATAAGTATAAAGTGTAATTGAGCAGAGCAGGTGCTCAATAAATGCTATCTACCATTAATGACAGGAAAAGTAGAAGTAAAATTAGGACTTCTATAAAGATATATCTGTGAGCATTCCTCTAGTCTAGTAGAATGACTCATTTTAATTAATCTTGAAAGATACATTTCTATATATCTGTGCATATTGCACACATATATGTATACAGAACAATAAGAAATTTAAGTTTTTTAAAAATCAAATTACCTTTAACTGAATTGAACCCAGTACATGTGATGCCAATTCACTGCCCCAACAATGAGTTTTTAATACCCCTCTTCCCAGTTGAGTGGTTTGAGACCACTATTAGTGGTATAGTGGAACAGGGAAATAGTGATATAGTAGAATAGCAGTATTACGATACCAATAGTCATCTGCATCGTATTTAAATAGATAATCCAAAGTTGTACCAATAAAACTTTTATTTGTAGTATGAATAGGCTGCAGCTGTGCAGACCTCATCAATGGCTGGTGTTGCCTTTAGAGATGCAAACTATTCAATAAAACTCTAAAGTCTAAAAGAATTCTGTCATGTGTGATTGTTTACACTGCAACCCCACATACATAGCATAAAGGAGATAAATGCACTTACAAGTTGAAATATACATCTTTAAATAACACTTTTAAACTTTCATTTGTAAAGCCTAGAAAGTACAAATTGAAACTGTACAGTGAGATGGCATTTTTTCCTTGGTTTCTGCTATGCTGGGACCTTGCAGTGCTTTTATAAAATGTTTTTAGAGTGGTCCATGACTGATTACAACACGTAACCCTGCTTAAATAGACCACATGGTCAGTGAGTCTTAAATATAAATCGAAGCACCATTTATGCATAAGAAATTCATGTAAAGGATGCATGCAGACTACCAATAGGATTTATTAATATATGTGAAATAAGCCACTATAGATACTAAGGAAATTCCAAAGTTAAAGAGTTCAAAATGTAGGGCAAGTCAGTGAGAGATAAAGAACGTGTGTGTGTGTGTATGTGTGTGTGTGTACTCTACCCTTTAAAGTTGACAATGGTGGCTAGAGCAATTTGATTAGGAGACAGATTTCTTCTTACTGAGCACTTTCTTTCTCAGCAGTTGGTCTCTAAGGTGCTGAACAAAACTATATTTGAAATAATATAATCCCTACAGATCTGTATAAGACTTTCTTTGGTTTCTGTAGAGTTCTGTGAAGGAATGATAATCACGCTTCTGTTCCATTCAATTCTCAGAGGGATTCTGCGCATTTAGGAAACTTAAATCTTTATCAACCTGACAGGGAGACTGAGAGACAGATACACTGTTTAAAATATAGGCAGGTCCAATTCTAATATCAATTAATTTTTGTACCATATTTTGTCACTCACTTCAAAATGTATGAAAAACAGACACATTTTTATAATCACAGAACTGTATGTAATTGTCCACAGTGCCCACATTTACTACATCTTAATCTTCTACTCAGTTTTCATTCACTCATTCTTTCACCCAACAAAGATTTGTTAACTTCCACTATGTGATGTGCCAAGCTCTGTGCTGAAACTCAAGAACACAGGTAGTTCATTCCAGCAAATGCAAGATACATTTTATGAGAAGTCTTAACAGGTGATTTAAGAGCACAAACGAAGGAGGTAAAAATCAAAGTCAGTGGCTGTAGAGGAGGTGGTGGCATTTTGAATAAGTATCGAAAGATGAAGTACACACAAAAAAATGAGGAAAGGGAGATACAGTAGAGTATGACATGGATGGCCAGTTGCCACTTTTCCCTTTTCTCCCCTCTGTGGAAGCACCATAATTTCTTCCTGCCTCACACTCTTCTCACCATCTCTTAGATGTGAGAGAGATCTTAGAATGATGTTTCCCCTCCATACCTAGTTCACTTTTCCTAGTTACTAATGGCTTAGAATACACTTTATTTCTACAGGGAAAGTATGCCTTACTTCATAGACTTTATCAAGGACTCCTATTATAGGTACTCTATAATTCTTCTTTATGTCCCTTATTACATTTCTAATTATTTGTCTTATTTATCTATAATCTTCCTCAATAAATTGCAAACTCCTTGAAGAAACAGACTGATTGTTTTGTTCCATGCTGTAACCCCATCTCCCGGCTAAATTCACTGGATCATACTAGGTTCTCATTTAAATGTTGCTTAATGAGAAAAAAGAATGTTTGATTACCTAATAATTGAATACATGAATTACTGACAGACACAAAGAATGTGTAAGGAGAGTAACATCTGAGGACTTCAAAGAAGATGTAGTTCAGAGTATGAAGATCTGAGTAATATCTTGAAAGCTAAGTTTATTAATTAAATTTAATAATTCAAACTTTAATTAGATATGTGTCATTATACTTGGGTTTTAGAAGGATCCCTTTAGCAGAAGTGTGGAGAAGAAAGGTAGGAAAAACTAGACAAAATAGTTCAATTATATGGATCTGAAATAAAAAAGTGCTGGGGCAATGGAAAGTAGGGGATGAGTGATTTTGAAAAATAGACTCTAAGAGAAAGAAGAATATGGAAGTGAAATTGTTTTGGGCCTGTGCGGTGAGGTAGAGATTGGTTACAGTCACAAAAGAAGAAATATAAGACAAGGAGTATACTGGGCAAGAAAGATGGTAAATTCAGCATTTCACAGTCTGAGTACAAAGGACTAAGGACCAACTTGCAAGAATGTCAATGCTAAGGCTAGAGTTTTTAAAGTATGTGGATACAGTTTTTAAAATATGTGGGTGGGTAAAGCCAGACTTCACCATTCTGCCTTCTATGCATGTAACAAAAAGACACATGTACCCAATAAATGTATATAAGTAAAAATATTAGAATATAAATAATAAAATAAAATATTTTACAAAAAAAATAAACAAATAAACCCAGGGATTAGGATGACATAATACAGGGAAAAGGTAAAGAGAGAGAAGAGTGCCAAAAACCAAGCCTTTGACTACATCATTTTTTTTTTTTTTTGTAGTTACAATTAGCCTGATATATATACATTAAGTTCTGGGATACATGTGCAGAACATGCAGGTTTGTTACATAGGTATACACATGCCATGGTGGTTTGCTGCGCCCATCAACCCTTCATCTACATTAGGTATTTCTCCTAATTCTAACCCTCCCCTAGCCCCCCCACCCCTCGACAGGCCCTGGTGTGTGATATTCCCCTCCCGGTGTCTGTGTGCTCTTCTTCTTCAACTCCCACTTATGACTGAGAACATGTGATGTTTGGTTTTCTGTTCCTGTGTTAGTTTGCTGAGAATGATGGTTTCCAGCTTCATCCATGCCCCTGCAAAGGACATGAACTCATCCTTTTTAAGACTGCATAGTATTGCATGGTGTATATGTGCCACATTTTCTTCATCCAGTCTATCATTGATGGGCATTTGGGTTGGCTCCAAAATCTTTGCTATTGTGAACAGTGCTGCAATAAACATACGTGTCCATGTGTCTTTATAGTAGAATGATTTATATTCTTTTGGGTAAGCTAGAGGGGATGTGGAGAAATAGGAACACTTTTACACTGTTAGTGGGAGTGCAAATTAGTTCAGCCATTGTGGAAGACAGTATGGTGATTCCTCAAGGAACTAGAACCAGAAATACCATTTGACCCAGCAATCTCATTACTGGGTACATCATATTTTAAGAATTGAGTTCAGTAATTGTAATTCATTAAAGTAAGAGGAGGAGCAATATAGAGATTAAAAGGATATTGAGAATATATATATATAAAAAAAGAAGGAAACAATTGTAATAAGAAAAGTCAAAACTGTTAAATACAAACAATAATAAAAATAGTAATGTCAAAGCACCAGCATCCTTCAAACAATACTAGAGTCTTTGTCACTTTGCCTGAGTTTCTTCTTTTACTGTTTATTTATTTACTCGTTCATGTAATATATATTTATTAGTAGCCTACTACGCACAAAGTATTCTTGGTGGGCAATGAGAATAAATCATTTAAAAGGGAATAGTTCCATCCTTACGGAACTTACATTCTGGTCAGTCATTGGCCTCACTGTGGAAAACATGCCAATAGAACAAATGTTAATTTCTCACAGCATTTAATTTGTCTCCTTTTCTTACCCATGATATGTGATGATAGTAGATAGTTCTTAAAAGTAAATGTCCACACTATTATTCAAAATGATCTCTCAGGCTGGGACTGTGGTCTGAAATGATAGCTCAGGCCGTTCTTCTTCTGCCACTTTTCAAACCAGTCACTCTCAAGATGATTATGCAGACAAAAACCGTTTGCTTAATTCAGTGATGAAAATGCTGAAGTAGCTAGGACCAAGTGCTGACACTTGATGGTCTCTTGCCATCAACCAATACCCTATGAGCATTATTGTTCAACCCCTTGATTTTAGCTAATTATGCAATTATTCAACACATTTGATAGCCATGTCCACTATGATGTCTGATCTGTCATACTGCTATATGAGTGAAAAGAGCTTTAAAAACTCTTCCAAAATATGCTAGACAAACAGATACAAAAAATGAACACCTAGAAGATGCAATGCTGTAGAGAAAACTATTTTTTATGTTTCTGAATTGTTAGAGATTTCTAAGGAAGTTTTACTGAAACTTGGGACCTGTGCCAAAAAAAAAAAAAAAAAAAACAAAAAAAAAACATAAGCCTGGAACTTATGACTGGATAGTGAGCACTACAGAGAGATTTACCCCCTGGGGGACTATGTTTACATTTCAAGGAAGATAAGTCCTGGGACCGTGAAGACAATTGTTGGACTGTAAAGCTAAAGACACTAGTCATTTTCTCCTACTGAAGAAGTTTATTCACTTTTCTGAGTGAAGAACCAAAATCCTTCTCATTATGTCTCCATGTATCTCTCTCTCAGAAAAAATATGGGTGAGAAGGAGGCACAGCTGCCTCTCATTTCTGCCCACTTTTATTCTGTTGGCTCCTCACCTTGAACAGACCCCACTGTGTCGGGGATCACATCTGGTTCTCAACATACTAATGTAGGGCAGGCAAGCTCCAAAGTGGGGCTTAGCCCATAAGGGTTCCTGGCTTTACCCAGGAAAGAATTCAAGGGCAAGCTGGAAGTAGAAGAAAACAGCTTTGTTGAAGAGACAGTGTTACAGCTCTGGCAGGGTTACAGCTCTGTGACTGCTCCAGCAGAGCAGGGCTACCCCATAGGCAGAGAGTTTCAGCTCAGGGCAGTTTTGCAGTCATATTTATACCTGCTTTTAATTACATGCAGATTAATGGGTGGTTTATGCAGAAATTTCTAGGGAAGGGGTAGTAACTTTTGTGTTGTCAGGTGATTGTCATGAAAAGGGGTCATAACTCCTGGGTGTTGCCGTGGCAATGGTAAGCTGTTGTGGCACACTGGAGGGTATTTCTTATAGAAAGTTGCTTCTGCCCTCACCCTGTTTTAGTTAGTCCTCAATTTGTTTCAGTGTCTGAGCCCCACCTCCAGAGTCGAGTCCCTCCTCCTATGTCAGTATCACCACTCCAGAATAAGAATTTGGGTAAAGGGGAGTAAGTTGGTGCAGTTATAATGTGCTCTAAGTAAATAGTAACTTGCTCTGCTCTAGAAACCTCATGTTGACATTCGGGATATTATTATTAAATATAGACATTAAAAACTTAACAGGACAAAGTAACGTAACTGTTTTTGGAAGGTGATGTTAAAACACATTAAATTTAGTGGTCTTTCAAATATCACACATTCAGGTAGAAATCATCAACCCTTTAAAAGGATATAGATCAGTTTTCCAAAAGGCTCAAGTATAGACAATTGTAAAAAAAAAAAAAAAAAAAAAAAAAAAAAAAAAAAGACTAGAAATGAATTGCAGATTAGAAACTATCATTTTGAAAATATAATAAATTATATCTCCTTATACTACTTTTAACTATGCTCCAAATCTTCCACCTGCTGCTTTATTTGAATGAAATTTCTTACTGAGTATTTGGCTTAAACTTTCAAGGAGGGAGAAAGAATGTCTATAGAGAGAATCTGTGACTGCCCAGATTCACACAGAAAATTAAGATTTAATCTAAGAATAAGTAGACTTTATTCAGGTCTCCATAATCCTGTTTCTTCCTCCTAATCTAAGAAAAGTTAGATAACAAATGAAACAATTTTATTTTCTTATTTCATGTAATTTGCTATGTGTTTATAAACTAAAAAGGTCAAATTGTGATTTATGAAAACAGGACTAAATTGACAATTTTAAAATTAGATAGCTATGGTAGTTTTTATGCCATTCTCTTGAAAAATCTACAATTTCTCACTTTGTGAAAGAAGGTAAGATGTATCTTTCATCGAGATGCAGACAGCTACATAAGACAAAATTCTTGCCTTCTGTCAGCGGCTTCCAAATTCTTAAGAGAGAGAAATCTAAGCATCTTCACTCTATACAACTCCTCTGGTTCTATAGAACTTAACCAGTACAGAAGCATAAAATGTCTCCAAAATATAACCTGCAAATAAAGCTGCAGACTCCATTCAAGAGGACATTTATTTTTATCACGAACTTGGGCATTAAAAGAAGCAATTTTTGCAGTTTCCACAACATAGTGATTTTCCCCTAAAACTAGCCTTGGGAAAAGTAAAAGTTTTATCAGAATTAAAGTAGATGTAGGAACTATTTTTAAGGCCAGATTCAGAGTACAACTATCCTAAAGATCAATCAAGAATATTTTCATGAATCCTTAAGTAAAATGCACTCTTCTCTCTCTCTCTCTCTCTCTCTCTCTCTCTTTCTCTCTCATGTGTGCATGTGTGTGTAGAAGATAAAAAATTTTTAAAAAAGCAGTCCTGTGGCTGACTGCCAGAGAAACTCTGCTCATAGTTTAATTTTACAGGGCCAGGTCTGGATTTCTTTGAGACACTGATCTAAACTTGCCAAACCCACTTCTAAGATTTATATATGACCAACCGCAGTCTGTCCATCCATGACGAACAATGATGGGTACTCCTTACTAGGCTGTATATGCTGATGATTCTCATAATCAACACTTTGCCTTAAGAAAAATAAACTGCTTAGTTTTTTTTTGTGATAATTCCAATAGGTGGTATAAACTGTGGTTGAGCCTGTCTGGTAAAACAGATAACAGGAGAGAATGTGCTGCAGCCAATTTGGTGCTTTGCATCATATATTTGTCCATGTTACCCACGGAACAAGAAAACAAGTCAATAAAAATAAATCTAGTTCAGGTACAGTGTCATATTACTAATTTATAATAATATAACCACTGAGAGAAATTGATGTTTGTGACTTCGTATTATAGCATCTCTGCCAAGAGCTCATTAAACATGAAATACAGAATTGTATAAATTAGAAGACATGGAAAAGGAGAAACATCAGAAGACAGCAAATGCAAATTTTCAGTCAATATGATCCCTGCAAGGCAAGTCGACATTCTGTTGGATGTGATTTGCTAGATTAAGTTCAAGGATGCTCTGTCTTTACCTCCAGGGCCATGACTGACACTGATGTATTTTCAGGGCAGAAGGAAGGTCAGATAACAGAAAGGCTGTGTCTCTGGGTAGTCTTTAGGGCCACGGTTGCCGGCTTGTTCTGGACATTTGCATTGACAGCTCTGCCTGGACTAGCTACTGAAACTCCATGGATTAATTTTCATGGAGTTCCAGAATCAGCCTACAGCAATCAAGTGAGATTTTTTAAAAAGAGATGTTAGCTTGATTTTCATTATTTTGTGAATAGACTTCAAATTTTAATAAACTACACTGAACTTAGCAGAACAATAATCATTTTTTACTACCTGTGTCAGGATAAACCAAGAGAATATGAATTTCATTTAGTCTTCAAGAATAGTTCATATAGGCCTGCTCCAGGCCAAATAACTTGAAAGTGATGCAACCTAATGTAGTGCCAGCCTTACATCCTTTCTACAAATATATCTTATAAAAATAGTTGGCACACATGGACAAAGAAATATAGACAAGAATGAGCAGTACAACATTTATTTCAAAATAAATAAATATAAGTATGTGCATATATGTGTCTGTGTGTGTGTGAGAGAGAGAGAGACAGAGAGAGACAGAGGATATTATATCTGTGACATATGGTTAAGAAAAAATCAAAATGCCCTTTACTGTATGACACTATATGTGAAATATCAAGGACACATACACACAGACACACAGACACACACACACACACACACACAGATGGGGGGAGCCTGGAAGAATAGACATGAAATTGGTAACAACTTCTAGAGAGATGATACATGCTTTAATTCATACAATATTTTAATTAATGTATGGGGAGGTGTATAATATTTAACTGTACTGCTCAAGTTCTAGTTGTCAAATTGGATGTTTATGTGAGTATATGATACGTATTTTATTAAATATATTATGTTTTATGTATTAACTAATTTAAAAAATATTTAAAATCCAAGTTCATCTGGGACTCAGAGTGGCATTATACTAGGCAAAGAAAAACATACTATGTTTTAATACAGTCAGTTTTAAATTGAGGACTACAAATATCTAGCAATTTAACTGACTGAGTTACAAACTGTAGAAGCCTCTGACTTCTCAAACTGTTGTGCTGTAGTAGGAAAACTTGAAGATCTCTTTTTACTCTAGAATCAGCAATGCCAAGTCCTTAACCTAAAATCTTCACAAAATAGGAAATATAATGTGGACAATAAGTAGAAATAATGAAATAATTCTGGATTAATCTTGCCCCTCTTTCACATGGTAACACACTAACAAAAATTTAAAATGTGCCCATGAAATACATTTTTTTCACTGTACTGACAACTAAGAATGTAGGCAGTGCAGTCAGTGAAGTCAAATATCAACCTAAAATCCTCAGGTTCATATTTACACATTAGTACCCTCAAAGGATTTAATCTTTCTTTTTCTTCTTTCTTTTTTTCTTTCTAGTAACCAGAAGAAACAAAAGCATGGGCTTTGGAAAGAAAAGTTATAAGAGGGGATTTGCCTAGTATATGATTATCTCCCACTCAACAAATCAAATATGTATTTTGACGAAACACTGCTAAAAGAGTCTTTTTTGAAGAGAGAATAGAAGTAAATTAATTTCCATTCCTAATGCCTGATTTAACAAGACTATTAAATAATTTCATTCATTGGATATATTTGCTGCCTTACAAAGCTGAAATGATGTTGAGCTATTCATTTTGTTAAAATTTTATACGCCTACATAATGACCTGCATCATGCAATGTACTTTCATGGTTGCTTTCCTTTTAGTGCTAATCTCCATTAGCTATAAAGGATGGCACAGAACCCATTTTGCCAAGCATTGTTGACATAGCTATAGACCAATGCAAAATTCAAAGAATACAGTCATTGCTGTGTTGCATATTATTAACTCTTACACTTAACACCACCCACATTTTGTTTCCCATTGCAGCTCTTTCTCTGTGATGGACAGACTGCTAAAGCATCGGTTATCCCCAGACCAATTCCTGAACTATACTCCTTTTAGGAGAAATTTTGAAGGAAGTCCTGAAGACTCGGTCGAGGCAAGAAAAGTTTAATTGACATGTTAAATGGTCATTTCCAAGAGACTTGTATGTATAGCCAACAGAGAGTAAACAGAGTCTATAATACTGACAAGTATATAGGATGTCACATGAAGGAACTGTCTCTTCATTTCAGACACTATAAAATAGTCGATGAAAGACACATAGTTTTCTTGTCAGGTATTATAATGTTAAATTCTTTTTTAACACTATTAAGAGATAAGTTGGTTTTCTTTTCCCCTCTTCTAGCTATTATAACCTGCCATTAGAAGCTATACAAACTAAGACATAAAATCCAAACGCTGTGTGTCTTGCCTAAGAAAAGTGTTCTATTTCCCTAATGCCACTAGTAAAACAAATAAAGGCATGGGCCATTTTGAAGAAAATGAAAACAAGAAACAATTACAGGATGTAATCTATTGTTAGGAATACATTTCAAAAGAAAAAAAGACAAAGGTAGAACAAACCAGAAATAGCTCAATCCATTTATGTTTTGTCCTCTGGGACAAAAATGGACCCATTTGCAACCATGCAAAGCAGTAGTGTATTTGCTGATGGGAAAATGCATGCAGATGCCAAATGGGTGCATTAGCCCCCCTTGGCATAGTTAATGTAGACATGCCCTTAGGGATCCTTATAAGACCCATCTGTTCAGTCAAGCATTTGCTTAATTGTGTCAAATGCCTGGCAAATGCAGTGTCAGTTTATAGATAATAGATATGTAAATGTTGTTTGTGTTCTTGTACATATGCCCAGGGGCTTTAAAATAAACACATCACATTTTTAAAAATAATTTCCTGTTGGGGATAAAATGATAGTCTTGCTGGCAGCAGCAGTACTCCTCATAATAGCTTAAACTATTATAATATTTAATATTTTATAACACATAATATCTTCATTTAGGGATTTGGGCCACCTATTCATTTTCTTATAATCTTGATTACCATGCTTGTTATTTACCTATGGCTTTATGAAGAGAAATAGCATATTCATGTCCTCTCATTATACACATGTCTCCACACATGTACTAAGTAATATGATTCAGTGAGGAGAGCATAGCCTCTAGAGTTAGCTCATCCTGAACCCCCATCCCAGGGTACTCTAAGGGGTATGGGACCTCTGGAAATTTACTTGACCGTTTTGGGCGACAGTTCTCTCTTGTGAAACTGGAAGACAAGTTTGTTATCATAGACTTGGGGAGAATTTGAAATATGGAAGCAGTAAACGCATAATAAACCTTCAATAAATACCCATTCCCTTTCCCTCTTCACACACTCCGTCACCCTGCAAGACCTCAGGTGACACGTTCCCAGAAATTAGACTTCCTCTTCCTTAAGCCATCGGTGACACCACTAACTGACAAATGTTGAGAATTAAGCTCTTAATATCCCCTTTCCCTTCTATGATGCAAAACTATCATCAATGACACATTTGACAACTCCGAGGGAAATGGATGCCAAAATGTTTTAGTAGATGTTAGATTGACAGTTCAGAAACAGAGTAGTCCTCTCCAGATTTTATGAAAGAAAATCCTTACGGCTTCTTTTCCGCCTTTAAAATATCCTTTAAGTATCTCTTTTTCTCATACTTTAGACATAGAAAGAAAATCTTAAGCCCATAAAGAGCATAAAACACTTAAGGGAGACTTGACAGTCACTCCAGGTGTTGTGAAATAATGAATCAATTTTGAGACTGATAGCTCATCTGCTAGAAATAATTTTTTTGCCACTTTTTGTTTCCTTTCCACTGACCACATTATTTTTACCCTCCTTAGATGTGGAACACAAGCATTGTTTGGGAAGAGTACATTTTCACATACACCAATGTGTCATTTGAGAAAAAGAAAAGAAACTCCAATTTTGCCCCTTTTAGGGTTCAATAGTATTAGATTATAATATGTTAGGTTGAAATGGCACAACCTATGTTCAGCAGTTGAACTAGATACTCAGGGCCCCTAGGCAGGTACTCACCATATGGCAAGAGAAACCTAGATATGGCCAGTGCTAGTTAGAGTGGGGCTGGTTCAGGAAAGAGTCTCTTGCAGATGCTGGGCATCTCTCTTGCTTTAAGCTACTTTGTTACTCCAGATCTGCTTCATAAACAACAGTTGTGTTTGTGAGGGCAAACAATTTTTATACGTACATTCTAATTAGCATGGCTTGGTGGAAGGCAACAATTAGTAAGTTTAAGAAGGAAGTTTTTCTCTTCACTTTTTTTTTTTTTTACCCTTGCGCCCCATGAGGAACCACTATTAAACCAGGAATGTCATCACTGCAGCTGTGGTCAGGGTTGACGTAAAACAGGGTGACTGTCTTTCTTCAACAGAAACCATCAGTTTCAGCACCTTGGCAGCACTAACATGGAGATTGGCAGCACTGAGTGGGGAGGGTTTCCAAGATGGCAGCCTGCCAGTCACGTGTGACTCCAAGCCTACACGCAGCCTGCACCATGCGGTAGCCCCTCAGGGAGCAAGATGACCTTGATTCCGGGCAGAGTTAGAGGAGACTTGCCTAAATCTAACACCCAGCAGTCAGGCAGGGCCAGCGGCTTGGTGTTAGATGGAGATGATGCTGCTATCTAAAGGTGGAAAATTTGAGTTTACTGTTTGAATTAGAAAATGCCTCTTCCAGATTTGGAAGTAGCATGGGTAGCATACTCACTTATACCAGGTCCCTGGCTTCTGATAGTGGCTGTGAATCTCATTCTCTCAAAAGTGATTCATGTTACAATACTGAAGAAAAGTGACCAGCACTGACATTGTAAGCCCTTTGGAGAGTGGGATTTTCCCAAGAAGACTTACTCTAAAAATATCTGTTTGTAGTTCTAAAATTGAGTTTAGGGGTCACATTAATTTTATTATTCTAAAAGACTATTGAATGAGGATTAAATCCCACTTCCAGTTACACATAATTATGAAGAGTAGCTTGCATTAGTTACCTAGTATTTCATAACAAACCACACTAAAAGTCGTGATGGAAATCTAGTAGCTCTTATATTAGTGCCACTTGGGATTAGCCCTGTTACCTACTTGGAGTTCTATCCAATGTTATTTCGGGGCATGTGAGGGCATTTTGAAAACACTCCTGTGATTTTTAGAATGCTTTTGCTCTAGATAAGAGTGTTTACTTGACACCATTTCACATTTTTCAAAGTCTTAACAAAAGGTATTATAGATATACCTTTATTTCAATTGTAGCACTAGGTCTCACTTTAATCAAGTTATGCTGACTGAGGAGACTAAGGAGATGATTTATTTTTCCAAACAAAAAAAAATTGGTCCTCATTATTTCCTCAAAGCTCTGTTTGAAAACAGTACAATTCTATTTTTAGATTATCTCTTTCTTCCCATATCTGACCAGATGACACTAAAAGAAGCCAATTGGCATTGTCAACGCTCTCCCCGAAAGCTTCCTTAGACAGATCCAACAGTTCTTACCAGCTTCTATCTTCCAAGTTGCCACAGGCAATATTTTGCCAATTTTTCTGCCAACATTTGCCAAATTTTCTGCTGGAGAAAAGATTTCCTTTTCTCGAGCTTCTGATGGCTTTTCTCAGGGCTTTATTAGTCTCCAGTAGAAGCTTTTTTGACTCCCTTGTAGATTCTTCCTATCGTCATTTTCCAAAGGTAATGTCATATATTTTAAGCTTTTCAAAATTATTACTATTGCAATGCTCTACTTATGTGTATTCATTTCTATGTGCTGCATTTTAAAAAATCCCCAAACTTAGTGGCTTAAAACAACAATAATGCATTATTTCTCAAGATTTGAGAATGTGTTTCCTCTGTTGTTCTTGCCTGGAGACACTCATATGGCTGCAGTCATTTGAAGGCCTTGACTGGGACTGGAGGTGACAGGTCTCTGGCCTCAGCTAAAATAATTGGAATGACTGTGATAGTTGGACCTCATGTTCCACATGGACTTTCATCACAAGCATTATCCACTAAAGATGCTAGCTTCTGCCTCTTTCCATCAAATACTATGACTTTTCAGTAAAGCATCTTGTGTTAGGCCTGTAACCACTATTTGTCAAAGGAGTCATTAGTCAGAAAAAAGGGCAGCATGACACAGAAGAGAGCAAGGACAAGCGTGACTGGGCAGGTACCTCTGCATTTGTCCCTTACTACATCTGACCACAAACTTCAGGGAACAGTAGGCTCTGCTCCACTTTTGCTTTCCAAGTGACGTGAATGTTTTCATCCAGCCAACTCAAACCTGGAACCACTCTGGGAAGAGAACTCTAGGAAACATAGATCCCAGCTGAACCAGATTAAAACAATTCAAACCACCACATTTCTCTCCTTCAAATACACTTAGATTTTCTGAGTCTCACTTCCTTCAACTAAAAGAATTGGAACATTAATAATGTGATAATCAGGGTCATAGCAGAAAATATATGAAACACTCACAGGTAGATGATTTAATAGAAGTACTAATTATCAAACCTGGACAGGTTTGGGGAATCAGAAAGGGCTGTGAAGAATCCAGAAAATAACAACAGTGGTACGGTGTTTTCACTTCTGGGTCGAAAGGGGCAAAAACAGGTAATGGTATTAGAGAAGACTAACGATAGCTTAAGATAATGAAAAAAGGGCCACCCAGAAGGAGTTTTTAACATAGAATGCAGCAGGTCTCCTAGAACTGCAGCCAGGCAAAGAATAAGCAAAAACAAAAAATCCTGCTATCCAATCTTCTGTCCCCCATTTTCTCTATTCAGTGGATCTGTGGCATTCCTAGAACCTTGGTCTTATGGGACCATATATGGAATTAGAGGTGAAGGAGTTAAAGCCTTAGTACCAAATGTATTGGGAGGTCTAATTAGAGACACCTGCATAAAACCAACATGATCTGAAGGTTCTGTCAGATAATGATTGAAAACCATAAGACAATTCTGTATGTCTTCTGTGAAGGGAGAGCACAGGAATACCCTCTGTTTTTTCAGCCTGGACTTGAAGAGCAAAAATCAGAAATAAAAGTCTCCCTGAGAAATCCTAAGAAGAAATTTATATTTCAGGGATTGTGACTAGAATTCATCTTACTCACTGTAAAATGAATCAGCTGTAAAATTTTGAGGCAAATATTTTGTAAATTGGTCTTATATTAAGACCAATTTTTACATTAATTCTTTACATTAAGACTTCTGGAAGCCTATCAGAAGTAAATCCATACCCTTCCTGGATAAATTCACCTTAAACTCAGGACTCAAAATACTCTCAAAAACTAAGGTCCAAGAAGCATGAATCCACAATCTCACATTAATTTCAAAAGTAGTAGAGAAGAGGCTGCCATGAGCAAGATTTTCACATGGACAAGAGCAAGAAGTGGTCTATGGAAACAAAACTACAGACCGAAGATATTGAAATTACCAGAAATGTGCTTGAAAATAAGTATAATACACTTATTAGATTTTAAAATAACACAATAAGCTGAAGTGTTACAAAGTAAAAGCTTCTATGTAAATTAATCAGACTGATACAAAAATTATATAAGGAAAAAATTAAAATTAAAAATACAAATTAAAATAATTGTTTAATCCTAAGGTTAGGGCATAACTTAGGAGACAGTTGGTGAGCTGGAAGACTGATGCAGTAAAAAAACTTAGGGGACTATGTGAAAAGACAAGACTCTTCAAGGGTAGGTTGGAAAGGCCTAATATAGGCTAATTACATTTTCAGAGTAAATAGCAGAAGAGTATGGGGAAGAGGCCCAAATGAAATACATAATGGCTGAAAATTTTCAAAAAATGATTTAAAATGCATTCCTAGATTCAGAAAGCTCTAAAAATTTCACACCTGTAGACACAGTAGTGAAATGGTCAAAAATCAAAGGAAGAACTTAAATGCAGCCATAAAGAAAAGATTACTCCTAAGAAAAAGAATAACAAGTAGACAAACAACTAACTTTTGGAAATTGAAAAATAATGAAATATTATCTTCAATGAACTAAGAGAATAGAATATACTATCAACCTAGGAGTCTACACTGAGAAAAGTTGTCTTTCAAAAATAAGAGCTAAATAAGCATATTTTTAGAAGAGTCTTCAAGAAATTGCTGCCAACAGATCCACACCAATGGAACTCCTTATAAAGGATGTATTTAGTAAAGAAGGAAAATTACCCCAGAAGCAAAGTCTGTAATAAAAGAAAAAATGATCAGGAAAGTAAATGATAAATATGAATATTTAAAATATTGAATGAATAACAGTAAAAATAATGTCTAATTTGGGGGACAAAGGAAAGTTAAAGGAGAAATACTACAAAATATTATATGATGAGTGGAATTGGTGAATAAAATTATTCATGAGGGGGATAAAATATTGATTAAATTTATACAGTGTTAAGTAAAATAGACACATTTAAATCACTCAGGTAACATTTAAAATACTAGAAACCAAGTATACCAACCAAGTATACCAACTAGTCATAGTAGTAAAAAAAAAAAAAAAAGACATAAAAGAGAAACCTAATTAACCCAAAAGAAGGAGAGAGGAAAAAGTATGAGAAGGAAAGAATAATAAAGGATGGAAAGGGGAGGGGAGGAGAAGGCTGGGAGAGAGAGGTCAGATAGATAGTAGCAAATAGCCTAAAAGAAATAGGCCTAAATATGTCAGTAATCACAAAGAGAATAAATAGGTGAAATTCTTTAACTAAAAAATTGAGTAGCAAAACAGGAGCAACATCTAAAATATAAGGTAATTATACTGCTAGATCAAGCTGAGAAAGAATTGCTAATTATATAGTAATTTTTAACAGCATATGCATTCAGTAAACAAAATGAAACAGATTATTCTAATAATTAAGACAATATTAATTTTAAAAATTTAAAGTAAATCTTTAAACTCTGATAATGGGTATATAGATCAGTGGGGCTATGGAGGACTTACTTTTTTTCTTCAAATTTGTTTGTATTTGCCAAACTCTTTCATAGATATGTTTATAATTAGAAAACAACAAAATAAAGTCATTTCACTTTGGAAATAACTCAGAATAGTTGTTCAGAGAATCTTAGTTTCCTTTCCCCTCCTTATAGGAGTTTAAATTGTTGATTAGGATATGGTATTCTGGATGTCCAGAATAACTTTTTTTAATATTTGAAGAGAATATGATAGGAAAGAAGTAAAATGGTGTTAAGTACTAAGCATTCACCATTGTTTTGGCAAAATATTTCAAAATAACCAAGTGTGGTGTAAACATTTTGATAAAAGCTAAAAGACTAGTAAGTGAAAGGAATAAAAAGCAAAAAGAAACATAAAAACATGTATAATTTATTGATCCATTACTATGTGCCTGAAGTTTCGTTATATTAGTTCCATTTGACAATACTCTGAAGTCTATACCATCATTATTCCCATATTGTAGAAGAGGAAACTTCTGACACAAAGATATATAGTCAGTTTCCTGTAATCTAGTTGTTGATTAAGCCAGGATGTGTAATCTGCGGAAAAAATCTCCACCTGCCATGGGGTCCATCATAACTGTAAGATACCATCTTCCTTTTGCAGTGATGAGTATAATATTATTAGACTATAAGGGATTATAGATTCTTTTAATAAACTATTATGACAGTGACTTATATAACATATTATGACCATAAACTGTTGATATGGTTTCACTGTGTCCCCACCCAAATCTCATCTTGAATTCTCACATGTCGTGGGAAGGATCCAGTGGGAGGTAATTGAATCATGGGAACAGGTCTTTCCTGTGCTGTTCTCCTGATAATGAATAAGTCTCATGAGATCTGATGGTTTTAAAAAGGAGAGTCTCCATGCACAAGCTCTCTCTTTGCCTGCTGCCATCCACATAAGATGTGACTTGCTCCTCCTTTCCTTCTGCCATGATTGTGAGGCCTCCCCAGTCATGTGGAACTGTAAGTCCAATAAACCTCTTTATTTTGTAAATTGCCCAGTCTCGGGTATGTCTTTATCTACAGCATGAAAATGGACTAATGCACCTGTATAACACTGACATATACCTTGGAAAGCATTGTTAAGCTTCCTTTGGATTTTTTTTCAAACTGCAAGCTGCTTCTCGCCTTCTCATCTCAAGGTGCTATCTTCTCTCATTCTAATCCTGGGTCTGTAAAATGTCTTCCACTTACCTTTGACTTCTTTCATTTCTTATTGATAAACTGCAGTAGCTAATTAAATCCTAAGAGGTTTTGGGGGTTATTTGGTAGAAATATGAGAAGTAGTATTTTGACAAAGCATATTAAAATATCTACCACACACGAGTCCACGAATCCTAATTAGTGAGGCTCAATCTAAAATTATATTTGCAATTTTTCTAACTAAAGTTATACTTGTATATCTAGACCCATGCTTTCCACTCCAGGGAAATCATGAAATCATGATTTAAATTCCACTTCCATTTTCTCACTTGTTTACTGAGAATAATAGCACCTGAATATTACTTCCCAAGCAACGTGTGAAAAACTGATAAGACAGATCCAAAAAATAAAAATAAAAAGAGTGCAGAGCCAAAAAAAAAAAGAAAAGAGAGAGATATTTTACATTAAAATGAACAAGTTATTGAGAGTGACTGAAATATGAATAATTTAATCTACAAAATCTTTCTATCCACTCAAATAATTTGGATGTAAAGACAGAAGTCACACAGTTACTTTCTTTCAATTTTTTATCCTTTCCTTAGTAACTATAGGGGTTATTTTCTGTTGCCCAAAGAAACACAAGATATGATTTTCATCAGATTTTCTGGGTCAGTATGTATTAGAGGAAAATCCAAGAACCAGGAACAAGATAAGGTGTGTGGTTTCTCATTATGCAACAAGGTTCAGAAAGATCATAGAGGAATTTAGTAGGGCCTGTCAGATATCACATTCATGGAGAGGAACTCTGGCCCTTGAACATGGAAATGTTTGTTTACATTTTATGACTGGGGAAATAGCAACTTCAATCCTAGTGAGAACATGGGCTGGATCCAACAACAGCATGACTTGGCAAGTCACTGAACTTCTCCCTTGTTTCACTATATTATTACTTATCTTCTTTGAGAGCATTAAGCCCTTCTTCCGTAAGTCAGTTTCGCTAAAAGAAGAGCCTGAGACAAGGATTCTTGAGCAAGTGATTTATGGAGTGATTGCTCTCAACTGAATCCAGTACAGGAGCAGGTAATAGGATTGAACTGAGGAAGAAACTAGGCAAAGAAATGGGCTCAGCTGAAGTCTAGCCTGATCGAACAGGGCTTTCTGGAGTATAACTGACACTAGAGAGCTGTCTCAACTTGATGAAAGAGGGGTGACTATTTGTACCCAGTATCTATTAAAAACTGGCTATCAGCTGTCTCTGAGGAAAGGCTTTACTCCTCTGACATGTCTGGGTGAGTAATTTCCTTTAGTCAAGAACAATTATCAGGAACAGAATATAACTATGAGCTGTTAATAGCCAACATCCAAGCAGTGGAAGGCTGGAGGCACTGATCTGGTAAAAGTGATTTGAGTGAGGCAGCAATAGTGTCTTTTATACTTTCCCAATGCCCAATAATAGGGTCCCAGGAGACAGCTCCTTATAGGCCACCCCATCACACCAAGTGTGTTGGTATCCTAATCTGATATGTATGGTACACACTTTTGGGCTTTCCTCATCTCCATCCTTCAGATGGCTCATATTTTTCCTAGCATTCTATCTACCTTATGCACTAAATGGTTAGTTGATTTAAGTAGGATTGGGTACAATATCCTTTTCATCACATTTCTTTCCTAAAATAATAACAATTATAATAATAGTTTTATAAGGAAACCCTAGGTGGTAGATCCACTGATTAACTTGGTTTTATTGAGGTTATTTCCTTAATTAGAGAGTCAGGGATGATGGAGTTCACATGGTTTATGGGGTTTAGTGCCCCTTCTTCATGGTTTCCATTTAACTGAACTGTGTAGCACAACAGAAGCATCAGGCCATCTCAGCCATACCACACCACCACATGTAAACGTTTCCCACTTGTAGACTGATTTCTGGTCCCTTGATTTGTTACCAGCCTTCCATGCTGGACACCAATAAAAATGGCTTGGCCAGTCAGGCACGGTGGCTCACACCTGTAATCCCAGCACTTTGGGAGGCTGAGGCAGGCGGATCATGAGGTCAGGAGTTCGAGACCAGTCTGGCCAACATAGTGAAGCCTTGTCTCTACTAAAAATACAAAAAATTAGCTGGGTGTGGTGGTGTGTGCCACTAATCACTACTATTCGAGAGGCTGAGGCAGGAGAATCACATGAACCCAGGAGGCCGAGGTTGCTGTGAGCCAAGATTGCGCCACTGCACTCCAGGCCAGGTGACAGTGTGAGATTCAGTCTCAAAAAAAAAAAAAAAAAAAAAAAAAAAAGCCTTGGCCATAGTAGCTATTTCAATAACAGAAAGACAATGGCCATATAGAACACATTTTGTTCGCTGAACAGCATTTATTGGAAAAAATGAACAGAAACTGAAAAAGTAAAAGGTGTGTCTTCACACCATCACCCACCTCAATATGGCCCAGTAAACTAGTATTTAGTAGGACTGGGCATAAATTCTAGGAAAGGAACCTGGCCATTGGTAGTGGAGATTTTTTAGTTATATGATTGGAGAAGAGCCTGTTTCTTCTTCTATCTTTATTGGTAGGCTGGGGTTCAAGCCAGGAGACTGCAGCTATCCAACAAAACAGAAACTTGTTATCTGACCCAATTCTACCATTTTAGTAATCAAAGTTCGGAGCACTAGCTGGAGTATAGTCTGTAGGTTGCAGCTTTTGTGATAAATGGAAAGGTGACCTGATTTCTTACCTCATTTTACTATCATTTAGAGTATTTTGGTAAAGCCAATTTTGATAGCATGTTAGAGGAGGCCTAAAGTAACAGGAAATCAGTCCTGAACAAGTTAAGTCTTACTTTCATTTTTATACAGGAAAATTTAGTTATTTTTAAAAACGTAATCTCTCTCTACCTAAGAAGAAACTTAGAATTATAAAATATAGCTGGAAGGACTTTAGCAATCACCTAGTACAATATCCACATAGCAAAATTAAAATAGAATTTTCAGTGGTGATAAAGATATGGATTTTATCAGATTCTAAAGGACTATGTGTCAGTTCATGTCCTCTGAGAAGCAGATGTCAAGATGGGTGATATGATTTGGCTCTGTGTTCTATCCAAATCTCATCTCAAATTGTAACCCCACGTATCAGGGGAGGGGCCTGGTGGGAGGTGATTGGATCATGGGGATAGATTTTCCTTTCGCTGTTCTCATGATAGTGAGTGAGTTCTAATGAGCTCTGATCATTTCTCCATTCTCTCTCTCTCTCTGTTTCTCTCTCCTGTTTCTTCATGGTAAGATATGCCTTCTTCCCCTTCGCCATGATTGTACATTTCCTGAGGCCTCCGAATCATGCTTCCTGTTAAGCCCACAGAACTGTTAGTAAATTAAACCTCATTTCTTTATAAATTACCCAGTCTCAGGTATGTCTTTATAGCAGTGTGAGAGTGAACAAATACAGAAAATTAGTACCATGAAAGTGGGGCACAGTTATAAAGATACCTGAAAATGTGTAATTGAGTTTGGAACTGGGTAACAGGCAGAAGTTGGAACAATTTAGAGGGCTCAGAAGACGACAGAAAGATGTGGGAAAGTTTGGAACTTCCTATGGACTTGTTGAATTGTTGTGACCGAAATGTTAATAGTGGTGATGAATTCCAGGATGATGTGGTCTCAGTTGAAGATGAAAAACTTATTGGAAACTGGAGTAAAGGTTTACTCCAGTACTTGCTACTGGAGTAGGTTTGCTACTGCTATGCTTTAGCAAAGAGCCTGGTGGCATTTTTGCCCTTGACCTAGAGATCTATGGAACTTTGAACTTGAGAGAGATGATTTATGGTGTCTGGTGGAAGACATTTCTAAGCAGTAAAGCGTTCAAGAGATAACCTGGTTATTTCTAAAAGTGTATGCTCACAAAGAGATTATCTGAAATTAGAACTTACATTTAAAAGGGAAGCAGAGAATAAAAGTTTGGAAAATTTACAGCCTGGCCATGTGGTAGAAAAGAAAACCCCATTTTTGGTGAAGAAATTAAGCCTGCTGCAGAAATTTGCATAAGTGAAGAGGAGCTGAATGTTAATCCACGACAATGGGGAAAATGTCTCCAGAGCATTTCAGAGACCTTCACAGCAGCCCCTCCCATCACAGGCCTGGAGCTCTAGGAGGGAAAAATGGTTTCATGTGCTAGGCCCAAGGCCCTGCTGCTTTGTGCAGCCTTGGGACATGAGGCCCTGTGTCCCAGCCTCTCCAACTCATGCTGTGGTTAACAGGGGCCAAGGTACAGATCAGGCAATGGCTTCAGAGGATCCAAGCCCCAAACCTTGGCAGCTCCCATGTGGTATTGAGCCTGAAGTTCCACAGGAGGCAAGAGTTGAAGCTTGGGAGCTTCAAGAGATTTCATAGGATGTATGAAAACACCTGGATGTCCAGGCAAATGTCTATTGCAGGGGCAAAGCCCTCATGGAGAACCTCTGCTAGAGCAGTGCAAAGGGAAAATGTGGGGTTGGAGCCCCCACATAGAGTCCCCACTGGGGCACTGCCTAGTGGAGCTATGAGAAGAAGGCCACTGTCCTCCAGATTTCAGAATTATAGATCCACTGACAGCTTGCACCACGTGCCTGGAAAAGCCATGGATGCTCAATGCCAGCCCATGAAAGCAGCTGCAGGGGCTGTACCTGTACCTTGAAGAGCCACAGGGGTGGGGCTGCCCAAGGCTGTGGGAGCCCACCTCTTGCATCAGCATGACTTGGATGTGAAACATGGAGTCACAGGAGATTATTTTGAAGCTTTAAGGTTTAATGACTGTCCTGCTGATTTTCAGACTTGCATGGGGCTGGTAGCCTCTTGGTTTTGACCAATTTCTCCCTTTTGTAACAGGAGCATTTACCCAATGCTGGTACCCACATTGTATCTTAGAAGTCATTAACTAGCTTTTGATTTTACAGGCTCATAGGCAGAAGGGACTTGCCTTGCCTCAGATGAGACATTGGACTTGGACTTTTAAGTTAATGCTGCAATGAGTTAAGACTTTGGGGGACTGTTGGGAAAGCGTGGTTGGTTTTGAAATGTGAGAAGGACATGAGATTTCAAAGAAGCCAGGGGTGCACTGGTATGGTTTGGCTCTGTGTCCCCACCCAAATCTCATCTCAAATTGTAATCCCCATGTCTCAGGAGAGGGACCTGGTGGGAGGTGACTGAATCATGGGGATGATTTCCTCTTTGCTGTTATGGTGACAATGAGTGAGCTTTCATGAGATCTGATTGTTTAAAAGTATGTGGTACCTCAGACCATCCTGGCTAACACAGTGAAACCCCATCTCTACTAAAAAAAAAAAAAAAATACAAAAAATTAGCCTGGTGTGGTGGCGGGCACCTGTAGTCCCAGCTACTCATGAGGCTGAGGCAGGAGAATGGCGTGAATCTGGGAGGAGGAGCTTGAAGTGAGCAGAGATTGCGCCACTGCACTCCAGCCTGAGCGACAGAGTGAGACTCCATCTCAAAAAAAAAAAAAAAAAGTATGTGGCACTTCTGTTTTCTCTTTTTCTCCCTCTCTCTCCTGCTTCACCAAGGTAAGTCGTGCTTACTTCCCCTTCACATTCCACCATGATTGTACATTTCCTGAGGCCTCCTAGCCATGCTTCCTTTACAGCCTGCAGAACTGCAAGTCAATTCATCCTTTCTTCATAAAGTTCACAGTCTCAGGTATGTCTTCATGGCAGTGTGAGAATGAACAATACAATGGGCTTAGAGGTACAAGAGTTTTTTTGGGGAAAATGCCAGCCAAGGATAAGGGAAAACAAGCAGGAATTGGCAGAGCAAATATTCAAGCCATCGTGCAGGTCTGACATTTGTAAAACAGTGGAGGTAAAGAAGGGTTGGACAGAAGAGCCTCACACTAGTGCATTTCTAGTAATTTTCAGCAAGGATGGTGGGATGCACTCAAGCAACCATTGTCATTATAGGTAGTTTTAGAAAATAATTATATAGGATAACCAGTTCAATTTGATTTTGAAATCAACAAAAAATAATTTTTAGTAGAAGGATTCCCCAAATATTGTATGTATACTTACACAAAAAAATTACTTACTGTTGACCTATAGTCAAAATTAATTGGTATCCTGCATTTTATCTGGCTACCCTAATTACAGGTAATCCCTATCAGGTAGAAATGGACTAGCAGTAGTACCTTAGTCATTACGTGAGAGCAACCAGAGTAAGTGCAGCCTTGATGCAAACATTGTAATTGAAGAGGCAGCAGAAGGGACTGTCAGTCAGCTATGCTCCTCACAGTAGGTTAGCCTGAAGATTTGAGCAACATACCTGACTGCCACAGACTTGTGGACAACATGCAAAACACTGGCCCATTTAACATGTATTTCACAAAGTTTGGGGACATCTAGTAGTCTAGTGCCTGATTCTTACCTAAAACACCTGGAGAGCAAGGACGGGGCTGGCTCCCTGCTCATGGATGAGTCAAGAAGGAACTGGCTGCTTTGAAGACTTCCAAAGTCTGTCCTAGCAAAGAATGTGTGGGCATTTTCCTTGGACTAAGGGTAGGCCAGAAAGAGTAGGATGCCAGTGTCAGGGAATATTCCTGTCATCTTTGACACTGTCCATCAAAGATGACTGCCTGATGCAGTGATCAGACCTGGAATGGAGACTAGTGATATAACCAAATCAATAAGAACTCATTGTCAACAACAAGCTAGAGATGCATCACTTGAATCAGGTGAAACAAGTGAAAGGTCTCAGGGATGAGGTGTCACCAAAAACAAATAAAAGCCCTCTATGTCACTTTTGCCATGGCAACAAACAGCTCCCAAATCTCAATGGTTTATAATAAGAAAATGTATGTCTTGATCTTGTTATATGATGGGTATACAGTACTTTAACTTCAGCTTTGATCAGCTCTAAGATTTCAGAAGGTCTACTATCCACGTGTCTTTTCATTCCAGAATCCAGATTGGAAGAGAAGAAATCTTGAGGGTGTGCTGTCCTCATAGCAGACAATAGACCCTTGAGCGGGTGAGCTGTGGCACACATGCTCTGTTAAGCATCCACTGAGAACTTCCACATCTTCCCTTTCCAATGTTCAAAGTAAACTGTGTGGCCAAGCCCAAAGCCATTGGGTGGAGGTGCCTCTTGGGTGGCACTAGGAAGTCACAGGCAATGGTTACAGATGAATAGTACGATCCCAAGGAAGAGAGATTATTTTGGAGTTGTTATGGGTTGAATTGTGTCCCCCACCTCCAAGAAAAAAATCTACTGGAATTTTAACTCCTAGTACCTCAGAATGTGTTCTCATTTGGAAATAGGGTCTTTACAGACATGATCAAATTAAAATGAGGCCACTGAGTGTTCCAATCCAGTATGACTGGTGTGCTTACAAAAAAGAGGAAATTTAGACACAGAGACTCACACGCTAGAATGCCAGGTGAAGTTGAAGGTCTTCACAGGCAGAGATTATAATGATATGTCTATACGCCAAGGAACACCAATGATCACCAAAAAACCCAACAGAACCTTGGAGAGAAGCCAACAGATTCTCCCTCTCAGTGCCTGTGAAGAAACCAGTTCTGCACTTTGATCTCTGACTTCTAACCTCTTGAATTGTGAGAGAACAAATTTCTGTGGTTTAAGCTACCAGTTTGTGGTATTTCATTGCAGCAGCCTTAGCAAGCTAGTACAGGAATAAAATCATCTAAAACTTCTGCCAAGTCCAGAGTGTGTCCAAGCCAGACCATCTACACTGTCCATGACAAAGTCTTTCTGCTCCTCTTCCTCTTATGGCTTTGACACGCCAACTCTTGAGGGGTCACTAACAGTAGCATTCCTGATTTAAGCCAGGTCTTGAGGAAGCCTCTAATTAACATTAGGTTCAGAGTTTTTATTACATGTGACAATGGGCAATTTTGTTACTCAATTAAGACTATGTTTTGTGACTTCAAGTAACCAGAAGCCTTCATAATGCCTAATAGGAGTCAGAAATGTCATGGGCTTTGCTAAAGTGTTTCATTCAGCAAGGAAAAAATTAGGTCTCAAAGCAGTTTTAAAGAGACAATGGAAAACCCAAGTAAAGTAGCTATAATTGTATTCAAGAGTTGTGCTTGTTTGAAGAAACACACACTCATTTTACAAATGAAGAAACTTGGACTTGGAGAATGTAAATGAGTTGCTTAAGGTCAAACAACTAATTAGTGGCAGAGCTGGGACTAGATCCAGATTCTTCCCTTTCCCTATTTAATTTCCAGTAAACTCTGCTGACTTATCTTGTAGACTGCAGAATTATTTTTAGACTATCAGAAGTGCCGGGCTTTTTTTTTGTTTTGTTTTCCAGCACAGTCACATTGAAACACAGTTGGGCAGTTCCTCAAAATGTTAAATATAGGATAACCATATGACCTAACAA
This sequence comes from Homo sapiens, assembly GCF_000001405.40. Taxonomy (NCBI): domain Eukaryota; kingdom Metazoa; phylum Chordata; class Mammalia; order Primates; family Hominidae; genus Homo; species Homo sapiens. The sequence goes on along the minus strand of NC_000001.11, from coordinate 194,055,602 downwards.
TTCCACTTTCTGGTCTATATTCAAGAAAAATGAAAACATATATTTACACAAAAATGTGTACAGAAGCTCTTCACAACAGCATTATTCATCATAGCCAAAAGAATGGAAACAATCCAAATCTCCATCAACTCATGAAGAGATAAACAAAATGTAGTATACCACACGATGAATATTATTAGGCATTAAAAAGGAATAAAGTGCCGATACAAGCTACAGCATGATCCTTGAAAACATTATGCTGAGTGAAAACTCAGGTCACTGAAGACCATACATTATCTGATTCCATTTATATGGAATGTCCAGAATAAACAAATGTATAGATACAGAAAGTAGATAAGAGATTGCCTATAATGGTGGGAAGTGGGTAATGAGTGACTTCTAATAGGCATAGAGCTTCTTTGTGGGGAAATTCAAACCTTCTGAACTTACTTGTGATGGTTGCACAACCCTGTGAATATATCCCCAACCACTGACTTCTACAGATTTAAATGGGTAATTTTATAGTGTGTGAAGTATACCTCAATAAAGATATAAAACAAAAGGAATACATTTTACTTGAAGCAAAATCATTGTATATTTTATTTTTATTTTTTTAAATAGAGATGAGGTCTTGTTATGTTGCCCAGGCTGGTCTTGAACTCCCGGGCTTAAGAGATCCTCCTGCTTCAGCCTCCCTAAGTGTTGGGATTACAGGCATAAGCTACCATGCCCAGCTTTAACATATTATTTTAATCAAACCAAAAGAAACTTTGGAATTTTTTACTATTTAAATCTTCCCACAATTTGTTCTCTTTTGTTCTGCAACTTAGGCAAGACCTTAGAACATGCTCAGCAAAAAGTGTGCCATCTGGTTCAAAGAGTTGTTATATCACCAAAAAGGAAGCTTATCAGTTTATGTAGAAAAAAAATGCATTTAGTTTTCTACAGCAAAGCTAGTATTTTCACTGCTCAAACAAATTTTAGTGAACCTGAATTTATATCTTGCCCTCTTTACCCACTCAGCAACTCATATATTCATGTCTTGTAACTTAGTCCTGAACAGCCTTACTCTCAGCAGACAACATTCATGAATTAAGACTTAAAATAAGCTACTTTAACATTGGAAGATAATGACCCTTAGATACTCCAGAGAATGTGGAATGGTAATACTCTCTCTATTCCTTCTGCAAAACACTGTAACAATCAATGAGGATACTATATAATCTTAAGAAATCTAACTTTCAAACTGTCATATGCATTTATTCACAAGGTTATGAAGATTAACTCTTCTCTTTATAATTTGGTGTATCTCTAACAGCAAAATCTTATGAGTATAAATCATAATATAAATGTTTTAGAAAATTGGTATCACAAAATTCAACAACTGGTAAAAAAATGAACTTTTTAATGAGATCTTAACAACTTCAACTTGTTTATTTTTCAGTGTCTCTATTACGAACGCAATTAAGCATAACGTCGCCCTTGAGAAAACTTTAAATGATTTTGCAGGAAATCTTAGTAACAAAGTACACAAAATATACAGAAGGTAGTTGGCAAAATGGACTTGGAAGGTATTCTAGAATCAATAGAGAAAATGTAGATAACATTATTGACTCAAGATACCTCACATTGTTATTACAACTATATTTGTGCCTTCAATCTGTTTGACCTTAATGTATCTTTAGGCAGCATTGATTATCTTTACTTTCATGAAATTCTTTCTTCCTCTCTTGGTTCTATAATCTTATTCTACCTTTTATCTAAGTCCACATTTTTCTCTGAATTTTCTTTCATTCTTTTTCCTTCCATTTTTAAAATCTCTCCTAAAATCATGAAAATCAGAGCTTCCTAATAGTGGAATATTTAAGAGAGCTCATTCTCACTCCCTCCACCCCTTTTTGTTATATATGATCTCTTGAGCTCTCTCTTCAAGCATGAAGTTCTAAGAGCCTAAAAAGGAACATGATAGATGAAAAAAGAACAAAAGCACAATGAAAGTAAGAAAAAATATGAATTTTTCAACATGGTATGATAGCAAAAATAGAATGGTATTAAAAATATTAAAACTATTATTTCATATTGATATCATTTGGGAAGGACATAGTAAGTGGAGGTATCATGGTTTGAGGAGTGTAACATGAGCTTTTGCTTCTGATAGACTGGAGCTAAATTCTAACCCTGTCATGTGTTGAATATTTTACCTTGAAAAACTTACATAACGTCTCCAAGCTTGTTTCCTTATATAAAATTTTGATAAATGTTTATTAGGGTTGTATTTGTGTATGTTTGTATGTGTATGTGTGTGGTAATGGTTTAAGGCAATGGTGATATCATTTTGGTTCCCAAAATTTACAACTAGAATTCACAGCTGAAAACAAAAGGAATTAAGTAATGCATTCTGTGTCTAGTGAATTATTAGCCTTGGGCACAGCTCCTACCCCACAGGACTTACTGAGATGTATCATTTGGGCAGAACCAACACAACACTCACCCCCAACACACACACACACATATCCCCACACATTCACATGCTGTGATAATTTCCAGTATTAGAATTCCTGAGTCAGTGGATGTGGTTGTTCAAGTGCCTGGAACTGTCAAAACATGAAAAATGTATCAGAAAAAGTTATGGTGGAGCAGAAAGAGAGAGAAGGCCAGGTGGGCATTGTGTATTCCCCCCAGGGACATGGTAAGAATATGTTCCCATACAAGTCCAGTGCACACCACAGAAAGTGCCTGAGAATTAATCGGATCGCCAGAGCATTCTCTAAAGAACCCACACATGCACCCCTGCTCCCTAAAGGAACACCTTCCCAAACTTCTATTTGTTTTAAGTCTACTTAGGAGCTCTCAAGTAGTGTTTTAAAGACTTCCTCATAGAGGTTTTGCACAGTGTTTACAATTTCTACTTCTATGTATTTTCTCTTTTGTGGTGTTACAGGAAATAGTGCTTTCATTTTTAACATGCCTTCTGTCTGGATATAGTTTGCATGCATGAAAACTACCTATTTCTGAGGTTAATTTTGTATTCTGTTACTTTTAAGGATGGTATATTGTTATAGAAGTTTCTTGGTAGGTTGTTTCTATATTAGTTTCCTCTTAAGACTGTAACAAATTGCCATAAAAGTAGTGGCTTAAACTACCACAAATGTATGCTATTATAGTTCTAGTGGCAAGAAGTTTGAAATCAATTTTATTGGATTAAAGTCAAGGTATTGACAGGACTGGCTCCTTCTGGAGGCTCTAGGGAAAAATCTGATTTCTTACCTATTTTAGCTTCTACAGGCCTTGCTTGTCCTTTGGCTCATTGCTCCCTTTGTCCATCTTCAAGCCAGCAGTAAAGCATCTTCAAATTTCTTTCTCTCTAGCCTTCTGCTTCCTTGTTATATCACCTTCTATCTGACGGACTCTTCCTGCGTCCCTCTGATAAGGAGCCTTGTGATTACAGGAAACACATCCAGATTATCTAAGATGATCTCCTCATCCCAAAAGCCTTAATTCAATTACATCTGCAAAGTTCTTTTGCCAGGCAAAGGTCCCATATTCAGACATTCCAATGATCAGGCTGTGGACCTATATGGGGGTCATAATTTAGCCTACCACACTGTGACCTCCTGGGTATCACATGTTCTACTTTGCAAGTAGAAATAGTTTTTCCTCTTCCTCTAAATTATATTCACACATCTAGTTTCTTAGTCTTGTCCAACTGCACTGGCTAAATGTGACAGTAAAATATTAAATAATTGTAGTAATAGTGGGCATCATTTTTGATCCTGATATTACAAAACTGCCTCTAATATAATCACATTAAGTTGGATACTGGGTTTGGGGCAGATAGTTAGCAAGAGGAAAGATATATTCTATTTTAGGGAAGAATATATAAAATCTGTTTTATTCAGGCTTTGGTAAAAAAGTGTGGAATTATACGTACTATTCTCATCTACAAAATAGCCATATAATTCATACCAATGCATTTATTAAATGATGGATCATATAACGATACATTTTATACTATTAACATATTTTTAGGTTCCTAGAATCAATCTCACTTGAGCATATTTTAAAAAATATTTTTGAATGTTATGTGTTAATGTTTTAGCATTTCTGCAAAATATAGATTGAAATTGGTCACTAGTTGCATGTGTATGTGTGTATCAATTTTAAAAACTTTAGAGGATTTCCTTTATTTTCTATATTCTAGAGCAATAGAAAAGCACTAGCATTTTATGCTTTTTAAAGATTTAGCAAAATTTTCATAGGAAACTTGACTAGTAGTTTTAGGAGCAGCCCTTTGAAAAGTTTCTATATTTATCCCATGCTAATCAGTCGACTTAGTGATCTTCAATGCGATCGATTAAATTCTATTTCTATATGCTTTTTTCTAGTACATATGCATTTCATTTAGGGTTTTTTTTTAATATTTTCATGGAGTTGTTCGAAATAGACTCTTAACCTTTATTAAATAAGTGACCAAACTTAGAATTACTACAAATAAAATGATATGTATCTTCTGATGCTTTCCAAAAGCATTTAACCAAAGCTATCCATGAGAAAACAGTGTGCAATAATAATAAGACATTTCACAAGAAAACTTGTCTGGGTTCCTCAAAAATGCCAATATCAATGAAAGGCACTCATAAAATTATACATCAAACATGTATAGAAAGAACCACTGTTCTTTAATAAAGGAAATGAAATGGACATGACTGACCACCAAATTCAATGTACGAATGTTCATTTGGTTCTAGAACGAGAAACAAACAAAGCAATAAGAGCAAAATTCTGTAAAGAACAATTAAAATGCAATCAGGTAAATTGAATATATTGAATCAAAGTGAAATTTTTGGTATATGATTATATTAATACAGTAAGATTTGTTTTCTTAGGCAATATATGCTGAACTTTTTAGAAAGTGAAGAGTTGTGGTAAGTATTAATTACATTAAAAATATGTATAGGTTAACATATGAAAGAGTAACAACATATGTGATATTATAATCCACTGGTGAATTTAGGAGAAATGTATGTGAGTTTTTAATGTACTCTTCTTTCTTCTGTTGCTTTAAAATTTTTCAAATAAAAAGTTGGGAAAAAACATTTCCCTTATGACAAGATTGAAAAGAAACCCGCTTTTGATGATATTTGGCCTTTGCCATTTCTTATTTTGCACAGCTTCACATTCTTCCTTTCTTCCTAATTTGGCTAAGCAGTACTTTATCCCTTCTCTTTTTTCTTCTGAAAAATCAGCTTTTTTTTTTTTTTTGATGGAGGCTAAGGTATCTCTGTTTTCATTCTCATTAATGTTTTTCATTGTTATTAGTTGCTTCCTTCTTATTTACTTTGGCTAGCATTGTTCTTCTTTTTCTTAATTTTTGAATTTTAAACTTTAATAAGTTTTTATATACGTAAGTTTTTATGGTTATGCCATTTTCTTTAATCACTGCTATAGCTGATTATCATGGATTTTCATATTTTTAATTGACCTCTAAAAAATCTGCACTGTCAATTTATATTTCTTCTTTGATCCACGATCTGGAATCACCAGTCTGGCTGTATTTGAACTCAAGAACGTGATTTTGCTAGATTGGGTATTTGTGTAAAGAGAACGTGTCTCCCTTCTGGACACACACACTGTCCTGTAGCAAGGCTTGGACTGGGACTTGGGCTGAACTTCAGCCCCTATTTATTACAGTAGCTCTCGCATTTTGTGCAGAATAAAACTACAAAACCACCTATGGTGAACTTGATTTAACCTCATGTTACATTCCAAGTAATATCTCTAGGCGACTTCCCCAACTGCAAACAAGATAGACTTTCAGTGAATGTGTAGAAATAACCAGGAAGGGTGAAGAAAACAGAAAGGAGGAAGATAGAATATGAATTCCTGAGGCCAAGAATGGCCAAGGAGTCAGGGTTTTCACATAGAAAAAGCATGTTCCTAAGGAAATAAATACTGGATTCAGTAAGCAATGACTGTTAAATGATAATGATTACCCAGAGAGTTGGATAATCTAATTTTTAAAAGTGAAAATGTGTTTACCTGGAATTCAGAAAATAGTCTTGAAAATTGTGTAGCTGTGTCTCTATGCTCTTTGAGCTCCTTTGGAAAGTAACTTTTTTTCTGAAATAGCACTATTTCAATGTATATCACATAGTAAAGATGTAATAAATATGTATTGATGTATTGCTATATTAGTATACTGCAATTAATGTTACCTTAATTATTCAACTAAAGTTTCAAAATCATTTTCGATTCTCAATCCCATACTATCAACAATCAGTGACTTATTTCCATTGTGTATTATTTTTATTTTATTTTATTTATTTAGAGATAGGTTTCTCACTATGTTGCCCAGAGTGAAGTGCAGTGGCTATTCACATGTATGATCACAAGATCATACGACTCTATAGCCTTGAACTCCTGGGCTCCAGTGATCTTTCCTGCTCAGCCTCCCCACTAACTGGGTTACAGGTGCACACCACTGTGCCTGGCTAATATTTTAATTGTTACAATATTGTAGCATGTTTTGATATTCTAGTAGTACAAGCCACTCCAACATTACTTTGACCCAAAAAAGTTCTTATATTTTTAGATGTATTTAGCCTTCTAATAAAATTTAGAATTAGTTTGTCAAATTAAAAAAAAAACTTTCTAAGATATTAATGAGGACTTAATTGGATTTACAGATTACTGTGGAGAGAACTTTATTTCTAAACATTGCTTTTCCCACTAATAAATCAATATTTTATTTCATTTTTATTACTATATCTTTGTAAAATGTAAAGTTTTTTGAAAAAAACATTTTTTACATTTCTTTTTCAAAGTTATATTTTATGCACACATATGTAATATGTAATTGTACACAAAAGCATAAAAACCTCTATGCACAGGCACAGCCGAATATTTGGCCAACATTCAAGGTATCCCTGTGCAGATTTCTAGCACTCTTTTTTCCCTTGCTCCTACTACCCTAGAAAGTCCAGTTTCCTTTTATTTTCTGCCCAGTAAGATCACTGATATCTGGGCTTCATCTCCCCGTAGCTCTGAGTAGAAATTCAGGGTGAATTTGCAGCAAGTGGAAAATACAGAGGTTTCCTTCTTCCATTGATCATGCCTGTGTTGCCTGGTGCCTAGCGCCGATTACTTCATACATTTTGTTTCATTTTTTCCTGTTTACTACAGGAGAGTAATTTCAATATTCATTGATCAGTCATGGCCTGAACTGGAAACCCTCTGATTTTTACTAGATTTTTATTATGTAATTTAAGAGCCAAATAAGATTATATGTACTATAATAATGAGTTATAAATTGTAATAATAAAATGAACACTTGCTTACCTACTATCCCATTTATAAAGGAGAATTAATACTTTAAACTACCTATGGAATACTTTTATATTCCATCGCTGACTGTTCTACAACCCACATATAATCTCCTAAAGCACATTCCTCTACTTACTCTCTCACCTCCTCCTCCTCTACCTCCTACCTCTTATTGTGGTTCTCCCCCACTCTCCTAGGCTGCCTTCTCCTCTTGTCTCCTAGTATCTCTCTTCCTTCTTCTGTTTTTAACTGTTGATTTTCTCTATCACTATTTTATTTCTTTTTCTGCTCTTGTCATCATTATTTCTTACTTCATTAGCCATAACACTCACATACATATTTCACGCACTTACTTTACCTATAAGAAAATTCAGGGCCGGGAGCGGTGGCTCACGCCTGTAATCCCAGCAATTTGGGAAGCCGAGGCAGGCAGATCATTTGAGATCAGGAGTTCAAGACCAGCCTGGCCAACATGGTGAGACCCTGTCTCTACTAAAAATACAAAAATTAGCCAGGCATGGTGGTGCATGCCTGTAATCCCAGCTACTTGGGAGGCTGAGGCAGGAGAATTGCTTGAACCCGGGAGACAGAGGCTGCAGTGAGTCAAAATCATGCCATTGCACTCCAGCCTGGGTGACAAAGTGAGACTCTGTCTAAAAAAACAAACAAACAAAAAATGCAGAATGCTTGATATTGCAATTTCTATGTGTTTATTTTTACTTTTACTCAAAAGTTGGAATTGGTGTTTGTGAAACTGAAATCGATCCAATAGTCCCACACACAGTTTTTGTTTTGTTTTTATTTTTTATTTTTGTAAACATAGAAGTTGACCTTTCTGGTCATAAAGCTTGACGTTTATATTTGTTTCACCTGAGTTATTTCCTCAAGAAAGGACTCCCACGCCTCTCAAAAAGAGTATCAAGTATCAAAGAACTAAAACTCACTAGATCATTACATCCTGGCAATATGTGGCCAGGCCACTCATTTATCATGGTTGCTTCCTTACCCCTCCTGTTTCTGTTTTCCCACACACAGTTAATTTCTTCCATGCTATATAAACCCTTCATCTTTGTTGGTCAGGGAGATGGATTTGAGACTGATCTTCCATCTCCTCATCTGCAGTACCTGATTAAAGCCTTATTCCTTGGCAATACTCATCTCAGTCATTGGCTTTCTGTGCGGTGAGCAGCAGGACCCAGACTGAACCTTTGGTGTTTGGGTAACATAACATCATCTACTCTCTGCTATGTCTGAATATTTGTGTCATCTTATACTATGTTGAAATTTTAACCTCCAAGGTGATGGTATTAGGAGATACAGCCTTTGGGAAATCATTAGGTCATGAAGGCTCACTAATGGGATTAATTTCCTTATAAAAGGTATGACAGAAAAACTCTTGACCCTTCTTCTATGTAAGGGCACAGGGAGAAATTATCAGTCTGCAACCCAGAACAGAGCCCTCACAACACCCAGTCGTATTTGCACCCTGATCTCAGACTTCCAGCCTCCAGAACTGTGAGAAATAAATTTTTATTGTTTATAAGTCACCCAGCCTATGGCAATTTGTTATAACAGCCCTAAAGAACTAAGACACTCAAGTTGAGTATTTAATAGGTCATAGTGTTTATCCATAAGCCGCAAAAGAATAAAATGGATAAATTATTTTAAGAAATATTATAAGAAATTTATGACTTCTTGTTTTGAATAATACTTGATTTCTTAAACAATTTTTTTTTAAAAAGAGGGAGAAACTGTAACCAATTCATGTCGAAAACTTTTCTAAGTAAAAAGATTTTACAGTTGGACTTTCTTATTGTAAATGTATGCTCAGGTATTTTGAGCCCTCTACTAAATCTGTTTAGTAAGCTTAGGTTACAGTACATTCTCTCAGAACATTCAAATATGCACAGACTGTATGTTATGGTTGTTGTTCAACACTCTTCCATATACAGAATTAGCCTCTCTCATCTTCAGTTTCAACAATACCTTTCTACATTAGTTTAAAAAATGACACCTTATTTTTTGAGCTGAAAGACCTTAGACATAATGGAGTTTTATCTTCTTTCATTCTTTATAAATCTTTTTCAAAAATAAACCTTGGAGAACTCCATAGCATACTATTTTGAGAGTAATAAGGCTATTTTTGTTTGATCAAAAGATAGGAAGTATTCTTCCAACACAATTGCTCATATTGCTTAAATGGATTTCAACCAATTTTTGTCTATTTTGTCTTCTTCAAGTAACCTGACAATCCAGCTTTAGAATTTATACCTCAACTTCAAAACACAGACAATCCATGTCAAGAATTTTAAAATGGGATTTTCTTTCATTTACTGCTTAAGTCTTTTCTCTTCGGAAAGCTAGTGTTGTGCCTTTTACATATTAGAGCATCATAAAATGTTTTGTTCTTGTGTTTTTTATTTAACTCTCTGCTCATAGCCATTCATACCTGACTATAGTCTATTTACTTGGATCTCTTTTCTATGTGCCTGTATTATCTATTTGTTTGCTTTCTTGCTTTTGAGTTGACTTATTGTACTTTAGGATTCAGGAAAGAGAAATGAGAAATGCTGAGAGAATTGGAGTTTTATTATCAGTGGTTCTAGGAAGAAGCCTTTTTCCAACTCATCTTCCACCACGGATTAACTGGAATGCTATGACACTGCTATTTGTTATTTATGCCATTGTTTAATAATTGGTATGCTGAAAGTAGTATCTACTATGAGTCATACACTTTAGATATTTTCCTAGAAGCTACTTTTTGGTGGGGGAGGTAAAGAGAATGTGAAGGGCCTAGATACGAAAAAATGGAACTAGAAAGAAAAGTACTAAAGAAGAGTAAAACCAACTCTGTTTTGGAATTATTTTTATATCTCAGTCAAGATACCTACAGGAAGAAATGGTACACTGAACATGAGTAATTGAAGAAAGCATAAGAAAGAGAATATTTACAAATTTGTGTGAATATTAAAAAAAAAGAAAAAAAAACAGACAAAAAGCAGTTAGCATCCTTAGGTCTAAAGGGGCTAGGAGAAGGAGATTGTCTATTGGTTTGCTAGCACTCCAGTGTAAAGTACCACATGCTGCATGGCTTCAACAAAATACATTTATTTTCTCATGGGTCTGGAGGCCAGAAATCTGAGGTCAGAATGTGGGCAAAGTTGGTTCCTTTGAGGGCCATGAAGGAAGGCTCCGTTCTGGATTTTGCTCCTTGGCCTGTAGATGGCTATCTTCACCCTGGTCTTCACACTGTCTCTTCTTTGTACATGTACCACACCCAAAAAGAGCCACAGCTATATAGAAGAGACCCTCAAGTATGGAAATAATGCCAGACACTGTCAAACTTCACCTCACTGAGGAAAGACTAAGGAAATAGATACCTTACCTCTTGGTGAGTTCTGTCCTCTGATGTTCTCTCACTGTCCTCAAAGCCTAACCATAAACACAGAATAGAGAGCCTGTTTAACTCTGTCCTTAGAAGTTGGCCTTCCAAAGTACAGAACAAGTAGGACAAGGGTAGATTTGGGGTGGCCTAAGTAGAATATCTAGCACACCCTACCTCGAGAGAGTAACTCACAGGTCAGAGTGAAGGGAAGTGAAGAAGAGCTTTATAAGTGAAACTTATAGGATATGTTTTCAACTTACAAATGTCCTCTCAAAACAAGATTCTGAAATGCCTACCTAAAGATAAAAGTAATATAGCCTGAAAATCACAGTAATAGCACAATGACTCATGAAAGCATGAGTTAATGTTGAGCTAGGAGAAAATGCTGTTTTCCACCATTCTGAGGAGAGTTCGTTCTGAATGAAGTCTTCCTTAAGCACAAAAAGTTGCTATTCATTTGACATGATCAAAGAAGACATCTGTGGTGTCTTCTAATCCCCTTCAAAAGATTTCACTTCCTAAAATTCTAGTATTGGAGAATTATAAGTTACATTAGAAGATTATACATATCTATTGTAATCACTACATTATATTTTTTTAAAAAACTAGACAAATTACATTTAACAGAGTTTATTTAAGCAAAGAATGAGTCATTAATTGGACAACATTCAGAACCAGAAGAGGTTCAGAGAGCTCCACCCAGCAACAGGAGCAGCGAGGCTTTATAGGTTGAAGACAGAAGCAAAGTAGAGGAATCACCAGATTGGCTACAGCTAGTCATGTGCCTTATTTGGACTCCATGTAATCAGTCATTTGCTTATTTGGGCATGGTCTATCCGTTGGCTGCCTGTTATTGGCTGAAGCTCGGCTGTTTGTGATCATCTGAGATCTGGCTATATATTACAAAAATTACACTCAAGTCACATTGTTGTTTGTTATGTAGGAAATCAAAGTACAGAAACAGCCTCAGGTTAATGGCCTTCTCCTTTTTTACATTAACAAGGGCTACTGAAATTTAGTTAGATTACATGCAATATCTCAACAGCAGAAATATTAATTGTTGAACAGGATGAGAACTCAAGACTTCTTGTTACTAATTAGTTATGTTTTGCTTTTTTAAAAATTTGTTTCTTTTTTATTCACTGCCAATTTTACTACTCAAAGACCAATGTCACTAGAAATTGCCTTGATAAGTAAGGTCCTCCTGATTTTGGTCCTATGGAGCATTCTATACATTTCTTTCAGTTATACAATAGAGTTTTCATTGTTTTCAGAGCTATATTGCCGGCTCTCTTAGATGAGGACCGTGCCTTGCTTATTCATTACAGTACAGGGCTTTAACAGGTAATTCTTCAGTATCAGTAGTACTAAAAACCTGAGTTACCTCCAATGTTGAAGTTTCAAAAAAAAAAAAATCAGTGAGAATGAAAAAAAGAAACAAGATCTTTTAAATATTTTGCATAACTAAATCCAGAATAAGAAGTCATATAAAAACTCTACATGTAGAATAAGTCTCACAAGCTTAGTTCCTCTGAATAATACTTCAACAGCACCTTCATATATGTGTAAATATATCTCTATCCCCAATTGTACATATTAAATATATTAAATTGTGACAGTAGGTTCTTCCCCTTCATGACTATTTTTGGAAATGTGGCCACAGGGTAATGAATTATATAATCTATGTAATAACTTATACCTTACAGAATGCTCTTTAATAAAGCCTTGTGTAACTTCTTAAGCAAATCAGTTTAAACAAATGAGGAATTTTCAATAGGTTAATTTACTTGTATATGTTAAATCTTGAAGAGAGGTCTAGGTTAGGACCCTGCTTTCAGTTTATTATGCTTATAAGCGTAATTTCCATAGAAACAATTGCTACATGTTTCAGCTGGCGTGAGTGATCCAGTTTTCCATAATGTTTTTATTGTCACAGTTGGGAACTGTACAGTCTACTTCATTTCAATTATTAGAAACATTTTGACTATTATTCTACCCAAAAGGACTACGGAAAATGCTTTCTGTGTACACACAAGGTTTGATTTCAGCTAGCAGCTGTTCATTATAAAGGAAATGCTTCTGATGTGCTTTATTCCATAACACTTAAAACTATTTGGCAACCAAGAAGGCTGTTTTCCATAGTCTTTGGTGTATTTTTTTTTTCATTTTCAATTGTTTCTTGGCTATTTTATACATCTATTTAATTGTCTCAATATGTTTCTTCAGTGGAAAATAGCAGATTTCAGTTACCTATAATAAAATTGTTTTACTTGACCCAAGCTCTGAGTAATAATAAAATAGATGGAAACTTCTAAAATAGATTCAATTACCCCAGGCAAGCCCTTTCTTAGGAGCACTTTACCTGCAAGTGATCCTGCCCCCTTTCTGAGGGAAAGCTGGGCCCACTGTTACTAAAACAGTGTTTGCATTTTAAACCTTTAACTCTTACTCTCTGGGATATACTAACATTTTTATAATCATAGTTTTTGATGGAAAGTCTCCCACCCACAGGAACATTCTGGAAACACCCATCAAGCCTAAAAATATGAGTATCAGTAGGAAACAATTTATCCTCTGTTTCCTCTCCTGTGGTACATATATCCTTGATCTCTGCTCTCATTAGTGCCTTTGCTGGAAGGAAGTTTGTTACCTGCACAAAATTATTGGAATGGAATAGAAATGGATTTCCTAACTTAGGGTTGAGGTAAAAAGGCATGTTCCCAGATATTGCAATTAGAATCTGAAAAATATCTTCCACCTAAATAATCATATAAGTAGTTGTTAAGGTTTATGGTTCTATGAGTGGATTTGCACAGATAGATTATCAGCTTTTATGAACTGACCAGAAATCTTAATTATGATATATGATATTTTTCTTCTGAGAAAATTTCTTCCAAGTTTCTAACAACTCCTACAAAAGTACTTTTGGAATATAATATTGAGCAGTTGAGAACGTGTTGTTTTTGGGTTTCTAAAATTACTTATTTCGTAAATTATATATCTATAAAGATTAAGAAGACTTCTATTGATTCCCTACATTTGGTTAGTCTTTAAGTTGTATATATTTATAATCAATTCATCAAAAATTATGACGGCAAAAAGTGAAAAGTTTTTCCCACACTTATCTGCCACTGTTATTTCTTAGGTATCCTTCCAGGGTCCCTGTATGTATTATCAAGAAAATGCAAATAAAAGTTATTTTTAATCTTATTTAAACAATGCATACACACTATTACTGTACACAAAGCTGTTACTATTTTATATATATATAAAAGATTAATATATGCTATATTTTATATTTATGTCATACATATATATGCATCCTTGTTAATGAATATTGTGCTCTTTTCCAATTGTTTGGTAATTCAACCATTGCTGCATGAATAAACTTGAACATGTCACTTCATACACATGCAAACATAGCTTTAATATAAATTATTGGGAGGTCAAAAATAGAATAGGTCCAATAATATATGAACTTCTAAGTATTTTCAGAAAGTGTCCAGTTGTCCCCCACAGAGGTTTGCAATTTACATTCCACTTACAGCCTATGAAAGTGCCTCTTTCCTGACAATCCACCAACAGAGATGTTGTCAAATACCTTTTGGGTTTGCACCAATCTGATAGGTGAGCTATGATTGTTCATTATAGTGCCTTTTGTGTTGTTAATGCTGACAATAAACAGCAGAATATCAATTTTCATACTGAGGAACCTGGAAACAGGGACTTGTACAGTACATTCTTCATTACAGATTTCACATATATTTTTATAAGAAATATTTTAATAGCTTGAGAGAGAAAAAGAAAGATGAGAACCTTTTCTGAGTAGAAAACACCAGGCATTGAGCTGATTGCTTTACAGTTATGATCTAATTTAGTCCTTACAACAAACCTATATAGTAGTTACTGTTATTTACATTTTACAGATAAGTAAAAGAAGGATTGAGAGAGGTCAAGTAACCCACCTTAGATCACACAGATCTTAAACAGTGCAGTCTGATTTGTACCTAAATTGGTTTGATTGCAAAGTACATTCATTGCCTCAGAATATCATTGTAAGAAGTGGTGGAAGGGTACTGTTTCTAAACCATAGGATATATTTTGTTATATTACTAGCATTTGGAAATGCATATTTTATTTGACAGTATTTATAAATCATGTGTTTCCCTCTCAGAATAACTTTTAGTGCAGAAATGCTTCCATATGCTGGAAGTTTGTTGTGAGCTTTTGATGAGGGAGACAGAATGTCCTTCTGTGGCTTGCCTGCTTATAATCACTGAGCTACAGCATGTATAAATTCAGAAATGGTATTCCCATAGAGTTAACTCCAAATGATATTCTGTTCCTGTTGACCTCATGTGACTGATAACGTTATGCATAAAATGCAATATTTTGTCACAAAATAAATGTATTTTTAAAACTTTATTATTTATACAGGTAAGAGAAATTTGCAAATTAAATGAGTAATATTTCAATTTCCAAATTCAGATACATTTAAATTCTAAACATTAGATGATAAATAAATAAATAAGTTACTTTGTTTTCTTGTGACTATAATTTAACTTTTTTACTTAGCTATGTGACCTTTGAAATTGGTAACTAAAATTACCTAGAATCAATTTTTTTCATTTATAATATGACGTATCAGTATGCCAGTCAAGGGTTGTTTTGAAAATTCAATGAATAATATATGTAAGCTACTTAACTCCTGAAATTTTTCAGCAAGTGGTAATTATGATTAGCAGTAGTAATAGTATCATGTGGTCTTCCTATAACAAAAGTGCTCTGAATTGACAACAGGGGACTGAGGTTTACATCAATCATGGCTCTGCTTGCCCCTTACCAATATTAACTTGGATAAGCCACTTTAATTGGAGCGTGAATACCTCATGCATAAAATAGTTCAGTTTGCCAAGAAGATGTCTAACGTCATAAAGCCAATTAAAGGCAGTTTACAGATTTCTTCTAACTCCCAAGAATTTATGCAGGTTTTACACTCTTCTCTACCTGAGTCTTTTGTGCAAGGGAGAGCAATATGTTCCATGTCTCATTTATTTAACATTAAGTGGCTTGCTACTTCCAGTATCCATTTACTTTCAGAAGCATTATGAGAAGGTTAGATCTACAGACTACAATCCCTAGATCAAAAGACAGGAAGAACACACCCATGCACAAGAAAGACCTGTTTTCTTAGTCTATTTCTTCTGGAATCTGAAGTCTACTTCAATAAATGTAAATGCCTTCTGGATAAAAACACGTGTCTTCTCCTTATAAGATACTTTTCTGTATGTATTGCTCAGAGTCAAATTACTGGATACAATGAACAATTTTACATAAAACCTACCCTGATAGTTAATAAATGTAGAAGAAATTCCAGATATGAGCATGTTATTTTAAATATATTGTGAAATATTCAAAAATCTATAATTTACTCACATTTGCAAATTAGGTTTTTAAAACAGATATTTTTATAAAAGGGAAACAGTCCTCAAAGTAGTTTGTACTACTTCTACTTTTTTCATGGCTCTGTTTTTGCTGAACTTTGAAGAACCACTCAGAGTCACAAAAATGAGCTTACCAACATATTTTGACAAAAGGATGCTCCTAAAATCATGATTATGATAATGTGCCACTTGTTTGAATTTTGTAAAATAAACCATAACACAGGGTTCTGTCTCGGAAAAAAACATATGTGTGAAGTATACTACATACAGAGCACTAAGCTAGATTCTGTAATGAATACTAAATCATAGGGTATTGTTTTTAATTCTGAGTACTTTCTAGTCCATTCATAGCATACAAGTATTTAGAAAAATGTAAAACAAAAGTATGTGACAACTGTTAATGTAGAAATGAAAATCAGAATCAAAGGGATTATTAGATATGGGAAGCAAATTTCCTCGTAACTATCAGGTAAGTGTTTTTGGAAAAAATAAGGAATAACTCCTTCTGACAGCATATATAGGAATTTTTTCAAGCACAGAGAATACAGATGTCATTAAATCATTTAAAACTGTGATGACTTCATTTTCTCAGCTTTCATTGTTCACTTTAGTTGTTCTATTTTTATGTGTTCCCTGTACTTTCTGTATTCTACCTACTTCAATGAATGTATTAATAAATGGTTTTGTGTATTATTTAAAATTTTTCCATTAAAATCATCAGCAGAATCATGTTTGTAACTGTAATCTGCTTTTGGAATTTCTCCTAATACAATAACAGAATTGATAGAAATACAAGAAAGAAATTCCAATTATTTGCATTTAGTAGGCTTGTCTCCCAAGAAAATCAGGAAAAACAGAAAAATTGATCAATAAATCAGTTAGTCAATAGAATAAAGCTCATTGGATACTGAATTTTTATGAGAATGAAAGCAATAATTAATTGATGAAATGTGATTAAAAATTTCATTCATACAAAAACCAAAATCTTAAAAATACAAAGATATCATGTTAAGAAACATGTAATTTATCTCAATAGATGCAGAAAAGGCCTTTGACAAGATTCAACAACCTATCATGCTAAAAACTCTCAATAAATTAGGTATTGATGGGACGTATCTCAAAATAATAAGAGCTATCTATGACAAACCCACAGCCAATATCATACTGAATGGGCAAAAACTGGAAGCATTCCCTTTGAAAACTGGCACCAGACGGGGATGCCCTCTCTCACCACTCCTATTCAACATAGTGTTGGAAGTTCTGGCCAGGGCAATTAGGCAGGAGAAGGAAATAAAGGGTATTCAGTTAGGAAAAGAGGAAGTCAAATTGTCCCTGTTTGCAGATGACATGATTGTATATTTAGAAAACCCCACTGTCTCAGCCCAAAATCTCCTTAAGCTGATAAGCAACTGCAGCAAAGTCTCAGGATACAAAATCAATGTACAAAAATCACAAGCATTCTTATACTCCAATAACAGACAAACAGAGAGCCAAATCATGAGTGAACTCCCATTTACAATTGCTTCAAAGAGAATACAATACCTAAGTATCCAACTTACAAGGGATGTGAAGGACCTCTTCAAGGAGAACTACAAACCACTGCTCAGTGAAATAAAAGAGGATACAAACAAATGGAAGAACATTCCATGCTCATGGGTAGGAAGAATCAATATCGTGAAAATGGCCATACTGCCCAAGATAATTTATAGATTCATTGCCATCCCCATCAAGCTATCAATGACTTTCTTCACAGAATTGGAAAGAAACTCCTTTAAAGTTCATATGGAACCAAAAAAGAGCCCGCATTGCCAAGTCAATCCTAAGCCAAAAGAACAAAGCTGGAGGCATCACACTACCTGACTTCAAACTCTACTACAAGACTACAGTAACCAAAACAGCATGGTACTGGTACCAAAACAGAGATATAGATCAATGGAACAGAACAGAGCCCTCAGAAATAATGCCGCATATCTACAACTATCTGATCTTTGACAAACCTGAGAAAAACAAGCAATGGGGAAAGGATTCCCTATTTAATACATGGTGCTGGGAAAACTGGCTAGCCATATGTAGAAAGCTGAAACTGGATCCCTTCCTTACACCTTATACAAAAATTAATTCAAATGGATTACAGACTTAAACGTTAGACCTAAAACCATAAAAACCCTAGAAGAAAACCTAGGCATTACCATTCAGGACATAAGCATGGGCAAGGACTTCATGTCTAAAACACCAAAAGAATGGCAACAAAAGCCAAAATTGACAAATGAGATCTAATTCAACTAAAGAGCTTCTGCACAGCAAAAGAAACTACCATCAGAGTGAACAGGCAACCTACAAAATGGGAGAAAATTTTCGCAACCTACTTGTCTGACAAAGGGTTAATATCCAGAATCTACAATGAACTCAAACAAATTTACAAGAAAAAAACAAACAACCCATCAAAAAGTGGGCGAAGGATATGAACAGACACTTCTCAAAAGAAGACATTTATGCAGCCAAAAGACACATGAAAAAATGCTCATCATCACTGGCCATCAGAGAAATGCAAATCAAAACCACAATGAGATACCATCTCACACCAGTTAGAATGGCAATCATTAAAAAGTCAGGAAACAAGAGATGCTGGAGAAGATGTGGAGAAATAGGAACACTTTTACACTGTTGGTGGGTCTGTAAACTAGTTCAACCATTGTGGAAGTCAGTGTGGCGATTCCTCAGGGATCTAGAACTAGAAATACCATTTGACCCAGCCATCCCATTAGTGGGTATATACCCAAAGGATTATAAATCATGCTGCTATAAAGACACATACACACGTATGTTTATTGCGGCTCTATTCACAATAGCAAAGACTTGGAACCAACCCAAATGTCCAATAATGATAGACTGGATTAAGAAAATGTGGCGCATATACACCATGGAATACTATGCAGCCATAAAAAATGATGAGTTCATGTCCTTTGTAGGGACATGGATGAAATTGGAAATCATCATTCTCAGTAAACTATCACAAGAACAAAAAAACCAAACACTGCATGTTCTCACTCATAGGTGGGAATTGAACAATAAGAACATATGGACACAGGAAGGGGAACATCACACTCTGGGGACTGTTGTGGGGTGGGGGAGGGGGGAGGGATAGCTATAGGAGACATACCTAATGCTAAATGACGAGTTAATGGGTGCAGCACACCAGCATGGCACATGTATACATATGTAACTAACCTGCACATTTGTGCACATGTACCCTAAAACTTAAAGTATAATAATAATAAAATAAAATAAAAAATAATAAAAAATAAAAAAATAATAATTTTGATTTAAAAAAAAAAAAAAAGAAACATGCACGGCCAGGCGCAGTGGCTCATGCCTGTAATCCAAGCACTTTGGGAGGCTGAGGCGGGCGGATCACGAGGTCAGGAGATCGAGAGCATCTGGCTAACACGGTGAAACCCTGTCTCTACTAAAAAATACAAAACAAAATTAGCCGGGCGTGGTGGCGGGCGCCTGTAGTCCCAGCTACTGGGGAGGCTGAGGCAGAAGAATGGCGTGAACCCGGGAGGCGGAGCTTGCAGTGAGCCGAGATCGCGCTACTGCACTCCAGCCTGGGTGACAGAGCGAGAATCCGTCTCAAAAAAAAAAAAAAAAAAAAGAAACATGCACACATACACACACACAAACCTACTACACTACTTGACTCTATTGACCAACTACACTTGATTGTACTGCAGACAGCACTTGACTTTGGTTTTGTGACTGTGCTGAAGAAATCCAACCAAATGCAATTGACAAAAGTGATAAGTTGATTTTAGGGAGATGGCGGGGAATCACAGGGAAACCAGATGTTATCAGAAGCCGTGACATCCTTGTGAAAAGATCACAAAATGTTGAGAAATAAAGAAGAAGTTAGTGGTTTAAATCCCCTTCTCCATTGACTCCAAGCTGTTTATAACTCCGAACTGAAAATAAGGTACAATTTTACATGGCTAGAGTTAGATGTTCAGATTGCTTTTGTCAATTCTAGTACTGGGGCCTCTGAGGCTTTCCAGGGAGTTTTGAAACAAGGAGCTAGGAAACCAGAATTCTGGGTGGGAAGGGAAATAAAGCCTGAAATAGTGGGGTGGAGACATCATGGACACCTACGTATCCCATTGTTGTATGCCTTCAACATCAGCTAGACTAATGGTTGACAACATTGCAAACAAATATTTAATAGCTGCCAAGATGGTAGATGTGCAGAGAGGTTAGACTGGAGCAGAGATATGTGTCACATCGTCATTTTTCTAGCTCTTCCTGTAAAAAAAAGAAAAAAAGGAAATGTTTTTGCATGTGTGATGATTAGGGAAGAGCAGGTAAATCTTATAATAAGAGACACCATTAATCACTGTCTTAAAGTTTTGTTTAATTCTAATTAGCTGTTTTTGATGTATGCAGGAACCAAACACTATTTATTTGTTTGTCCGTTAATAGATATTTCAGTTAGGATGATGTTTAGGTGTGTGTGACTGAAAATCCAAGTAAATGGTTTAAGAAAAGTAGAGATTTACTTTATTTTATTTTATTATCTTGTTTTTGTCTTATTTATGTCCAAAAAGTCCTGGGATAAGCAACTTAGAATTGTTGTATCAATTTCATGGTCTTTAGGGATCCATCATCTTTATTGTCAGATTCCCTATTTACCTCATGATCAGAGATGGTTATGGAAGCTCTAGGCATTATGTCAATATTCCAGGCAAAAATACAAGGAAATTAAAAATATATATATACTACTGAGTCTGTCTCGTTTACGATGCTCTAAGGCACAACTTCTCCTTATTTATCATTGGTCAGTCCTATTTGCAAAGAAGTCTACAAAATTTAGGCTCTTAATTGGGGTCATCTCTACTTAGAATGAAATCTATTTTATTTAAGTAAAAAGATAAGTTATATAGGGTAGGCAAGTACCAGTCTCTACAACAATATCTCTAATGAAAAGGAAATGAGATCTTAGAATACTTTCATTTTTACAAACTAATTTAGTTTTTATAGTTTGAAACTGCTTAGAAACTGGTTAGATGGTTGTGGCCAAAATGTTGACAGTGATATGGACAATAAAGTCCAGGCTGACAAGCTCTCAGATGAAAATGAGAAAATAGGAACTGGAGTAAACATCATACATGTTATGCCTAAGCAAAAAGCTTGGATGCATTCTGTTCATGCTCAGGGGATCTGTGGAAGTTTGGACTTCAAAGTGATGATTTAGGGTATCTGGTGGAAGACAAACAGCAAAGTATTCAAGATGTGACCTGGCTTCTTCTAACAACCTATGCACAGATGTGGGAGCAAATAATAAATGACTTAAAGTTGAAACTTATATTTAAACAGGAAGCAGAGCATTAAAGTTTGGAAAATTTGCAGCCTGGCCATGCAGTAGAAAGGAAAAGCTTAATTTCAGGGGAAGAATCCAAGCAGGCTGTGGATCAACCACTTGCTAGAGAAATGTACATAACTAAAAAGGAGCAAAGTGTTAATAGCCAAGACAATGAAAAAAAGGCCTCAAAAGCATTTCAGAGATCTTCTAGGCAGTCCCTCCCAATCACAGGGCCAGAGGCCCAGGAGTACTAAATTATTTCAGAGACCAGGCCCAGGGCCTCACTGCCCTTCACACCCTCAGGACACTGCTCCCCACATCCAGGCTGCTCCCTATCTAGCCTCAGTTCAGAGGACCTCAGGTGCAGCCTGGGTCACAGCTCTTTAGGGTTCAACCCATAAGCCTTGGCAGCTTCCACATGGTGTTAGACCTGAAGATACCCAAAGTACAAGAGTGGTAGAGACTTGGCAGCCTCTGTGTAGATTTACAAGTATATATGTGTACCCAGGCAGAAGCCTGCTGTAGGAGTGGAATTCTCACAGAGAATGTCTATTAGAGCAGTGTGGAGGGAAAATGTTGGGTTGGAGTCCCCAGACAGGGTCCCCACTGGGGCACCACCTAATGGAGCTGTGAAAAGGGGGCCACTATCCTCCAAACCCCAGAATGATAAATCCACTAGCAGTTTGCACCCTGGATCTGAAAAAGCCAATGTCACTCAGATAGCAGTAAGGGGTTTGAACCTGTAAAGCCATAGAGGCAGAGCTGCCTAAGGCCATGGGAGCCCAACCCCTACATCAGTGTGACCTGGAAGTGTGACATGGAGTCAAAGGAGAGTATTTTGGAGCTTTGAGATTTAATGACTGCCCTGCTGGGTTTCAAACTTGAATGGGGCCCATAAACCCTTTCTTTCATCCAATTTCTCCCTTTGGGAATGGGAATGTTTATCCAATGTCAATACCCCCATTTTATCTTGGAAGTAAATAACTTGTTTTTTATTTTACAGGCACATAGGAGGAAGGGCCTTGCCTTGCCTCTGATGAGATTTTGGACTTTGGATTTTTGAGTTAACACTGGAAAGAGTTAAGACTTTGGAGAACTATCAGGAAGGCATGATTGTATTTTGCAATGTAAGAAAAACATGAGACTTGGGAGGGCCAGGGGCATAAAGATATTGTTTGTGTAATTGTCCCTACCCAAATCTCATGTTGAAATTTAATCCTCAGTGTTGGAGATGGGACCTGGTGGGAGATATTTTGGTCATGTGCGTGGATTCCTCATGACTTGGTGGTGTCCTTGCAATAGTAAGAACTCACGAGATCTGGTGAAGTGTGTGACACCTCACCCCTCCATTCCTTCTTGCTCCTGCTTTTGTCATGTGACATGCAGGCTCCCACTTTGCCTTCCACCATGAGTAAAAGCTTCCTGAGCCTCCCTAGAAGCTGAGCACATGCCAGTGCCTTGCTTCCTTTACAGCCTGCAAAATTGTGAGACAAATCAACCTCTTTTTCTTATAAAATACCCAGTCTTTGGTATTCCTTTATAATTTTTTGAGGAACCTCCATTTTGTTTTCCACAGCTGTCACATCATTTTACATCCCCACCAACAATGTACATAAGTTCCAATTTCTCCACATCTTTTTCAATACTTATCTTTTCGTTATTTTTTACAATAATCATTCTGAGAGATGAGACGTGATCTCTTTTTATAGCTTTAATTTTCATTTCTGTGCTAATTAATGATATTAAGCATTTTTTTCAGATACTTGTTGGACATTTGTATGCCTTCTTTGGAGAAATGTCTGTGAAGTCCTTTGCTCATTTTAAAATCATGATATTTGCTTTTTGCTACTAGTTGTAGGAGTTCCTATGGCAATTTAAAGTTCATACAATGTCATTAACGCTTTAACTATATAATATTCACTTTTTATGTCTCATGCTCCAGTCATATCTCTCTAAATTTTAAGCTTCTTCAAGGCTTTGTTGTATATATTTATATAATTCAGCAAAATTTTTGTGTCTAGGCATTTAATCACATGAGTAATTGACATATTTTAATATTTACCCTTCAAAGACCAAGTTTTATTGGAGTAGAATGATAGAGTGGATAGAATGCTGCAAAACAAGGAAACACACATTTTTATAGACTTTTCAGTTACTTACAATACATGTGGGCTTAGTAAAATAATTTAAAATTATTCACATTTTGTTATACTAAGGTGGCAGCAATAGCAACAAATATGTCTACCTCACAATAAATACTGTGAAAATCACATAAAACGTGCATGCAAGGCATTCAAAATTCGCCAAGAAAAAAATATTTTAAATAACAATTCATTGGAAAGGGAGAAAAATAATGAGAAGAAGATGAAGAGTCAAAGGAAGAAGGATGAGAAGAAAAATAAAGTAGAGGAGGAGGAGAAGAAAGAGATGGGGGGAAAGGAGGGGAAAAAAAGAAGGCAGAAGAAGAATGCAGAAAAAAAAAGAAAGCCAAGGGAAAGGAGAAATTAATTTCTCATGAAGTTACTACATCATATTATTAAAAAAATAGTAGTTTTAATGTAACTCAACAGACTTCATATTGCTAAGTCATTCAAGTTGCCAAATCATTGGAAAGAAAATCATGGGATAAATATGTCTGCCTCTATTTTTTAAAATTTAGCAGGCTGTGTAATATATTTTCTCACCGTATTACTTTAATAAACTATGAAACCTGAGCTTTAGGTTTGAAATATAAACTCATTGTAGGAGGCAGAATTTTAAAGATGTCTCCTCCACATTCCCATCTTTTTTTTATTCAGTTAAACACTAATTTGTGAAAGGGCTTTTGTAGATGAAATTAAGGTTATGGATATATTATACTGTTTGGCATTGCTATAAAGTAATATCTGAGAGTGGGTAATTTGTTAAGTAAGTGGTTTATTTGTCTCATGGTTCTGCAGGCTCTACAAGAAGCATGTCACCAGCATCTGCTTCTGGTGAGGACCTCAGGAAGCTTTCAATCTTGGCAGGAGGGGAAGAGGAGTCATTGTGTCACAGGGCTGGAAAGGGAGCAAGAGAGAGAGGAGTTGATGCTAGGCTCTGTTTAATAACCAGTTCTGTGAACTAGAGTGATAATTCACTCATTATTGTGAGGATGGCACCAAGACTTTCATGAAGGATCCAGCCCCATGACCCAAATACCTCCCACTAGGCCCCATCCCCACCACTGGGGGTTGCATTTCAACATGAGATTTGGAGAGGACAAATATCCAAACAATATCAATGGAATTCACAATAAGGGGAGTATCTTCAATTATTCAGATAAACCCAATCTAAATACTAAAATTTTAAAGCTAAAGACATTCTCTAGCTGGAGTCAGAACCATGCAATAGAAGAAAACAGAGAAATGGAGCTGAAAGAGAAGTCAGAAATATTCTAAGTGTGAGAGAAACCAGATACACTGTTACTAGCTTTGAGTTTTAAGGGCTCTTGTGCAAAGCCCAGAAAGAGGCCTCTAGGAGCTCATAGAAAGCATGAGAAGGAATATGGGCAGTCTGTCGGATCCTCTTTTTAACATCCAGCAAACAAACTGGTAACTCAGTTTCAGAACTGCAGGAACTGAACTACAGATAACCTGAATGTGCCTGAAGGCAAATTTCTCCACCGAGCCTCCTGTAAGGAAAGCAGCCCCGTGGACACCTTCATTTTCTCCCTGCGAAATCCAATGTCGGACTTCTCATATCAGAACTTCTCGTATTCAGAACTGAGCTAATAAATCTGTGTTAGGCTGCTACATTTGTGAGAATTTGTTAAGGCAGCTATAGAAAACTAAGCACCCATTAAATTACATTTCTGGACTTCAAATGAAAGAAAATCAGTTTTATCATAATGTCTGACATAAAACCTGACTTTCTAAAATTTCCAAAATAAATGTTCAAATTATATTATTTTCACCTAAATTATCTATTGGTTCAAAAGAGATAATGATTTTGATCCAAAACAATGGCCACATTATTTCTGTTCTCATTTATTTGGGTATAAACTTCATTTTCCTCATTAGATGGAGACATAATTGCCCAATATTGCAATAATTGCACTGAATCAAACATAAATATTTCACAAGATATCATTATATTTTATAAAATGTAAACAAAAATGCAAGGAAGATCATTGCATTTGCATTTTAGATAGCAAGATGATCTGAAGACCAGACACTTTAAAATAACTGGGTCAAAAAAGCATTGGCTATCTTTGCATACCAAAGAAAAAAAACATTATACAGGTGGAGATAAATTATTTCAATGTGAGCAACATGCAATTTGCCATGTGGCTGTTGGATTCATGAGCCAATTGTAAAATTTATAGTGTGTGACACTGTGGTTGCTTCTTCCTAGTTATCTACATAAGACCAAAATATTTTTCAGTGTTCTATTTCTCTTCCAGTCTGTAAAACATTTTTATTTACACAATTATTTGTTAGTTTGAACCCTTGGAAATGAAACAAAAAAATAAGGCAATGTCTCATATCTATAGCCTTTGGTCCAGCCTTTCTAAGTACAAAAGTATGCCCAGAAAATATTGTACCCATTTAGGGTTTAGTAGGGTCAAAGAGACTACTGTTTCTATATATTTGATTAAGCAATTTGATAAAACAATAGTATATTGTACAATAGTCACAAGGAGTTATTTAAAAATTTTGGGATTTATTTTCTAATAAGATTATTTAATTAACAATTAAAATGAATATTAATCTAATGATTTGTAGATATTGATACTGAAGAGATACACTGCATATGGTGTGAATTATTTTGTGTCTCACCCCACAACACCAGCCAAACACTATATTTCAAAAAAAAAAAAACTTACGCTAAAAATAATTCAGCATGTGATTCATATAAACAGAATATTCTATGTGTCACATGAAAACTATTTTCATTTACTAATACTTACTATTTTACCAAATATTGAGTTCCTTTATAGCAGGCACTATTTTTGGCGTAGGGGTTACAGCAAAGGACAAATCAAATCCATGAAGGGTGATAATAAAAAGTAAAATGAAAGTGAGTGAACAATATGTAGCGATAGGTGATACAATTTTAGTTAGAATGTTCAGATAAGAAGGTTCCAGGCTGGGAACGGTGGCTCACACCTGTAAACCCAACACTTTGTGAGGCCGAGGAAGGTGGATCATAATGTCAGCAGTTTGAAACCAGTCTGGCCAACATGGTGAAACCCTGCCTCTACTGAAAATACGAAAATTAGCCAGGCATGGGGGCATGCACCTCTAATCCTAGCTACTCTGGAGGCTGAGGCAGGATAATCACTTGAATCCGGGAGGTAGAGGTTGCAGTGAGCCAAGATCGTGCCATTGTACTCCAGCCTGGGTGACAAGAGTGAAATTCTGTCTCAACCGGAAGAAGAAGAAAGAAGAAAGAAGAAAGAAGAGGAAGAAGAAGAAGAAGAGGAAGAAGAAGAAGAGGAGGAGGAGAAGAAGAAGAAGAGAAGAAGAAGAAAAAAAAGAGAAGAAGAAGGAGGAGGAGGAGGAAGAAGAGGAAGAGGAAGAGGAACAGGAAGAAGAAGAGGAAGAAGAAGAAGAAAAGAAGAAGGAGGAGGAGGAAGAGGAAGAGGAACAGGAAGAAGATGAAGAAGAAGAAGAAAAAAAAGGAGGAGGAGGAGGAGGGGAGAGGGGAAGGGGAGGGGAGGGGGAGGAAGGAGGAGGAAGGAGGAAGGAGGAAAGAGAAGAAAGAAGAAGAAGAGGAGGAAGAGAAGGAACAGGAAGAGGTTTCCATGCATCAGAATAAACTGAGGGAATGATTCATGGAGACATTAAGGATAAGACTTTTTCCCATGACAGCCCCTTCCATGGGAGTGTGATTGATTTGTTGGAGATACAAGAGAGGACTGGAGGACATCTGCCTGAAATGATATAAGCCAGGGACGAAGTTAAAGATTACAACAGAATAAAGAGCCTGAGCCAGGTTACTTGTGCAAGACCTTCTAAGCATTGCAAGGATTTAGAACTCTATTATATATATGATACAAAATCATGGCAAGTGTTAAACCACTTACACTTTAAAGGCATCATTCTGACTGCCTAGTGCTAAATAAATTGATGTGAGAATGTAAGCAGTGAGTTTAATAAACTGTCCTTTGTAATTTTCCAAACAATTCATGATGATAACATTGAAAAGTATGGTAATTACAGAAGTGGTAAAAAATAAAAAGATTTGGGAAAGATTTTGAAAAAATAATTGGTAGAAGTAGCTGTGGATTAGATATAAGGACTGAGAAAAAGAGGGGACTCATGATTTTCTCTAAGGATTTTTTCCTTGAGCAACAGGGTGCATGGTAATTCATTATTAAAATGGGAATAAGAGTTGAGGAACGGTGTATCTACAAACTAGTATTGGGCCTGCTGTATTCAAATTGTTTATTAGACAACCAAATGTAGATATCAACTTCACAACTGAATATATGAATTTGGAGTTCAGGAAAACAGCTTTAACCTGAGATATAAATTTAGGAATCATTAACCTTTAAGTGATATTTAAAACTATGGGGCTAAATGACTTGGCTTAGAGAAAAGACTGAAATGGAAACAAGATGAAGCCTAAGTTCTCAGTCATGAGACATTATAATGCTAAACATGTAGGAAGAGATGAAAACACCATTAACAAATAGTAGATACACTATCAGTAAAGTAAGAGAAAAACAGAAGTCTCAGAGTAAAATTAAGAAAAGCTTCAGGAGGCCAGGCCGGTGGCTCATGCTTGTAATACCAGCACATAGGGAGATCAAGGGAGGTGGATTGCTTGAGCCCAGAAGTTCCAGATCAGTCTGGCCAACATAGGGAAACCCCTGTCTCTACAAACAATTCAAAACTTGCCTGGGCATGGTAGTATTCACCTGTAGTCCCAGCCAATTGGGAGGCTGAGGAGGATCACTTGCTCTCAGGAGGTTGAGGCTGTTTGTGCTACTGCACTCCAGCCTGGAAAAATGAGCAAGGCACTGTTTCATTCCTTTTTCAGGAAAGAGAGTGATCCACTGAGTCAGATATTTTTGAGGGTAGTTGTAGAGCATGGATAGAACTTCAGATGTGGCTATGACTGAAGCCCTGATTTAAAGGAATGCAAAAAAAAAAAAAGAAGTGGAGAAGGGAATACAGATATAGAGCAAAAGAACTAAAGATAACTTCAGAGAAAATGATCAATGAAGATAAATCATGGTTGCATGTGCAGCAAAGGAGCAGGAGCTTACTGGGAAGTAAGTGGTAGCAAGGGGCTGGGGGCAATTACAAGCAAGGGGAGTCTCTACAAACCTTAGGCTAAGTAACTCATGGAGAGTCAAGGGATTGTCCAAAGAATAAATGAAAGATATAAGAAAATTTTAGTTTCTGGAAAGCACTTTTGTAGTTTAGAGAGGTTAGGCAAGGGTGCAGAATCAGGTCAGTTTACAGCATGAATAGAACCATAGGGAGATAAAAGTCCAAGTGATGAACCATGCCCTGGGAAACATGGACATTTCGTAATGATTGAGGTCAATAGGGTTGATTATTCAGCATTATAAATCTAGACTCATCGTTGTTTCAATGGATCATGAGTTCCAATTCCTACTTGGGACTGGACTCTGGCTGTTTGTAGTGATTGGGTTGGAACTGCTAGTAAGTAAAGATGGATGGGGCATTAGGGCCTCTCAAAGAGTATGACGAGTCATGTTAAAAGTAATGTTAGGAGGCCAAGGCAGGCAGATCACGATGTCAGGAGATTGAGACCATGCTGGCTAACACGGTGAAACCCCGTCTCTACCAAAACTACAAAAAATTAGCTGGGCGTGGTGGTGGGCGCCTGTAGTCCCTGCTACTCGGGAGGCTGAGGCAGGAGAATGGTGTGAACCCGAGAGGCGGAGTTTGCAGTGAGCCGAGATCACGCCACTGCACTACAGCCTGGGAGACGGAGCAAGACTCTTGTCTCAAAAAAAAAAAAAAAAAAAAAAAAAAAAAAGGTAATGTTGAAGTTGCTGGAGGCCTTTGAGATGACTTTTCAGAGCAAATATAAATATAGTGTGACTTTTTATCTTTATTCAACAAATTTGTACATATTTTGTGTATTTTCCATGTGCTGGATTCTGTGTTGGGTACTGGCAATACAATGATGAGAAAAACCAATTACTTCCTTTCATTTAAGAGTTACTTAATTTATATTCAACATGGCCCAGATAGATTTCAAGATCTAGTTATATGTTACAATCCCTCAATGATAATTGTCTCTTAAAAATGCTACAATATCAACTTTATTCTCACTTTAAATTAATCTTGGAAAATACAATCCTAAAATAACATCTGACAATTTTCAATCTGTGTATATCAGATCTTGATTTAAAAAGTATTTGGCAGTCATTTAGTTTCCCACCAAATTGTATATATTTAACATAAAGCCAAAATTTTAAAGTCTGTGAGATATTAAGTTTCATGCTTATGATTTCTCTTAACACTATGTTTCTTAATCCGCTATAAAATCTCTGCAAATCAGAAATTCTGTTGGATAAAAAAAGAATAAAATCCTGTTTAAAGCTTTTGATTTATAAATAAAAAGACACTTATTTGACTTTCCTATAGATCCTTTGAGAAAGCTAA
Source organism: Homo sapiens (assembly GCF_000001405.40). Lineage (NCBI taxonomy): Eukaryota > Metazoa > Chordata > Mammalia > Primates > Hominidae > Homo > Homo sapiens. The sequence goes on along the minus strand of NC_000001.11, from coordinate 194,025,506 downwards.
TTCAACAGTTTAAATATTCCCTCCAGGTATACAATCCTTAATAAATTGATTCAAGAGATTTGCTATTTGACATAATACCCTGAGACAAGATTGCTTAATTTAATTGCCTTTATGACTACAATTTCCAAAAAGCATTCCAAAATATTAATATTATACCTTGTTTCTTCGGAAAAATAACAAAATGCTTCTGACTATTAATTTTGAGATTTTACATCAGACTTGCAAGGGTATTTGGAGTTGAATGAGGACTGATATTTATAAACTTTAATTATAGGAATTAGGTCCACAACAATACACAAAACAGGATTATAATGATATATTTCTAAATAATTAAAAGTTACTTTGCTCTACAGAGCTTGAACATTTTCTACTGTGCATCTAATACTTCATTGTTATTAAGAAGTAAAACATTAAAAAATAACCCAAGAGTAAGCTAATTCATTCATAATTTTGAATTCATCATAAAATTTTTGTAAACAAAAAAAAGCTGTTTTATCACTAAAGATTTTTTTCCCCCTTAGATAGGAAAGAACTGGAGTATTCAACATGTCAGACGTACATGGAAATGATTCAGGAGACATTTGTAGGAAATTGGATGTGATCCAGACCACAATGACCTCAATTGAAATTGAAAAATTCACAGGAGACTGATTACAGAAGTGGGAAGTTAAAGATATGGAAATTACACTGGATAGACATGACACAATTTTAGCTAAGAATAAGGAGAGCACTAAAAGCTATAAAAAGGAAAAGTGATGGCCTGGAAAACAAGTGAGGAGCATGCAGCATCCACGGCTTTTTCTGTGGAAAGACAGATTTTTTTATTGTATGAAAAAATATATTAGTATTGTGCTAATTTAATTACTCACTGAAGAGCAATGTTGTATTCTACTGCAAAATGCAGAATTTTAAAAATATCTGAAAATGGCTTTACCAATTAACATTCAGGTGAATAAGATTGAGGAACTTCTCTATTTGGAAAACTACATTGTTGAATACTAATGAGAGAAGAACATATGAAATAATTTATGTTCACAAGTCCACAAGTTAGCACTATTTGCAAATGTTTGATGTTATATTTTCTAAAATATTTGTGATTTGAAAGGGAGCTCCATTTGAGACTGTTACCTTTTTGAAGCCAATAGGAAAATATTACCTAATTTCTTCACATCCTCTCCCCAAACATCACTGGCAATTATGTTCGTCTCAAGTAATGACTCTTCCACCTTCTCCACTTAACCTTTAAATGCATAAATACTTGAGAGCTTAGAACCTCACCAAAGAGCTTTTCTGTATTTTTTCTCTCTCAAGATGACCTCATGCTATCTCATGGATTTTAATGTTCCCTATGTTTGTCATCTGAAGACATTCAATTCACATCTCTATCCTTAACCTTTCTGTTGAGTGCAAAACTCTCATATACAATACTACACAACTGCTTACTACTCGAAGTCTTCACATAGAAGTCAAATAGATGTCTCACAGTTGACCCCGCCAAACAGAATTATATGTTTTTCTATTCACAAACCTGCCAGCCCCCAAGATTTACTCCTTTCAGCAAGTGGCACTGTCATTGAACACCTAGAATGAAAGCTAGAAGTCACCCTAGATACTTCCGTTTTTCTTATACCCTATAGCCTGTTCATTAATATGTCATATCAGCTGAATCTCCAAAAAACTATGTATAAAATTAAAATTCTCACCATCTGTTCCTAGTCCAATCCTCCTTTTAGCCCAGTGTGGCTCATTGATCTTTAAATACAAATATAATAAATGTGTTAGGCACTAGGGATTAAAGCATCTTCCTAAAGACCTAAAAGCTGGGCCTTTATTCCATTCACCACACACTCCATATGAACACAGAAGCCAGCAGGGGAACTACAAGAACTCACAATTTTAGTATATAGCATAATGTCTTCTAATAAAGTTGTGACCATGACGCTATAGAAACACTCAAGATTTTTAAAGAAGAGGTAAGAGTTTCCAATTTAAGACATGCTAAAACACATTTGGTGAAGATAAAATAGCATTGAAAAAAAGCTGAGAGATAGGAAATAGCACTTTTACTGGCATTAAATTGGCTTGACAAAGAGCACAAGATTCACTTAGTCATTTAAAATATATTTATCGGGTACCTTCTGTGTTAATGAGCCCTGCTCTAGGCACTAGGGATACAAAATAAAATGAAATAAAATGAAATAAAATAAAATAAAATCAGGTCTCATAGAGCTTAGATTCTAGAGAAAGGAGAAATACATTAATCAATTTGACAAATACATTCAAACACTGATAAATGCCAGGAGGAAAACAAAATGAGGTAAACAAAATGAGAGTGTCTTGAAGCTGGGAGGCCTCTCAGTGAAGCTGACAATAGATTGGGGACCAGAAGAGTAGAAAGGGGGCTGCCATTTGCAAATCTGAGGTAAGAGCGCTATTGGGAGAAGAGAACGAGATGTTTTAAAGGAGTAAAAATGACTTGTTTCAGATTATTATAATATTAAGAAAAAATATTTTGACATAACGTTAATTTAAAATTATTGTTCATATATTTGATGAATAGTATGGTCTCAGCTCTATTAATTATTTTTAATAAAAATTCATATGCAAATTAGTAGAATAAACTGAAAGTTTATTAAAGTATGATCTTTACAATACAAACATATAATAAAAGCACCTACTGTACATTAGCTTTTGCAACAAACTTTCCATCTATATCTATGTCTAAGCCACATCTATAGGGAAGATCAAAGTGCAGGTTCTAGACCCAGGCTACCTATATTCAATTACTTTCCCATTCCATACTGCATAATCTTGGGCAAGTTATTTAAACTTTAGGGGTCTCAGATTATACATTTGTAAAATCAGGAATAGTAATATAATCTCCCTATAGGTTGTTGTGCGCAACCACTGAATTTATACGAGTAGATCACATAGAAAAGTGTGCAACATAGTAAATGTTTATCAAATGTTTGTTATTATTTTAGTCATATTTATATTAATGACAATGGGTGATTTTTAAAAATCTCAACTGAAATACACACATTTTAGTAGAGGAATTATGGAAACTTTCATTTCTTTTTAATTTTCCACATTTTCCTAAATGAGCAAAAGTAATTTCTGCTTAAAAACAGAAATACTTTCTGAGAAACGAGTAATTAAGCAATTCTATAATGTTCATTGTGTGAACATCATAGAGTGTACTTTCACAAACCTAGGTGGTTTAGTGACTTAGGCTCTTCTTGCAACACTATAAAGAAATACCTGAGCCGGGGTAATTTACAAAGAAAAGAGGTTTAAGTGGCCCACGTTTCTGCAGACTGTACAGGAAGTGTGGTCTCAGCATCTACTTCTCGTGCAGGCCTCAAGGAGCTTACAATCATGATGGCGAGCAACAGAGAGCTGGTATGTCACAAGGCAAGAGTGGGAGCAAGAGAGGGAGGTGGAAGATTCCACACACTTTTAAACAACACAATCTCATGAGAACTCACTCACTAGCATGAAGACAGCACCAAGCCATTCATAAGGGATCTGCCCCCATGTCCCAAACACCCCCCACCAGGCCCCACCTCGAACATTAGCGATTACATTTCAACATGAGATTTGGAGGGGACAAACAACCAAACTTTATCATTTAGCCTACTACATCTAGGCTATATGGTGTAGCCTATTGTTTCTAGGCTATAAACCTGTACAGCATGTCATTGTACTGAATATTATAAGCAATTGTAACTCATATATTTGTATATATAAACGTATCTAAACATAGAAGAGCTATGGAAAAACATGGTATAAAATATTTTAAGCTACACCTGTATAGGGTAATTACCATAAATGGAGCTTGCAGGACACGAAGTTGCTCTGTGTAAGGGAGTGTGTGGTGAGTGAATGTGAAGGCCTAGGACATTGCTGTACACTACTGCAGACTTTATGAACACTCTATACTTAGGATAAACTAAATTTGTAAAAATATTTTTCTTTCTTCGATAATAAATTAACCTTAGCTTACTAGATGTCCACCATTGTACTTATGGTCTATCACTGGCTGTAATACCATTATGTGGTACATGATTGTGTTATTTTCCTAAGCCTAAATATCAACAATGTTTTTAAAAAGATTCAAGTGAAAACTAAGATTACCTGTTAGAATATGTTCAGTCTTCAGCTTGAGTGCATGGGTCCTAATGCAAAGACTCAGTTGAATACGGAGATGTAATGATATACCACAAGAAAATGTTAAACAACATGGAAATAGTATCCTCCAAATCACAGAAATATTGTATCTCCATTTTAATTACATTTCCCAGAAGAATTTGTTCATAATATTAGTGTACTCCATTCACCTAATGCATTCGTCTACCCAGCTATCATAATAAAATACCACAGACTGAGTGGCTTAAACTACAAATATATATTTCTCACTGTTCTGAAGGAAAAGAAGTCTAAGATCAAGGCATTGGTAACGTAGGTCTCATTCTTCTCTGAGGATGTAGGCAGCTGCCATCTTGCTGTGTGCTCATGGGGCCTTTTCTTTATGAAGTCCAGTGGTAGAGAAGAGATTGCAGAGGGCTCCCAGATGTCTCTTATTATGAAGACACTAATCCCTTCTTGAGGATCCATTCTCATTATTGCATCTAACCCTAAAGGCCCCATCTCCAATTATTATAACATTAAAGATTAGGGCTTCTGGCTGGGCATGGTGACTCACACCTGTAATCCCAGCATTTTGGGAAGCCAAGGCAGGAAGACTGCTTGAGCCCAGGACTTACATACCAGCCTGAGTAACATAGTGAAACCTCATCTGTACAAAAATACAAAAAATTAGCAAGGCATGGTGGCATGTGCCTGTAGTCCCAGCTACTTGGGAGGCTGAGGCAGGATGATCATTTGAGTCCAGGAGGCAAAGATTGCAGTGAGCCAAGATTGTGCCATTGCACTCCAGTCTAGGTGACAGAGTGAGACTTTGTCTCAAAAAAAAAAAAAAAAATTCGGGTTTTAATATCCTCCAATTCCAAGATTTAATAGTAAAGCGCAGTGGTCATGGCACCTTTAATGAGTCTTGTGTTCATACAGTGCCTTACCTTTTCACATATTCTATGCAGGTATGGTGGATTTTTGCTACCTTGGGGCCACACTTGGGCAATAAGATTATTTTGCAACAACACAAATGGATAAATCTGCAAGACATGCCAAACAATCTTTCCTATTCAAAGTGTACCAGATCCCCCATGGTGTTGCTGAAAACATGGATACAGGTTCCCTCTTTTCTGGGGGCTGTTGGAACACACAGACCTATCTCTCCTTCTCCACCTGCAAAGGTGAAGCAAAATATTTCCCATCAACCTCTCCAAAGAATAGTGTCTCTCCTATGGATCCATTTCCTTATGTCTCTCAAATATGTGTAAGACAAGATTTTGGAGGTAAAGGCTATATTTCTCTTTTCAGTCATGCCACATACTCTCCCCTGAGGGTGTTAGCTCAGGAGACACTGCCAGCTAAAAGAAGGGCAGAAAATTTAAGACATATGGAAAAAAAGTTAAATATAAATTAACATCAAAAAATAGAGGAATGAAACGTTTTCTATTGGATTTAGCAATAAGGAAACCATTGGAACTTCAGTGAGGTATTTCAGGGGAATGACTGTGCTGGAAGTCAGAATGCAGTTGGTAGAGATTTAAATGAGATGTAAGAAAATGGAAACATCTAAGGGCAGCCAGAGAGAAAGGTCAGGTTACCCACATAGGGAAGCCCATCAGACTAACAGCAGATCTCTCAGCAGAAACTCTACAAGCCGGAAGAGAGTGGGGGCCAATATTCAACATTCTTAAAGAAAAGACTTTTCAACCCAGAATTTCATATCCAGCCAAACTAAACTTCATAAGTGAAGGAGAAATAAAATACTTCACAGACAAGCAAATGCTGAGAGATTTTGTCACCACCAGGCCTGCCCTAAAAGAGCTCATGAAGGAAGCATGAAAAGGAAGCATGGAAAGGAACAACCGGTACCAACCACTGCAAAAACATGCCAAATTGTAAAGACCACCAAGGCTAGGAAGAAACTGCAACTAATGAGCAAAATAACCAGCTAACATCATAATGACAGGACCAAATTCACACATAACAATACTAACCTTAAATGTAAATGGGCTAAATGCTCCAATTAAAAGACACAGACTGGCAAATTGGATAAAGAGTCAAGACCCATCAGTGTGCTGTATTCAGGAAACCCATCTCACATGCAGAGACACACATAGGCTCAAAATAAAGGGATGGAGGAAGATCTACCAAGCAAATGGAAAACAAAAAAAGGCAGGGGTTGCAATCCTAGTCCCTGATAAAACAGACTTTAAGCCAACAAAGATCAAAAGAGACAAAGAATGCCATTACATAATGGTAAAGGGATCAATTCAACAAGAAGAACTAACTATCCTAAATATATATGCACCCAATACAAGAGCACCCAGATTCATAAAGCAAGTCCTTAGTGACCTACAAAGAGACTTAGACTCCCACACAATAATAATGGGAGACTTTAACACCCCACTGTCAAATTAGATGGATCAACAAGACAGAAAGTTAAAAAGGATACCCAGGAATTGAACTCAGCTCTGCACCAAGTGGACCTAACAGACGTCTACAGAACTCTCCACCCCAAATCAACAGAATATACATTTTTTTCAGTACCACACCACACCGATTCCAAAATTGACCACACAATTGGAAGTAAAGCACTCCTCAGCAAATGTAAAAGAACAGAAATTATAACAAACTGTCTCTCAGACCACAGTGCAAACAAACTAGAACTCAGGATTAAGAAACTCACTCAAAACCGCTCAACTACATGGAAACTGAACAACCTGCTCCTGAATGACTACTGGGTACATAACAAAATGAAGGCAGAAATAAAGATGTTCTTTGAAACCAACGAGAACAAAGACACAACACACCAGAATCTCTGGGACACATTCAAAGCAGTGTGTAGAGGGAAATTTATAGCACTAAATGCCCACAAGAGAAAGCAGGAAAGATCCAAAACTGACACCCTAACATCACAATTAAAAGAACTAGAAAAGCAAGAGCAAACACATTCAAAAGCTAGCAGAAGGCAAGAAATAACTAAAATCAGAGCAGAACTGAAGGAAATAGGGACACAAAAAACCCTTCAAAAATTAATGAATCCAGAAGCTGTTTTTTTGAAAAGATCAACAAAATTGATAGACCGCTAGCAAGACTAATAAAGAAGAAAAGAGAGAATAATCAAATAGACGCAATAAAAAATGATAAAGGGGATATCACCACCGATCCCACAGAAATACAAACTACCATCAGAGAATACTATAAACACCTCTATGCAAATAAACTAGAAAATCTAGAAGAAATGGATAAATTCCTCGACACATACACCCTCCCAAGACTAAACCAGGAAGAAGTTGAATCTCTGAATAGACCAATAACAGGAGCTGAAATTGTGGCAATAATCAATAGCTTACCAACCAAAAAATGTCCAGGACCAGATGGATTCACAGCTGAATTCTACCAGAGGTACAAGGAGGAACTGGTACCATTCCTTCTGAAACTATTCCAATCAATAGAAAAAGAGGGAATCCTCCCTAACTCCTTTTATGAGGCCAGCATCATCCTGATACCAAAGCCGGGCAGAGACACAATCAAAAAAGAGAATTTTAGAGCAATATCCTTGATGAACATTGATGCAAAAATCCTCAATAAAATACTGGCAAACTAAATCCAGCAGCACATCAAAAAGCTTATCCACCATGATCAAGTGGGCTTCATCCCTGGGATGCAAGGCTGGTTCAACATACGCAAATCAATAAATGTAATCCAGCATATAAACAGAACCAAAGACAAAAACCACATGATTATCTCAATAGATGCAGAAAAGGCCTTTCACAAAATTCAGCAACCCTTCATGCTAAAAACTCTCAATAAATTAGGTATTGATGGGACGTATCTCAAAATAATAAGAGCTATCTATGACAAACCCACAGCCAATATCATACTGAACGGGCAAAAACTGGAAGCATTCCCTTTGAAAAGTGGCACAAGACAGGGATGCCCTCTCTCACCACTCCTATTCAACATAGTCTTGGAAGTTCTGGCCAGGGCAATTAGGCAGGAGAAGGAAATAAAGGGTATTCAATTAGGAAAAGAGGAAGTCAAATTGTCCCTGTTTGCAGATGACATGATTGTATATCTAGAAAACCCCACTGTCTCAGCCCAAAATCTCCTTAAGCTGATAAGCAACTTCAGCAACGTCTCAGGATACAAAATCGATGTACAAAAATCACAAGCATTCTTATACTCCAATAACAGACAAACAGAGAGCCAAATCATGAGTGAACTCCCATTCACAATTGCTTCAAAGAGAATAAAATACCTAGGAATCCAACTTACAAGGGATGTGAAGGATCTCTTCAAGGAGAACTACAAACCACTGCTCAGTGAAATAAAAGAGGATACAAACAAATGGAAGAACATTCCATGCTCATGGGTAGGAAGAATCAATATCGTGAAAATGGCCATACTGCCCAAGATAATTTATAGATTCATTGCCATCCCCATCAAGCTACCAATGACTTTTTCACAGAATTGGAAAAACTACTTTAAAGTTCATATGGAACCAAAAAAGAGCCTGCATCGCCAAGTCAATCCTAAGCCAAAAGAACAAAGCTGGAGGCATCACACTACCTGACTTCAAACTCTACTACAAGACTACAGTAACCAAAACAGCATGGTACTGGTACCAAAACAGAGATACAGATCAATGGAACAGAACAGGGCCCTCAGAAATAATGCCGCATATCTACAACCATCTGATGTTTGACAAACCTGACAAAAACAAGCAATGGGGAAAGGATTCCCTATTTAATAAATGGTGCTGGGAAAACTGGCTAGCCATATGTAGAAAGCTGAAACTGGATCCCTTCCTTACACCTTATACAAAAATTAATTCAAGATGGATTAAAGACTTAAACGTTAGACCTAAAACCATAAAAACCCTAGAAGAAAACCTAGGCAATACCATTCAGGACATAGGCACGGGCAAGGACTTCATGTCTAAAACACCAAAAGAATGGCAACAAAAGCCAAAATTGACAAATGGGTTCTAATTAAACTAAAGAGCTTCTGCACAGCAAAAGAAACTACCATCAGAGTGAACAGGCAACCTACAAAATGGGAGAAAATTTTCACAACCTACTCGTCTGACAAAGGGCTAATATCCAGAATCTACAATGAACTCAAACAAATTTACAAGAAAAAAACAAACAACCCCATCAAAAAGTGGGCGAAGGATATGAACAGACACTTCTCAAAAGAAGACATTTATGCAGCCAAAAAACGCATGAAAAAATGCTCATCATCACTGGCCAACAGAGAAATGCAAACCAAAACCACAATGAGATACCATCTCACACCAGTTAGAATGGCAATCATTAAAAAGTCAGGAAACAACAGGTGCTGGAGAGGATGTGGAGAAATAGGAACACTTTTACACTGTTGGTGGGACTGTAAACTAGTTCAACCATTGTGGAAGTCAGTGTGGTGATTCCTCAGGGATCTAGAACTAGAAATACCATTTGACCCAGTCATCCCATTACTGGGTATATACCCAAAGGATTATAAATCATGCTGCTATAAAGACACATGCACACGTATGTTTATTGCGGCACTATTCACAATAGCAAAGACTTGGAACCAACCCAAATGTCCAACAACGATAGACTGGATTAAGAAAATGTGGCACATATACACCATGGAATACTATGCAGCCATAAAAAATGAAGAGTTCATGTCCTTTGTAGGGTCATGGATGAAACTGGAAATCATCATTCTCAGAAAACTGTTGCAAGGACAAAAAAACAAACACTGCATTTTCTCACTCATAGATGGGAATTGAACAATGAGAACACATGGACACAGGAAGGGGAACATCACACTCTGGGGACTGTTGTGGGGTGGGGGAAGGGGGGAGAGATAGCACTAGGAGATATACCTAAAGCTAAATGACGAATTAATGGGTGCAGCACACCAGCATGTCACATGTATACATATGTAACTAACCTGCACATTGTGCACATGTACCCTAAAACTTAAAGTTTAATAATAATAAAATTAAAAAAAAAAAAGAAAATGGAAACATCAAGGAGACTAATGAAATTTAGTTAGAATTTAACAAACTACAATGAATAGCTACCTATCCCATGATTTTGGCAACGTTGTAAGTGTGAGAAATTTTAAGAAGTGTGGTTCATTTTACGATTCATAGTTTTGCCCCTAGGGAATTCATTAATTCTCTTGCAAATAATTTTGTTAATAATGCAGATAAGGGGATATAGTTCAAAATAGATTTCCTTTTAATTGATGTGTCATAAAACCTATTTCTATACCTGATACATTCTTTATCAAAATTTAATACTAAGAGCAGTAGGACTTCATTTCAAATATTCGTACTCAATATGCAGGAGTAACATTTAAAAAATTTTAAGCATGTAAAAGTGAATGATACATAATGCGGTTAAGACAATTGTCAATAAAACTGATTTTTTTGTGACTAGTTGAAAATATGATAACCAAGATAAAACCCATTATTCTTCTGGTTCCAGTAATACTTGTAATTTTAAAATGAGTACTAATAGGCTTTGCAAATTTTGAACAACTACATTATAAGCAGAATAAAAAGAAAAGGTAAATTTATTAGTATGTACCTCTATTAGAAACTACACGAAGAGATAACAAAATCCAATGTAAATCCTTAACAAAATTGGTTTTCAGTTTATGGTCGTGTAAAATAGGTCCCATCCAAGTAAAAGTCAATGCTCTGGATTGGTCTTTGCCAGTTTGCTATAACTATAAAAGTCAAGTATTTCTCTCAGTTGCAATACCTCTGCTTAACCTTAGCTGAGGAAAACTTTATAAGGGGAAAAATAGAATCAGTTGAGAAAAAAAAGAAACTCATGCTATAAAATAAACAGTAAACATTAGTGGATATAGGTTTAGTAAATATTAGACATATTGGCATATATAGAGATTTAGAAATGGATATGTGATTAACCAACAAATATTGACTGAGTTTGAATGAATGATTAAATAATAATTTCTTTTTAAAAAAGCAATGAAGTCATAATTAGCCAAGAGAACACTCATAACTGGCCACCACATTACTTCTTTAATTTTTCCTCAGTGTTTTCTTTCTCTTTTATGATTCATATCTCCAAAAGGCAGACACAACTGAAATTTAAGTCTATCCACGTTATTGCTTATTAGCACTTTTTGTGCTGGATGAGTAGGAGGTGATTCATAAGCTTATGATTAAAGGGAGTTTCTACATTGTCTGCACTCTAAATCATTATCAGTTATGCCTCTCTTTTGTTAATATGAAAGTGAGTAATTATTAGAAGCTTTTGATAAGTGTATCTTTTCAGTAAATACACTTTTGAAAATTTTTAACAAATAGATAATTCACGTTTATCCTTGTTTCTAAGGAAAGATTATCCCTGATTTCATTTTTCTCTTTAGTAATTCCATCCAACTCTAACCATGTCTTAATACTATCTAAACAGTAGAGTATTAACTATACTATCTATACAACAGTCACTGTATAGATCAGCCAGTTTAAATCATTAGGGTTGAATTAAAACAAAAGGGCTGCCATGACCTGGATAAAATTTTGAATCAACAGTTTAACGTTGTATTCATGTAACACTGGAAATCCAAGATTAAGCACCCTGAATGCCTGTCTCAATCCCACGTCTGAGTCACTGATGTTGTCTAGTCACCAGCTATATTTTCCAGATACAATTTTTCCAAAACAAATAACATAAATTAATATAATGAAAGTTGTCCTAATTCTTAACATATACTATAAATCCCATCCTTCTTGCTTTCTCAATGGCATTAATCAACTAAAATTATTTTTTGTTTTTGTTTTGTTTTGGGGGACAGTCTCGCTCTGTCGCCCAGGCTGGAGTGCAGTGGCGTGATCTTGGCTCACTACAACCTCCACCTCCCGAGTTCAAGCAATTCTTGAGCCTCAGCCTCCAGAGTAGCTGGGATTACAGAAGCACGTCACCACGATCAGCTTTTTTTTTTTTTTTTTAATTTTCAGTAGAGACAGGGTTTTGTCAAGTTGCCCAGGCTGGTCTGGAGCTCCTGGCCTCAAGTGATCTGACCGTCTTGGACTCCCAAAGTGCTGGGATTAGAGGTGTGAGCCACCACGTCCAGCCAATCAACCAAAATTCAATCTAGGTCTTAAAGCTATAATCGTTTCCACATTGAGGGATCTTTCTTATTGCCTATAATGCAGTCGTGCCCTCCCTAATTTAAGAATATCCCCTTTATTCATATCCTCATTTCCTTATTTTCACCACAAATTCCTAAAATTGTAGAATCTACCTGAAGAATATATTTCTTTGTTATCAATGAAGTTCATGTTAAAGCTCAACTTTATGTATGGAATTCATTTCTATAAAAATTCCGCAGTAAAAATGGGACGTATTTAACGCTTGAGAACTCCAAGCCTTGAGATGGTTGTGAACTTTCTACACCCACATTAACAAATAACTACATGACAAGGTCAAGCTAGAATATAGCTCCAGAATTCTCTGTATGACTTTCTACAATTTATTTGACGTTCTCAGATTGGTGGCTACTCTAGGTCTGTATTTTCTCTGAAACATAAATCTCAAAATATTTTAAGTATAAGAAATTGAGAAAAAAATTAAAGACATCTTGATTCAGTCTCTTCATTCACTGGCAAACTTTTACATTTAGTAATTCATACCAGCTACCCACATTTCTCACAGTCCCTGTTTCTTAATGCTCTGTAATTCAACTCTCAATAATCTATTCTAACAGCTGCTATGAAGGCTCCATTGATCTCCCACTTACTAAAACTAAAAGCTTTTCTTCCCTCATTCATCCTGGCCTCTATGCAGCATTTGGCACATTTAGCTTTTTTGAAAATTTCTCTTCGTTGGGTTTCCATGGGACGAGGCCACTACAATATATTACCTTTCCTCGTATATCATCAGTCACCTCCACTCTTACTTCATTTGTCCCTTACCCTCCTTAAATATGAATGTGCTACAAGTCTGTTTTATTCATGTCTTAGTCTACATCTCTTCTTCAGGGATCACCACAAATTTTTCAGCTTCACCTTTATCTTGTTCATATGACATATTGCTGCAAAGAAACATACACATATCCACATTTATACGTGCATGTACATATATTCCCACATTTTCCTGTAGATATGCCACTTATGTTGGTTGCGTATGTGAAGATGTGTATATGCTTATATAGATAAAGAGAATCATTAGAGATCAATGAGCAGATATAACACTGATGGCTCTTCTGAGCTCCATTTTCCAACAACCTACTACATATACTTACCTCGAAGCTCTATCACTCTGAACACTATGTATTTAATATGAAATTCATCTCTGCCATCTTTTAGTTGCATTTAACTCATCCTTTTTTTCATAATAGAGCCCATTATTTTAAAACAGTATTCTCTTCTTCACCACATTCTAATCAAAGTTTTAAACCTGTGCCAGCTATATTTATATCTTCTAACACTGACTATCTAGAATTGTGTTAGTGAGCATTTTAACTTCTTCCCTTGCCTAGTTAAAATATGATATTTAGGGCACCCTGGAAATAATTTAATTATAAAAGAATAAAATAAATATTAAGTAGGTGTATTAGTCCATTTTCACGCTGCTGATAAACACATACCCAAGACTGGGGAGAAAAAGAGGTTTAACTGGATTTACAGGCCAGGCATGGCAGCCCACATCTGTAATCCCAGCATTTTGGGAGGCTGAGGAAGGCGGATCACTTGAGATCAGGAGTTCAAGACCAGCCTGGCCAAAGAGGTGAAACCCCGTCTCTACTAAAGGTACAAAACTTAACCAGGCATGGTGGCACATGCTTGTAGTCCCAGCTACTTGAACCCACTTGAACCCAGACTGCATTCCAGCCTGGGTGACACAGTGAGACTCTATCTCAAAATAAATAAATAAATAAATAATTGGACTTACAGTTCCACATGGCTGGGGAGGCCTCAGAATTATGCTGGGAGGTAAAAGGCACTTCTTACAAGGGGGTGGCAAGAGAAAATGAGGAAGATGCAAAGGCAGAAACCCCTGATAAAACCATCAGATCTCATGAGACTTATTCACTACCATGAGAACAATATGGAGGAAACTGCCCCCATGATTCAAATTATCTCCCACTGGGTTCCTCCCACAACACGTGGGAATTATGGGAGTACAAGTCAAGATGAGATTTGGGTGGGGACACAGCAAAACCATATCACTCCTGCCCTGGCCACTCCACATTTCATGTCCTCACATTTCAAAACCAATCATGCCTTCCCAACAGTCCCCCAAAGTCTAACACATTTCAGCATTAACCCAAAAGTCCACAGTCCAAAGTCTCAAGTCCCTTCCCTCCATGAGCCTATAAAATCAAACACAAGCTAGTTACTTCCTAGGTAAAATGGGGGTACGGGTATTTGGTAAATATAGCTATTCAAAATGGGAGAAATTGGCCAAAACAAAGGGGTTAAAGGGGCCCATGAAAGTCCAAATTCCAGTGGGGCAGTCAAATTTTAAAGCTCCAAAATGATTTCCTTTGACTCCAGGTCTCACATCCAGGTCACACTGATGCAGGAGGTTGTTTCCCATGGTCTTGGGCAGCTCTGCCCCTGTGGCTTTGAAAGGCACAGCCTTTCTCTCAGCTGCTTTCACAGGCTGGCATTGAGTGTCTGTGGCTTTTCCAGGGAAACAGTGCAAGCTGTCAGTGGATCTAACATTCTGGGATCTGGAGGACAGTGGCCCTCTTCTCACAGCTCCACTAGGCAGTGCCTCAGTAGGGACTCTGTGTGGGGCCTCCAACCTCACACTTCCCTTCCACAATGCCCTAAGCAGAAGTTCTCCATGAGCAGCCCACCCCTGCAGCAAATTTCTGCCTGGGCATCCAGGCATTTCCATACATCTTCTGAAATCTAGGTGGAGGTTCCCAAATCCCAGCTCTTGACTTCTGTGCACTGGCAGGCTCAACATCATGTGGAAGCCACCAAGGCTTGAGGCTTGCACCCTCTGAAGCCATGACCCGAGCTCTACATTGGCCACTTTCAGCCATGGCTGGAGCAGGTGGGACACAGGGGACCAAGTCCCTAGGCCGCACACAACACGGGGACCCTGGATCTAGCCCCTGAAACCATTTCCTCCTAGGCCTCCAGGCCTGTGATGGGAGGGGCTGCTGTGGAGACCTCTGACATGCCCTGGAAACATTTTCCCCGTTGTCTTGGGAATTAACATTTGGCTCCTCATTACTTATGCAAATTTCTTCAGCTGGCTTGAATTTTTCCTCAGAAAATGTGTTTTTCTTTTCTATCACATTGTCTGGCTGCAAATTTTCTGAACTTTTATGCTCTGCTTCACCTATAAAACTGAATGCCTTCAAAAGCACCCAACTCATCTCTTGAATGCTTTGCTGCCTAGAAATTTCTTCCACTAGATACTCTAAATCATCTCTCTCAAGTTCAAAGTTCCACAAATCTCTAGGCTGGGGCAAAATGCTACCAGTCTCTTTGCTAAAACATAACAAGAGTTGCCTTTGTTCCAGTTCCCAACAAGTTTTCATCTCCATCTGAGACCACCTCAGCCTGGACTTTATTGTCCATATTGCTATCAGGCTTATGGTCAAAGCCATTCAACAAGTCTCTAGGAAGTTCCAAACTTTCCCCCATTTTCCTGCCTTCTTCTGAGCCCTCCAAACTATTCCAACCTCTGCCTGTTACCCAAAGTTGCTTTCACATTTTTGGGTATCTTTTCAGCAATGCCCCACTCTACTGGTACCAATTTACTGTGTTAGTCCATTTTCACACTGCTGATAAAGATATAACCAAGGCTGGGAAGAAAAAGAGGTTTAACTAGACTTACAGTTCCACATGGCTGGGAAGGACTCAGAATTATGCTGGGAGGTGAAAGGCACTTCTTATATGGCAGCAGCAAGAGAAAATGAGGAAGATGCAAAATGGAAACCCCTGATAAAACCATCAGATCTCATGAGACTTATTCACTACCATGAGAACAGTATGGGGGAAACCACTCCCATGATTCAAATTATCTCCCACCAGGTCCCTCCCACAACATGTGGGAATTATGGGAGTACAATCCAAGATAAGATTTGAGTGGGGAAACAGCCAAACCATATCAGTAGCCAAATGAATTTTGATGGTGTCAGTTTTCTTTGCTACTCAAACCCCAGGCTTCTGTAAGTTCTTCCCCTCCTTCATAAGAGCTTAAGTAGCAAGACAATTTTTGTTTACTTATTTTTCCCCACTAGGTTCTGTCACATGATGTCTCAGGCAGTAGTAGTATTCTGTAACTTCCTCTGCATTACCAAATTGTGGCCATCAGATCCAGCTCTTTAAAATCTATAAGATTTTCTGCAATATCTAAAATATACATGTGGCTATAAGTTTGGGTCATTGAATATTTTGAATTTATCTGTTCAAACATTATAGACTAAATAGAAAAAAAGGGAAATAATAAAGTATTTTATATGCGTAGCAAACTCTTCTCTAAGGTTCTGACTAATTTTTTTTTTCTGCCTGTATTAGTCCGTTTTCACACTGCTATAAAGATTCTACCTGAGACTGGGTAATTTATAAATAAGAGAGGTTTCACTGACTCACAGTTCTGCATAGCTGAGGAGGCCTCAGGAAACTTATAATAATGGCAGAAGGTAAAGGGGAAGTCAGCACCTTCTTCGCAAGGTGGCAGGAGAGAGAAAAAGAGTGAAGCAGGAACTGCCAAACACTTATAAATCGATAAGCTCTAGTGAGAACTTACTCACTATCACAAGAACAGCAGAGGGGAACCATCCGCATGATCCAATCACTTTCCACCAAGTTCCTCCCTCAACACCTGAGGGTTACAATTCAACATGATATTTGAGTGGGGACACAGAGATAAACCATATTTCCTCATCTCTTTTATTTACAAATAATCACTGCCTCCTACCTGGAAGAAAATTTATATTAATTTCTGGGTTATAATCACATTATCTGTGACTAATATATTTATCTTTTTCATTTAAAAATGGCCCAACTACAGATATATTACAAATGGCTTTTTCCATTTTTGTATTCAAAATCCTGTGAAAGTGACAACAAAAACACACTACTCAACTGAAAGCTACAATTGCTTGTATTAGAGAAGATTAAATTCTTAGGTCAGTTGACTTAAACTACTCATACTCTGTAGATTTAACAGTATAAAAGCAAAATAATGGTAATATGATAACTAGAGAAATGTGGTAAATATGATAAATTACTCTAACATTTTATTTAGACTGCCACATGATTAAGACTGTTGCAATGATTACTGTAATTATCACATTTTAAAAAGTAGCAAAATGAAGATATCTGCTTTAAAGATGATCTGAAGTTACAACTTGATAATAGAAGTAAAATCAGTATTGGATGAAAAAATTCAATTAGTATGAACTGATTTGCTTGAGCAGCTTCAGGGAACTTAACCTCTAGTCTCCTCTTTTAGTTTTTCTAATTGTGTTTCCCCTATATTATCACTACATGAGATACCCAATATTCATTATTAATATTATTGGAGGTCCTTCCCCTCTCTGAATCTCTTTTTATCATATCTTTTTATCACGTTTTATTGTTCTTCTGTCTTCACATATATGTGAGATTGAAGACTGCCTGACTATATAATAATGATGTCAGCGTCAGAGACAACATAAAGATTCCAGAAGAAGATTTAAAATATGTAATTCCTTTCTTTATAAATGTTGAACATTTAAAATGTTAAAAAATTGAGCCAATGTCATTTATAAACATGAATCATGTTTGCTTGGGCTCTTCACTAAGCCTCAACTCCATGGACAAGAAACCACTTTAGGAATTTTAAAGTAGAATATAAGGAATTATACATCAAGAATTATCTTTTATTAGCAAAAAATGTTGATTGAATTTGGTGAATTATATGTAAACTTTTATCTAGTTCAGCTACCTCAAGGTAGCTGAAGCTTTTTTATCACAAGGGACGTTAATTGAAATGTTTTATGAAAGACACAGTCCTTGTCGAATTGAAAGTCCATTAATTTAAATGAATGTATAGCCTATTTTATATGTAAACAAAAATTTTACATCTTCTAGCAACTCTACGTATGATTTTGTAGTACATGCAGCATTATTACAATATGGGTGAGCATTAAATGTAAAAAAGTAATTATAATTGAATGCAGATTGCATGAAGGGTAAAAGGCAAATAATGTTTAGTATACAAACAGATATTAAAAGAAGATGTTTACTTAATCTTATCTAGGCAATACTGCTTGAAATTAAAACTTTAATGAATGTAATTACTTGTGCACAAGTAAAAGAATATTAAATCTAATTATAAGTTTCCTTTAAAGGTTTTAAACCATCTCTTTTTTATTCTACTATACAGCTAAGAAAAATATCAATTCATACATTATTGTTATTAAAATAATTATGTTTTTATGTAGTTAAAAACTTAAGTTATATCTGTAAAATATTACAGAATAATTAAAGGAGCAAGTTATAAATGTTCAAATGTGCTAAATATCGGATCTGCTGAAGAAATGTAATTACAAGTCTTTGCCTACTTACTATTCCACTATAAACGGTAAAAGAAGTTGCTTATAAAATGTAAGATTCCATTATCATCTACTACAAAGCCATACATTCCCATATTTAAAATAAAGCCTATCTATGAAATCACATGTCAGCAGCTATTCAACATCAAAAGTAGAAGCTATTTCAAGTTAATTGTAGTTGTTGTCATTCTTGACCCATTTTAGAAATAATGCATAGGCCTCAAAACATAAGAATTGCCTTCAAATAAAAACATATAAACCTGACATGTGAAAATAAATGTTTGAATGATATAAGAGAGTAGCTTAACAAAACAGAAATATTCACTAGTATTCAAAGACATTTAATTGTAGAATACATCACAATGTCTTACAGAACTGAAACTACTTATAAAATGGTGACTCTTCCACAGGATATATAAATATGGCTTTATAATTTGTACCTATTCCATGGTTAACTCCTCGTTCTATGTTAATGTCTAAAGGAAGCAGCATTATTGCCTTAAGACTTGCTGATATTCATCTACAATCTTTTCTCATATAGGTTTTTTTTTTAACTTCATGTTCTAGCCCATTGATATTCGTTCAATCTTTAGAAATGTTTAATAATATGAGTTCCTGGGTTTTATCTGTACAAAGCCAGAATACCTGGAAAACAATGATATGGCAAAGCTGTCCATTTCTCTCTCGCTTTTAGGGATCTGAATAACCTGAAACTCAGCGTACCATGCAGCAACCTGAATGCCATGTAAGAATGCAATTGAAAAGTAAGAATGCAATTGAAAAGTCAGTTGTTTAGGTGTTTCATCAATATCATGCCTTGCTGCAACTGATAATTAGGTTAATCACAAATACGTTATTTTGTAATGCTGAAAATAATTTTACAAATATCATTTTACTCAAAATAAATATTTTATTGATTCTCATTAATCTTACATTAGCTACATTTGCTTGCAAAATATGACTGGATAGCATCTTTTTAAAGTTATAAGATATGAGGCAGTGCTTTGTGATATTACATCTGTATTCTCTATTTATAATAGTAGCAAACACTTGCTTATCGCTTATTAGTTTGGCATTCTTCTAAAAGCCCTACAAGTATTAACTACTTTAACACAAATAAACCTTATAGTTACTATTTCACAAAGGAGGAAATAGGCACATAAAAATAAGTATTTTGCTCAACCTCACATAACTACTAGGATAGAATAGATCCAAACTGAAGTAGTCAGTCTGACTCTAGAATACATATTTTAGGCTATTATGAGTCACATGTGATATTGTTTTCTTAGTATTTGAGAGGCATTTAATTTGGATTAAGAGGGTTAGTGTTTATGAAAATATCAGACACCTAGCAGGCATTAAGTCCATTTTCTTCATTTCTGTCCCGTGACTTCACATTCACCTTCATGATAGGATCCAAGTGTCCCTATTGTCTGCGGTACGCCCTTCCATCATGAGCCATGTACAACAGCTTTTTCATCGGTGGCTTCAATCCAAGACTTAGCTTCAAATAAGTACAACAGTAAAGAGCATTGAATTCTTGCTGATAACTTGGCTTCAGGTCAATTTTTTTACATGAAGAATTACAGGCAAAGATTTATAACAAATCATCTTCATCGCTAATTAATCAAACCTAGATATAATTTCTTCCTGTACTTTATGAATAGCAGATTTAAATTTAATTTTTATTAAAGGAAAATCAGATCTCTTTCCATGTTTTAGAAATTAAAAATACTAAGGGCATACCTGATAAGTAGAAAATTTGATGGCAACCCTAGTATTAGAATTAGATGTCTCAACTTCAAAAGAACAAGATTTCTGGCTCTGTATGCTGTTTGAAAATTTACAAGGGAGAGATGGAGAATGAAAGATAAAATAAGCCATAGGAGGTACTGATGAATTAGATACCAAGCTTAGTCATTCTTCAGGATGTGGAGTGTACCAGAAATAGGTACTTTGCAGCATAATATATGGTATTTCATGGGGTATTTTCCCCAGTGATTGATAATCAAATCTCCAATAATGTTCACAACTTTTCATCCTTAATAACTGCTGATAGTTTATTTCTGTGAAAACAATCTTCTTTATTAAATAAAAGAAAATTTGAGACGGCTATAAATATGGACAATGTGTCTTCTTGAATATTTAAACACCAATGATTTACCAACCTACTTATCCTCACTGTTGGCAATAGCCACTAGTTTTAGAAGGGGAATAAATTACCATTTCCATATTTCTTTTCACTTGACTCTGACCTTCCATGCTTGGAGGTCCCCTCCAATAGCAAACTGTCTTTCTGGATCCCTCAGTAACTTAGTCCCTAGATAACCACAAGTTTTTATTTTTAAATCTTACTTTCAGCAATTCCACAGCACTAAAGTTAATGGCTTGCTAAACCCTTGAATACCATTAAAAGCAGGAGTCTGCACATTTGTCTTTTAACTTTGTGTCTGTTCTACTTTCCATTCTTCTTTAAACAGTTGTTCTTCTATAAAGGCTCAGCAGGGAGCTGTTCCCCACAGGCTCAATGAAGTGTTCACATCCGCTGGTCTCTCTAGCAGCAGATTCAATACATTTATTTGGACAAAATTAGTCCCTTGAAACGTGGTGAGTTCTCAATTTATTGAATGGTAAAGCAAAAAACAAACCAATCAAAAAGACTAAACAGACACTTGTATTTCCAATCTCCCAAATGTAACATCCATCAGATAGATCTTGATAAATTTTTTAAAAATCAAAACTTTGCAACTTCATAAACAAAGAGAAAACTCCAAGAAATCTCCTTCATGTAAAAGATAAATAAAAATAAGAATGTCTCTGTATTCTTTATACCTTTCTTTTGAAACTTAAATTATAAGAAAACAACAAATATTCTGCATTAAAATGTTTAAAATAATAAGCTTACCTAAATTTCTGATGATATTGTGTAACTAAATGTAATTCAAATTTAAGAAAGATAAATATATTCTGCACGAAGTACATATCAAACATGTTAATGTAAGTCAAAGTTATTTTCATAAAACATGAGTACTACAAATACCAACCAATAATGGATTTAGTGTTGCATGGAAATTTTCCAAACTTCCAACTATTTATTTGAAGGAGTGTGTGTAAACCATAGCATGTCCAAATACACACACATTTCTCCTCATAGAGTAAAAAAAAAAAAATTAGAACACACACAAATCAAAATCTAATGTAAAAAAAATGAGTATACTAACACAGAATTTCCATTTCAATTAAAATTAGCAGACTAGAGAAAGCAGTACACTATAGTTTAGATCATTATTATAAGAATCTGGTTAGTGTCAATGAAGCTGATGACATGTTTTCCATTGGTCCAAATATTGAGATGAGTTTTTAAAACAATTATCATGTTGTTCTCCCAGATATCTTATCCTCTTTCCAGTGTTGGATATGTAACTAATGAAACCACTCAAGCTAAGAATAAATTGTCAGAAACTCATCTCTCTTTTTTGTTTATATATGTGTCATTTTATTAGATATTTGAGATGATTAATACACAGAAGGTTTCATTTCCACTAGGGGTTTACAATCTTCTGTAAATGTAAGGCAGACATGAGTTTTTTCTCTACATGCAAGGGAAGAAGACAATTTTTCTTTTCCTTTCTTTTTTTAACTTTTATTTTAAATTCAGGGGGCACATGTACAGGCTTATTACCTGGCTCTATTGTGCGATGCTGAGGTTTGAGGTAACAATGATTCTGTCACCTTGGTACTGAGTATAGGACCCAGTAATTGGTTTTTCAGTTCTTGCCTCTAATCCTGTGTCCGGTACTGGTGGGTTCTTTGTCTCACTGACTTCAAGAATGAAGCCGCAGACCCTTGCAGTGAGTGATACAGCTCTTAAGTTGGCGCTTCTGGAGTTTGTTCCTTCTGATGTTCGGATGTGTTTGGAGTTTCTTCCTTCTGGTGGGTTCGTGGTCTTGCTGGCTCAGGAGTGAAGCTGCAGACCTTCACCGTGAGTGTTACAGCTCTTAAGGCGGCGTGTCTTGAGTTGTTCCTTCCTCCCGGTGGGCTCATGGTCTCGCTGGCTTCAGGAGTGAAGCTGCAGACCTTCACAGTGAGTGTTACAGCTCATAAAGGCAGTGTGGACCCAAAGAGTGAGCAGTAGCAAGATTTATTGCAAAGAGCAAAAGAACAAAGCTTCCACAGTGTGGAAGGGGACCGGAGTGGGTTGCCACTGCTAGCTCCGGCAGCCTGCTTTTATTCTCTTATCTGGCCCCACCCACATCCTGCTGATTGGTAGAGCCTAATGGTCTGTTTTGACAGGGCGCTGATTGGTGCGTTTACAGTCCCTGAGCTAGACACAAAGGTTCTCCACGTCCCCACCAGATTAGCTAGATACACAGTGTGGACACAAAGGTTCTCCAAGTCCCCACCAGAGTAGCTAGATACAGAGTGTCCATTGGTGCATTCACAAACCCTGAGCTAGACACAGGGTGCTGATTGGCGTATTTACAATCCCTGAGCTAGACATAAAGGTTCTCCAGGTCCCCACCAGACTCAGGAGCCCAGCTGGCTTCACCTAGTGGATCCCGCACCAGGGCTGCAGGTGGAGCTGCCTGGGTCCTGCGCCCTGCACCCGCACTCTTCAGCCCTTGGGTGGTCAATGGGACTGGGCGCCATGGAGCAGGGGGTGGCGCTCATCGGCGAGGCTCAGCCACACAGGAGCCCACAGAAGGGGTGGGAGGCTCAGGCATGGCGGACTGCAGGTCCTGAGCCCTGCCCCGCTGGAAGGCAGCTAAGGCCCGGTGAGAAATCGAGCGCAGCGCTGGTGGGCTGGCACTGCTGGGGGACCCAGTACACCCTCCACAGCCGCTGGCCTGGGTGCTAAGCCCCTCGTTGCCCGGGGCCGGCAGGGCCGGCCGGCTGCTCCAAGTGCAGGGCCCGCCAAGCCCACGCCCACCGGGAACTCCAGCAGGCCTGCAAGCGCGGCGCTCAGCCCCGGTTCCCGCTCGTGCCTCTCCCTCCACACCTCCCTGCAAGCTGAGGGCGCCGGCTCTGGCCTTGGCCAGCCCAGAAAGGGGCTCCCACAGTGCAGCGGTGGGCTGAAGGGCTCCTCAAGCGCCGCCAAATTGGGAGCCCAGGCAGAGGAGGCACCCAGAGCGAGTGAGGGCTGTGAGGATTGCAGGCACGCTGTCACCTCCCAATCCCACCACTAGTAGTCCCCAGTTTCTAATGTTGCCACCTTCATGTCCAATGTTTAGCTCCCATTTATAAGTTAAAACATGTGATATTTCGTTTTCTGTTTCTGCATTAATTTGGTTAGGATAATGGCCTTCAGCTGCATCCATGTTGCTGCAAAGGACATGATTTGTCCCTTTTTATGCCTGCATACTATTCCATGGTGTATATGTATCATATTTTCTTTATCCAGTCCACTGCTGTTGGGTACCTAGGTATCTTGATTTCATGTCTTTGCTATTGTGACTAGTGCTGTAAGAAACACACAAATGCATATGTCTTTTAGGTAGAATTATTTGTTTTCTTTCGGGTATATATCCAGTCATGGAATTGCTGAGACAAATGGTAGTTCAACTCTTAGTTCTTTGAGAAATCTTGAAACTGCTTTCCACAGTGACTTAACTAATTTGCATTCCCATCAAGAGTATATAGGCATTCTCTTCTCCACAGCCTCACCAGCATCTGATTTTTTTTTTTCTTTTTCTTTTTCTGAGAGGGAGTCTTGCTCTGTCGCCCAGGCTGGAGTGCAGTGGCGTGATCTCGGCTCACTGCAACCTCCACCTCCTGGGTTCACGCCCTTCTCCTGCCTCAGCCTCCCGAATAGCTGGGACTACAGGCGCCTGCCACCACGCTCGGCTAATGTTTTGTATTTTTAGTAGAGACGGGGTTTCACCGTGTTAGCTAAAATGGTTTCGATCTCCTGACCTCGTGATCGGCCCGCCTCGGCCTCCCAAAGTGCTGGGATTACAAGCGTGAGCCACCGCACACGGCCCAGCATCGTTTTTTTAAAAAACTTTTTAATAATAGCCATCTGACAGGTGTAAGATGGTACTTCATTGTTGTTTTGATTTGCATTTCTCTGATGATTAATGACATTTCATCAGTTGATATAAAATCACTTAGCATAGAAAAAGGCCAAATCAAATCTGTTCTATTTGCTCTATAAATGGGGACATCACTTTAAAAATGGCAGAAGTGAATGTGGATCAAAAAGAAGAGGGAATAGGTAATAAATCTCAAATGTCATTCATCAAAGGATTCGATTCTAGGGTCATTGCTTTATTAAATTTGTCTACCTATTCCATACTACTGAATAGAACACATGCATGAGATAATACCAAACCCCAAGATTCCATCTCAACTCTAAATGAAAATGTCATTTTAGAGTTTGAATCCTTGATACAATATTATTAATTCTGATTTTGATTTTTTACTGCAAATTTATTTCGACAATATGTTATCATAGCAATGTTTCACTGTCTAAAAATTAAAATATGCTCTTTATTGATGGTATATACAATTCGTTTAAATCATGTAAAGTAGAAATGCGTATTGAAGCTCACTTCCAGCAGTTACATGAAATAGGATGGTTTTAAGTGCGTTATCATCGTACTATGCATTAGAGAGGAATATATGGATGACACGGTTTTAAGTAGTGATGTCTCCAACTGTCAATCAATCTGACCTAGCAAGGTCCTTCTATTTGTCATAACTAGAGATCCCTAATGGTAAAGGTGAAGCTGCAGACTAAAATGGCATTTCAATTCTCTGTTCATAGTCACTCAAAGGCAGACATTTCCAAATAGCCAGTTGGTATGGTATAAATAAATTCCCCATAAAATGTGTCATACTTGTTTAGCTATAGTGCCACACTTTATTTAACACAAAATGTATGACCCTCACCCAACGCATCATCTATGTGAATAGATAAAGGTTGATGAATAAATTTTTTCAAAAGTATATTTAAATAGTGCAATTAGCTGCAGGAAAGGATTCTGCTTTAAAATAAACCAAAATACAGTGTTTTCTTGATTACTAGGGACAATTGATTCCCTTTTCAGGGTTCATAAAAGGCTATGGAAAGGAGAAATGGAAGGCTAAGCAGAGGATGACTTGGGTTCTTATTTCACTATGGTTTACATCGCATTTTAAATAAGCTTTGTTTAGGGGAGAAAAAGCGTTTCTCTTGCTTGAATGAGAGTCTGAAATCCTCTGCATTATATCACAACTGCTATTATTCCCTTTGCAAAGACTTGAGAGCAGAAAGAATAAAGCAGACTAGCTAACTAGAACAAGAATTGAACCTAGAAAGAACAGGGGACAAATAAAAACTTCAAGGGTACACAACAACTCAGAATTTCCTGAATAAAAGGGAAATTTAGTCATAGTGTCCTTGTTGTGTAACCTCACTCTTACTTCTGCTATAATTCATCTTTTCTCATTAGAATATGAGTTATAAACATGTAAGACTACGCTTGCCTATTGAGAGGTTGCTCGGTTCTCCTTGTCAATAAGAGGAAAATGGTACTCTGTATCTTAGACGTATCTGTTAAAATTGGATCAAGAGTAGCCTATTTATGACATTTTATCAAAATTGTAACGTTAATATTTTCTAGCTATCACTGTAATAAGAGCCCCCAGCATACTTAATTCTCCAACATTGAAACGAGATTGTCTTTTAAGTTGGCAGCCTTTTCCATTCCAAAATAAAATAACTGCATATCGAATTGCTATCATGAGCTGTGTAGGAAGAAAGTGCCATGGCACTCTAACTTCTACTGAATCACAGTGTTTGTACTCTAAGAGCATCAATATCATTTTAATTACCCCTCTGAAAAATATTTGAAAGTATTCATACACTTAAAAACATTAATTCATATAGGCCAGGTGCAGTGGCTCACACCTGTAATTCCAGTACTTTGGGAGGCCGAGGAGGGATCACGAGGTTAGGAGTTCCAGACCGGCCTGGCCAACATGGTGAAATACTGTCTCTACTAAAAATACAAAAATTAGCCGACTTTGGTGGCAGGTGCCTGTAATCCTAGCTACTCGTGAGGCTGAGGCAGGAGAATTGCTTGAAAGCGGGAGGCGGAGGTTGCAATGAGCCAAGATCACGCCACTGCACCCCAGCCTGGGTGACAGAGTAAGACTCTGCCTCAAAAAAAAATTAAAAATTAATTTATGTATTCTAAAAGTCCTATTAGCTTATGGTAAATATGACTCAAACCACCAAGTTATATTTTCTCCTGAAAAATTGCTTTAGAAATTGAAAAATGATATCTTATGCCTCCATTATTTGCTTTGGATTTTTGTAGCAAATACTTTGTGAAAACAAAAAGTATTTTTATTCTGAATAATTTTTAACATCATAATATCGCACCTTAGAACCGAATAAGCAAGTTTAAAGAGGGCAAACTAGAGACAACCAATTGAATCCATTCCAGATCACAGAGAATTTTCAGGATTATAGACATTAGTGTTGCCAGGCTGGGAATATTCCACCTTGGGTAATGACATTCAGTCTACCTAAACCCCTATGTGGTTTCGTTTAACTATAGTAGATTTCCTTTGCTGTCCCAAACTGCTGTGTTGTGATTTTATATACCAGAAACAGCTGCTTTGTTCACTGATGGGAAAAGTAAAAAACTCAGTAAACAGGCCGGGCGTGGTGGCTCATGCCTGTAATCCCACCACTTTGGGAGGCCGGGGCAGGTGGATCAAAAGGTCAGGAGATCGAGATCATCCTGGCTAACACGGTGAAATCCCATCTCTACTAAAAATACAAAAAATTAGCCGGGCATGGTGGCGGGTGCCTGTAGTCCCAGCTACTTGGGAGGCTGAGGCAGGAGAATGGCATGAACCTGGGAATCGGAGGTTGCAGTTAGCCGAGATTGCGCCACTGCATTCCAGCCTGGGCGACAGAGTGAGACTCCGTCTCAAAACAAACAAACAAACAAACAAAAAACCCAGTAAACAACCTATGTAAGTGTATCAAATATTATGGAATTCCTTCAAAGAAAAGAAAGAACTCAGCATACAATAATATTTGAAATAGTTACAGTTATAACCCAAAGGAAATTTTACATTTAATAGTTTCAGATGTCAAATCACAAAATTATATGAAACAATATTTTTTATCACCATTCACACTGTATCTTCTTTTAACTAAGGCATATATTTTCAAGATTAAGGACAAAATAAACTTCTGAAAAATATATTCAAGAAAATATACAAATAGGTATAATTAGGAATAAGTAAAATTACAAGTAGAAAAGAGGCAATATATAAAATTAAGGACAATTCTGCATAATTCTTGTATTTATAAATTGATAACCTGAATTTATTTTAAGAATCTAAATTTAAAGTAATCAAATACAATAGCTTAAAAGGTAAAAAGTGTAGAAAACTAAATTTAGGAAAATAATAGAGTTGTAAAAAAAATTCTCTCTCCTCATTGTGTACAACCCTTTACTCTAACACACACACACACACACACACACACACACACCATCCATCAATGACTGGAAATGGACAGATTTAGTAGTCTATTTGATCAGACTTGAAAATGTCTGTGAGATTGTGAAAACATATTCCTTAAAACAGTTATGGAAATCACATTTTTAGGAGAAAGAAACTGTATTTTCAAAACAATTAAGGCACTGTTGCCTTCGATTACTTGTAATAATGAGTCTTTGTGAATAAATGATTCTGTTTGAGTAGAAACACTACTCCAGTAGTACATTCTCCACCTCAGCATGATACATCCTAGAGACTAAATCATCAGTTGATGCCTTTTTAAAACAAAAATTGATTAGGAATCCTTGAAAAAATATAGTATACACTTAGCCAAAATTAGTTGGACTTATAAAAATATCTCTCCAAGTTCAGATAGCATTGTAAATTGGTAAGTATTCAAAATTAATAATAAAGGGTACATGAATATCAAAATAACAGTGTCAAATAACTAGAAAAGGGGCTTCCATATCATTATTTTTATCTGTATTTTTATAATACATGATAGTTAATTAAAATTTTAATTATAAAAGAAAGCATATCATGGCATGATAGATAACAAGTGCATGTTTTATATAGGTATGTTTGCCAACTTTTATATTTACTTGGAAGTTTTACTACTTTATTTGTAAAATGATTGGAATAAAATTTCAGCTATGAGCTCCATTCCATTGTCTTTACTCAAGTATAGATCCACATGCCTCTATTATTAGGTTCAATATGTTAAATAAGTATTACAAGAATAGCTTTAAGACAAACAAAAATGTGGAAATTCAGAGCAGAAGCAAATGCAACCTGGAGACAGAAAAGCACACACCATAAATATAGAAAATCCTTTCACTGCTATGCTTCAATGAAGCCTAAAATGCTAAGAAATGAAAACTGAATTATTTAAATATAAAGTTTCATTGATATTCTGAACTGCTAAAGTTTGTTAATTAAATATTAATTTTATTTTAAGAAAGTATGGCGATTAAAAAAAAAGTTGTTAAAACTTTTACAGGTATTCTACCCTGCTGTTTTCTACAGAATTAATAACAGACTATGCTGGAAAAGCTTTTAAATTAATGCACACTTCTCTGTAGTAGAATTTTCATTATTAGCTAGTTTGGACAGGTTATCTCCTTTAGCCCTTATAAAAAATGAAGAGTTTGGCTTTGGTGTCAAATGCCCTGTCCAGTTATAAAACTTCCATGATTCTGTGAGCTTTAACAAATTAAATATTTGGCATCTCATACATGTATCTACGGACCGATTGTGTAATGCTGTTGAAAATTGCCAAAGTTTCTAATAAATGAGAAGCTAATTCTAACAAGAGGAATCAACTGTTATTTTGAATCAAAAATTAAACAAGTATTTTATTTACCTAAAGTTAGCAGAATAAGAAAAACTGAAAGATAAATATGATTTTAAACAGCTACTATTTGTAATTCGGAGCATCCTATAAATGTAACTTATGCTACAAATAGCCACTGTCATTTCACTAATTCAGTCTGAGTTTTCTTTTAGTTCTACTGAATAAATACTGTACTTCGCATTACACCCCTTTACTGCTATAATTAATGATGCTATATTAGTGATGGTTAAATTATTTCAGAAGGTGAAATCAAAGAAGCACGTATGGTCATTTTAGCCTTACCTGTGAAAAAGCAACTTCTAGTGGTAAACAGAAAAGACAAATGCAGACCTATAACAGAGATTCAGTGAATAAATGTACCAAAACACATATGCAACAGGGTGTTTCCAGATAATATCAGGACAATCTATCCAAGAAATGGTTCAATATAACAAGTAAATTCATGAAAAATATGTCCTTGATCTCAGTAAGACTTGAAGGAAAATGTGTGAACATACCATCATAAATCTAGTCCCTTCATTAGAAAAGAAAATTCAAGGTCCATGACTTAATATGAAGTAGTGGCATTTTTGTAATAACAATTTTCACTAAACTTTCATTGACATGTAAAAATTGCACATATATATGGGGTGACTGTGATATTTTAAAACATACATACAATGCATAATAATCTAATTAGGGTAACTGTTATAACAATTATCTCAAACATTCATCATTTCTTTGGGTTGAGAGCATCCCAAATCTTCTTTTCTCACTATTGTGAAATATACAATAAATTATTGTTAACTATAGTTGCCCTATTGTGCTATCGAACACTAGAACTTGTTCTTTTTAATCTAACTGCTTAAACAAAACTCTCAGTTCTATTTTCATGCCCCTATGCTTCCCAGCCTCTGGTAGCTATCATTCTACTCTCTACCTCTTTACCTCCACGAGATCAACTGTTTTAGATTTTATATGAATGAGAACATGTAATATTTGTCTTTTTGTGCCTGGCTTATTTCTCTTAATATAATGTCATCCAGTTCCATTCATGTTGCCTCAAATGACCATATTTTATTCTTTTTGTGGCTGAATTATGTACATTTTATGTACATATATATTATATATATCTCATTTTCTTTATCCATTTATCCACTGAAGGACACTTAAGTTGATTATAATTCTTGGGTATTGTGAAAAATGCTGCAATAAACATAGGACTCTTCATATGTCTTGCATATATTGCTTTTTCTTTCTTTTGGCTATATACTCAGTGGTGGGACTGCTGGGTAATATGGAAAATTTATTGTTAGTGTTTTGAGGAATCTCATGCTATTTTCCATAGTGGCTGTAATAATTTACATTCCCACCAACAGTGTACCAGCATTGCCCTTTCTCCTCATCCTTACTAGCATCTGTAATTTTTGACTTTTTGGTAATAACCATTTTTAACTGGATTGAGATGATATTTCATTGTAGTTTTGATTTTAATTTATCTTATGATTAGTGATATTGAGCATTTTTGTATACCTCTTATTAGCCCTGTGATTGTCTTCTTTTGAAAAATGTCTATTATATTCAGACCATTCATCCATTTTTCTGATAAATTATTATTTTTTCTATTGAATTGAGGGCCTTATATATTCTGGTTATTAATCTTTTGTCTGATGAATAGTTTGCAGATATTTTCTCCCATTGTAGATGTTGTCTCTCTTCACTTTGTTGATTATTTCCTTTGCTGTGCAGAAGGTTTTAGCTTGACATAATTCCACTTGTCTTTTACTTTTTTGCATTGTTTTTGTTTTTGTTGTTTTTGTTTTGTTGTCTCAGCCAAGAAGTCTTTACCCAGACCAATGTGTTGAAGGATTTTCAAAGTTTCAGGTGTTGCATTTACGTCTTTAATCCATTTTGAGTTGATCTTTGTATGCGATAAGAGATGGGGTGTAGTTTCATTCTTCTGCATACGGACATTTCGTTTTCTGACATCGTTTATTGAAGATGCTCTCCTTTCATCATTTACGGAAGATGCTCTCCTTTCCCTGTGGTATGTTCTTGTTGCCTTTGCTGAAAACTGGTTGGCTGTGTATGTTCAGATTTATTTCTCTGTTCTCTGTTCATTCCATTGTTCTATGTGTCTGTTTTTATGCCAGTATCATGCTGTTCTGACTACTATAGTTTATAGTAGATTTTGAAGTCAGGTAGCGTGATGATTCCCGCTTTGCTCTTTTTGCTCAGGATTGCTTAGGCTGTTCAGGGTCTTTTGTGGTTTTATATGAATTTTAAGATTTTTTTTTTCTATTTCTGTGAAGAATGTCATTGGCATTCAGATAGAGAGTGCATTGAATCTGTAGATCACTTTGCGTAGTACAGGCATTTTAACAATAACAATTATTCCAGTCCATGAGCATGGATTTCTTTCCATTTTTGTGTGTGTCCTTTTCAATTTTTGTCAGTGTTTTTATTGTTTTCACTAGAGATCTTTTACTTCTTTAAGGTTATTACTGAGTATTTTTTTACCTATTGTAAATGTATTGTTCTTTTTTCAGAATTTTTGCTGTTGGAGTATAGAAACTTTACTGATTTTTAATGTTTATTTTGTATCCTGCAACTTTACTAAATTCATTTATCAGTTTTAACAGTTTTTTCATGGAGTTTTTAGTTATTTTTTAAATATAAGCGTATATCATCTGCAAACAAGGATAATATGATTTCTTTTATTCCTATTTGGATGCCCTTTATTTCTCTCACCTAAATTGTCTGATAAAAAATTCCAGTACTATGTTGAATAAAGTGGTGTCAGTAGTAGGCATTATTGTTTTGTTCCAAAACTTAAATGAAAGTCTTTCAATTTTCTTCCCATTCAGTATATTAGCTGTGGGTAAGCTATATATGGCCTTTACTGTTTTGAGGTACGTTTCTTCTATACATGGTTTTTTGAGAGCTTTTATTATAGAGGGATGTTAAATTTTACAAAATGCTTGCTTTCAGAATCTATTGAAATTTTCATATAATTTTTGTTATTGATTCAAATTATTTGATATATTATGTATATTGATATATATATTTTGAACCACACTTTCATCCCTGAGATAAATCCCACTTGATCATGGTGAAGGATCATTTTAAAGTGTTGTTAAATTCAGCTTGTTAGTATGTTGTTGATGATTATTGCATCTATGTTCATCAGGAATGATGGTCTGTCGGCCAGCCGCATTGGCTCACCTTAATCCCAGCACTTTGGGAAGCCAAGCCGGGTGGATCACCTGAGATCAGGAGTTCGAAACCAGCCTGGCCAACGTGCCAAAACCCTGTCTCTACTAAAAATTAAAAAATTAGCTGGGCGTGGTGGCATGCACCTGTAATCCCAGCTACTCGGGAGGCTGAGGCAGGAGAATCACGTGAACCTGGAAGGAGGAGGTTGTAGTGAGCCAAGATCATGCCACACCACTGTACTCCAGCCTGGGCGGCAGAGCGAAAATCTATCTCTAAATAAATAAATAAATAAATAAATAAATAAATAAATAAATGTCGGTAGTTTTCTTTATTTTGTTATGTCCTTGTCTAGTTTTGGCATCAGAATAGTTTTGGCCTTGCAAAGTGACTTTGGAAGTATTCCCTCCTTCTCAATTTTTTTGGAATAGTGTGAGTCAAATTGGTATTACTTCTTCTTTACATGTTTGCTAAAAGTCAGCAGTGAAGCTGTCAGATCTTGGACTTTTCTTTGATGGGAGAGTTTTTACTGCTGATTCAATCTTGTTACTTGTATTGATGTGTTCAGGCTTTCTATTTCTTCATGGTTTAGTCTTGGTAGGTTGTACATGTTCAGAAATTTATCCGTTTCTTTGAGATTTTCCAATTTGTTGGCATGTAATTGCTTATAATAGTCTTAAATAAGTTTCATAATTCTGTGATATAAATTGTATCTCATTCATTTTTGATTTTATTTAACTGGGTCTTCTCTCTTTTTTTATTAGTCTAGTTAAAGGATTGTCAATTTTGCTTATCTTATTGAAAAACAAACTTTTCATTTTATTGATCTATCTTATTTGTGTTTTTTAAGGTGTAAATTTTATTTGTTTCTACTCTGACCTTTGTTGTTTCTTTTTTTAATACTAATTTTGCATTTTGTTTTTGTTTTTATCTAGTTCCTTGAGGTGCATCATTAGATTCTTTATTTGATGTCTTTCTACTTTTTTATTAGAAACAGTCTCATTCTCTCACTCAGGCTGGATTACAGTGGAATGATCATAGCTCATTCCACCCTGGAACTCCTGGGATTAAGTGATTCACCCATCTCAGCCTCCTAAGTAGTTGAGACTATAGGCTTGTGCCATCACACCTGAAGGATTTTAAAAGTTTTTTGAGAGATAGGTCTCACTATATTGCTCAGGCTGTCTCAAATGCCTGGCCTCCCACCTCAACCAGCTGAGCAGCTGGAATTACAGGTGTGAGCCACCATGCCCAGCTCTTTCTACTTTCTGGATGCAAATGCTTATTGCTATACATTTTTCCTCTTAGAAATGCTTTCCTCGTATCTCATAGATTTTGACATGTGGTGTTTTTATTTTCACTTGTCTCATAAAATTTTAAAATTTTCGGTTTAATTTCTTCACTGACGCATTTGTTGTTGAGGAGCATGTTGACTAATTTCTATAAATTTGTACAGTTTGCAACATTCCCTTTGTTACTGATTTCTAGTTTTTTCTTTTGTGTTCAGAAAACATGCTTGATATGAGTTTAAATTTTTAAACTTTGTTAAGACTTGGTTTATGGTCTAATATATGGTCTATCCTACAGAATGTTTCATGTGCTGTTAAGAAAAATGTGCATTCTGCAGCTGTTGAATAAAATGTTCTGTAAATGTCTGTTAGGTCCATTTAGCCAAGAATGCAGTTTAATGTTTCTTTGTTAATTTTCTGTCAGGATGGTATGTCCACTGCAAAAAATAGGGTGCTGAAGTCCCCTTCTATTAATGAACTTCAGTCAATGTCTCACTTTAGCTCTATTAATATTTGTTTTATATATCCTAATGCTCTGGTATTCAGTGCATATATATTACAATTGTAATTGTGATTACAACAATTACAATTACAAATCTTGTTGTTTTGACACCTTTATCATTATGCAGTGGTCTCCTTCATTTTTTTAATATTCTTGACTCAAAGCATATGCTATTTGGTATAATTATCTTTTTCGATTACCATTTGCATGCAATATTTTTTTCCATCTGTATTAGCCCATTTTCATGCTGCTAATAAAGACATACCCAAGATAGGCAATTTACAAAAGAAAGAGGTTTAATGGACTAACAGTTCCCTGTGGCTAGGGAGGCCTCACAAACATGGCGGAGGGTGAAAGGCACATCTCACATGGTGGCAGACAAGAGAAGAGAGCTTGTTCAGGGAAACTCCCCTTTTTAAAAACATCAGCTTGTTCAGGGAAACTCCCCTTTTTAAAACCACTTAAAACCATGAGACTTATTCACAATCATGAGAACAGCATAGGAAAGACCTGCCCCCATGATTTAATTACCTCCCACTGGGTCCCTCCCACAACGCATGGGAATTTAAGATGAGATCTGTGTGGGGACATAGACAAACCATATCACCATCCCTTCACTGTTAGTTTATGGGTTAATTTATAGGTGAAGTGAGTTCCTTGTAGACCACATATATGATAGTTTGGCCTTTTTTTTTTTTTAATTCATTTAGCTAATTATATCATTTAATGGGCAAATTAAATCCAGTTACATTAAACTTTATAAGGGAAGGGTTTACTACTGCCATTTTTTTTTTTTTTACTTTTGAGGGATTGTTTTGTACATCCTTTCTTCCCTTTTTTCTCTCTTACAGCCTTCATTTGTGATTAAGTGATTTTCTCTAGTATTGTATTTTGATTCTATGCTGTTTAGTTTTAGTGTTTCTATTATAGGTTTTTGTGCTGTGATTTAGCATGGGGCTTATAAAAACATTTTATAGATATAACATGTTATTTTAAACTAATAATGACTTGACTTTGATCACAAAGGATAGAAAACTATCAAAAACAAATTCTACACTTCAACAGCATCCCCCCATATTTCAGCTTTTTGCTATTCCAGTTTACATCTTCTATATTGCCTGTCTCTTAACCAATTGTAGTAGTTATTATTTTTATAGTTTTGGCTTTTACTCTTCATACTTAAGTTGCAAATGGTTTACTTATCACAATTATAGTATTAGATTATTGTGAATTTTTCTCTTTTCTAAATTTGACCGGTTAGTTTCATACCTTAAGATGTTTTCCTGTAACACATTAGTGTCCCTTATTTCACATTAAATAACTCCTTTTAACACATTTTTGAAGATTGGTCTGGCATTGGTGAATGTTCTCAGCTTCTGTTTGTTGTGGAAAAGTCTTTATGTCTCCTTCATTTCTGAAAGATTGCTATGCTGGGTACGATATTCTTAGATGGAAGGTTTTCTCTTTTTTTCTTTAGCACTTTGAATATAGCATGCCACTCTCTCGGCCAGCATGGTTTGTACTCAGAAATTCACTGAAAGCTGTACTGTGACTGTGTTGAATGTGATATGTGCCTTTCCTCTTGTTACTTTGAGCATTATTCGTCTTTGATTATTGCTCAGTTTATTATAATATGCTTTAGGGAATTCTGTTTGGGGTTAAATTTAATGGATAATCTCTCTGCTTCCTGTAACTGGATATTGTCATATTTCTCCATATTTGGAAAATTCTCGGCCATTATTCCTTTACATATGCTCTCTAAACCTTTTTTTTCTCATCTTCTGGGGGGATTTCAATTACGCAGAGGCTAGTTTTTATGATTGTGTGCCATAAGTCTAATATGCCTTCTTCACTTGTTTTGTTTTCCTTTTTTGCTCTTGTGATTGGGTAATTTCATGTGTTCTGCCATCAAGTTCATAAATTCTTCTGTCAAGTCTGTTGTTAAAGCTTTCTAATGAACTTTAAAGTTCAATTATTTTATTCTTTATTTCTAGGATTTCTTTTTTTTAATTGTTTTTATTTCTTTGTAAAATTTCTTATTTTTTTCCTGGATTGTTTTCATTTAGTTTTCTATTCATATTTTTTTATGATTCCTTACCCTTTGTTTGGAGGATTATTTTGAATTATGTGTAAGCCATTTTATAGATCTTCAATTATTCCTGGTCTATTGCTGAAGCTTTGTTGATGTCTTTTGGTGGTGTCATTACTTCCCTGAGTTTTCACAATCTTTGTGTCTTTACAATGATGATTGTATATTTGAGAAGAAAGCCACCTCTTCCAGGTTTTGCAGGTGTCCATTGATAGTGCTAGGCATTTACTTCTTAGTATTGAAATTTAAACACTGACCCAGTTGTTTCTTCTCATTTTTGGGTGGACTTACAATGAGCACAGTAACTAAAACACTGAAATAGAACTAACACATTTCCCTGTCATTGTTTCCCAGTATGAGAAAGACCTAAGCAGGCCACAGAACTTAATCCCAACCTTGTCGTTGTTTTGAGGCCAGGTGAAGACTCTAC
Source organism: Homo sapiens (assembly GCF_000001405.40). Classification (NCBI taxonomy): domain Eukaryota; kingdom Metazoa; phylum Chordata; class Mammalia; order Primates; family Hominidae; genus Homo; species Homo sapiens. The sequence continues at coordinate 193,988,471 of NC_000001.11, read as the reverse complement.
ATAAGCACCTGAATTTTGTGGAAAATCCAACTAGGAATTCAAGCCTTTTCACAGATGGTGCTCTCTCTGACACTGTGGCACCAGCAGGGCTCTTTAACATGGTGTCCTCATGGTTCAGAGCACTGAGTATCCACCAAGATCCATACACCATTGGCTGTGATCAGTGCCCCTCTCTTTGTTCTCAATTTATCCCAGATGTTTCAGCTCTTCTGGTACTCCCAATGATTCCCATGGGACAGAACCAGAGTGGGCTTCCAGTGAAGATTCCCAAGCCACTTCGGAAATCAAATGTCAACCACTATTTCCCTCATCTCATTTTGGCAACTGTGGGTCCTGGGAACTTTTCTGTAAGTGGTATAATGCCACCTTGGGGAAGGGATCACGCAGTCTGAAATGAACATTTCCCTTACTGGCCATGGCTTCTTTTAATTCTGTGGGCCACGGGCCCCCTGGAATTCTGGTATATTCAGACTGGTATTCTTGTCTCTGAATTGTTTCTAGTTGTATTCTTGTAAAGGGAGTGATGCTGGAGGATCTTCAATTCCACCATCTTGCTAACATCTCTAGTAAAATTTTAATAACTGTCAGCCACTGGACTGAACAGTCTACATGTTCTACATTACTTAACGTTCAAAGCAGTCTTCTGAACTTCTATGTGGCCATATTTCTTTTGCATATAAAGAAAATTAGATTGGCAGTAATTAATTACTCAAGTCATGCAGCTATGAGAATATAGAATAAAACTGAAATTAAAATGGAATGCTATTTAAAATAATACATAAAATATGGTGCTGTTAAATTTCAATAAAACATAAAGAAATCAGTTGAATCCAATAAAACTTTGCAACTTTAAATGGCCATCAGGAAACATTGTAAAACTTACCCCAGTTGATAAAAAATGAGTTAGCGTTTACCCATTTACATGAAATCAAAGAAAATAAAAGACTTACTATGTCCATCTCTTATTATGTGTTATCTTGAAAACATGTGACCTCCACATTCTGTGTCCTGGCATATATGTTCCCATAAACTTTTATATACCAGTGCAGATCTTTAACTCCATCTTCCTTCCAATTAAATGATAAAACTAACTTTATAGTTGGGTTAGTAACATTACAACCTTGGGAAGATAAAAATGTAAATATAATTGTAGAAAGGTATATAAAATTTATAATATAATTATTTCCATGTAAGAGTCAGGATAGTATGTGTGTATTTGTGCATAATGAGGCAAAATTAAACACATCTGGCACATTAGTCCACTGAGATATTAGACTTGTAATTCCTGTAAAATAGGAAAATGGTTTTCTTATTTGATATTAAAGAAGGTAAGAAAATGTGAATAATTTTGTAAATAATATTAGAATATTTAGACTTTAGTGTGCTGTTTAGTTTATTTAAAAGGCTTGCATAAATGTTTAGGTAATATATTCTTGTAAGGATCATATGTTAGATCTGTTTAGTACTTGAAGGATTTAAAAAGAAAATTTGAATCATTAAATTAGTCAATGCAATGTTAAATACTATCTACTAATTTAATTATTCAAGGCCAAACATTATACTACTTATTAAATCTCTTCAACTTTAATAAAACATTAATTAATGATCAGCCATTGTGGAAGACAGTGTGGTAATTCCTCAGTGACCTAAATACAGAAATACCATTTGACCCAACAATCCCATTACTGGGTATATGCCCAAAGGAATATAGATCATTGTATTATAAAGACACATGCATGCATATGTTCATTGCAGCACTATATACAATAGCAAAGACATGGAATCATCCTAAATGCCCATTAGTGATAGACTGGATAAAGAAAATGTGATACATATACACTATGGGATACCATGCAGCCATAAAAAAGAATAAGATCATGTCCTTTGCAGGGTCATGAGTGCAGCTAGAGGCCAGTATCCCTAGCAAACTAACATGGGAATATACAACCAAATTCTGCATGTGCTGACCTATAAGTGGGAGCTAAATGATGAGAAGACATAGACACATAGAGGGGAACAGCACACACTGGGGCCTTTTGGAGGGTGGAGGAGGGAGAGAATCAGGAAAAACAACTAATGGGTACTAGGCTTAATACCTGGGGCAATGAAATAATCTCTACAACAAACCCCCATGGCGCAAGTTTACCTGTGTAACAAACCTACATTTGTACCCCTGAACTTAAACATTTTTTAAAAACCTGTTAAGTTGGAAAAAAAGACAATTGTTGTACTTTTTAAAATAATTATCTGTCAGATATTTTATAGGTCTTCAATCTTTCTTGGTCCATTGCTGAAGCTTTGTTGGTGTCTTTTGGTGTTGTTGTATTTCCCTGAGTTTTTACAATTCTTGCGTCTTTACAATAATGCTTGTGTATTTGAGAAGAAAGCTGTAAAAATTTGCATACAAACTACTAGATTGGTGAACAAAATAAGAATGAAAGAGCAATCAATATAAAATAAAAAGGTAAAATGTAAAAATTTGCATACAAATTACTAGATTGGTGAACAAAATAAGAATGAAAGAGCAATCAATATAAAATAAAAAGGTAAAATGGTATAGCTAAAGGCCAAATGTTAAGTTGCTTGGAACTCTAAAAATATTTACATCAACTAAAATAAGAAAGGGAAGGAGAAACAGAGAAATGCAGGAAAATGGTACAAATAGATAAAATAGTAAATTATGGATGACAATCCAAACTTATCAGTAATTAAATTACTAATGATATAAACACCCTAATTGAAAGACAAGGATTGTCAAAATATATGAGACACAATTATATACTGATTACTAGAGATACTTATTAAATATAAGAAAACAAACAGGATACAATTGAATGATGAGGTAAAAAAGATATACCATGTAAACAGTAAGCATAAGAAGACTGGAATGTGGATTTTCACTCTGGCAAAGATGGAGCAATTGGCATATATTTTACCTTCCCACCATACACAACAATAAAACTAAAGAACAAATATTTAAAAAAAAAAAAAAACAGACTTCAGACTTTGAACAGAGAGCACAGTACAGTGATTCATGGAATAAATTAAATAATGAAGTGACTATGATTTTCCCTAATTAATGCCTGAAGAGAGTTTCCAGGTACAGCATAAAAAGAGGAACCTCAGGTGAAACCCAGAAGTGTTCGCTGGTTATGAAGAAAGAGTTCAAGTTTTCCAGACTGCTGAAGCAAAACATTCACTATATGTCTTTCAGCACTCAGAAGAGTTGTTGTTTTCACCAACCATAGTTGGCAAAATCTATGTATAGTAGATAGCTATAGATATATGCTCTCATGAGATATATATATATATATATATATATATATATTCTTTCTATAAAGTCTCAAATAAAAATCCTATGAATGAAAAAAGGTAGCTACAAATTAGCTGCAACTAACATATTACTTTATTTTGAAAGCATATATGTTTTGCTCCTAGTGTCTGAAATAGAAAAGACCTGGGAGCTCTATGTTTGTCTGTTGGGATACTTTTAAGTCTGATATTGACTAGTTGGTGACTTATAATATGCTGTTTAAAGTTTGAAACTCCTTGGAGGCATTCAGGACTATTTGGCTACATTTTTGAAGAAATGTATGAACTGATGACTTTTACCTGGTATATCTTATCACGTAGCCTGGCTTGACTATTAGATAGAATTAAAGAGTATAGGGTTATTAAAGAAATTGCTGGAAGTTTTTGCCTGGGTTTTTTCTAAAACCCAACTTTCTCTCACACAGTCAATTATTCATAATCCAAATATAAAGCACATCCTGTTCAACAAAGAAAGGACCCTGAGGAGCTGTGCCTAGATGTGTCAATAATCACATTAAATGTAAATGGTCTAAACATCCCAATTAAAAGGTGGAGACTGTCAGACTGAATAAAAATTCAACAGCCATCTCTATGATGCTGTCTAATTGAAGCCCATATTAAATGTGCAAACATAAAGATGTTAAAAGTAAAAGGACAGAAAAAGATATACCATGCTAAAACTGGAGTTGCTATATTAATATCAGATATTGTATATTGCAAAACCAAGATAATTAATGGAAATTAGAAAAGGGCATTTTATAATTATAAAGAGGTCAACTCATCAAGAGGATATAAAATCTCAAATATTTTTTGCACTAATAATAGAGTTTAAAATACATGAAGCAAAAAGTTGTAGAACAGCAAGGAGAAATAGACTAATCCATAACTAGAGTTAGAGGTTCAATATTAAATAGAACAAACAGACACAATATTTTCAAATTGGGGAATATTTGTACCACATTATCAACCAACTGAATCTAACTGACATTTATAGAACGCCACACCAACAACAGCAGAATATTCATTCTTTTCAAGTATCAGAGAACTTTTGCCAAGGTATTCCATTTGGGAACTGAAATAAATCTCAAAAAATTTATACAGATTAAAGTCATGAAAAGTATGCTCTCTCACCACAATGGATTTAAATTAGAAGTAATATTAAAATGCTATCTGAAAGATATCTAGATATTTGGAAACTAAATACCATACTTTTAAATAATTTTTATGGCAAAGAAAAAAACACAAAGGAAATTATGAAGTATTTTAAGCTGAATAACAATGAAAAACATAGCATATGTACGTTTGTTAGTTGCCTACAAAGTAGTATTTAGAGAAAATTTTACAGAATAAAATGTCTATATTAGGAAAGAACACACATCTCAAAATCAAAAATAGTAGCTTTCACCCTAAGACACTAGAAAAAAAGCAATTTATTCCCAAAGTAAATAATAAATAATAATAATGTTAAAGCAGAAATCAATGACATAGACAAAAAAAGTGAAAAATAAATTTTAAAAATATGGTTCTTTGAGAAAATCAGAATACTTGATAATTATCTAGTCAGACTAATCAGAGGGAAAAATGAACTATTAATATCAAGAATAAGAGTTGAGACCAATACAGATTGAAATTCCACAGACATAATAAAGGATATAAGGAAACATTATGAATGTTTTGTCAGTAACTTCAACTTAGATGGAATAGACAAATACCCTAAAAAACACAAAGTACCAAAGATCATTCAAAAAGAAATAGATCACATGTGTATTGCTATATATACTATAGAAATTAAATCTAGTTAAAAGCTTCCCACAAATATAACTTAAAACCCATAGGATATACTGGTGAATTCAATCAAACTTTTAAAGAATAATAGCAATTCTATAAAGATTCTTGCAGAAAATTAAAGAGGAGCAAATAATCTTCAATTTATTCTGTGAGAACATCATAACCCTGATAACAAACACAGACAAAGGCATTAGAAGAAAAGAAAATTGGAGTTCAGAACTGTGCTTTAATGCTTGATAGAATGTAGCACATATAATGCAAAATATATTAAAAGGATAATATAATTACTAAGTAATATTTATTTCAAGACTGCAAGTTTAGTCTAACATTAAAAGATCAATTGATATTATATATCATATTAAGAAAAAAAGCCTTTGATGCAGTTCAAACATCCATTCCTAATAAAACCTCTCAGCAAACCAGAAATAGACCATAATGCCCTGAATTTAGATAAAGAACTTTTGCAACAAACCAACAGCTTATACTACACACAATGGTAAAAGACGGCATGTTTCGCCACTAAGATCAGGACTGGTCTTACCATTTCTGTTCTTCACTATACTGGAGGTGACGGCCAGTGCCAAAAAATAAAAATAAAAATAAAACAAATAAAAGATATCTGCATAGGAAAGCAGTAAAACACTCTTTATTTGCAGATGACATAATCGTATCTACCAAAGTAAAATGAAATTTAAAATATTAATAAAATTAATGTGTTTGTTTAGCAAGGCTTGAGGATACAAGACCAACACATAATAATTAATTTTATTTCTATATGCTAGCAACTAACTATTGAAACTGATAAAGTATCAATTACATAGCATCAAAAAATAAGATTCATTAAAATATAAAAAAATTTGTGAAATTAATACATTGACCACTATAAAATATTGCTGAGAATACCTAAAGATATTAAACTTTAGGTATTAAGTAAAGTATTAAGTATAAAGGTATTAACTAAAAAGAGAGATATACCTTATTCATGGGTTGGAAAATTCAATATTAGTAAAATGTCAAATTTTCCTTTATTAGTCTTTGACTCAATGCAGTACCAACCCAAAACTCAGCAAATTTTAAGAAATAAACTGACAAACTGATTCTAAAATTTATGAGGAACTGCAAAGAACCTAGAATAGACAAAGAGCCAAGAAAAAACAAAACAACTCAAGAAAAATAACAAAAACAATATTTAGTGTTTGCATTCTGATAGACAAATTGATCAAGAGACACAAACAGAGAACTGATTATTTTATGTAGTTTCTAAGATAATTCATAAAATAAAGTACAATTTTTCAACAGATGGTTGGTGCTAGAACAACTGGATATCAATATGCAACAGAAAAAAAGATAGAAATTCTGATCCATACTTTGCACCAAATACAAAAATTAGTTGAAGATGAATTTTATGTCTAAATATAACACAAACACTCTAAGATTTCTAGAAGATAATATAGTGGAAATATTCATTTTTGGAACAGGCAAGTTTACTTAGATATGACATCAAAATACAATCTTTAAAGGAACAAATTTATAAATTAGAGTTCATAAAAATGGAAACATTCTGCTCTTCAAAAGACACAATAAATTAAAAAAACAAGCAGAAGCTTGTTAAGAGAACTCTAAATACTCAACAATTAAAAAAAAAAACCCAATGTGGGGGAAAACGGACAAAAGATTTAAACAGACACATCACAGAAGATATACAAGAGGCAAATAAACACAAAGATCCTCATTAGACATTAGAGAAATGCAAATTCAAACCACAATGAGCTCCCACGATATACATAGTAGAATCAATCCAGTAGTCAATTAAAAACATTACCATTCAAGTCACTGATGAGGTAATGAAGGAACTGATATTCTCATAGACTGCTGGAAACATTGTAAAATGGTATAATTACTTCACCTTGGAAAACAGTTCGGTAGTCTCTTTAACGTTAAGCCATATACCTGCCATATGATCTGGCCATTTCAGTCTTAGATAATTACCCAAGAGAATGGAAAGCATATGTTCATACAAACAACTGTTGGACACAAATGTTCATAGCAGTTTTAATTATAGTATCTAATAACTGCAAACAACTCAATGTCCACCAGCTAGTATACGAATAATCAAGTTTCAGCTTATCTATACAATGGGATACTATTTAGCAATAGAAAGACATTTTTGTTTACATATGAAATGAAATAGATGAATCTTAAAATAAATATGCTGAATGAAAGAAGCCAGGCACAATCCAAAAAGGTCAGTGTATAACACCAATTATTTAAAAGTTTAGAAAATTTAAATTAATCTATTTTGACAGAAAACAGATTGTGGTTGTTTAAAGGAAGGTCAGAGTGTGGGATGAGGGTGAGGAATTACAAAATAGTTTAATGAAATGTTTTGGGGTGATATGTTCAGCATTTTGACTGTGATGATTCCATGAGTGTATGCACATTAAAACGCAACAAATTTATACACTTAAAAACGTGCAGTTTATGTTTTATATTTGAGTAGATTCAATATGGAGATGAAATTTTCTATTATGGCAATAGAAACTTAATCCTGTTTTTTTCTAAGTTATTTATTTTTAAAAAGTATAATCTAGAACTTGAATATACAGTTAATAGGAAAATATTTAACTTGAATAAAAAATAAAGATATAATCTAGACTGATTTTTTTCTATAATTTATTTTTCTTTTCCTTTTATAGGATATCTCTTAGTGTCATGAAAATTAATTTTCTGTAATATGTATGTTGCTTCTATTCGCACATGTTATCAGTTTTCTTTCAATTCTATGATTTCATTTTTAATTGTATTACAGTATTCACACAGGAGAAATAATTTGAAAACTATAAAAGTACTAGAAAAATATGGAAGAATATAATCTTGGAATAATAAAAGCATTTTAATTCTTACATAAACATGCAAAGGTTTTCAAAGAAAAATTTTACTAGATAATAATTAAAAGCTTAAAAGTGGAACCCTTCGAGATTTACTTTTAAGTAGTATGAAATAGAAATCTAAAATCTTTTTCTATAATTCTAATTACCATATAACATTTTTTCATACATACTTGAGTCTATTTCCAAACTCTTCATTCTGTTTAATCAAATTTGTTTATACTTACAACTCTATCAAAATATTTTGATTAATATGTTTATATAAAATTTTCTATTAATTAAAATTAGATTCTAATCATTGTTCTTTTTTTTCAAAGTATTCCTTGGCAGTTTATTTACCAGATAAATTTTGTTAAATAATTTTCAAATTTAAAAAATAGCATTGCTTTGAATGTATTTTTACATTAATTAATGTATTAGGAATAATTGACATATTTAACATGTTTTGTTTTCCTAGCCTGGAGCATCAATTAATGAGGTTTTCCTTTCTGCATTTACTTAAGTAATTTCCTCCATATTGTTGTCAACTCACATGTAACTATTAATATTAGCTTGCATATCATATTTAATAAATGTGGAAAGAATGGCTTTTGGCAACTTTCCAAAATTAAATCCATTGCTACTTCCCCCAAAAGATAAGTTACCATCAGAGAATAGTTATATGCTTCTTATGCAAAAAACAATCCCAAAGAGGAGTTCTAAATGTTATTTTTAAAATAACAGTATTACTGTATTGTAATTTTCTGTACTAAATTCTCCATAGGCAACTACTTTGTAGACAGAAGCTCTTTAATGTCACCATATATTTACTGACATGTTTGTGGAGAAAAACAAAATTAGTCCCTTATGTTATTATTGCACTTTATATCTATCTCCCACACCACCTAGCATAGTAATATAAATAGCGTTGTAAAACTCAGACTATTTCTCTAAGCAGAAAACACAGAAATTTCTGTGATTTTTCTTCCCCTAAAATACGTAGCTCTCTGCCATGTAGACTGACAAAGTAAGCACAATCTCATCTCTGAAAACCACCTCCTGGGAAAAGACACTAACCGTAGCTACAACAGTTGCATAAACAAAATGTGTAACTCTGAAAGAATATTGTGGCAAATACCTTCTAAGGCTGGGAACAGTAATTGCTGAGTGACTGATCAGGTGACATTTCCCTACGTGGAGAAATGGTGTGAAAAAAGAACCTCAAGATATTAAGTTATGAAGTTTCAATCTGGTTATTTTCCCCAGTGATTGCAAAATTTGTTTTTATCCCTAGTACAAAAAAAGGCTATTTTTTTCTTCCTTCTGATCTGTAATATCTCTAGCCATATTGTGTAGTGTCATTTTGCTGTCATTCAACATACAAAAGCAGATGTCCCCTTTCTCCCTTTTCCCACCTTTCATTGTTCTCGCTGCAGATTTTTCAGTTATTCTTTGATGGGCCCAAGGCAATTTCATTCTAGCAGCCTTTCCTTTTAATGCACATTCAGGGACTACAATTGAGATGGGGCATGGTGTAAGGGGATAGAAAGTAAGGCATCATATTCTGAAATGTGAAGTCAACAATAAGTTGAGAAAGTGATAGGTAGAGCTTAGGGAAACATTTACTGCAGTGCTTCTAAGAAAAAGAGAATAACTGCTGATATATATTATCTGGGAAGACTTTCTTAGAAAAAAAAAAAGCAAGAATTGTGAGCAGAACCATTAGGGTTTGGGGCCATCCAAGTCCATTTCTCTTTCTTTCACAGTTTAACAGTGTTAATGGAGCATACAGTTGCCTGTCTGAATTGGACAGTCTCTCTTTCAGCTAATGGCAGAGATGGTAATTAAGCTCTCAACAATGATATATGAGTGGAAATGATGCCTATAACTTCTGAGTAACTATCTTAAAAGAAAATTACCTAACTTTCATTTCCTTTCTTTCCCCTTCTCTCAGACTGGAAGAAGAAATCAAAGTGGTGGGGGGCATAAAAAAATTCCTGTGATCCTACATATAAAGAAAAGTAATAATGTTTTAAAATGTTTAATACTAAATATTAAGAAAGGACTTTGGATCATTTGCATATGTTATCAGGAGAATATACAATAAAAGACTGGACTATAAGAGGGAAAATAAAATATTAAATGGAAAGTAAACTGGCATATCAACTGAGATAAAAAGGAAGCTAACTTAAAGAAGCAGAGATTGCAAAGAACCTAAAATCTTAAAATAATCTTAAAATAGATCTTAATCTGCTTCTGTGAATTTTTAAATAATTAAACTCTCACCATAGAAAATTGAGTCAGTTATATAGAGTAAAATAGACAATAAAATTAAAATGAGTCAGAAAATAGGCAATTTATAAGAAGCAGAAAAGTGAAAACCAGAAAATCACAAATATATAAAGAAAAAAATCATTGAGCTGAAAGAAAACTTAATGTAAACAATAATTTAGGTTACATGTTTAAAGAATAAATTTCTACAGGCATCCAGGCAGAGGCGAAAAATGGGTTACTTACAAAAGAAGGAATATCAGGCTTTTAGAACCTAACCCTATCTCCATTTAAAAAAAAGAATAATGCTTAACAGAGAGAAAATAATATAGCAAAATATATGTATACTTAGTAAAGCTATTATTTGCTGTGAAAGCATTGGAACTACATTCACTGATAAGCAAAGGCTCAGAAAATATGCTATGCATGGACCTTCTGCTGTCAGTCTGGAAATGAATCAAACAACAGACCTTTTAAACAGAAGAATTAAGACAGAATAATCATTTAAGTATTTTTTAGTTAGGAAAATAAGAGAAATAAGTTTTAAAATGAGATGAAGATGTATACTTGTGGAGTACAACATTAATAACAGTTGGAAGACAGGAGGAACCAGTGATAATTACAAAATATCTAAACCCTGAAGTCCTAAAGAAGGAATAACATTCAAACTAATGTGGAGCATCCAGAGACATGTTGCTGTCCATGCCATTTCTTTACAGAAGAAGTCTATAATAATTAAGCACGTGTACAGAAGAAACCATATATATTTGTAATGCTGGGAATGTTACATGTTCTTGAATTGGACCTAGGCAAATGACATTGTGCATAGAGTCCCCCAGGCCAACTCTGAAGAGCTGGGTAGCCCAGGAGGCTCTACATACCTAAATGATAAATAATAACTTAAAATATTGCAAAATACCTTGCTTTTTACATTATTTCAGGACTTGCCAGGAGCTGACAATGGGCGAAAGAAGACATTCTGTTAACTCTAAGTTAAAATACAAGTTCTCTCTAAATAGATATTGGGAATGTGTTTGAAAAATTACAAGAAAAAAAGATTACTAAAAAAGAGTGCAAACGATTTTTAAATGGCATGTAAAAATCAATGAGAAAGTAACAAGATTATAAAACAGAAGTTTAGGAATAATTAAGTTTCCAATTCTGCATACAGGGTAGGCAAAATAATTGATTTATTCTTGAATGTAATGTAATTGGTTTAAAGTCTAGTATTAGGTAAAGAATGTTAGACTGATATGAAAGTCTTAACATCTTCTCTTACTGTATTTAAAATTAGCTACTCCCCACTTTAAATGCTTTCTTTCCCCGATTTCTGTTAGATGACACCCTCTTGGCTTTCCTTTTTTATTTCTCATTACTGGCTTCACTACTTTTCCATTCACAGACCGGGACTAAATCTAGACCATCTTCATAAATAACGTATTACATCAACAGAATGAAAGATTTTAAGGAAATGATCATCTCAACAGATGTAGGAAAAGCAATTCATAAAATTCAACGTCTACTCATCCATTTGTTGAGATAAAAACTCTCAACAAATTAGCTATAGAAGGAACATGCCACAACACAATAAAGGCCATATATGACAAACCCACAGCTTACATCATACTCAACAGTGAAAAGTAGAAAGCTTTTCCTCTATAAAGTGGAATAAGACAAAGATGCACACTTTGCCAATCTAACCTAACATAGTACTGGAAGTCCTAGCCAGAGCAATTAGGCAAAAGAAAGAAAGGGCTTCCGAATTGGAAAAGAGTAAGGTGAATTGTATCTTTTTGCCTTTGACATGATCTTATACATAGAAAAACTGAAAAACTCCATGAAAAAAACTATTAAAACTGATAAATAGGCGCCTGTAGTCCCAGCTACTTGGGAGGCTGAGGCAGGAGAATGGCGTGAACCTGGGAGGCGGGGCTTGCAGTGAGCCGAGATCGCGCCACTGCACTCCACCCTGGGCGAGAAAGCGAGACTCCGTCTCAAAAAAAAAAATAACTGACAAATATTCAGTAAAGTTTCAAGGTATAAAATCAACAAAAAATTACTAGAATTTCTTTATACAAACAACAAATTAAAGAAGAAAGTAAGTCATCAAGCCCATTCACAATAGTGTCAAAAATAATAAAATACATGGGAGTAAATTTAATCAAGAAGGTGAAAGATCTTTGTACTAAAAACTGTAACATAAACAAATGGAAAGTTATCCTGTGTTTATGGATTACAAGATTTAATATAGCCAAAATGACCATACTAGGCAAAGCAACCTATGGATTGAATGCAATGTCTCTGAAAATATCAGTGTTAATCTTCAAGAAAAATAGAAAAATAAAATAAAATTTGTATGGAACAACAAAAGACTCCAAATAGCCAAAGCAGTCTTTAGCAAAAGAACAAAGTTGGAGGCATCACACTACCTGACTTCAAAATACACTAGAAACCTATAGTAACCAAGACAGCATGATAGTGGTATAAAAATAGACACATGGACCAATAAAACAGAATAGAGAAACAAAAAATAAATCCATATATTTACATCCAACTAATTTTTGACAAAGACACCAAGAACAAACATTGTGGAAAGAATATTATCTTCAATAAATAATGTTGGAAAACTGGATTTCCATGTGCAAAACAATGAAAGTAGACCCCTATCTTTCACCACATACAAAATCAACGCAAAACAGATTAAAGATTTAAATGTAAGACTGACACTTTGAAAATACGAGAAGAAAACATTGGGAAAAATGCTTCAGCACATTGGTCTGGGAAAAGATTTTATGAATAAGACCTCAAAAGCACAGGCAACAAAGGCGAAAATTGACCAGTGGGATTACATGAAGGTAAAAAGCTTCTGCACAGCAAAGGAAAGAAACAACGATATAGTGTAGAGGCAGCAGACAGAAAGGGAGAAAATATTTAAAATATTCACTCAACAAGGGATTAATATCCAGAATATATAAACAATTCAATAGCAAAAAAAAAAAAGATTAAAACTGTACAAGTGATCTGAATAGACATTTTTGAAAAGAAGACATACAAATGGACAAGAAGTATTTGAAAAAAATGCTCAACATGCTTAATGATCGGGAAATACAAGTCAAAACCACAGTGAAATATCATCTCACCCCAGTAAGAATGGATACTATAGAAAAGTAAGAAATAACAAATGCTGGTGAAGATGGAAGGAAAGTGAACTCCAATATGCTGGTGATGGAAATTTAAATTAGCATAGCCACTATGAAAAACAATATGGAAGTTCCACAAAAAAACTAAAAATAGAACTACTATATGATCCAGTAATCTCAATGTTGAGTATTTATCCTAAGGAAATAAAACCAGTATGTCAAAAAGACATATGCTCCTCCACATTTACTTCGGCACTATTCACAATAGCTGAGATAGGTAATCAACCTAAAAGTCCATTAATGGATGAATACATGGAGAAATTGTGGTATATATGCACAATGGAATACTATTCAGCCATAAAAAGAAGAAAATCCGGTTGTTTGTGGCCACATGAATGAGCATGGTGGGCCTTATGTTAAGTAAAATAAGTCAGGTGTAGAAAGAAACATACCACATGTTCTCAGTCATATGTAAGAGCCTCCAGAAGAAAAAAAAAAGGCTGACACTTTGATTTAATTCCTGTTAGACTCATTTTGCACTTCTGACCTCTAGAACCTCTGTAAAAGCATAATTCTGTGTCATTTCACCCAATAAATTTGTTGTAACTTGTTGGCTTTGGCAATAAGAGGTCCTTGTTACCTGGACCAGTGCAAGATTGGACAAGGAGTTAGAGATGAATGGAGATACATCGTAACGGAATGTGAGGAAGCAGAGATGGCAAAAACAAACAACTCTTTTCACAAAATGTGGGGAATAGCAGCACAGGCAACAGGCAACCCTATTTTACAGAAAACAAAACCAAAAAAAAAAAAAAAAAGAAAACAAAAAATTAGCCAGCCATGTTGATGCATGCCTGTAGTCCCAGCTACTCCGGAGGCTGAAGCAGGATTGATTGAATCCATGAGTTTGAGGCTGTAGTGAATTATGATCATGTCACTGAACTCCAGCCTGGGCAATAGAGCAAGACCCTGCCTGTATCAAAAAAAGGTGATTAATATATGAAGTCAGGATCTATTGTTAAGAACATGAGTTTTAAATTGATGGATACTGGAGCATATATGGACTCTGAGGACAATTTATTTGAGAGGAGAAAAAGATGATTCAAGAGAAAGTGGAAATAATTGCAATAATTGAGGTCTTTGAAAGGAAAAAAGGAGATTTGGTTAGAATAAATAAGGATATTTTGGCCTTTGATAAGATAGGGACACTTTAAGACCATGGAAGAAGATGGACTCAGGTTCTTACAGATATACAGATTTAGTGATCGCAAAGGAAAAGCTTTTAAAGATGAGAGGTTCTATTTTACCAATAAAATAAAGGAAATTTCATCAGCTGAAATCACAGAAACATAAAGAATACAAAGTTTGATGAGTTATAAAAGAACATGATTTGGTAGGAAAGTAAATTTATTTAAAAAATTTAGTCCTGTTTCAAAGCGGATGATTCTGCATTTATAATGACGTCAACATGAGTGGATGTTTTGTTTCTCTTCAACAATATTCAGCAACAACAGCACAAGCATAGTGATGGTGAAGGTTTGGGTTCCTGCAGGGCTGCTGATTGCAGAGGAGAATGGGAAAACATTTGGGAATATTTGCAAAGGAATAATTACTGGTAGTAATAAGAGGGAATAACCATCACAAATCATGGAAACTAAGAAAAGAAGAGCAAAGAGAAAGGAGTAGTAGAGTGAAAATGATAGTATCAGTAAATTCAAGATGTCCACAAGAGTGCTCAAATGATTTTAATTGTCCAATATCTCCAAAGAGGGCCTGAGGTTGGACTGAAGAATGCAAAAGGAAAAACAAATGGACCAAAATTGTAGCTGTTATAATTTGTTTTGAAGCTCATTACATACACCCAGTGAAAATGCCTAAATAATAGGGGGTGCACTGTATAGAAGAATTTTGCACTTTCATTCTCAGAACCTACAGATAGCAAGTAAGAACAAGAGCCATAGAAATACAGTAACAGTTGACTCTTGAACAACACAGGGAATGGACTGCTAATACCCTGCACAATAAAAAATCCTTGTATAAATTTTGACCCCCCCCCAAAAAAAAAAGTAATTACTAATAGGTCACTCTTGACCAGATGTCTTACCGATAACATAGCATTTTATTAACACACATGTTGTATGTTATATGTATTATATACTGTATTCTCACAATAAACTACAAAAAAAAAAGGTATTAAGAAAATTATAAGGGGGCAGGGCACGGTGGCTCACGCCTGTAATCCCAGCACTTTGGGAGGGCGAGGCGGGCGGATCGTGAGGTCAGGAGTTCGAGACCAACCTAGCCTACATGGTGAAAACCCGTCTCTACTAAAAATACAAAAATTAGCCGGGCATGGTGTCAGATGCCTGTAATCCCAGCTACTCCGGAGGCTCAGGCAGGAGAATGGCATGAACCTGGGAGGCGGAGCTTGCAGTGAGCCGAGATCGCGCCACTACACTCCAGCCTGGGCAAAAGAGCAAAACTCCATCTCAAAAAAAAAAAAAAAAAAAAAGAAGAAAAGAAAAAAGAAAGAAAATCATAAGGAGGAGAAAATATATTTGCTATTTATTTAGTGGAAGTGAATCATCAGCAAGGTCTTCATATTGAGTAGGCTGAGAAGGAGGAGGGAGATGAGGAGTTGATCTTCCTGTCTCATGGGTGGCAGAGGTAGAAGAAAATCCACATATTAGTAGATCTGCATTGTGTCGTTCAAGGGTCAACTGCATTACTATAATTTGATTACATTTTAAATTTATCTAAAATTATAAATACTTATACATGAGCCCTCATGGTCATGTTGAGATTATTACAAATGTAGTAAGTGGTCAGCTGACCTCTTATATTAGCACTCATAACCTTGATAAATTTACCATATTATGATGTCAGTTCTTTACCTTTTAACATAAGATATCCTTACTTGTTAACATACCCAGAGAAGATCCATTAACTAAATTCATACAACATAAATATGAAATCAGTAAAAAATAAAAAATTAAAATTATTACAAAAGTACTAGAATACTAATAAAGCATTCCCTCAAAGGAACATTGACATTGGCTAGTATATTTTTAAGGGCTTTTATAATTATACAATTAGGGCAAGTGTAAACTGGTATTAATAAAATGAATAGTTATCAGCACTTTAGATAACTCATGGCATCCATCTCAAAATAGAAATGCTCTTGACAAAAGGAATTAAAACATTGAGTCATTCACTGACTTGAATTCCCTGAACGTAGGTAACTATCCGATCTTCAGTTAACTGCGCAGCTATCCCCTGATTCATCACAACAAGTGATTAATCACTTGTGGAGTATTCAAAAGGGCAATTCTTCCTGTTATTTTTTTGTGCATCCACTTAGCAACCAAATACTGACAATAATTCCTGCCCATTCTTTTTGTGGAAAAGTAAATACACATCATGGGAGCCTCTGACAACCATAAGTTTTTTTTATGGCTCAACTAAGGAAATATTGGTCAAAATATGGTTATAGAAGAGGGGGGATGAATAAAGTGGAGGGGAAAGCAGAGAAGAGTGGCTCATACTTAAAATACATTGAATCACTAATGTATTCTATTTCAAAAACCATAAGTAAATAGATGAACATGAAAAAACTCTATTTCTGGGTCATTTGGAAAATAGAAATATGTTAATTTATTGTGATTCCATGAAATGAAAGGAGTTTTGTTTATTGTTACTCTCTTATATTAACTGTAAGATTTATTTACCTTTTACTTATTTTTACCACCAGAAATGAATCAAAAGTAGTTTACTAAGACAAATACCACTTATCTGATACTAAAGAACTAAAAGGAGCAGGAAAGGAAATATGCAAGGAAACACATAAGGAAAACATCAGAAAGGGTAAATGTTGGTCATCTGAGTGCCTCTTACATCACAGTGAAGGCAAAGCGAACATAGGTAACAAAAATACTCCAGATAGATAGATAGATAGATAGATAGATAGATAGATAGATAGATAGATAAACAGATGCATTCCTTCTTCTCCTCCACTTGCATTACAAATTCATGTCAATTTATTCCCAGAGGTTTTATTAAACTCATGCAATTTAGGGGAGTACTCTAGTTGTTTAAATATCGCCGTGAATCTAAAATCAGTGGGCCAAAGTCCCGTGGTGATACATCTGATCAGAGTGAAAATCAGGTGTTTCTGAAGTTTGTGGAAATACTACCCCCACCAGCCTCACGGAGTTTTATTCCCTCTTTTCTCCTGAATATCCCTGAGCTTTGGCTACATAACTCATCCTATTCCTCTTTCTCACCAAAAACCCATAATAGCTTCAGGATATTCATGCTACATGACAACCAAAGGTCAGTTTCCCGGATCTGCCCTCAGCTAGGGTGAGTTTCAGATCTGCCTCAGATACTTCCACCTAAATTTAGCTAAACATATAGACTTCTGAAAAAGCACATTTAGTTGGAAGACAGATGGTGTCAATTATTTTATAGCATTCTTGAAGAATTCTAAAAGTGGGTCAGTGTATTTCAATTTTAATCATGTATACAAAGTCTAAGGGGGAAATGGATTACAAGAAAAAAAAATTTGATGAATGATGTATGGGTACCTATGCAAAAATATCACTCTTTAAAATGCATTATAAAAGAAAAATATGTATTATGTATAAAATTAGGTTCTAGAAAGAAATATGGGAAAAATAAGTCAAAGAATAAAATCACATCTTACCTTATTCAATATTACCAATGAAACTTTGGAATTAATAAAATAGTAGCAATGCACTAAATGAAAGCCTTTTACAAACAGAAATTCTATACAATTTGAAAAAAGCCTAAGGTGATATTTGAAGCTGTGATCAGAAACAAAAGTTTTGATAGATCAAAGCAGCATCTTCTATTTCATGTATCTCTGCAGAACAATTGAGGATCCTATTATTAACCATCTGCTAGATTGTGGCTTTTATTTTAAATGAAGCTAAAACAAATAGGACATACCATCCCATGACTGTCTTTGAGCCATCATATGCAGAAGAGTTTGTTTTCATTGACATGATAGCTTTTTGTCATAGAGTCTTAGTGAAGGAGGCTCTCAAATAAGCTGTTAAATTATGTTATATGATCAGACAAGGTAATGACTCAACTAGAAAATCTCTCATTAGATAAGGTTATGATAGTGTGAGGTTATGATAGCTGTGAATAAGATGAGTGCCAATTAAAATGTCCAAAAGGCTAAAACTAAGAGCTTCTCTTTCACAGTAATAAGTTACAAAATGTTTTCTAATTTAAAACAAAATTGGAAAAACTAAGGGTTAAGCATTTAAACTTTGAAAACTAGGCCCATTCTGTCATAACTGGGACATGAACTACTTAGCAGGAGATTATTTGTACTTTTTGGAAATGCCAGCTGTTTTTTTCAGTGACAACCTTTATGGAATTTTCCATGAAAACTGCTTCTTTAATCAAAATATTTTTAACTAATAACGCACTACTTGCCTCAGGGGATAGGGGAAAGAAAAAACTAACAGAAGAAGAAATTCATCATGTGCATTTTATTAATAGACTGTTCAGAGAAATAATTAAATACATACAATAGAAAAATCCTTTAAACAAAAATATATAACCACATTTATTTAAATAACCAGTTTTTGTTGTTGTTATTCTTGTTTTGTTTTATGGGGTTTTTTTTTTGTTTGTTTGTTTTTAAGACAGGGTCTTGCTCTGTCACCTAGGCGGGAGTACAATGCTGTGATCATAGCTCACTGTAACCTCAAACTCCTGGTCTCAAGCCATCCTCCCTGAGCCTCCCAAGTAGCTAGGATTACAGATGCTCACCACCATGCCTGGCTAATTTTTGTTTTCTGGTAGAGATGGGGTCCTGCTTTATTGCCCAGGCTGGTTCCCAAAGTAATTGTTAATCTGATATTATCTTGCCCTCTGCACTTTAAAATCAGGGAGAGCTGTTTTTGAAGTTTTACTGTATTCCATAAACCTTCACAATAGGTCTAAAGAGATGAAGCATCCTCAACTTTAAAAAATAATTTTTTGCAGGTATCTCTCTATTCTAATTAATAAGGTAAATGCCTGGGATAAAAATTGATTCTTAACTTCTAGTTTAATTGGTAAATGACAGTTGAGAAAGAATATAAAAGTGACTTTTTTTCTTGTTCCACTTTTATTTGAGAATCAGAGGGTACACGTTCAGTATTGTTAAAAGGTGTATTGCATGATGCTGAGGTTAAGTGTATGCATGAATCCATCACCCTGGTATTGAGCATGTACCCAATAGGTAGTTTTCAGCTCCTGTGCCTGTCCCTCTGTGCCCCTCCTCCAGTAAGTAGTCCTTCAGTGTCTATTGTTCCCATCTTCATATCCATGAGTACCCAATGTTTAGCTCCCACTCATGAGTTAAAACATGCCATATTTGGTTTGCTGTTACTGCATTAATTCACTTAATGGCCTCCAGCTGCTTCCATGTTGCTGCAAAGGACATGATTTTGTTCTTTTTTATGGCTATGTAGTATCCTATTATGTATAAATACCACATTTTCTTTATCCAATCCATTGTCGATGAGCATTTGAGTTGATTCCATGTTTTTGCTATTGTTTTGAATAGTGCTAATAGTGCTGTAATGAACATACAGGTACATGTGTTCTTTTGGTAGAATGATTTATCTCCCTTTGGTATATACCCAGTAATGGGATTGCTGGGTCGAATGGCAGTTCAACCCATGGGTCTTTAAGAAATCTCCAAACTGCTCTCCACATTGGCTGGATTAATTTACATTCAAACCAATAGTGCACATGTGTCCCCTTTTCTCTGCAGCCTCACCAACATTGTTATTTTTTGACTTTTTAACAAAAGCCATATACTGACTTGTGTGAGATGGTATTTCATTGTGGTTTTAATTTGCATTTCACTGATGAATTGTGATGATGAGCATCTTTTCTCGTGTTTCTTAGCTGCTTTTATGTCTTCTTTTAAGAAGTGTCTGCTTGTGTCCTTTATCCACTTTTTTTTTTTTTTTGAGATGGAGTCTTGTTCTGTTGCCCAGGCTAGAATGCAGTGCGTGATCTCAGTTCACTGCAACCTCTGCCTCCTGGGTTCAAGCAATTCTCTTGCCTCAGCCTCCCAAGTAGCTGGAATTACAGGTGCCCGCCACCATGCCTGGCTAATTTTTGTATTTTTAGTAGAGACGGGGTTTCACCATCTTGGCCAGGGTGGTCTCGAACTCCTGACCTCGTGATCTATCCTCCTCAGCTTCCCAAGTGTTGGGATTACAGGCATGAGCCACCACGCATGGCCTGTCCACTTTTTAATGGGGCTATTTGGTTTTGCTTATTGAATTAAGTTCCTTATAGATTCTGGATATTAGACCTTTGTCAGATGCATAGTTTGTGAATATTTTCTCCCACTCTGTAAGCTGCCTGTTTACTTCCTTGATAGCTTCTCTTGATGTGTAGAAGCTGTTTAATTTAATTAGGTCCCAAGTGAGGTAGTCACTTGGCTGCATGAAGAAAGGAGGGTGCTGGGGATTCAAGGTTTCCTTTTCAGACTCTCTAGCAGTCACCTGCCTCCCCTCCTTCGTGCTTTCTGCAGTGCCTGGTATCTCTAAGCACAGAGTACCTTGAGAACTATGCAGGAACAGCTTCCCCACTTGTTAGATCCTCATGTCCGATCTCTGACAATAAAAACATGTATGATTTTGCTTCCTTCACATACTACTCCTCCACTCTCTTGGAATATATTGTTGATTTGTTTTAAACTCCTTTGCCATGCTCCCTGTTAGTTTTTATCCCTGTTGGTGAATGTCATTTTTTTTAAATCATTTTCATTTTAGTGTGGTTTTTATAAGACAAAAAATACACACATGATCAATTACAAAGTTTAATGCTCTGTCTCTTAAATAGATGTGTATCTTTAAAACTATAGATATATAATTACACGTGGACTAGAATAAAAGCTCCATGAAGATTTTCAATGTTCTGGCCTCTTTTTTATTATTTACAACAGGGCTTGATCAATAATTACTATGGCAAAAAAATACACACATACACACACAAATATTTACAAAATCAAAGTCATAATTTCTATGTAAAATATTTTTATACTATAGTTCTAGACCATTATTGCTGAAATTTTATTGATATTTAATCTTTTCTTAAATTTCCACTGAAACATATCTTTATAATGTTTTATTGAATGGGAACTCTATGAATATAGTCCATATTATCACTAAAAGCAAACCCGCATTCCATAGAAGGATTTATAAGTAACTGATAAAGTGTACGTGTATGTATATATAGCCTCTGATTTAAATGGAAAAAAGCTTCCCCTTGTTTGTTCTTAGCAGTTTAGGTCAATTTCTCTGCAGATACATAAAATCAGTCCTAGAGACAGAAAATCTGCACTCTCCTGGAATCAAAAGCAGACATTATCTTGTGTTGTATAGTATATCCACACTCTGCAGCAGAAAACCACCATGTCATTTAGAAAGGGCTTTCATACTCTTTGATATCATGCACCGCGGTCTATTACATAAAACAAGCATAACATGAAGTTCAATAGGGAAAACTGGAAAGAACATCGTTTTCCTTCCTTTAAGTGTCTTAACATCTTCCATCTTTGTTTAAGAGATTACCAAATTCTGAAAACACTGTATTTATTAACATCTTCAAATTTTTAACTTACTGGAGATACAGTATTCTTTCAGTATTCTTTTCCTCTAATTTATAGCTTTCTCTTTCTTTGATCCTTAATTCTGTCTTCTTGATTACATATTCATGCTTTTGTATATAACGCTTACTTTCTGCTTTTGTATATAACGCTTACTTTCCTGAAGGTTTATTACTCTGTTTTTTTAAAAGTACCATTTGAATAAAGTTGGAGTAATTTGAAACTATCAGGATAGAACAGGGGAGAGAGAGATCAAGGGGAGAGGAGACAGAAGCATTTAGAAAGGTTGAATTCTGTTGGGGAAGAATGGAGGAAAAATATAACAGAATATGGGATTAATTCCAGTGCTTCTTATATTGTACCATGTAGTCATCTACTACGAGGAACAAATAATTAAGTGGAAAACCGCATCTCTCTCATGCTCTTTCACTTTTCTAACATCACCATCACACATATATACATTCTCCCCCTCAGAGTTGTGTGTGTGTGTATGTGTGTTGCACAAAGGTGTCGATCATGAACTATTTAGTCATAAAGCTTTTACACAAAAGAATTTCGAGCACTTATTAGTTATTATGAGAGATTAGAGAAATAATACTGTAAATCTTAGTACTGCATTCAGTGAAGACACTGATACTTGCTGTTCAGGTTGTTGTCACAGTATTTTAAAAATATCATATATTTAGTTGTTAGTTTGGCATTGAGCCTGGTAAACACTTGGCCACGGCAGAACAGCTAGCTGTTCACCAACATACAGTTCTCTCCTTCCTTAGATTAGAGCAAGACCACAACTGCTAGCTGCCCTTGAAAACAGAACAACGAAATGGAATTCTTGCGAACAGATTGTGAGCAGAAGTGATGTCCACCATTGCTAGTTCTGGCCAATAAATATTTATATGCATCATAATTTCTGCTCTTTCTCCTTCAGCTGGTGATGAAGCTTGATTTTGCAAGCCTATGTTAAGTATGGCATAGATTCCATCAGCCTAGATTCCTGGACAACTATGTGTGGCAAACATCCCTCTTCTTACCCTGTCCAAGACACTTTTAATGTTTCCCTTGCCTATGCTAAACTTTAGAAAGTGTTCTTCCTGACTATAGGTCCCTGACTTTCTTCCATTTAGGACATTTACCTTGAAAAACTTGCAATTCTACATTTTCTCGATCCCTTTGAAATGTATGTAAACCTTCCCAGCTTCCTGCCAGTTTTATGACCTAAAAATTGTCTTTTCCAAGGATGTGGGAATCATCTCCTTGAATATAAAGACGGAAAGAGACAGCACTTCTATCTCCCAGTCTCTGTGGGAGTGTAGGATCCTAACTTCCTGGGCAGCCAATTAGCAAACACAGATGGCCTAATCAGAGAAGAACATTTTCAAACTCAGGAATAACTCAGTACGCTCAACATATCCCATTAACCAACCTTCCTACTAACAATCTCCAGCAGTTTTTCAGTAGCTTACCCTAGCATTTAAAAACCCCTCCTGCCATTTGTTCTAGAAGAGTTAAGTTCAGTCTCTCTCTAACCCATTGCAATAGTTTTGAATAGTCTTCCTTGTGTGTTTAACTTTGTCTCATGCAATTTTTACTTTGGCACCTCCAACCAACTAGTTTTGATTATTATATGAGATACAATATCTATCATGTTTGAGTTATTCTAAACTTTTGGAGCAAATATGTTGTACAGATATTGGAAACTTGAATTGGGATGCTGCAATAACCAAAACCTGAATGCATAAGCATAGCTGTTGACAGAGTTGGGAAGTGACAAGTCACGATCTACAAGAAAATAGATTCAGCAGGTTGGAAAGTTAGAGAGCACTGATGTACTGTGTCAAAACATTAGGTAAAACTCTGATAACTCTGAATGCAGAAAAATTACATACTTTGGGAGGTAATTAAAAAGATCAAGAGTGTTACTTGTTTTGTTTACTTCCTGCTTCTTGTATCTAGGTATTGCAACAAAGAAATGTTTTCAGGGTAGAGTTCCTGGTTTGATAAGAGAGATGCAAGTAAATACAGTCCAGAAATTGGGGAAATTTAGGAGGTGAATAATTAAATGTTTCTGTAGTCCAAGAATAGGAAATAAGACTTAAAAAGCATTTAGACGAGAAAAATCCCTCTGATTTTGTATTTTATCAGAAGAACGCACCCCTGAGGCACAGCCTATTATTCAAATAACCTAAATGATCATTTAGGTGAGGGAAAAAAAGATGAAAAATAAAGGAAAGAAAGAAAAAGAAAGAAGAAAAGAAAGAAGGAAGAAAAGAGGGGGAGAGAGAAATAAACAAGTTTATTGTTTCTAAGCCACAGAATATAATTGGAGTCCAGTTAGCAGATATTATATACCAACATTGGTTAAATCATATGGGCATGTTGATAAGTGCCATCAGAAAAAATTTTTATGTTCATAAATGCTGTTGGTACTAGAGAAGTGTTCTGAGCTTTTGATCCAAATTCTTGGCCTAGTTCTGGTAATTGTCTCCATTGGTAATTCATTTAATTGTCTTTGCCTCAATTTCTACATTTAGAATGAATGTTGAAATTGATCACTTAATCTCCTTTTATGTGATTTCTGTGCTTCCAAATATAGGCTGCTAATGACTACAAGAAATATGACTAAGGAACAGGACTCAAATCTTATGGCCAATTATTTTAATCCAGTTCATTTTAAAATTAAAGAACCTCTGCTCCCTGGCAGGCCACTTCAGACAGTTGAGAAAGCATTCCAGCTCACACAGTATGTTGAGCTCTTCATGGAGCTAAGGAAATAAGAAATACACAAGCATGAAGGCATCTAAATTGAAAGGCATATACTCTACTATTAAAAAATCTTTAGAATGTTTTTAAAGCAGAATGGTGTAGCAAAATATTTTTTCCTCTGTAGAAGAGCCAATGAGAACAATACTACTTCTTTGATCATTATAGCATAATATTTGTGTACAGACCTTTGTAATTGATTGGAATAGTACTAAATTTCAAAGAGCAGCCATCTAGTTCTTACAGAGTTGAGTGGCCTAGATATTAATAAGGATATACATACTAATGATGACGAACCAGCTGTCCATGGAAAAGCTGATTTAGAGAGTATTCAGTTTTATCATTTTGACAGCTCGCATGGGAAAACATACCATATTCCGTTCCCTTTCCTTGTGCTAGAGTCAAATTAGAATTTCATTTAAAGATAAGGAGCCAATATCATAGCATTTTACATTCTTATCTTTATGACCTACTTATTTTTAATACTTGCTGTTAAGAGATGGGCATTCTTCGATGTCAGATGGAAGTGGTTTTATTTCTCTCTATATTTTCTGTTTTAGTGATTTTTTGAAATAAAGATTTCTTCCCTCTCTCTAACATGCTTTCTCTAATGCATTTTAGATCATCTTGATTCTTTTTATTTTCCATTTAAAAATTTTTTGAGGGGGATTTCTTTTGATATTTTCTGATTTCTCATTTAGTATGACTTCATTCTATTTAAACTCTCATTTAATACTGTGTGCTTCATTTCCAATTAGTGGTAGATAATTAATTTCTAATTAGAAATAGATAACAGTAATATATGCCTCCATGGGTAATATTTTAAATGACCATAATAACGTTTTGATGAGAAGAACTATTATTAATCCAACTTTTTAATGTTCTCTTTGACTGACAACTGAACTAAAAAGGATGGAAATTAGCAGACTACATTAGGACACTGAGATCAGAAGAAAACAGAAATAAGTCGAGTTGACATTTCATACATCAATTTTCCTTGGAAATTGCTATTATATCAACACTAATGTTACTTGTAACAACAGCTAGGTAAAACGGTGAATTTTATGCTATTAATAACTTCCAATTTCTGAGTTCTTTCAATCATCCACTCTTTCTACAGGGAACAAGGCGTTTGAGTTGCCCAAGAGCTTATACTCCTTGCTTAAGGAAATATATTCCCACCCCAATCTGTTCTGCAAAGCATTCATGGATCTACACTACATGTGGTACAGATACAAGGCTTACCAGAGCAAAGCTTACAAGCAGAGAAAGAGTGAAATATGTGTGATCCCCTAAACTCTCATTACTCTACAGCAAGCCTGGGCACAGATGGTCTGTAAACACCATGGCCAACAATCCCAAAGAGAAAGATCCCAAACCAGTAATGCTCGATGTATTTAGAGGAACAGGTGTGCATGGTAGGGAGAGAGGTAGTCGAACTTTCATACTACAAAGTAGCAATAAGAAATGGCATTGTTCACAAGGTAGAGCCAGCCAGGGAAACCAATAGCTGAAATTGGCCTAGGTTTTGTTGAGCTACCTCGTCAAGTTGAACCCATTCTTGGCTCACTCAGCAAAATGGGTAGGAATATAGCTTCAGAGCCATCTAGATTGCTTTTTCAAATCCTCATGAAAATTTTCCTACCTTGTCTCCTGTTTCTCAGGGTCCTAATCTCTGATAAAGAAGTCCCAAGCCAATTATTGCTGTGCATTAAAACACTGTGAGTTGGCCAGGCACAGTAGCTCATGCCTGTAATCCCAGCACGTTGGGAGGCCGAGGTGGGTGGATAGCTTGAGGCCAGGAATTTGAGACCAGCCTGGCCAACATGGTGAAACCCTATCTCTACTAAAAATACAAAAATTAGCCGGGCACGGTAGTACATGCCTGTAGTCCCAACTACTAGGGAGGCTGAGGCACAAGAATTGTTTGAACCCAGGAGGTGGAGGTTGCAGTAAGCTGAGATTTCACCACTGCACTCCAGCCTGGGCAACAGCGCAAAACTCTGTCTCAGAAAAACAACAACAACAACAACAAAAATCCCTGTGAGATTGTCACCTTGTGCCAATAATGTATTAATCGTAGTCATAATCATAATCATAAGCCTCATAACAATAATAAAATAACTGAATCTTTACTATGTTACCAGACACTATGCTAATAAGCATTTTATACGATCAAATTATCCAACTTAATCTGTACAAAATCCTGAGAGGAATACTATTATCAGTTACAAACTATATGGATATTAAGAGGGTATATTAGTTAATTAAAATTGAATTTTAAGATAAGGAATTTAAACACTTTGGCATGCCAGAATGGAAAGACATCTGCATAGGATATACCCCTTTTTTATTTTACCCAGATTATACCAACTCTGATTATTTTTTACAACTGTGAAGAGACACAGATCAGCTAGCTTCCCAGAAATATGCTAAAATATCTGTAGGTAAAGGTATGAAGAACAAATTTCTGTGTTCTGAAGATTAAGCAGAGAGATGGCAGCTCTCGTAAATTAACCACAGCCGATTTAAGCAGATATCCACTGTAGGGAAAGCACAAAACAATACAAAATAAGCATTCCCTTCTTCAATTTTCAGCAGATCTGTCTTCTGAAAATACATAATTCATGTATCTATCAGGTCACTTTCTTGTCAGCATCACAAAGGGAAGCGAGGAGGAAGTACCATTTTCATACTAATCAGTCAAAGAATATTTACATTGCAGCCTACTGCTGTTTTTTAAATGTGCACACTCGCTGCAAAAGCCTAAATGTCTTATGAGTTATTAAAGCATCAAGACTGAATTGGAACATTGGCATTTTAAAGAGTAGACAGTAAAAAAAAAATTACCATTTAATTCCCTTTACCCTTTTCTCTCTACCATTAGTTCTCCATTTAACAACCCGAGGTCTCTCTAATAGGCCTTTGATTCCTGTGTTCTTTTGCCACTTTTGCAGTAACCACTTTGGAATCTTAAAGCTGAGAGCAGTCACCCTCATTTGCCCTTCCCTTATCCAGCAACAGATAGCTACTTAATCCCCATCTATTTTTAAAAGGAGTTCACCAAGATATTTAAGATGGAAGAAAAGAATACTAAACATTCTAATTGCCCTAAAAGTACACTTCCATTGTCAGTTTTCACCTTAGAAGTACAGGAAAGACCTTAAAGCCTTAAACAGAGATGGATACAGCATTGTGATCAGCTGTTCAACCAATGCTTGGTTTTCATATGTACACAAAACAGTAAGGTCACACACAGCAAATAACATCAGTTAAGAGCAGAAATCCTAGTACTTTATTTTCTTCTCCAAGACCCCAATTCAAAGAAACAAAAAATCAGTGAAACAGATCTATTCAGACTTCTACAGCCCTTTTTTCTATTGACACTATGAGGTGTTCCTTTTGCAGTCTAGTGTCATTTATAGTGTGTGCTTCAGGGAACAGCACTCCTCCCTATTGCTTTGGAAAACGATGCCATAGTTTAATAGATGTCGCCAGCACAGAGGAACTTTCATGATGTAGTGACTAAATTTTTCTTTTCTTAATTGCATACCATTATTCCTAATTATGTTTACTGGTATGGTGCTAAGTAATTATGCTCTCTTCTTCCTGTTAACACCCTTCAGATATTAGCAGCAGTTATGCCCCTCATTAATTTTAACTGAGAAGGCTATGTATATTTAATTTTGTATTATTTTCCAGATTTGTGTCAAATTTTCCTCCTCTTCCAAGATGTTTTCCTCCCCCACATGCAAAGTGTTTCTGCACTTTTTAGGGTATGTGTTTGTACCTCTTATATTGCTTTATCCCCAATCTTAGTGATGATTGATATCAACTTATTTTTCTTTTTTTTAGCAATTAATAAATGATGGATATTTTATAATTTTAATTTCCACATTACACAGGTATCTCATAATTGGATTCATAGTTATATAATGCTTAATCTTTTTTTATTATACTTTAAGATTTAGGGTACATGTGCACAACGTGCAGGTCTGTTACATATGTATACATGTGCCATGGTGGTGTGCTGCACCCATTAACTCGTCATTTAACATTAGGTATATCTCCTAATGCTATCCCTCCCCCCGCCCCCTCACCCTACAACAGGCCCTGGTGTGTGATGTTCCCCTTCCTGTGTCCTTGTGTTCTCATTGTTCAATTCCCACCTATGAGTGAGAAAATGCTGTGATTGGTTTTTTGTCCTTGAGATAGTTTGCTGAGAATGATGGTTTCCAGCTTCATCCATGTCCCTACAAAGGACATGAACTCATCATTCTTTATGACTGCATAGTATTCCATGGTGTATATGTGCCACATTTTCTTAATCCAGTCAATCATTGTTGGACATCTGGCTTGGTTCCAAGTCTTTGCTAATGTGAATAGTGCCACAATAAACAGTCATGTGCATGTGTCTTTATAGCAGCATGATTTATAGTCCTTTGGGTATATACCCAGTAATGGGATGGCTGGGTCAAATGGTATTTCTAGTTCTAGATCCCTGAGGAATCGCCACACTGACTTCCACAATGGTTGAACTAGTTTACAGTCCCACCAACAGTGTAAAAGTGTTCCTATTTCTCCACATCCTCTCCAGCACCTGTTGTTTCCAGACTTTTTAATGATTGCCATTCTAACTGATGTGAGATGGTATCTCATTGTGGTTTTGGTTTGCATTTCTCTGATGGCCAGTGATGATGAGCATTTTTTCATGCGTCTTTTGGCTGCATAAATGTCTTCTTTTGAGAAGTGTCTGTTCATATCCTTCGCCCACTTTTTGATGGGGTTGTTTTTTTCTTGTAAATTTGTTGGAGTTCATTGTAGCTTCTGGATATTAGCCCTTTGTCAGATGAGTAGATTGCAACAATTTTCTCCGATTATGTAGGTTGCCTGTTCACTCTGATGGTAGTTTCTTTTGTTGTGCAGAAGCTCTTTAGTTTTATTAGATCCCATTTGTCAATTTTGGCTTTTGTTGCCATTGCTTTTGGTGTTTTAGACATGAAGTCCTTGCCCATGCCTATGTCCTGAATGGTAATGCCTAGGTTTTCTTCTAGGGTTTTTATGGTTTCAGGTCTAACATTTAAGTCTTTAATCCATCTTGAATTAATTTTTGTATAAGGTGTAAGGAAGGGATCCAGTTTCAGCTTTCTACATATGGGTAGCCAGTTTTCCCAGCACCATGTATTAAAGAGGGAATCCTTTCCCCATTGCTTGTTTTTGTCAGGTTTGTCAAATATCAGATGGTTGTAGATATGCAGCATTATTTCTGAGGGCTCTGTTCTGTTCCATTGGTCTATATCTCTGTTTTGGTACCAGTACCATGCTGTTTTGGTTACTATAGCCTTGTAGTAGAGTTTGAAGTCAGGTAGCGTGATGCCTCCAGCTTTGTTCTTTTGGCTTAGGATTGACTTGGCAATGCGGGCTCTTTTTTGGTTCCATATGAACTTTAAAGTAGTTTCTTTCCAATTCTGTGAAGAAAGTCATTGGTAGCTTGATGGGGATGGCATTTTATTGTTCACTTTTTACCTAATCTCTAGCAGAATCCTATCTTTGTCTTCACAGTTATTACACAATTCAACCTTGTCTCCTCTCATATGCGACTGGAGTGCCTGAATATCCTTTTCAGGGAAATTCTCCTCCTAAACTCTGTTCACTCCTCTTTACCTAAATGTGCATTGTGATACTCTGGGTCTTCTCAGCTCTCCTGTCTCTGTTTCGAATCCAAGGTGCATATGAGGCAATCTCGTCTGGCATTGCTTCAGTCTTCCTTTATATAGATATAATCTAAGACTGCCTGATCTCATGCCCAGGCCTCTCATCTTTCACCTGCTGCCCTGAGGTTTTCCCTGTTGGTTCCTAGCCTCAGAAGCAATACAATTCCCATGGTACCACACATGTCTTGCAAGCCAAGGGGTGCATAAGTTAATGCGCCACAGGGCAAAACCTAGACCAGTAGGAGCAGGAGCTAACAAATCAATTCTTCGTCCTTGCTTGTCTCTACCAATGTTCATCCCTTGGAATGAACAGCAGGTTTTCCGGTGAGCTCTAGAAAGTCGAGCCTGAAGCAAAAGCATGTATGCTGATACTTTCCTATGGGGTGTGCTAAGGGAAGACAAATATTTGCCATCCTTCAAAAAATTACTCAGGCAAAAAAGAAGTCATTTACTTCATAACCCTTTACTTGCATTTTTAGTATTTTTTTAGTTAATTTCATCATTCAAATATATTGAAAATATGGAATGTAAAAGAGAAATGTTAAAAGAAAATGACAAAAACAGACATTGTAAAGAAAAAAGAGAAAGGGAGATGAAATTCATTGCACTACTTTATACTCAGTACAGTTCATTTGTTACCTCATTTAATTTTCCCAACAATGTTAGAAAATAGGTATGTTTATACAAATTTTAGCCACAGACTTAGAAAATTTAAAAGTTAAGTGAGTGACAGACTCACTTGCTTCTCCTCATTAAAATAAAAGTTTTCTTACACAAAATACTTGCAATCTGTATTAATTTCTTTGCTTCATAACAACTCCAAAATTTAGCAGATTAAAACACACATTTATTATCTCAGAGCATTTATGGGTCAGGAATCTCAGCACAGGTTAACCGGCTCCTCTGTTTCAGGGTCACTCAGCCAAGATATTAGCTGAGCTGTAGTCATCTTAAGGGTCAATTGGAGAAGAAACTGCCTCCAAGTTCAACTGATTGTTGACAGGATTCAGTTCTTAATGGGCTGTTGAGTTCAGGACCTCAGTTCTTTACTGACTGTTGGCCAGAAGTTGTCCTTAGGTCTTTGATACCTGAAATTCTCCAAGACATCAGTTTGCTTTATCAAAGTGTGCAAGCTGAGAAGGTACAGCGAGTCTTCTGGCAATATCGAAGTCACACTCTTTCGTAACCCAATTATGGAAGTGATATTCATCAATGTTGCTCTATTCTATTGGCTAAAAGCAAGTTAATCAAAGAGGAGCCAATCATACAAACCATGAATACCTAGGGGCAGAAACCATGGGGGCCATCATAGTTTTCCTGCCACACAATTCAATTCAGTAAACCAGACATACAGCAGAAATAAGAAAAGAAAGGAGAATGACAAAGGTGCAAATTATAGATTATAGGCTATAATGTCTAGTTAGTTATAATCAGTTTTTCTCTGAGGCCACAGCCCCAACTCTTCCTAGGAAACCATGCCACTTTTCTAGAGTCAGAATGTTCCCATTGCTGTGAGTTGTTAAAAAAGGCTAAGTAAAAATACTGAAGTCCTTGGACTCAGGTTGCAAAGTTCAGATTTGATTCAAGATAGGCATTTGGCTGTCTCTGTGACTCTTTAATTTAAGAGTTAAATTATTAATTATTAGTTCTTAGCATATTCTCAAGGTATCTCTACAGTAGATTGCTTGCAAATATAGCTCAAAGTTTCTACTCCTTGCATAACTACACTCTTCACAATGCAACATTGCTGTTTCATTCTTCAAGAGGTGGAACCTTGAGTATGGGCTAGCCTTTTGATTTGCTGTAGTCAATAAAAGGCGAAGGAAGTGACAGTGTACTTGTTCTGAGCTAAATCACAGCAGAATTCCACACTTCCACTGTCTTTATTGGAACTCTAATACCTCCATGAGGATGAGCCCTAATTAGCCTGCTGAAGAATGGAAGACCACATGGAACATAGCCAAGTCAGCATAGTTGCCGAGGTGAAACACCTTACATGTGATTAGCCCAGCCAAGATCAACAAAGTCAACTAGCTGGTCCTTAACTGACCAAAGACACATAAATGAATCTCGCTCAGACCAACCTTGATCACTAGAACAGCCTGGCCAACTGGTAGACTCATGAGAAATACTAAGTAGTCATATTAAGCCACTCGTTTTGGGGTGATTTATTATGAAGTAATATTTAAATGGCAATCAGCAAGGTAGTTATATAGAAGGTAAATTATTGAGGGAAGAACTGAATAAAACCATTACTAGAAAAATAATAGTGTGAGGTAAAGAGGCCCTGAGACACAGTAGGAGCACTTAGAAAGACATCTAACATTTAAGAAGCCAAGTTATAGTAATATTCCGTGAAATTAAGATGTCAATGAAATACTGGGAAATCAGAGCCTTATAATCTAACAGAAAATTTTTCTGAAGACATAATTCAGATATGTGGTCTTCCTATTTTAGTCTCCTTATATTTTTAATAGGTAATTATAAATACTAAAAATAGATACTTTAGCAAGGAAAGACATAGAAGCAATTTTAAAGTAAAATCTCAAATTAGGTACATTTCTCACATCAACTGTAAGAAGCTTCCATGATACATAGGAAAGACACCCTTCCTATGTGTGTGATGGGTTTTCTGTATTTTCATACAGTAAGACTAGTAATTGAAAGATGATACCATCCAACATGCATCTGAAAATGAAAATGGTCTTAGAATTAGCCTCAGATGGGAAAGGGATCTGAAGGACTATTTAATCTAATAGGTTTCTGTTAAATGGATTCCCCAGATGATATTTTTCAGGGCGCATAAAAGCTAACAGTGGCTAGCTTACCTGATTTTGGCTCTAAATGTTAGTTCTTCCTTACATTTAACCAAAATCCATCTCCTCATAACTTCTGTTCATCGATTCTTGCTCTGCCTTCCAGTGCTGTAGCACAATGAATGTAATTGCTCTTTGCTGTGGCAATTTTTCAAATATCTGAAGGCAGCCAGTTCAATCCTACAAAGTATTCTCCTTTTAAAGATTAATAACCCACAACCCCACTTCCTTTCTTATCTCCCATCCAACTAGTTTTAAGTACCTTCAATATTTTAATGGATTTCTCCTAAATAAAATCTAATTAAAACAAAATTAAGCCAAACAAAAATTTTAAATGTAGCACCTATAACTCAAGATAATACTCCAGTTTGTACAGAACTTAAGTCAACTAAAATCCTATGTTTGTTTATATGTAGCCTCACCACACCCTCCCTTAATAAGCCTATATCTGTGAAATTCATAATGGAAGCTAGGTGCAAGGTTTCATATCTCTATCTATCTATCTATCTATCATCTATCTTCTTATTTCCTCCTGTAAATTATGCCCCAGGTACCAACTGTTTAACCCAATCTCTTCTTGCTACTGGATGATCATAAACCTTCTTTCACAATGCCAAAGTCCTTGAATAAATGTTGACCAGTGCAAAGACTATGAAGGACACTTACATAAAATCTCCAGAATCCTTCATCCAGCCTGGCACTGATTCATCAGTAAGCACTTTGGGTACATTTTATCACCTGCTATGAAACAATCTAACTGTGCAGCCGTTCTCCCCATTTATCTCAATCTCATTCTCAAGGATGTTATGCTAGATTTGATATTCACCATGTCTACAACACTTCTATGACTGACAATCCCTTGACCAATATGAAAAAACATTAGAATGACAGGTTTTGGTTTTGTTTCATTCATGCTATACAAACTGCAACTCTATTAACTGTGACAGAAACTATGCAACTTTGAATATTAGAATCTTTATTTTTAAAATTATTAATACTTTTAAATTTTTGTTGGAACCTTTGGGTATATGCATTTTAAGTAGATTTTCATTAGATTACTAATCAAATGACCTCATCACTATCTTCTTACCTCCTTTTACATGTTCTATGATTCAACTACACTAAGATACGTTGTTCTCATTAATATTCTGACTCTGTTCATTCTGATCCTCCCTTCTAACTGCTCAAAATCCTTCCACTCATAGATAAAATAGGCTGAAGCAGAAATAGGTCTTTGAGGGACTGGACTAATCACCTATAACCCCTTAAATAAGATAAAATGGAAAAATGAACTGTAATCCCAGCACTTCAGCAGGCCAAGGCAGGTGGATCGCTTTAGCTCAGGAGTTCAAGACCAGCCTGGGTAACATGGCAAAACCTCATCTCTACCAGAAATACAAAACTTAGCCAGGTGTTGTGGCACATGCCTGTAGTCCCAGCTATTTGGGAGGCTAAGGTGGAAGGATTGCTTGAACCCAGGAGGCTGAGGCTGCATTGAGGCAAAATTGCACCACTGCACTCCAGCCCGGGCTACAAGAGCCCTGTCTGAAAAAAAAAAAAAAAAAAGTAAAAATGCAGAATAATGAGAGAGACTTCATACAAGTTTCAATAAAATACAAATCAACTCGGATCAATAGATATTTACTAAATGTCTACATTTTAGTGCTGTGAGCTAGGAACAGTCGAGAATATAAAACATGTAGGTGCTGTTTTGTGAGGAAAGACAATACACATAATCATGTGAAGAAGGGGAAAAGAGCTTAAATAACAGCAACAAACAATTATAAAAGAGATGTCACAAGGCATAATATGATTCATTGCCAGATGAATTATTCAGACAATAAATTTTACAAAAGTTCAGGAAAGGGAGTGCTAACTTCAGGCTGGGGTGGTCAGGTCCATGAAGATAAATGTGAGCTGGTATTGCAATTGGATGAATGGATACACTTTAGACAAGAAGAAGGCAGAGGAGAGGACACTTTGGAAATCTGGCACAGTGTCAGTAAAAGTGTTTGCTGGAATGACTGGAGTGCCAGGCAAACTTTTTTGGAAGGGTTTTCAGAAACTGTCAGGGAAAGGAGAGGAGTCAGTAAGTTCTTGGAGAAGCTAGTGACATATTTTTGGAAAGAAGATTGAGAAAGCTATTTGGAGAGAGGTGAGGATTTGTGAAATGGCTTGGAATGGGAGCAAGCAGAGAACATGAGCTGTGGTAAGTAGGTAGTCTTGTCAGCAGCATAGTTTGGAGTAGCAGAAGATGAGAGAATGAAAAATAAAATATAGGCAGAGGATGGCACTGGGTTGCTTTTTAAAAAACGGCAAACAATTCTCTGTTTCATTGTTTGTCTTTTAAAAATAAAGGCAAAAATAAAGTTGATGAGAGATTTCATAGTTTCCTTACTCCTGATTATTTATAGTTTTAGACACCTAATGTTGAATAGACTATCATTGTGTGCCTGATATTATGGATTCCCCTCCTATGGGGCCTGAGAGTGAGAAGTCTGTGCCATGAGCCCAGGACCAGCAAGGATTCCTCTTTCTCAGACCATGCAGCAAGGAGACATAAATAAGTAGAGGAGTTAAAGTCAGTCATCAATAGTGGCAAGAGCTATAAAAACATGCCAAATCTAGAGCACAGAGCAATGCTAAGGAGACTGCAAGAGCTGGGAAGACCAGTCACCAACAAAGCACATAGGTGTTTCAGAGAAAACTCTGGCATTGGTGCTGTAATCCATGCTGGCTTTTTTGTTGCCACAGTGGTATGTTTAAAGAGCTCTAAATGGGAGGACAGTATTGCCAGCGTGCTGATTGAATCTTCTGACCTTTGAATTCAGATGATATCCTACTGGACCACAGTGTGTCACAGCTCACTTTACAACCTGTGCAAACCTCTTGCTTACCACATAGCCTTGCTGATGTTGCTAGAGGTCGTCCCTCTGGCATTCTTTACCAACTACGTACTCTGTGGCCCCTGTGTTGCTTCTTCCCTTCTCTGATTTCCCATGTGCAGAAATCTGTATGGGGCCTAACCCAGCCTACCTTCTAACTGCTCTGCCCTGTAGGGAATGCTGCCTTCCTTCTTAAAGCTCCTTCTTGCACAACTTGTTTCCACACCACAAATTTGGCACTTATCCTAGGCCATCTCATATTCTTATTACCCATTTTGTCATATGTACATTCTGTTATTTAAAAATTAAACTTCTTTTCAGTATTATATTTTTATTTATTTACATATCTGTATAGTAGTGCTTAACAAAACATCTTTTCTCTTACAAGTATATATATATACAACAGTCCAATATGTAATTATACATTATATACTTATGTGTGCATGCACACACATGCACACACACACATCACTTTTAATGTGTAGTCACCGCAAATATCTCTATGAAAATGTCCTGCATAGAGGAATATATTTTAGAGATTATGTATGTATTCAAGATTTTTCTTCCCTTCACTTCAGCAGTTCAATTCTAAATAATTATTTATATAGAGAAGTACATAGACTTTAATTTAGTGTTCATGAAATCACTTCTTTTACCAAGTGTTTTCCAAAATGACACTCCTGTTGGTCTTT
The DNA here is from genome assembly GCF_000001405.40 of Homo sapiens. Taxonomy (NCBI): domain Eukaryota; kingdom Metazoa; phylum Chordata; class Mammalia; order Primates; family Hominidae; genus Homo; species Homo sapiens. Next base: position 193,951,576 of record NC_000001.11, on the reverse strand, counting down.
TCCTAAGATACTCTGCAAATACTTTTTGGTTAATAGATTTTAGCTAAGAAAATAGGCAGGCTTTCAATCAAGATTCTTAGAAGATTGTGTCCTACTGGTGATTAAATTACTGGAGAAGACAATGACAATTAAATTCACCATAGTGTACAAAAGTTACTAGAATGATTTCAAATTACTGCTAAAAGATTTCGTATGAAAAGCTCATTTCTTAGTCCATTTGGACTGTTGTAACAAACTGCCATAGACTGGCTGGCTTATAAACAATAGAAATTTATTTCTGAGAGTTCTGGAAGCTGGGAAGTCCAAGATCAAGGTGCTGGCAGCTTCAGCGCCTAGTAACGGCCCATATATAGGAAAATATATATATTTATATATAGGAAAATATATATATTTATATATATAGGAAAATACATATATTTATATATATACACACACACATATATATATGAAGTCTATATATATATATATATATGTGTGTATATATATATATACACACACACACACATGTGTGGTTTTTTCTCTGTCCTCACATGGTGAAAGCGGTGAGGGAATCTCTCCAGAACCTTTTATAAGGGCACTAATCTCATTCATGAGGGCTCCACCCTCATAACTCAATCACCTCTCAAAGGCCCCACCTCCTAATACCATCATCTGGGGGTTAATATTTCAACATATGAATTTTGGGGAGAAATAAATATTCATTACATTATAGCTCCATAATCCATGGCATAGTTTATATAAATTGTGTGTTTCTAATAATGAAGTCTATATTATGTATTTTTCATAACATATGCACATATACTTAATTTTCCAGTAGGCCTATTATTCTAAATCATGAGGAAACATGCATGAAAATTCAAACAAATGAAAGCCTTATGTTAAAATTGATATGACTAAAAGAGACACAGGAATGTCCTGACATATAGCAGGCTTGGAAAGTTCATAATCATCTTTGGTGTAGAACAGATGAGGTACATTCAACAGGATGCTAAGGAACCTGCCACTTGTCTTTTAAATTAATATGTTTCTGCATTATATAGGACACTAAAAGAAGCTGATTATTTAAATGATAGAACTAATTTAATTTTATGCAAATGTTATATCTATCTAAATTATTTCATAACCAAACAAGTAAAATTAGACTTGTTTTTAATATTTGAAGAAAATCGAAGCAATATAGTACTAGGAGAAATCCTAGATGTAATGATAATACAAATAAATATCTGTTATTAAAAAAATTGGGCCAGGTGCAGTGGCTCATGTCTGTAATCCCAGCATTTTGGGAGGCTGAGGTGGGTGGATCACGAGGTCAGGAGTTTGAGACCAGCCTGGCCAACATAGTGAAACCCTGTCTCTACTAAAAATACAAAAATTAGCGGGGGCATGGTGACATGTGCCTGTAGTCCCAGTTACTTGGGAGGCTGAGGCAGGAGAATGCTTGAACTGGGGAGGCAGAGGCTGTGGTGAGCCTAGGTTGCACTATTGCACTCCAGCCTGGGCAACAGAGCAAGAGTCTGTCTCAAAAAAAAAAACCAAAATTGTATGATAATGAAACTTATTTGATGATTAAAGGATAATATTCAAAATATTTAATAACTCGGAGTATTTCCAGGTATAAAGGTAAGTTGGGCTACTTTTCACTATGATCATATGTAAAAGATATAAATTACTGTAATTTCTAAAATACATAATTATATAGAGACATTAAATCAAAGAAATGTTTAACAGTCATAGATTCTGACAGAAAAAGGACTATTCTTCACTAGATCTCAATTTTCCTATTTGTAAAATTATGATAAAATATTTGCTCTTTCTTCCTGTCAGGATTTTTGTAAGAATCAAATGATTTTAAGAGTATATTTATACATGTAATTGCATTAATTTTATCATTAATAATTTTTATACATTGCAATTCAGTTTGTCAATATTATGATAGTATGAAAGCCTCCTCCCCACTGTCCTCTCTTACTATCGCTTTCTTTTCCCCAGGAATTTTTTTTTTCTTTCAATGATTACTATCCTGGGCCCTGGGGATAACATTATGGATGCTATACAGCTGTTTTGAGATGGTTCATTTTATGTGTCAGTTTGACTAGGCTAAGGGATACCCAGATAGATAGCTAATAGAACACTCCAGGAATGTCTGTGAGAGTATTTATAGAAGACATTAGCATTAGAATCAGTAGACTGAGTAAATATCCACTCTCACCAATTTGTACCTGAGCCCAGATAGGACATAAAAGCAGAGAAAGAGCAAATCATTCCCTCTTCTTAAGCTGGGACATCCACCTTCTTTTTGAGATATTGGAGCTCCTGGTTCTCAGGGTTTAGGCTCTAGGACTTATACCAGCGAAGTTTGTTTTCAGGACTTTGGCCTCAAATGGAGAGTTACACCACCAGCGCCCCCTGATTCTCAAGCCTCTGGACTCAAGACTGAATTAGACCACTGGCTTTCCTGGTTCTCTGTTTGCAGACAGAGTATACTGGGACTTTTTGGCCTCCATTGTTGCACGAGCCAATTCCCATAATAAATGCCCTCTTATCTCTCTCTCTCTCTCCACCCCCCCCCCCCGCCATTATTTCTGTTTCTCTGGAGAATCCCAACTAATAAAATTTTCTTCAAAGACCTCTCAAACTGTTGGGAAAAACAGGGATATTATTTTCCAAACTATTGAAAAATAACAAACCATTCATCAAAATGTATGCTCTTGTATCCATTATGAGGCACTGCCACTGAGAGAAAGCTGCTTATTTGAGAGTTATGTTTCCCAGCCCCTCTTGCATCCTCGTATGTCCCTGTTCAGGGAAACCAGGGTGAGGTAAGTGTGAGGTTTAGGAAGCAAAATTTAAGGATGTACTTCTTCTCTGGGTCTTTTAAATGCTGACCCTGCACTTAAATAACCCTGAGAGTGAGTGCCTCTTAAATTTTGTGCCCTAGGCGGCCCGGCGCGGTGGCTCACGCTTGTAATCCCAGCACTTTGGGAGGCCGAGATGGGCAGATCACGAGGTCAGGAGATCGAGACCATCCTGGCTAACACGGTGAAACCCCGACTCTATTAAAAATACAAAAAAAAAAATTAGCCTGGCATGGTGGCGGGCGCCTGTAGTCCCAGCTACTCGGGAGGCTGAGGCAGGAGAATGGCGTGAACCCGGGAGGCGGAGCTTGCAGTGAGCCGAGACCGCGCCACTGCACTCCAGCCTGGGTGTCAGAATGAGACTCCATCTGAAGAAAAAAAAAAAATGTGCCCTAGGCTCACAGCCTCAAACCCTTCACCTATAGAGGGTGAGCAGAAATAACACAAGTTGCTTCCTAAATGGAGTATTTAAAAAGTGGGTGTGTCGCTCCACTATTTACCACTGTGTTGTACCTTTTACATCCCCATCAGCAGTGTAAGAGAATTCTACTTTCTCCAAGTCCTGTCAACATTTGGCAAAATCTTTTTCATTTTAGCCATTCTAATAGGTGTGCAGTGGTATCTCATTGTGGTTTTAATTTGCATTTCCCTAATGACTAATGATATTGAGCAACTTTCCATATGCTTATTTGGCTTCTCTGTATCTTCTGTGTTATTCAAACCTTTCATCCATTCTTTTTTCATTCTGCTTGGTTTTTTTTTATTATTACACTTTAAGTTTTAGGGTACATGTGCACAATGTGCAGGTTAGTTACATATGTATACATGTGCCATGTTGGTGTGCTGCACCCATTAACTCGTCATTTACATTATGTATATGTCCTAATGCTAACCCTCCCGCCCCCATCCCACAACAGGCTCCGGTGTGTGATGTTCCCCTTCCTGTGTCCATGTGTTCTCATTGTTCAATTCCCACCTATGAGTGAGAACACGCGGTGTTTGGTTTTTTGTCCTTGCGATAGTTTGCTCAGAATGATGGTTTCCAGTTTCATCCATGTCCCTACAAAGGACATGAACTCATCATTTTTTATGGCTGCATAGTATTCCATGGTGTATATGTGCCACATTTTCTTAATCCAGTCTATCATTGTTGGACATTTGGGTTGGTTCCAAGTCTTTGCTATTTTAATTGAGCTTTGCGAGTTTTTAAATATTTGGGATACAAGTACCTTATCAGATAGGTGATTTAAAAATATATTCTCACAGCCTTTGTTTTTTCTTTCATTCTCTTAACAATGTCTTTACAGATAAGTTTTTAATTTTAATGAAATCTAACTTATCAACTCATAATTTTATATATCATTCATTTGGTGTTATAGCTAACAAATCTTCATCTAATTCAAGTTCACAAAGGTTTTCTACAATCTATTCTTCCAGAATTTTCATAATTTTCGGTTTTAAATTTGTATGTGTCATCCATTTTGCATTGATTTTTTGTACATAGTGTATGAAACACAATTTTTTCTTTTTACATATTGATTTCTAATTGTTCCAGCACCATTGGTCAAAAAGACTTTCTTTTCTTTACTGAGTTGCTTCTGTACCTCTGTGGAAAATCAGTTATCCATGTATGTGTGGGGCTAGTACTGTATAGTCTATTCTGTTCCACCGATCTATTTGTATATGTCAATGTCCCACCACAATGCCTTAATTGTTGTACCTATTCAGAAATTCTTGATTTCAGATAGTGTTAATCCTCCAGATTTGTTCTTTTTCAAAGTTGTTTTGACAATTGTGAATTATTTTCTTCATTTCTATATAAATATTAGAATCAGTTCACCAATTTCTTTTAAAACCTAATGCAATTTTGATTAAGAGTCCATGTATTATATGGATCAAATTGGAGAGAATTTACCTCTTAACAATGTTGAATTTTCTGATCCATGAACACAGTAATCTCTCTACTTATTTAGGTAATTTTGTTTTAATTAAGAAAAAATTTTAAGAATTTTTAGAATATACCTTTTTCTTTAATTCTTTTATGAACTTGATAAACTTTTTCAGTATTCAGACTTAAGTCTCATTCTATGTTAATAAATATTCTTCTCATATTTACTTACAGCTTTTTTCCATAAGTTTCATTTTTTTCCACTAAAACTCCCAGCTTTTATATCATAGGTATACTAGGTATCTCCTCCTATCTTTACATCTCCCTTTTGATATCCATAATTTTAAGGTTTAATGCTTAGTTTCAAATACTCCTTTCACATGATTTTCCAGGCCACTGATTTGGGTTCCAAAAGTGACTTTTATTCTCACTGTTATTAGTTTGAAAATTATGTTTTCTACTTCTAGGAAGCTTTTTTGTGTTTTGTCTTTCATTTTTAGGTTTGATTCTCCTGTATCCCTTCCAGTAAGACTGCTGGAAGTGTTAGTGACTTTCTCTGTCTAAGGAGGACTTTCTCTAGCTATCCCTTCACGTGTATTGTGATTTTATGTTCTCTGACTATTAGGTTTAAGGTCTAGCTGCTAGAGCTATCTAAGCAGTAGAATTCTGGTGAGAAGCATACACTTTGGGGTCTGCACTTGAAGACTGTTGGTACAGTAGCAGGTCGAGAGTTACTCTCCAAATGAGGCACCAAAAGGAAACTATTTCTGCTTCCATGTCTCTTTGAGCGTTCTTAAATTCTGTGGCAGAGAGACTAAGCTCACTTATTTAGTACCTCCTCATATCCCTAGAAGCAAGGACAACAAGACGCACTGTCCTATTCATACCATTGACCATTACATTTTTATATAACAACTAATATTTTGTACTTTTTGCCCTCTCTTGCTCTTTTTCTCTGGGTCATGATTTCAAGGATTTTCTCATTTTGTCTGTTTTAAAATAACCAGTGCTTTGTTTTATTTAGTAAATTTGTTTTGCTATTTTTTTTTTCAATTTTCATTTGGCAGAACTTGAGTATTTTTCCCCAAATATATATTAATACTTGGTAAAAATACTCAATCGTTACATTTCCAAATTGTCTTACAATTGCTTCTCTCATAATAGGATTCCAAGAATATAAACTCTTATTTTTGTAATTCTGTCAAATTTGAAAAAAATCTTCTGGTTTCTAACATTTCAGAGCAAAAGCCCATAGCTGATGTAATTCTATTTTCTATTGTAATATGTTTCATTTTTAAATTTTTTTACTTTTGATTTATGTGGGTGCATAATAGGTGTCTATATTTATGGGGTATATGGGATATTTTGATAAGGCATATAATGTGTAAAAAAATCACATCAGGATAAATAGGGTACCCATCACCTGAAGCATTTAGCCTTTGTGTTACAAATAATCCAATTATAATTTTTAGCTATTTTTAAATATACAATTATTACTGACTATAGTCACCCAGTTATACTATCAAATATAAGATCTTATTCATTCTATTTTTTGTACCCATTAACATCCCCACATCCCCTCTTACCTCCACTACCCTCCCAAGTCTCTCATAACCACCCTTCTGCTCTCTATCTACGTAAGTTCAATTATTTTAATTTTTAGCTCCCACAAATAAGTGAGAACATGTGATGTTTGTCTTTCTGTGCCTGGCTTATTTCACTTAAGATGATGATTTCCAGTTTTATCCACGTCATTGCAAATGACAGGATCCCATTATTTTTTATGGCTGAATAGAACTCCATCATATATAGGTACCACATTTTCTTTATCCATTTGTCTGCTGATGGACACTTAAGTTGCTGCCAAATCTTGGCTATTGTGAATAGTTCTGCAATAAATATGAGAGTCCTAATATCTCTTTGATATACTGATTTCTTTGAGTATATGCCAAGCAGTGGGACTGCTGGTTCATATTAATAGTTCCATTTTTAGTTTTTTCAGGAACCTCCAAACCATTATCTGTAGTGGTTGTACTAATTTGCATTCCCACCCTCAGTATACAAGGCTTCCATTTTCTCCAAATCCTCAACAGAATTCTTTTTGTCTGTCTTTTGGATAAAAGCCATTTTAACTGGGCTGAGATAATATCTTACTGTAGTTTGATTTGCATTACTCTGATGATCCCTGACACTGAGCAGCATTCCATATATCTGTTTGCCATTTGTATATCTCCTTCTGATAAATGTCTAGTCAGATAGTATGCCCATTTCCTAATTGGGTTATCAGTGTTTTTCCTATAGAATTGTTTGGATTCCTTATATGTTCTGGTTATTAATCCCTTGTCAGATAGATAGTTTGCAAATATTATCTCCCATTCAATCTCCTCGTTATTTGATTGTTCCTTTGCTGTGCAGAAGCTTTTTAACTTGATGTGATGCCATTTGTCCATTTTTGCTTTGGCTGCCTTGGCTTGTGGGATAGTACTCAAGAAAATCTTGGTCCAGACTGATGTCCTGGAGTGTGTCTCCAGTGATTACTTTTAGTAGTTTCATAGTTTCAGGTATTAGATTTAAGTCTTTCATCCATTTTGATTTAATTTTTGTATATGGTGAGAAATAGAGGTCTAGTTTCATTCTTCTGCATATGGATATCCAGTTTCCTCAGCACCATTTATTTAAGATATTGTCCTTACCCCACAGTATGTTATGGCCCCTTTGCTAAAAATGAGTTTCCTGTAGATGTATGAACTTGTTTCTGGGTTCTCTCTTCTGTTTCATTGGTCTTTGTGTCTGTTTTTATGCCAGTGTCATGCTGTTTTGGTTACTGTGGCTCTGTAGTATAATTTGAAGACAGGTAATGTAATTCTTCCACTTTGGTTCTTTTTTCTCAGGATAGCTTTGGATATTTTGAATCTCTTGTGATTCCATATACATTTTAGGATTATTTTTTCTATTTCTGTGAAGAAAGTCATTGGGATTTTGATAGATATTGCATTGAATCTATAGATTGCTTTGGGTAGTATGGACATTTTAACAATATCGATTCTTCCAATCCATGAACATGGAATATATTTCTATTTTCTGTTTTCTCTTCAATTTCTTTCACCAATGTTTTATAGTTTATATTATAGAGATCTTTCACTTGTTTGGTTAAGTAAATTCCAGCTATTTCATTTTATTTGTAGCTACTGTGAGATTACTTTCTTTATTTTTGTTTCTAGATCGTTTTCTTTTGGCATGTAGAAATGCTACTGATTTTTGGCTGGGTGCAGTGTCTCACACCTGTAATCCCAGCACTTTGGGAGGCTGAGGTGGGTGGATCATTTGAGGTCAGCAGTTTGAGACCAGCCTGACAACGTGGTGAAACCCCATCTCTACTAAAAATACAAAATTAGATGGCCATGGTGGCGCATGTCTGTAATCTCAGCTACTCAGGAGGCTGAGGCAGGAGAATTGCTTTAACCTAGGAGGCAGAGGTTGCAATGAGCCAAAATTGAGCCATTGCACTACAGTCTGGGCAACAAGAGTGAAACTCTGTCTCAAAAAAAAAAAAAAAAAAAAAAAAGCTACTGATTTTTGTATGTTGACTTTGTATCCTGCTGCTTTACTGAATTTGTTTATCAATTCTAGTAGTTTTTCAATGGAGTCTTTAGGTTTTTCCAAATATAAGATTATATTGTCTGCAAACATGGACAATTTGATGTCTTTCTTTCCAATTTGGATGCCTTTTCTTTCTTTCTCTGGAATTGCCAGTCCTATGTTGAATAACAGTGGTTAAAGTGGGCATCCTTGTCACATTCCAGATCTTAGAAGAAAGGCTTGCAGTTTACCCCATTCAGTACAATACTAGGTGTGGGTCTGTTTTACATAGCTTTTACTATGTTGAGGTATGTTCCTTCCATACCCAGTTTTGGAGGTTTTTCAAATGAAAGGATATTAAATTTTATCAAATGCTTTTTCAGCCTCATTTGAAATGGTCATATGGCTTTTGTCCTGCATTATGTCGATCTGATGTATCACATCGATTCATTTGCATATGTTGAAGCATTCTTGCATCACTGGGATAAATCTCACTTGGTCATGATGAATGATCTTTTTAATGTATTGTTGAATTTGGTTTACCAGTATTTTGTTGAGGATTTTTGCATCAGTGTTAATCACAGATATTGACCTGTAGTTTTCTTTTTTGGATTTGCCGTTGTCTGATTTTTGTATCAAGGTAATACTGGCCTCATAGAATAAGTTTGGAAGTATCCCCTCCTCCTCTATTTTTCAAAATAATTTGAGTAGGATTGATATTAGTTCTTCATTAAATGTTTGGTATAATTCTTCAGTGAAATTAACAGGTCCCAGGCTTTTCTTTGCTGGGAGAATATTTATTATGTTTTTCTATCTCATTACTTGAAATTGCTCTGCTCAGGTTTTGGATTTATTTATGGTTCAATCTTGCTAGGTTGTATGTGTCTAAGAATTGGTCTGTTTATTCTAGGTTTCCCAGTATATTGGCATATAGCTGTTCATAGTAGTCTGCAATGATCCTTAGAATTTCTTTGGTATCAACTGTAATGTCCCTTTTTTCATCTCTGATTTTATTTGTGTCTTCTCTCACTTTTTCTTCATTAGTCTGGCCATCTTTTCAAAAAACCAAGTTTTCATGACTCGTGTATTTTCTTCTTCTTTTTTCTTTTCTAGGCAAGAGTCTTGCTCTGTCACCCCAGTGTCACCCCAGGCTGGAGTACAGTGGCACAATCTCGGCTAAATGCAACCTCTGCCTTCCGGGTTCAAGTGATTCTTGTGTCTCAGCCTTCCAATGTAGTTAGGACTACAGGCATGCACACCATGCCCCTCTAATGTTTGTATTTTTAGTAGAGATAGGTTTTTGCCATGTTGGCCAGGCTGGTCTGGAACTCCTGGCCTCAAGCTATCCACCTGTTTCAGCCTCTCAAAGTGCTGGAATTACAGGCAGGAGCCACCATGCCAGCCTGTTTTCTTCATTTTAATTTCATTTATTTTTGCTCTAATCTTTATTATTTATTTTCTTTTTCTACCTTTGGGTTTGGTTTGCTCTTGCTTTTCTAGTTCTTCAAGATGCATTGTTAGGCTGTTTATTTGAAGAATTTCTTCTTTTCTGATTTAGGTACTCATAGCTATAAACTTCCCTCTTAGTATTGTTTTTGCTATATCCCATATGTTTTAAGATATCGTATTTCCATTATCATTTGTTTCAAGAAATTGTTCAATTTCCTTCGTAATCTTCTCATGGACCCATTAGTCATTAAGGAGCACATTGTTTAATTTCCATGTTTTTATAATTTCCAAAATTTCTCTTACTGATTTCTAGTTTTATTTTATTGTGGTCAAAGAAGATACTTGATATTATTTCAGTTTATTTGACTGTTTTAAGACTTGTTTTGTGGACTAATATATGGTCTATCCATGAGAATCATCCATGTGCTAAGGAAAAGAATGTGTACTATGAAGCTATCATATGATATGTTCTGTAAATATCTAATAGGTCCATTTGATCTGTAGTATAGAATAAGTCCAATTTTTTTGTTGTTGATTTTTTTTCTGGAAGATCTGTCCAATGCTGAAAGTGGGGTGTTGCAGTCTCCAGCTATTATTGTATTGGGGTCTAAGCTCTAATCATATGTGCCTTACATATATATATATATATATATATATATATATATATACACACACACACACACACACACACACACACTCACATATATACACATATATATTTCATTATATTTCATTTATCACCTATACATATGTGTGTGTATATGTGTGTGCATATATATGTGTGTGTGTGTGTGTGTGTGTATGTATATATATGTGTGTGTGTATATATATATATATATGTGGGTGATCCAGTGTTGGGTGCATATATATTTACAATTGTCATATTGTCCAGCTGAATTGACCCTGTTATGATTATATAATGACATTCTTTATCTTTTTATAGTTGTTGTCCTCACATTTATTTTGTCTGATATAAGTATAGCTACTCCTGCTCTTTTTTGATTTACATTAACTCTTAGATTTGTCCTTTTGAGGCTATTTTCTAGATCTTGTAAGCATGCTTTATTCATTGTCTTTCTTTCTTTTCCTCCCTTACTATGTATTTTTAAATAGGCAGTCTTCAAGCTCACTAGTTCTTTCTTCTGTTAATCAATTCTGCTATTAAGACACTCTGAAGCATTCTTCAGTATGTCAATTACATTATTCAACTCCGGAATTTCTGCTTGATTCTTTTTAAATATTTCAATGTCTGCTAAATTTATCTGATAGGAGTCTCAATTCCTTCTTTGTGCTGCCTTGAATTTCTTTTTTTGTTTCTCAAACAGTTATTTTTGACTTCTCTGTTTAAAAGTTTACATATCTCTATCTCTCTGCGATTGACCTCTGGCACCTCATTTAGGTCATTTGGTGAGGTCATGTTTTCCTGGATAGTCTTGATGCTTGCATATTTGTTTCAGTGTCTAGGTGTTAAAGAGTTAGGCATTTACTGTAGTCTTTGCAGTCTGAGCTGTTTGTACTTATCCTTCTTTGAAGGCTTTCCAGGTATTTGAAGGGACTTGGGTGTTGTGATCTAAATTTTTGGTCACTGCAGCTGTATAGGGAGCACCTAAAGCCCAATAACTCCATATTTCTCGCAGACTTGTAGAGGTAATACCTTGGTAGTCTTGAATAAGATCTGGAAGAATTCTCTGGATTGCCAGGCAGAGACTCTTGTTCTCTTCTCTTACTATCTCCCAAACAAATGGAGTGTCTCTCTCTTTCTCTCTCTCTCTCTCTGTCTCTCTGTCTCTCTGTGTGTGTGTGTGTGTGTGTGTGTGTGTGTGTGTGTGTGTGTACTGAGCTGCCTGGAGCCAGAAAAGGGATGAAATAAGTACCCCTATGGCCACCACCACTGGAACTGCACAGGGTCTGACCGGAAATCAGCACATCACTAGGTCTTGCCCAAGGCCAGCTGTAACCAGTACCTGGCTACCATCTATGTTTGCTCAAGGTCCTAGGGCTCAACAATCAGCAGGTGGTGACACTAGCCAGTCCTGTGTTCTTTCTTTCAGGGCAGTGAGTTCCACCGGGCCCGAGGAAAGTCTAGAAATGCTGCCCAGTTGGCAAGGCCTAAAGCTGGAAAACTTAGAAATTTACTAGATGTTCTATTATATTGCAGCTAAGCTGGCACTAAAACCACAAGACAAAGTCCTTTCTGCTCTTTGCTCCCCTTTCCCCAGCTAGAGGAGTCTCTAACCATGTCCACCACTACCATAGGCCAACAGGAGTGCTGCCAGGTATCACCAATATTCACTTAAGGCCCAAGGGCTCTTTAGTTGGCTTGTTTTTAATGCTGCTAGGCCTGAGACTCACTCTCCAGGGCTGGGCTCTCTGGCCCAGTGTAGGTCTAGAAGTGCCATCCAAGAGCCGACGCCTAGAATCTAAGATCCCAAGAACCCACTTGGTGCTCTTCCCTACTGTAAAATAGCTGGTACCTAAGCTGCAAGACAAAATCTCCTTTATTCTTTCCTCAAGCTGAAGGAGTCTCTTATCATATCCATCACAGCTGTGAAGATGCTGTGTCACACCTCAAGCTAGCACATCTCAGAGTCCCACTCAAAAATCATAGCATATGCTGCCTGGTTGCCACTGCTGATTATGCAGGGTCCAAGAGTTCTTTAGCTAGCAGGTAATGAATTCTGCCAGGAGCAGGTGGTTCCCTTCAAGGCATTGGGTTCCTTTCTGACCCAGGGTATATTTAGAAATGTCATCTGTGAACTAGGGCCTAGAATGGAAGCCTCAAAACTCTGTCTGTTGCCCTATACTAATGTGGTTGAGCTTGTATCCAAGTTGCAAAACAAGTCCTCTTTACTCATCCCTCTCCTTCCCTCAAGCAAAGGGAAGCATTCTCTTTTGGATCTGGGGTTTGGAGAGGAATGACACTGTCCCTCCTTTAGCTGCCCCAGCTGGCTTCTCACTAGGTCAGGTGCCCCCCAAGTCCACTGGCTCCAAGTTCAGCACAGCACTAGGACATGCCTAGAAGTTGCAGTTCCTGCCAGGCCCAGATAGCCTTTTCATATTTATTTAGGATTCCAGAGCACTTTAGCCCACGGTGTTGATGCTTGCCAGAACTCAAGTTCCAACTGCTGGGATGAGTGATTCCCCTCTGGCTACGGCAGGTAAAAATGTCCCCCTGTGGGCCTTGACTGAGTTCTGCCCAGTGTTGTCAGCATTAAGTTTCAATACAAATTCCCACAATTGCTGCACTCTCCCCCTCCCCAAGTGCACAGATTCTCTCTTCTTGCCACACTGCTGCTGCCAAGGGACGGGGAAGTAATGTTGGTAATTCAAGATTGTCTTTCCTACCCTCTTTAGTGCTTCTTTTAGCAATATGAAGTTCAATTCAGGTAATATGAACATATACCTAATTTTTGGTCCTTATGAAGGTGCTTTTTCATGTAGACAGTAGTCAAATTTGGTTTTCCTGCAGGGAGGATAATCACTGGAGGCTTCTATTTGGCCATCATGTTCTACCTGCTCCTATTATTTTTAAAATGATGTTAGAAGTCATAACATTTGCAAGAATATTTATGTGTTCATTTCTGAATTAATCTCTTTTATCAACTAATAAAAACTTTTATTCTGACAGGTTCTCTCAGAAACATTTTCTCTTGTAATTCTTTGATTAATGAACTCTTTCCAGCCTTTTATTTCTTGCCCTATTATTTGGGCTAATTTTCTAGGGTGTATCTTCCAAAAATTAGTTTTTTGCTTAATAATGAAAAATTCTGTGGGAGGGTGGGGCAGGGTGAAGAAAAAGAGATAACTCATGAAGTTGATTTTCTGAATTCCTAGTCTTTGTCCATTTTATACCAAATTTACGGATCCAATTACTTATTCCTTTTGATTTATGGTACATTATATCACTGGCTGTGCTGATTCTCCCTCATTGAATTTATTTTTTTGTTTTAATTTCCAATTTTATTCCTTTGCCCCCTTATACAACTAGTCTAAAATATTTTGTGTATATCTTTTTTTCACTCAGTTATTTATTTTGAATGGTTTAACATAGTTTAGTGGAGACACATTATGGGGTTCTTAGGCTCTTGACCCCCTAATGATTCATTAAAAATCACTGACATGAGGCAGATTAATAGAAGAAAAGACAATTAAATTAAATACGGCTTTATTTAATCTGTATACTTGGGAGCCTTCAGAATGAAGACCCAACTTCCCAATGAATTACAGATACATATATACCATCCTAAGGCCCCAGTAAATAATGCAGACTCAAGACCATTGCCAGAAACAGGTAAGACAGGTTTAGTGGCAAGACAGGTTAAGAGGGCTTGAAAGAGAGAAGAAGCTTGGCTAGCAAAGTTGGCCTTGTTATATAGATGAAGACTTCCACAAAGCAAAAAAAAAATTAAAAAAAAAAATTGTAAATGTGTTTTCCCCCCTGGACTTTAAAAGGTCTCAGACTCTCAATCTCTCCTGGATCCTGGGAAAGACATAGAAAGGGAAAGTGGGGATGGCTACATTAGTAGTCTGTACAGATGCAAATTTCCCCCACTTAACACAACTTTGCAATTATACTTCTATCAGGATGACCAAGCTGCAGCTACTTCAAAATATGTCAAAGAAATATAGGATGACCAAGTGGCAGCTACTTCAAAATATGTCAAAGAAATATATTTTGGGGTAAAATATTTTAATTTCCTCCAGTCCTCACTTTGACACTTTAAAGAAGTTTAACCTATCAAAAGCCAAGGTGATAGCTTTGGAGAGATTTGGGTTACAGGATGTGAGATAGAGCTAGACAAAGGAGTAGAATGACAAATTAGGATCAATAGAAAGGACCCAATTTAAATATATCATCCCATATCTTCTTTACTCAATCTCTTAGTCCTGACAATAGATCAGTTAAGTTAAACAGCTGTGTCCCATTCCAGGAGGTAACATTGCAGATGGGCTAGGCCTCTGCATATGATGCAAACAATCATATCTCTAATAAGACACATTTCTATAGAGACAGAAGTATAAACAAAAGTTAATGTCTGGAGCAGTCTCTACACTAGTTTTTCTAGAGTCTCTGAGGCTTCTTCAGATTGCAGCGGCAATCTGACAGATTCTTCTGGACTGTAGTTCAAACCAGGCCTTCAAGTGCACTTTCTGAGAAGCCCATACATCAGCAGACAGGCAAAAAGGTTGTTTATATATAAGTTCTGTTATTTTCTCCCAAAGTTTATCTAGCTTACATTTGCAGAACTTTAAGAGAAGCAGTTTTAATTTCTAGGTCTTTCAAGTCAGAAAAATGGGAGAGAAAAGAAATCGAAAACATTAGTTTGGAGACTTGTACCCAGGAAAAAAATTCAGGGTTCAGTCCAAATTGTAGAAAATAATAAAAACTGAATACAAATGGGCAAGACTAGAATCTAATAACAAGTGTACATAGTTTCTTTTGAAACATAATTTTTCTCTAATTCCCCAATTTTGCTAAACACAAAATCATAGTAGGACCAATTTGCAAAATAAGTTTTAATTCTGTTATACCTGGCCTAATTATTTGCACAAAGTGCAACGAGAATAATTATTTGCCATCTAGGCTCTTTTTTAAATTGGCTTTTGCTGGAACATTTTTTTTCCCATAATGAATCCAAAATTAGATCTTTTAGAAGCCTCAAGCCCAGCCAACGATTTATCTGTCCTTGCAGATATCTGCATAAATTGGGAGAATTCCTCTTTTTGAGGACCTAAGGTAACTTGAAGCTCCTGGGCCTGTCAGAAAGTAAGATTCTTTACTTGCTATGAGTAAGTAAAGGATAAGGTATGAGGCCAGTTTTAACAATGGGATTTTATCAGCTCTATAAAGTCAATTTCAATTCCTCAAAGCAGCTTCCTCATACTGAAAACATGCCATTCTAGTCAAAGCCTTGGTAACATAACTAGCGCCATCAATTGTGACCTGTTACAGTAGGAAACAGATTCTTACTGAACTTATGCAAATAACTACATTGCCATAAATTAAGAATACCAAACAGTTTTTCCAAGTTTTGGAGAAATCAGGTAGAAAGAAAGAAATATGCTTCAAATTTTACTCATAAGAATATACTTTACCCAAATGTTAAAAGCTGTAAATAGCTTAAAAGTAAAAAGTTTTCTTGATTTGTAAAAACAAAGCTAAAAAAAATCGATGTTTCAAATAAAAGGGTCATGGAAAGATTATTTCAGTCATCTATTAGTTCAGTCCATGCAATTAACTCCTGCTCTGCTCATGACTGGGCCAGCATTCCTCATGAATACATTAGCTCTCCATTAGAGTCTGGGAAGTTTTTCTCTCTATTTCAATGGCAAAATCTCCAAAGTTATTGGAAACCTGCATTCAAGCATACCCATCAGATTCCAATAGCTGACTATAAACCACCTTTTGATGAGGATCAAAGTAAAACAACAATAGTAGATGACAGAAGTCTTAGAACGGCCATGGTCAAAGACACAACTGATAAGAAAATTTGGTTGTTTATATAGCATATAACAATTTAACACAGTGATTATAATTACTACTGATAATGCATACTAAGGCATATCAGAGTCATAGGAATCACATGCAATTTTGTAATATACAAACCTTGTTATGGGTGGTTACCAGCACTCACACCTCAATTAACCTAGGGGGCTTGGGGCCATTGATTTCCCTGTGCAGAAGTCAGGGAATGAGACACTCAGAGGTAGGAGATTTAGATGCCCTGAGACCCCTTAAGAAACCAAGGGCCCAGAACCCCCATCCGGCCCTGGCTTAGGATCTCTTTTGGAGCTTGGGAGCCTCATGTCCTGGGTAGTCCGTGGATATGGAGCCTGCCTCTAGCGCACCCCAGGCTGCCTAGGCTGCCTAGGCTGCCAGGCCCACCCAGAGTGGCAGGAGCGCAGCCTGTGGCTGGCTCTACATCAAAAGCCACAACCTGGTGCTGAATTTTACTATCTGCCATGTACCATTCTGATGGAGAAAACAAATTAAAAACACTTGGGAATTTATGTCTCTGATGGGTCAGGTTGCACTGTTCCATAAAAAAAGAAAAAAATAATATATATATATATATATATATAACCCACAGAAAGTTAAACATTTCCCATTTGAAAATGCTTTCTGTCTAATTTTAACATATCAAATAAGCCCAATATGTCTCTCTTGGACTTCAGGGGACTTTATATCTAAAAAAAAAAAATGAGGTCCAAGAGACTGAATTTAGAATTTGATTTTGGAAAGTTTCTCAAATATCAATGGTTTTAAACACTTCATATCACAAAATAGAATAACAGGTTATATAAAATAAGTCTTTCATTTAACCAAGATGAGAACTCAAAAATTTCAATTAAGCAAAAACCTTACTTTTTTGTATAGAGGAGATTCACTTTCCAAAACAATAAGACCAAATAAAAGCAGCACAAGGCCAACTAAATCCATTTCCCTTTCTCTCTTTTTTTTTCTTTTGCAGCTAACTGAAAAAGTAAACAAAAATCTTTCACTGTCTCTCAATATTACACCTTATTCAAGAGAAAACCAAATTTTACCTTTTATAGGTATTATTAATGCTAAAGCTAATTTTCATAAATCCTTATAAATTCAATTTTAATCAGTTGAATCATAAGATTTCAACTGATTTCTAAGATTTGTAAGATTTCTACAAACCTTTTATACCTTTTCACAGTTTTCTATAAAACAGCAGATCAATGCTCCAAGAAAACCCAGTTATTTCAATCCAGGGGCCTAGATTATGGCCCTGCATCAGTGTGCTTTTTACTTTAATGTTTAATTTATAGAAAAACTAGATAATCCTCTTTAAATTTTAACCAGCCTGCTCACATACAGAATTCCTTTGACAAGGTCAATCTTCCACAAAGCTTCTACAACTTGCTTGAAACTTTAGTTTTGTCCTATTATTCTTTATCTTAAAACAATAAACACCTCTAGATAAAATTACTTTCTCTTAAAAAGAACCACACTCCCACATCTTCTTTTAACATTTTCTTACCAAAAAACAAATCCTACCTCTTTAATACACTTTGTATGTGTCTAGGAGTTTTAATTACATACATAATTGTAATATTAACTTAAGAGTTAGTAAGTAACTCCTATTCCTAGTGAGAAACTTAGGAGGGAAGCAATTTTAATTAGGTACCAGCTGCAGAGCCAAGGGCAAAAGACAATGCCTGGAGCTAATCTTCATGGTATCCTAAAGGCTCAAATCTAAGGACATAAGTTTATACATAAGTTAAGCAAGTGTCAGAAGCAAAGTTTTATATCTTAAAACATCTAGTAGAGACAGTGACTAATTCAGACCAAATGTCTAAATTCTGAAGTTGTTTCTACTTTATCTTACCAATAATTTAAATACCATCTTTATTTACCAAAAATTAATAAAATAATGTGAACTTGAAAAGCATTTTGGCTTATTTACTTAATTTATGAGTAAGTCAATTTGATATCCATGTATACAGTACATAGACATATACTCATGTATACATAAAGACATACACCAAAATAAGGCTTTTCTGGTTTTGATTTTTAAGTTTTAGCCACAAGACAGATAAACTCACTAGTTTAAAGGACGGTTGGATTAAATTGTGAAAAGGTTAAAGTTCATGTGCCTCACAAGGCCATGGTCAATGCCCTCACTGAGGTTTGGAGAAAACAGGGTTGCAAATTTATGCCTCAAACCAGAGAGAGAGAGAAAAAGCTTGGGTGTGTTAGAGGAAGATTAAAAATAGATACCAAGGCAACACAAAATCATAGAAGTCTACCATAGAATTTTATAAACGCAATTTTATTTACATAGGTATTTAATTTAGCCTCTATCTTTTAATTGGACCACTGAGCTCAGAGAAGACCCACACTGAATCTTGAGTCCCCAAAGAGAGAGAACTGCCACAGGACCAGACCACATCATGCTTTTACAGTGCACTTTGTTACAAAGACGTTTTTCTAAGTATTTAAACTGCATACTTTCTTGACTAAAACATGCAAAGAGTAGCCCTTAGAGTAATAATTATTTACTGTAAGCAACTACCACTAGCCATCTCTGAAAGTATATCTATCACCTAGCTATTACATATACCAAGGTCTAAAATTTTCTCATAATGTAAAGTACTTTCTGATATCCTCAAAAGCCAGAAAGATTAGATAATGCAATAAAAAGGAGAGGAGTTTTTAGACCTGAGTGGAACCTGTCTGCTTACAAATCTTGGGATTCCATGAGGAAAAATAGAGGCTCCTCTCAATCATAGGGGCCTGACACCTTTTCTGTTTTTCCCAAGGAATCTCACTCAGGCTGTTAGAAACTCCTTTCGTTTTTTGTTTTATGTTTTTGTTTTTTTTTTAGGTCCCACATATGGCATAGAGTGTGGCAAGTAGAAAGAGAAACAAGCAGAAGTAGACAGTTAAACAGAGTTCAGTTGACTGAGAAGTTTTTACAGAGTGAGAACAGAGGCCTAAAATTATATATGTCATATGTAATTTTATATGATATATATGTGTGTGTGTGGGTGTGGGTGTATACACGTGTGTGTGTATGTATGTCCTAAATATCCATTTTAATTAAGTCATATTTTGACTATAGAGCTCTTTAAAAATTCTTTGAATCCCTTATTACTAGATTTTAGCAAGGACAAGCATATGATCTTTCTGCCTTTTGAACTTCTTTACCAAACATAGCCTCCCAAATGAAGCCAATATGCCTTAACTAAGGTTTGACTTAACCATGGACATTTTTTTTCTCAAGAGAATTCTGAAGGCTAGTCATGGCACTATTATACGTCTTTTTAAGAATTTAACCTTCCCATCAATTGTCTAGAATAAGAGATCTCTAAAATATTTTCTATCTACCTTTTGGCCACTGACAATTAGAATTTTCAATGGTATAATTTATTCCAATAGTGACTTAATCCAAAAGTCTTTTTAAAGCCTCAGTGGTAATTTTCCATGCTTTTATCATATAACTAGAGAGGGCATACAGGAGACATACCCATGATGCCCAAAAATTTATTGTCAGAAATAAACCTAAGATATAAAAGATGAAAAAAGACCCACAGATGTCGGGCCTTTTAAAACAAAACTCCTCTAATAGCTTGACATGTTCAGTATGAAAAGTGTGCTCCTTAAAATATTATGTGTCTCAGACTCCCAGTTCTTTCAGACATGAACCGAAAAATTCACACCCTCTGGATAGTGGAGACTAAGAAAGAGTACACCCACAGAGTCAGAAAGTCAAGCTCCCAAGACATAAAACAACATGAAAGGAAAACCTCATCTAGTTTTTATGTCAGGGACCCACAGCATTTGTCTTAATAGACATTGGTCTAGTAAGAACTGCAAAATGAGCAGTCGGCCGGGCATGTGGGCTCATGCCTGTAATCCCAGGACTTCGGGAGGCCGAGGCAGGCGGATCATGAGGTCAGGAGATCGAGACCATCCTGGCCAACATGGTGAAACCCGGTCTCTACTAAAAATACAAAAATTAGCTGGGCATGGTGGTGCTTGCCTATAATCCCAGCTACTCAGGAGGCTGAGGTGGGAGAATCACTTGAACCTGGGAGGCAGAGGTTGCATTGAGCCAATATCGCGCCACTGCACTCCAGCCTGGTGACATAGTGAGACTCTGTCTCAAAACAAACAAACAAACAAAAAACCAAAACTGAGCAGTCTGCAAGGCTGGCTAGAAGAACAGTGGCATATAGGGATTCTAGGTCCATCTTCTACCCTATGGTACTCCTCTTTACAACAGAATTACACAAAAAGACAAAGGAAAATGGCAACAACAAAAGGCCTTTTCTGAGACAAAAAGGGGCCAAACAATATGAATATTCATATTCCAAAGTACCAAAAGTACACCAGAGCCACTACGACACAAGATTAGTCATACAAATCCTTTTGTCACATTAATCAAAACCTTGCAGATGAGACAGTAATTTTTACCATCCACTCCGCTGGAGTGCACTGAGAAAGAGAGGCCAGGAGCCTGGCAGGTAAAAAAATTTTTACCCCTTTGCCAGCAGATCAGCTTCCTGGTTTCTCTTCACTGCACCTTCCAGAAGGGAAGAGCAGTTTTGATAATCGCCTGGCTTGTTCCACTATACTGTGAGGTTCATAGGCTCTTGGCCCCCTAAAGATTTGCTAACCATCACTGACATGAGGCAGGTTGATTGATAGGAGAAAAAACATACAAATTTATTTCACATGTATACAAGGGTGCCTCAGAATAAAAACCCAAGTGCCCAATGAGATACAGAAACTTATATATTATCCTGAGGCCACAGTAAATAATGCAGACTCAAGAGCATGGCCAGATACAAGTAAGTCAGGTTTAGTGGCAAGACAGGTTAAGAGAGAGAGAAAGGAAGAAGCTTGGCTAGCAAAGGTAGCCTTATGATGTTGGTGAAGCTTCCCTGAGAGAGCATATAGGGTAAATATTTCTTTTTGAACTTTAAAAGGTGTCAGTGTCTCCTGGATCCTCGGAAAGGCATAGAAAGGGAGGTAGGGGGTATGGCTGCATTAATGGAGATTCTCTACAGATGCAAATTTCCCTCACTTAAGACAGCTTTGCAAGGCCACTTCTGTCAGGATGGCCAAGTGGCAGCTACTTCAAAATATTTCAAAGAAATATATTTTGGGGTAAAATATTTTACTTCTCTTCAACATTAATCTGGAATGGTCTCAACACTAGTTTATGGATGCTGATGGAAGTCATCTGATGAAATCAGTGAAATGTAAGACAAAGTGGTTTTAAAAAACAGTAAGTATTCTTAAGAGTATATCTTTGAAATTGCAAGTTTTTTTTTTTCTTCTCTAATTCTGTGCCCGTTGTGAACCAAAAGCATCTAAAACAGGTCTCGATCAATTTAGAAAGTTTATTTTATTAAGGCTAAGGATGCAACCATGACACAGCCTCAGGAGATCTTGATGACATGTGCCCAAAGTGGTCATGGGATAGCTGGTTTTATGCATTTTAAGGAGACATGAGACATCAATCAATATGTGTAAGATGTACTTCAGTTCTGTCTGAAACGCAGAACAACTCAAAGGGGAGCTTCCAGGTAATAGATAGATGAGAGACAAATTGTTGCATTCTTTTGAATCTTTGATCAGCTTTTTACTGGATACACAATTTACATGTGAGAGGGAGGTAGAAGAATACTCACTAATGCCTTAGTCTGGCTCAGTGAATCTGCATTTTTACATAAACAATAAGAAAGAGGAAGCATTTCAATATGCATTTGTCTCAAGTGAGCAGGGGGATGACTCAATTCTGTTCATCCTTTGTCTGGCTTTACTTGTGAAGATAAATTATCAGTTTATACTACCAAGGTAAAATTCAACAGAATTGTTTTAGAGTAAAGAGCTTGAGGCCCACAAGAAATCTCCTTGTGAGAAAATTGTGAGGGCGGTATGTAGCATTTTTATCTTTGCAGCTATCTTATCTAGGAATAAAATGTATTGTTTTTGTGTATATTTAACTTGCATAAATGCTGTTTGTACAATACATGTTACTGTCTTTCTGTTTTCCTGAAGTGTTACAGTAGGTAGTTACTCAGACATAAGCAGGGCAGGAGAAGGCCCTATGACCACCAGGAATGTCAGGTGACCATGAGGTGATAGTCAGGTGGCTTATTTAGAACAGTCTCTAAAATAAAAACTGGTCACAGCCAGTGCCAGGGAAAGGCAGTCTCCCAATAGATAGAAAACACTTGACACTGGTGATAAGTAGCTTCCTGATAAGATCTCAGGAGTTGGGCAAGTGGTCTCAAGCATGCACACTAAGAGGCAAAATGGCAGAGTTTAACTGGCATATAGTATATGACCTTTCTCTGGGAACACTTGACTGGTTAAGGGGAAAATGCCTTAAGTGAGTATGTGCACAATTTCAGAAAACACATTGTGCATGTGTCCCGTCCCAAGTGCTATCAGGCCACATGTGGACAGCCCACCGCAAGAGAAGAATAAGCGGAAAAGGGACGCAACCCAGGAAGCATGCCAAAGTATAAGACCCCAAGCCAGAGGTCAAACCATGCCATGCACTTGAATCTCTCAAGTCACCTGCTTGGCCCTCTTCCAAGTGGACCCCACTTCTTTTCATTTCTGCTCTAAACTTTTTAGTAAATTTTCACTATTTGCCCCTTCAGGTAGGCTGTGATCTTATTTTGTCTGATCATTAGGTTTTAGGTCCAGCTGCTAAAGCACTCTAAGCAGTAGCATTTCGGTAAGAAAGGTACACTGGGGACTCTGCAGGTTTTAGGTTTTAGATTCTAAAAGAAGGTTAAAGAGTCAAGAAAGCAATTATATGATGCCTCATGGCAATCATCCTAAAGAAAACAAGAAAATATTTAGGAAGAAAAGTTTCATTTTAAAAGTGAAATTGCAAGTCAGAAAGAAATTCTTGTGCTAACTCCAATATTTAGGCATGTGAAAATTAGTGCCAATTCCTGGTATCTGGATGAATGACCTCAGATCATTACAAAATTACTTGCTGGAGGGTGAAAAAAATAAAATTATAAAAGATTATTTGCATATGACACCTAAGGTTATGGCATGCAATATTTTACTACCTATTTGTGCTTTTTAGGTTTAAATTGGCTTCTAAGCAAAAACCCAACATTGTTGTTTTGAATATTCAACAATTAAATTTTATGTGGTATTGATGGTAGTGGGACACAGACAATTTTCTAGGTGGGAAGAGACAGGTCCCTTGTGAACCTCACCTTCAAGCCAGGGACAGCCTAAAGCCTGGGGGCCGGGCTACCAGTTCCGGGTGAAGTCCGCAACCTGGAGCAAGAACTTCCTTGTTGCCTTTTGCCCAATCAAGTGGTGCTTTCTCCATTCCTGCCCACTGCCCGATGAGTATGCACTTCCTCCATTCTAAGTCCATAAAAACCCCTGGATTCAGCCAGACTCAGACACTCCTCAGGACAATGTGCCTACAGATAGGAGCTATCCACTTTGGGTCTCCTCTCCACTGAGAGCTGTTCTGAAGCTAAATAAATCTCCTCTCCTACTTGCTTACCCACCAGTTGTCTGTATAGCCTCATTCTTCCTGGACGTGGGACAAGAACTGGGGACCTGCCAAATGGCAGGAGCTAAAGGGGTTGTAACACTTTCCTGGCTGGCTTGCTTAGCTGCAGGTGGGAGCTAAGGGGGCTATAACACTATATCCCTCCTGTTCTCTGCCAGCGCTGGGTAGCTACCCGACATGATGGGAAACAGTAGTTGAGCCAGGCCAGCCCAGGAGCCATGGGCCAGAGTGGTGAGGTGGGACTGAAAGAGCTATAACAAAAACAGGCTGAAACACAGCGCCGTGAAACTCCAGGTCACTGGCTGCAGGCAATGAGAAGGAGACAAAAGCTATGGCTCTTCTGGGAGCCCAGAACTCAGGGCTCCCTGAGCCAGGGTGTGACATGCTGTAACACCCTTTTTGGGGCTCTGCAGTTCCTGGTGTCTCTGAGATTTTGGGCACCACCATGTTCCCCTCATCCAGTTGCTTTTTAGCAATCACATGCAGAAGCCACTTGCGATTTGTCTGGTCCAGATATAGCCTCAGAGGGAGCCGACATCTGTGCCAGCACCTGGAGCTGCCTGCCCTGCCACGGCTGCCAGCGTGCCTGGCTGTGCCCAGTGACCAGATCTTGTGTTCATTCACTCACACACCCCTTGCCACTCCAAGCCTGGCTTGCCCTTGGTAGGCATGGGATCCAGGCCGGTAGCATGAGCCAAGTGCAGCCTGTTGGGCCGAGTGGGTAGAATGAGCCCAGCGGGCACAAGCAAAACTTAAGCACAGAAACTGCCAGCCACAGAGGTTTCTGGCTGGGGAAGTGATACCCTAAGGATCCTGTGACAGTATGTTTAAATATTATTAATCATATTACCCTCCAAAAACAAAAGGAAAACTTTACCATGTAGTCTCAACAACAGAAAAACCAGCTGTTCTTAGTTCTTTTACTTTTTGCATATTCCCATTTCCTTTTAGCATTATTTTGTGACTCTGCTTTAGGAAAAATTAGATTTTTTTAAAGCATACTACTGATCTTTCTTTTGTGTTCTCTTTCTTTCTCTCTCTCTCTCTCCACAGAACCTCCTTCTGAACAAACCTTTAAATATTATGAAAGAAGCATTTAGGCAAAATTTAACATATTGAAAATATAATGCTTAACAATAAGAAAACAAACAACCCAATTAAGAAAGTGAGTCAATGACTTTAACAGATACCTCACAAAAGAAGATATACAGATGGTAAGTAAGCACATAAAAAGATGCTCGAATCATATGTTATAAGGGAAATGCAAATTAAATAGAGGATCCCACCATACATCCATTAGAATGGCCAAAATCCAGAATACTGGAAACACCAAATTCTGGCAATGACATGGAGCAATGCTGACCCTCATTTCTTGCTGGTGAGAATGCAAAAGGCACAGCCACTTTGGAAAGCAGTTTGGCAGTTTATTGCAAAACTAAACTTACTATTACCATATGATCTAGCAGTTATATTCCTTGATATGTACACAAAGGAGTTGAAAATTTATGTCCACACAAAATCTTGCACAAGATGTTTATAGCAGCTTTATTCATAATTGTCAAAGCCTTGAAGCAAACAAGATGTCATTCCACAGGTAAGTAGTTAAGTAAGCTGTGGTACATCCAGACAATGGAATATTATTCAGTGCTAAAAAGAAATGAGCCATTAAAAAATATGGAGAATTCTTAAATGCATATCACTTAGTGAGAAAAGCCAACTCGAAAAGGCATTGTACTGTACATTTTCAAATATATAACATTTTGGAAAAGGCAAAACAAAGGAAAAAGTAAAAAAGATAAGTAATTGGCAGGGATTGGGGAGAGGGAGTGATGAACAGGCAGAATATAGTAGATTTTTAGGGCATTACAAATACTCTGTATGGAGTGCTGGGTGCAGTGACTCACGCGTGTAATCCCAGCACTTTGGGAGGCCACAGTGGGCGGATCACCTGAGGTCAGGAGTTCAAGACCGGTCTGGCCAACATGGTGAAACCCTGTCTCTACTAAAAATACAAAAGAAAATAGCTGGGTGTGGTGGCCTGCGCCTGTAGTCCCAGCTACTTGGGAGGCTGAGGCACAAGAATCGCTTGGACCCAGGAGGGAGAGATATCAGTGAGTCAAGATCACACTACTGCACTCCAGCCTGGGCCACAGAGCGAGACTCCATCTCAAAACAAACAAACAAACAAACACTCTGTATGAGAGTTCAAGACCAGTCTGGGCAACATAGTGAGACTCCATCTTTATAATAAATAAAAAAATGTAGCCAGGCATGATGGCATGTGCCTGAAGGGAGGCTGAGGTTAGAGAAGTACTTGAGCCCAGGAGTTCGAGGCTGCAGTGAGCCATGATCATGCCACTGTACTTTAGCATGGGTGACAGTGCAAGACCCTGTATCTGAAAAAAAATATTCTGTATGATATTATAATGGTGAATATATGTTATTATACCTACAAAATGTGCAACAGCAAAAGTGAACCCTAAACTACTGACTTTGGGTAATAGTATATTCTAGACACAAATCCTTTATCAGATATGTGATTTTCAAATATTTTCTCTCATTTTTATCTCATAGTTTTCATTCTCTTCATGGTGTCTCTCAAAAACTAGTTCTCAGATTTGATGAAGTTCAATTTGTCATTTTTTTCTTTTATAAATCATGCTTTTAGTACCTTGTCTGAGAAATATTTTCCTAACTCATGATCATGAAGATTTTCTCCAGTGTTTTTTTCTGGAAATTTTATAGTTTTAGGTTTACATTTAGGTCTACGATGCATTGATCTTAATCAGGCTGCAAAATATCAGTCACAATGTTTTTGTTTTTGTTTGAGATGGAGTTTCACTCTTGTTGCCGAGGCTGGAGTGCAACGGCGCAATCTCAGCTCACCGCAACTTCCGCCTCCCGGGTTCAAGCAATTCTCCTGCCTTAGCCTCCCAAGTAGCTGGAATTACAGGCATGCACCACCACACCTGGCTAATTTGTATTTTTAGTAGAGATGGGGTTTCTCCATGTTGGTCAGGCTGGTCTCAAACTCCCAACCTCAGGTGATCTGCCCGCCTCAGCCTCCCAAAGTGCTGGCATTACAGGCATGAGCCACCGCGCCCAGCCGACAATGTTTTTTAATGGATACCCAATTTCTTTAGCATAATGTATTAAAAAATTATTTTCCCTTGAGTGGTCATTGCACCTTCATTGAAAATCAATTGACTGCATATGTGTAGGTCTATGTCAGAACTCAATTCTGTTATATTAATCTATATATTTTCCCTGTCTCCAGAACCACTTAACTATTCTAGATTTAGTAGGTTAGAAATCAGATACTATGAGGTGTCAAACTTTATTCCTTTATTTCAAAATTGTGTTGGATGGTTTATTTTCTTTGGCTTTCCATATAAATTCTAGATTCAACTTGCATGTTTCTACCAAAATTCCTACAGAAGTCATAATTTTCATTGTGCTCAAGTATTATTATTTCTTGTTTACTTCTATCAGTTACTGAAAGAGGAATGTTGAACCCTATACTATACTCCTGGTTTTGTCTGTTTCTACTTTAAGTCCTATCAGTTTTCAATTAATGTATTTGAGCACTTTTGTTAGGTATACACACATTTATGACTTTATATCTTCTTATAAATTGACTCTTTTGTCATTATGTAATATTCTTCATTTTTCTTGCCAATATTACTTGATTTGAAATCTACTTTGTGAAATTTTATTGAAACTTCTCCAACTTCCTTTTGAATACTATATGCTTTGATTATGTTTTTTCCATCTTTTTATCTTTAGTGTAACCCTGCCTTTATATTTACAGTGGTTATTTTATTTTTTTACTTTTTAGCCAATCTCACAATTCCTTTAATTGATGTGTTTAAACCTTATAAATTTGTTGTAATTTTCAAATGATTAAATAAACTTTCTAATTTTCTGTTTGTTCACTCTCTTTAAAAAATGCTTTTATTCCTTCCTTTCTATTAAATATATTTTATGATTCTGCTTTACCTACAGTATTGGCTTAATTTTTATGGCTTTTAAAAAATTTAATGATTGCCCTACATTTTGTAATATACTTCTTTAATTCATTAGTGTGTACCACAAATAATATAATATTGTTTCACTTATAGTATAATAATCTTAGAAGATTATACTTATAATTCTTCCTTTCTATCCTTAATGCTTGTTTTGTAACACATTTTGCCTTCATATATGCTTTTAATACACAAGACACTGTGTGTTTACACAGTTATGTTATAGAGCAGTTACATTTTCTTTGAAAAGGCATGCATACTTATCTTTATTTATTACATTTCCAGTACTTGTCATTGCTTCTTGTAGGCCCACATTTCTCTCTGGTGTTGTATTCTTTCTGCCTGGAGAACTTTCTTTAACATTTATTGTAATGCAGAACTTCTGATAATGCATTGTCTCAGTTTTTGTTTTCTAAAAAAAATCTGTATTTCTTTTTTGTTATTAAAAATTATCTTCACTTGGTATGGAATTCTTGTTGACAGATACTATTTTTTGTTTCAGCACATTAAAGATGTCACTGTATTATCATCAGGCTTGAAGCGTTTTTGTTGAAAACTACTATGATTTGTATCTTTTTTTCCTTGTTTATATGGTGGTTCTTTTCTTCTGACTGCTTTAAGATTTTTTGTCTTTGTCTTTATTTTTTAAAAGTTTAAATATCATATATCTAGGGCTTGTTTGTATTCTGTTTTGGTTTGGTTTTTATTCAGCTTTATGTTTTCTTGGCCCATTATAGTTTTATGGCTGTCAATTCTGGAAACTTGTCAACCATTATTTCAAATATTTTTCCTGGCCAGTTTTCTTTCTGGAATTCTATTTATACCTATGTTAGACTGTTTGATATTGTCCAGTACCTCTTGAATGCTCTATTTTCTCTCTTTTTATTTTCTCCTTGCATTTGAATTTGGATAAATTCTTTAATCATTCTTCAATTTCACTGATTCCTTCCTTGACTGTTTCAAGTTTACAAATTAACCTTTCCAAGCGGTTCTGCTTTATTAATCTGTTTTTGGTTTTCTAGCATTTCCTTTGATCCTTCCTTATACTTTTTACCTGTCTGCTGAAATTACTTATCTGGTCATGTATATTGTCCACTTTTCCAGTAGACAATGTAGCACATTAATGATATTTATTTTAGCTTTTCTGTCTGATAAACTCCATCATCTATGTTATATCTGGATCTAGTTCCTTCAGTTTGCCATGTCTCTTACAAGTCTTTTTTCTTGATTTCCTGTATGCCTTATTTTTGTTGTTGTTGAAAGCAAGTTTGCTATTGGTATGGAAAAACTGAGGAAATTGTGTATACACACACACACACACGCACATTTTATATGCGCATTTTGTGTATACACACAAAATTGTTTATACACACACACATTTTATATGTGTGTGTGTGTGTGTGTGTGTGTGTGTGTGTATATATACACTCTGCAAATGGGTAGGAGTTGAACTAGACTCCAGATTCATTTCTATGATTTATACTAAATGAACCAAGAAAGGATCACTTTCCATACTGTATTAGGCCATTCTTGCATTGAAATAAAGAAAGAACTGAGACTGAGTAATTTATAAAGTAAAGAGGATTAATTTGCTCACAGTTCTTCAGGTTTTATATGAAGCACCATGCTGGCATCTGCTCAGCTTCTAGGGAGGCTTCAGGAAGCTTACAATCATTGTAGAAGGTGAAGGGGGAGCAGGCAAGTCACATGGCAAAAGCAAGATAAAGGAAGAGAGAGTGGAAGGGGGATTCCACATATCTTTAAATGACCAGGTCTCCTGAGAATTCTCTCACTATTGGGAGGACAGCACCAAAACGATGGTACTATGAATGGTTTAGCATTCATGAGAAATCCACCCCCATGATCCAATCACCTCCCACCAGTCTTACCTCCAACAGCGGGAATTACAGTTGAACATGAGACTTGGGCAAGGACAAATATACAAACTATATCACATACTATTGCCTCTTTCCTTGCTACTTGTCCTGCAGACTACTGTTAACTGTTACACAAACCTTGTAGCCTACTGAGGTGCAGAAAGGTGAGTGTTCTCTCTTTTTCTAATTCAACCTCAGTCCCAGGACTGTGTCCACGGATCTTAGGAATGGGGCTGCTCAGTGGTCCTGCCTTACCTAGAGCTGTAGGTTTAGATCCAGCACAATTTCCTGCCACTGTTCTTGCAGTAGAGGATTTTTTTAGCCTTCCCTTTACCTAGCTGAAAATGGTTTTCAGGGGTGCCCTAAGGACAATAATGTTGACCCTTCCCTCAGGAGTTTCAGTGTTTTCTTCTTTCAGAGAGATAGGTAGAAAGGATCTAGGTGAGATTTCCTACCTTTATTATAGTGGCTGTTTTTTCAACCCCCTAGTCTGTACCATGAAGGAAACTTTTTCAGAAATTTTTCCAATCTTTTTTGTAAGGCCTGAGAAAAAGAACCTCTGACTGCATGCAAATTCCCCTTGTGTCTTGACCTCAGGGCTTTTATATTCTCTTCTTAGCCTCCATTCAGCTTTTAATATTTGTTAAAAGGTTTAGCTGAATTTTTCTTACTAGTGTCCAACAGCATCTTCCCCAGTTAAACAAGTGGTTGCTTCCCTTTTCTTCTTAGAAATGATTGTCTTTTCTTAGATTCCACATCAATTAGTTGTCCTATGATCTCAGTTCTCTAATAGGCTCAAGAAAAATTATAAATCTTGAGAACGTCAGATATTTTTTCTTGTTGTTTTAACATCGTGATATGTTTCAGCCTTCGGCATCCCACAGGGAAGCCAGAAGTCCAGTACATTTTTTGTTCATTGTAGCCATAATATACTTTCTAAAATATGTCTAATTTCTCTTCTTGATTAAAGCCCTCCTAAGATTTCTCATTGCCTTTAGGATTAGAAGGACACTTATTAATGTGACACATATTACTCCATAGCCTCATCTATTACTAATTATCCTTTTGTGTACTATGGTCCAGCCTATTAACTTACTAATTTATTCTCTCTGTCTCTCAAATTATCCATTCATTCCTATATCTGGTCTTTTGCATTTATTGTTCCATCTGCTTCAGAACTGCCCTACTGTTACCAAGAGTCCCTTCTCTGGATAATTATCAGGTAATGGACGTTTTCAATGTTTGTGTGGAGTATGACATGCATTGCTTTAATCTTAAAACTCAGATCACTCCAGGAAAATTTCTCCCACCACCCCAACCTGTTATGTCCTAACTGTGCTCATGCTGTTTGTGCTATTCTCTTTTCCCCCTACTTTTCTCTTGTAAGTTTCAAATTAGTCTTTGCTTGGCTATTTGTCTTCATTTTATACACCAGAAATTATGTCTTCTTTTCTTTTTATTGTTCATGGAAAAACTATGTAAAATATTCTAAAGAGGTTTATTCTGAGCCAATCTGAGTGATCACAGCCTGCAGAAAAGACAAACTCAAAAAGCCTGTGTAAGTGGTCCCAAGTTGGTCAGGTTACAGTTTGGTTTTTTATATATTTCAGGGAGGCAGAAGTTACAGGTAAAGACATAAATCAATACATGGAGGTTAGACATTGGTTTGGCTTGAAAAGGTGACATATCTTGAACCAGGGCTTACAGATTTTGGGTGGATTCAGAGATTATTTCATTTGTAATTGGTTAAAGGAATAAGGCTCTGTCTAAAACTTGGAGTCAGCAGAAAGGAATGTTTAAGTTGAGATAAGAATGTTATGTCAGATTCAGCCACAATATACTGGGTCAAAATGACCTATTTAGCAAGACTGATGTCCTACAAGTGTGACTTACCCCTGCCTTGCATGGCCTTAAGTTTTGTTTATAATATGATACCTTATTGCCACAAAGAGTCTGTTTTGTCAGTCTTTTATCTACATTTTAACCTTAATTGTGGTCAGTTGTGTCTAAACTCCGAAAGAGAGATGGTATAACAAAACGTGTCTGACCTCCCTTCCCATCGTAGCCAGGAACTCAGCATTTAAGGTTTCTCTGGGATCTCATGGGTCAAGAGGGGGTCCATTCAGTTAGTGGAGGGCTTAGTATTTTCTTTTTAATTTATGCTATGTTTGTTGATGACTTTCTGTGGGATTTTATTTTAGAGATAAACAAGGATATATATATATATATAAAATAACTGATATATACATATATATTTATGTTACTTAGTATCCTTCAGTATTATAATATTATGGAACTATAAATATACACTATTTACTATATATGTACAACCTTAGTTTAGATGACATTAAACTAGAGATAATGCCTTAAAATATATGTCACAAGTGAGAGGTGACAGCGTGCTGGCAGTCCTCAGAGCCCTCGCTTGCTCTTGGCACCTCCCCTGCCTGGGCTCCCACTTTGGTGGCATTTGAGGAGCCCTTCATCCCCCCCCACTGCACTGTGGGAGCCCCTTTCTGGGCTGGCCAAGGCCGGAACCCACTCCCTCAGCTTGAAGGGAGGTGTGGAGGGAGAGGCGCGAGCGGGAACCGGGGCTGCGTGCGGCGCTTGCGGGCCAGCTGGAGTTCCGGGTGGCCGTGGGCTTGGTGGGCCCCGCACTCGGAGCAGCCAGCCAGCCCTGCTGGCCCCGGGCAATGAGGGGCTTAGCACCCAGGCCAGTGGCTGCGGAGGGTGTACTGGGTCCCCCAGCAGTGCCAGCCCACCAGCGCTGCGCTCAATTTCTCTCCGGGCCTTAGCTGCCTTCCCGCGGGGCAGGGCTCAGGACCTGCAGCCCGCTATGCCTGAGCCTCCCACCCACTCCATGGGCTCCTGTGAGGACCGAGCCTCCCCGATGAGCACCACCCCCTGCTCCGCGGTGTCCACTCCCATCGACCACCCAAGGGCTGAGGAATGCGAGCGTACGGCGCAGGACTGGCAGGCAGTTCCACCTGCAGCGCTGGTGCGGGATCCACTAGGTGAAGCCAGCTGGGCTCCTGAGTCTGGTGGGGACGTGGAGAGTCTTTATATCTAGCTCAGGGATTGTAAATACACCAATCAGCACCCTGTGTTTAGCTCAAGGTTTGTGAGTGCACCAATCGACACTCTGTATCTAGCTGCTCTGGTGGGGACGTGGAGAACCTTTATGTCTAGCTCAGGGATTGTAAATACACCAATCGGCACTCTGTATCTAGCCCAAGGTTTGTAAACACACCAATCAGCACCCTGTGTTTAGCTCAAGGTTTGTGAATGCACCAATCAACACTCTGTATCTAGCTGCTCTGGTGGGGCCTTGGAGAACCTGTGTGTGGAAACTCTGTATCTAACTAATCTGATGGGGACGTGGAGAACCTTTGTATCTAGCTCAGGGATTGTAAACGCACCAATCAGTGCCCTGACAAAACAGGCCACTCGGCTCTACCAGTCAGCAGGATGTGGGTGGGGCCAGATAAGAGAATAAAAGCAGGCTGCCGAGCCAGCATTGGCAACCTGCTCGGGTCCCCTTCCACACTGTGGAAGCTTTGTTCTTTCACTCTTTGCAATAAATCTTGCTACTGCTCACTCTTTGGGTCCACGCTGCTTTTATGAGCTGTAACACTCACCGCAAAGATCTGCAGCTTCACTCCTGAGCCCAGCAAGACCACTAACCCACCAGAAGGAAGAAACTCCGAACACATCTGAACATCAGTAGGGACAGACTCCAGATGCGCCACCTTAAGAGCTGTAACACTCACCGCGAGGGTCCGCGGCTTCGTTCTTGAAGTCAGTGAGACCAAGAACCCACCAATTCCAGACACACGAGGATTAAGCCAAAAGAATTTCAAACCCAAATTGCTAATATCCTAGAATATATTGTACTAGTATTCTGTGATTCACAGAGATAATGACCATGTTCAGTGTGTCTTTCAGGCTTTAACTTCTTATAAGAGGTGTCCAAATGATGGACAATATGTAACGTGTAACACCTATTTGAACAAAATACATTTAAATAACTGGTTTCACTTAGATGAATTTTAAAGCCTTTGAATATATTGTATACTTTCTATATATATATAAAATGCTCATCTATAGACAGAGTCATGTATCTCTTAGATTTCTTGAAACTCTTGAAATCTAAAAATCATTTATAAATCTTAGGACTATTAGCTTGGCCTTGAGCCAAATAAGATATTTGTTCCAAGGTAAAGAGAAAATGCTTTTCTCTGCCTTTCACTTAGTTTAAATTTTCAATTAGGTTTCAATATATTTTTAGTCTGCCTTCCATTAACACAAGTCAAAAGAAACACATTTGCACTTCTCACAATTCTCTTCTCGAGTATCTTTGGGAAGGTGATAAACAGTTCACAAAATTGCACAGGATTAACCCAGGTATACAGATGCAGCTTGCAAGAGATGTCAGCAAGGTAGGCCCTACAAGCAATGGACCAGAATATGAAATTCCTTATGTATAAACTGTGACATAAGAGAACCTATTTAAACACATAGAGCTTCATTTTCTTCACTTATTAAATGGGCATAATAGTAGCCATATCAAAATATTTTTATTGTTTTTAAAAGTCACCCATTGTTAAACCCTTAAGATGGTGCTTAATGTAAATATGCAATAGATTTTACCTGCTACTGTTATTATCAGCCACTTTCATTATTTCATGAAACATATGGCTTTATCAAAGTAAGGACATAACATGTATTACAAATGAATATTCTCTTTAAAGCAGGGAAGCCTATGTTTATATTGTTCATAAACATACTTGTTACTTGTTCTATATTTTCTTCCCTAGAAAGAAATTCTATGTGCATTGTTCAAGAAAAATTGTACCAGATAAATGTAAACAGGGAAGAAAGGCTTTATTCAAGACTATTGCAGTTGGGATCAAGACTACTGCAATAGGAGAGCGAGATTATCAACTCTATTGAGACAAAAGATAAGCAAGTTTTTAACTTCTGGGATGAACTATTGGAAAAGCACCGAAGGATATTAGTGGGGAGTTGGTCAAAGTGATGATGCTATCTACATGTGCTAAATTGATGCTTACCAAAATCAGAATTCTGCCCTTCCACAGAGACTGGGAGAAAGGGGCCCTACATTTCTTGATTATTACATTTAAAAGGGATCGTTCTAAGGTCCTTGGGAAAGACATTCCTAGGTTGTAAAATTGGGAAGACATTTGGAGAAAATTTACATGTAAAAGGGGTAGGGAAAGTATTAACAATAGAAAACTTTCTGAATGAAATGCTCTAAGAAAAGAGTGGTCAGGGACTTATAGTTGGAAAGAAAACATTCTAAAATTTAGTCAGTCTGAGGGAACATTAAGAATGTCTTGGTCTGTATAAAATCTAATGGTCCACTTCAAAAATTCCACTATTCAAAATATTATATCTTTGCTTATTAAAAGTACATTTAGGGCCCTGAGATGGGAACTGTAATAATTGGCTATTGCTGTGTAACCAACCACCTCCAAGCTCAGTGCCTTAAAACAACAATTTATTCTTGCTCAAGTTCAGCTGATCTAGACTGGGCTGAAGCTATGAGTTGCACTGGGGATTAGGCCCAGGCTGAAGGGGCAGGAACTTTCTTCCAAAGATCGTCCACATGGTATTGGTGGAGGTGTGAAGATGAGCCCCCTGTGCAGACACAATTCAAGTCTCTTCTTCTCTTGCCTCCTAATTTCCCTTTGAAGAAATCAAGTCATGTGCTGATGTTCAAGTCTAGGATACCAGAAGTATACTCTGTTCTGACCACAGTAGGGTGAGAGTGTGGAGGGAAGTAGGAGTGAGTGTTTTCTAGATAGTAATCTAAAGTATCCAAATAGGTTTCTTTCTAAGTTTCAACATTATATGTCTGGCCAGAGACATTCAGAATCTGTAACTGAATGGTGGTTATGAATATATAATGATGGTTTCCCATATTTTTAAGTCAACAGACATTCATTTTTTAAAAATTTCCTAAATATTTATTAATCTCTTAGCACATAGCAGATACTGCTTTAGTTGCTGAGCATATAAGGGTGATCAAAACCAGAGATGGTCTATGCTATCACAGAGAATCTAAAAACTAACAAAGAGTTATGCAAAAATATATAAAATTTTTACTGTGAGCTATATGACAGAGAAACACCTGGTTCCATAATCCAGGAATTTAACTTACTCAGAGATATAAAGAGAATCTTTCCTGAGTCTGTGATGACTTAACTGAGATCTCAAGAAAAAGTAGTACACAGGGTGATAGGAAGATCGTTGCATAGAGTTGAAGAAAAAGAAGTGCTCCAGACAAAAGAAAGTACATGAAAAGCCCAAGTGTAGCACTTTATAGGCAATGAAAGAAGTACAGTAAAATTGGAGAACAGAAAGCATGTGGGAGCATAATTCTACTTTAGACCAGCCCTGTCTAATAAAAATACCATGCCAGAAATTCACATCATTTTAAATTTTCCATTAGCTAGATTAAAATGTAAAAAGAAACAGGTTAAATTAATTTTAAGAATTTATTTTATTTAACCCAATATTTGTACAATATTACCATTTTGGCATATAGTCAGTATAAAAATATTAATAGGATATTTTATATGCTTCTTTTTTCATACAGAGTTTCTGAAATACACACATAGCAAATCTCAATTTGGACTAGTCCCAATTCTATTACCACATATGCCTACTAGCCACCATATCACACAGGGCAGGTCTACACATGAATTATCTTTTAGACAATTTTAAGGTTAGTGACCTTTGTCCTAGTAACAGTGACATGACATTTGATATTTTAAGCATGGGCTGTGCGGGGAATGGGGATGGTGGTCAGATGACTAGATTTGTATTACGAACATAACCGTGGCTACCATGGGAATAGAGAGAACTAAACAGATTTGAAAGATACATGGGTGGTAAAATTGAGCTTTAATGGATTAAATATTGAGGGGGGTGGGCATTCAGCACAGATACCTTTTAATTTCCTGAGCTATTTAACAAAAACCTTAGGAGCCTGTCCATCACAGAAGAGGATGAAAATATGTTCAATTTGAGACAAGCTGAGTTTGGATTACTTTTTAATCACTTAGAAGGAGAGAAGAATTAATGGCTGACTATACCAATTTGAGACTTAGAGGATAATACTGGGGTAGAGATGTAAGTTTATGTCATTTCTCAATGATGGGTAAAGCCATAGGCATTCATAAAGTAGCCAATGGTAAAAAGGATAAAATAAGAAGTGAAGAAATAAAAGTTGACTTTCAAAAGAGTTTGTGTCTTGTATTGCTTTCTTAGTTTTCAAATGCTTAATTGGAAGCATTCTCTTGAATTAGCATTCTCATTAAATCTCCTAGGATGGAAGCACATAATGCCAACATGGAGGAAAGAATGAAGGACACTAGAATGCCATTCTGTTTCCTTACTTAATGGGGAAATACTGAACGTACAGCATATGGCTGCATCCTCTGCTTCATTCAAGAGTGATTGCTTGAAAATCGTCACAAAAGATTCTGAAACAAACACACAATAAATCTTATAGCCAAGCACTTTTTGCAGGCCATGTTAGGGAAAAAAGCAAACATAAAAGGATTCAATATAATAGAATTAAGAAAGAAAAACATACTTTAATAAAAAGTAAACAGTAAATTAAAACATTATTAATATTTAAGTGTGAATGGGGGATGTTTATGTTTTTTATGTTTTTGGCAAAGTACAACAGGTGAGTGAAACTCAGGCAGCTTAATTTTCATAAATTTCCTCAAATATGATTCATTTATTCTTTTAAAATTATGAATTTCAATATACTCTAAAACTTACAGAAATCTGAAGGAGATGATAAAGGACAGGACTAATGTCCAGACCACCTATGATTCCTTTCCCTACCTTCAAGATTCCATCCTCATAGGATCCTTTGGGGGAATATTAGACAATGCTATTTAACCTAAACTTAATTTTGGTGTCTTAACCAACACTGTGTACCCTTTGCTCTGGCCATGGATCTTTTTTTTTATTATCAGATGTCCTTCAGGAAAAGTGACAGAATACCTAACGTAAGCCAGCATATCAATAAATGAAATATAGTATTTCACATGATTGAAAAGTCCCATTACAGAGCTAGCTTTACACAAAGCTTTATTAGCAGCTCAACAGTTGTCATCAGGGCATCCAATTTTTCTTGGATTCTTTTCCTAGTACCCCTATTTTTAGGTCTGCTCTCTGCAAATGGGTGAGAGATTGTTGCAGAGAATTCATATCATTTCAGCTTTATTTCTACAAGAAGTTATGTCTTTCCCAAGAAATAACCAGAGAAACATGGTAGGATTGCTTGTCAGTATGGAAGGTCCATTGGCATTCTGAAATTTACAGAGAAACTGTTAAGACCCATGTTATTATTATTCTCCACCTCATACAATCTTATCCCTACACACTTACCAATGCTGTAAGTAAGATATATAAGATGGCATGACTTTATGACCTGTGTTGTGGATGTAGTTTAGCTTCTTATTAGAATATCTTCATTTGATTCCTTTAGCATGGTATAGAGTAGAATAATTAATATCTTATTGTTATAGGTCTAGCATTGTGATATATGTGAGACATAGACAGAATTTAATCAAACTATTACTCAGATTAGCAAGGAAAATGTAGCAGCTATATTTTTCCATAACTGATCTGATCAGTTATAATCTGATCATCCTTTTTCTCATAATTATTTCCCTTTGGAAGAGAAGAAACTTAAACTTGCCAATTACTAGTATCTCAGCATCTGCACATTTAAAAATTCTATGTTCTAAGTCAGTCTACTCGAAGTTCATCGAATTCTCAGTGCTATTTTAAGTGGCTTGTTTTTTTAAAGTCTTCTTTTCATAAATAACTTTTTTTTCAACTTGCTTTCCTTCTCCCTCACCTTCTCAGACATGGCATCTGAATGTATGCCAGAAGGGTCACTTACATGACCTTGAGTAATGGGAAAAAGTGAGTCTTGAATTTTTGAATTATTGTGTGTCTTCTGGAATCCCAATGGCTGTTGTTAAATTGGTTGCCCTTGTCTAGTTCCAGAAATGGTGACAGTTAATGTACTGTGGTCACACAGTAGGTCATTCACTAGAATGAAGACCACTCTAGTCAAGCCCATAATGGCTGGCATTTGCCTTTAGTCACAAAGTCAAGCAAGGCAGCCTCTTCATACGGACTCCAGCACTGCAGTAGCTGGTCACTGGTGCATGGAGAAATTCTGCCCCTCCTGTCTGACATATGCAGGTCACAGGAAAACCATCTCAGTCTCATCAGTTTCATCTACCTAGACACCACTGCTATATTACCAAACTCAAGATGACAACGGGCATGTTTATGGACTTGTCCTAGTGTATTATATAGGGTACAGTCATCATCCTTTTCTTTCCAATTTTCCCTCAAGCTATGTAATATCTTCACCTTCCATCCCTCATCCAAAGAGGTTTGGCTTAAAGATATATCATGTGGGTCACTTTATCGGCTCCTGCTTCCCTTCAACATTGCTACATTACCCTTGCCTGAATCCACCTGGCTGGAACGAAAAAAGCTCTCAACATATTGTGTCTCTCTAGCAAGGATTTCCATCATATCATATCCACCTTTTTCTTAGGTCATGTTCAGACTTAAGGGTGGTAGGGTCAAACTTTCCATACTGAAAGAAAGCTTATGATCACTCCATCTAGCTCCCTTTAATCAAAAGAGGAAGAAATCCTTTCTTTTTTTCCCCCAAGAAATATATTTCATACACACACACACAAACACACACACACATATATATCTCGCATGCATATACATACATATTCTCATTTAATATTCCTT
Source organism: Homo sapiens (assembly GCF_000001405.40). Lineage (NCBI taxonomy): Eukaryota > Metazoa > Chordata > Mammalia > Primates > Hominidae > Homo > Homo sapiens. The sequence continues at coordinate 193,912,030 of NC_000001.11, read as the reverse complement.
ACTTCCTTTAGGATTACTATTCTAATTTTATACATATGAAGCAGAGTGTTTAATCTTTCCCAAGTTCCCTCACAGTTGACATAAAGCCGGAGTTCTGAAATTCAGCCCAAAGCTATTAATTTCAAAGTTGATACTCTGCTCACTTTAAATTGCAGACTCCTTCAAAGAAACTCCCCAATTTATCCAGTGACTGACTCTTTCTCCAACACCTTTTGGAAGAATAGTTTGAAGATGCCCTAACTAAGAATGAGATTTCGCTCAAGGCACAGAGACGTGGTCGTGTGTAACATCTGCCTTCTTGAGTAAATTTCAATGGGAGGATGCTCGCTTTGTCTTACTCAGAGAGACATGGGCACTTAATAATGACCTACCCTGCATCACCAGGTAATGTGCTCTTCCAATTGTGTGTAGAATTTTGCTCACACTACCTCATATTTAAACTTGTTTCCCTCTAAAGCCAGTGTTTTTCAAATTGCCTATAATTCTCAAACAACCTTCATGATTTTTGCCATGTCCTAGTCTGACTTTATTAGTATTTAATTAATGTTTGTATTTAATTAAAATTTTATATTTGAACAAATTTATTTTTAAGACAAGCTAAATATTACTATTACAAAGGGAAAACTGGTAGCATTTAAATAGAAGATAGCCATTAATATAAATATACTGAAAAGAAAGTAATGTTATTGCATTTCAAAAAAATAAAAATGAAACCCAAGTAATAAAGCAATTTCTTAAAAGAAAAGATTTCCAATAAGAAGAATGCAACTGATATAACCAGCAATGAATTTATATTTGTTTGAATATTCTTACTTTTACTAAACATATGGAAGTTAGTTCCATATTATTAAGATTATTTTATTTTTAAATTTTGATCTAAACCAACAGTCTAACCTTAAAGAATTACTGGATTTGAGCCACAAATCTGATCTTCCCACAGTTGTTTCTCATACTCCTATTGCCCCCACTTAGCAAATCACTAAAGTCTTTCCAACTCTGTACTAGAGCCTCTTGAGTGTCTGAGTTCATGGTCAAGTGAGACTCTCTCTTCTTCTAATGGGAATGCCTTTCACTGGCCAGGTCATACAAACACACTACAAGATGCCACCTGAGCAGGGCCTCTATTTGGCTGCCTCGCTCCACTCCATTACTACATGCTGCAGCAAGGTGAGGTATGGAGAAGAGATTCTTGGTTAGACAAGAAACACAGCCCTGATTTAGACTAGGGGATGGTATATGTAAGTATAGATTCATAGTGCCTGAGTCTTGGGATCACCCAGGGCACTTTGCTCTCATCTTGTCAGAGTGTGGAACCAGAAGGAGACTTTGTGTAAGCATTGGGAATTCCAGCACAACCAAATATATTGGTTCCAACACCTAACACTCTGGCTCTCTCCTCATAAGACCAAATCCTGTGATCTCTGCAGTAGGACAAGATCACAAGGTTGGATCCATAGGAACGCACTGTGCAAAGATAAAGCCCAGAGGCACTGAACTTCCCTTCTTCTATGAGTTGTTTCCTACACTTATTTTGTAGCAGAAAAGAGGGAATGTGTTGGAATAGAGAATTGCTCCAGTGTACCTCTTTAATACCTTTTTCCTGTGGAACAGAGTTGGTGGGGGTTCAAAAATGGTAGAAGAATATATCTGATCTCAACACTTGTTTTACAAAAAAAAAAAAAAAAAAAGTGGTAAGCTATTGTATGTCCCTCAATTCAGCCCTCAGACAAATGAAAAAATGTTGCCTAACATGTATCTAAAACCTATAGCCATAGTCTTTGATGTTGCCTCTTCAGTTCTACTGTCCATAGACATCCTTGTCTCCACTAAAATAGTGGTCTTCTCCTAGCATAACATGGTAGCTACCTCTACACACTCTGGTAGAGCCTTCACTCCAATTCAGTCTCCAAGATCTCAGTATCTGTGGATTTTCTGTGAGCTCTCTCTCAATCACCCACCAATGATCCCTCCACCAATGATCCTTCTGTATGTTCACCATAAATATCCTGTTATATTATTTCCAAACTAAAATAAATATACTATTAAAATTAGAATGTTTGTCATACCACACAAAATTATTTTGTCTATTAGCAGTGCTCTGTGCATATCCCAGCTGAAGCTCTCTGACTAAGGCTGTGCGCTTATGCACAATTAGTGCTTTTCTTCTGGAGATATGTGCATCTGTATGGCAGAGCGGGGGCAGACATGCTTGTGGACCTGTGTGTTTGTATAACTAAATTGTTTCCACCTAAATTCAGAAAGAATGTTTTCTCTCTACGTCACAGTTTAATATCATAGATGCTGAAGGGAACCAGAGTTGGCATAACGAAGCCCACTTTGGAACGTTCTTTTGGTCAGGGAGTGCTGGAATGGGTGGAGAATGGCATGGGACATCAAAGTGTAGCTGTCGATTGCTCAAGTCTGACTCATACTTCCCATCCACAAAGGATGAACCAGGTCCTGGAATAAGTAGAAGGTAGTTGTTGGAATGACAAGAGAGTTTCCATAGGGGTCCTGACAACCTGACGTTTCAGTTTAGGGTGCTATATAGCTTCTTTGGCTATTTTTATTTTCAGAAATAATTAATGATGTATGTTCTAAGTCAAATGTGGTAGCTCTTTATGTGTAATTTGACTTTCTTCCTTGTGTCTAAGTTGATATAGTCTATTTGGTCATTATATCTTTGTAAACAAAGGAATAGATCTGTGTGAATACAGTTACATTTACTTGAGGCTAACTTCCAGTATAAGATTGAGAATTTATAAGACAAATCCTTCAAAACCATTCAATATTGTCAGACATTTTACTAATTGGCTGAATTCTTAGAAGCAGAGTGATTCGAGATACATTCAAGATTCACATCATAAGAAAACAATAACAAGTAAATTGTTGATGAATTTTTTAATAAACTTTTGATTCACTATTTAGAATACATTTATTTCTACCAGACCTCAGTGGGAAATTAACCCAATATATCATTTTAATGAATTTATGACTATAATCGTATATATGCTCTTTACGAACTATAAATTCAATATATATAATGCAATATAAATGTAATATGAAAATTCAATTTTCAGTATAAGTTTATTTGGTTTGTGCAATAACTACTAAATTCTAGAGATATCACAGAATAAACTGTTCCACTAGGCATTTTATTTTTCTTATCTTTCAGTCACTGGAGTTTAAATGAGTAGCAAGTAAATTGCAAATAATTATTTTTCAATAGCTTTTGGGTACAAGTGTTTTTGGTTACGTGAATGAATCATATAGTGCTGAAGTCTGACATTTTTTAGCATTTAAAACATTAAATTTACCTGATTAACATAAAGATTTGGCATTAAACAAAGACCCTTATAAATAATCCCACTATTTTATTAGCAGTACATAAAAATGTGCATCAAGACATCTTGATGTCAGGTGCAGTGGCTCAAGTCTGTAATCCCAGCACTTTGGGAGGCCGAGGCGGGCAGATCACAAGTTCGAGACCAGCCTGGCCAACATGGTGAAACCCCATCTCTACAGAAAATACAAAAATTAGCTGTGTGTGGTGGTGGGCACCTGTAATCCCAGCTACTTGGGAGGCTGAGGCAGGAGAATCGCTTGAACCCAGAAGGCAGAGGTTGCAGTGAGCCGAGACCGCGCCATTGCACTCAAGCCTAGGTGACAGAATGAGAGACTCTGTCTCAAAAGACAAACAAACAAACAAAAAAAAAAAACAAAAAACAACCCACAGATATCTATACAGACAAAGACAATGCATGTTTCCCTTTATGATCTATCCTTACCCTCTCTTATAACCATAGGATTTTCTGAGCAACATAATCTGTTCAGCTAACCACTCTTCTACCAACAACAGGACTCTTGTGTCACAACACATCAAAAACAAAAACAAAAGACCTGGCAATGACACCAAGAATGCAACACCAAGCAACTTGTCAACTGAATCCCAAAAGATGGCAGGTAGGACTGTGGACTAAGATGAGATCTTGCTCTGAGCAGAGGTAGGATATATGAACTCTTTTACTATTTTGCTTTTGGCATGGTCAAAGAGGAAGAAGCAGCCTCCATGAAAACAGGAAAGAAGAAAAATATTAATTTTTAAATAATTTACAAATGTCAAGTATAGGCTAGATTGAGTTTAGATTCTTGGAGCCCAGATACATGAGTTGTCTGCGCTCATTCCCTAGCCCCCCTTAGCACTTCACTAGTGCTCATGAGAAAGATATCAGGCACGACAGGGGACTTTGGCATGCCCCCATACCTCCATGGCACAAAACCACATAATCCCCAACATTTCATGGATCCTTCTTGAATATAAGCGAAAGCCATAAGCCACTAGTGGAAAGGTAGGAAAACCTATGTACTGTGGTCCCAGAGAATAATCTGCTGCCCTTTGTAGAGGACTAGAGTCAATAGGTTTCTGATGCTGGGTGGGGCAGAGGATCCAGGCAAAAGACCACTGCTGCTGGGAGAAGGGTAGAAACAAAGTTATTATCTGCCCCAGACAGGGAGAAAATATTTGCAAAGCACATATCTGATCACATATCTGATCAAAAGGACCTTTCCAAGCATATAAAGAACTCTTACCATTAAATTCAATACTAAAAGTCCATCAACCCAATTTTAAAAATGGTCAAAAAGATTTGGGAAGTTTCTTCATCAGAGATACATAAATGGCAAATAAACACACGTGAAGAGATGTTCATCATCATTAATTACTTAAAAATATGCAATGAGATAACTGTACACCTATTAGAATGGATAATTTTTAGAACTTAACAAATACCAAGATGAGTATTTGAGAGTGGAGATTCATAGATTACTGGTAGGAATTCAAAATGGCACAACCGTCTTCAAGTTTCTTATAAATTTAAACATATTGTTTCCATAGAATATGAAATTTCATCCCTACATATTTTTCTAAGAGAAATAAACCCTTGTGTACACACACAAAGACCTGTATAGCAATGCTTATAGCAAATATATTTATAATTGCCCAACACTGGAAGTAATCCATAGGTCTGTCAACTGGTAAATGGATAAATAAATTATGCTATGGCCATGCAATGAAATACTAATTCAGCAATAAAAAGGAAATAAACAACCGATATATTCAAATATACGGATGAATATCACAAAGTCTTATGTTAGTGGAAAAAAACAGAAGCAAAGTGCCACCTACCTTGTAATTCCATTTATAAGATCATGAAAAGACAAAACTAAAGAAACAGATCTGTAGGGGCTGGGTATAAAGGGACAGTGTGACTGTAAAGTGGTACAAAGGAACTTTTTGGGGTTGGTGAGGCATTCTCTACTTTGAGATAGTAATTATATTACTATAGGCATTTGTCAGACTTCAATGAACTGTACATTTTTAAAGGGTAAAAATTTTATTTATGTAAATTATACTTCATAAAACTGAAATTAATAAAGAAACATATGGGAGTAGAGGAGAAAACAGTATTTCAGACATTGGGGAAAAAAGCAAACAAAAATCTAGAAGTGTGGGAGCAAGGCATGTTATGGTGCTCCAGCTAACCAGTGTGGCTGGAAAATGGAATGTGAAGGTAGGAATATTAAGAAAAAACTTGAAAATGTGAGAAGACAAGCAACGAAGGACCTCAGATGCCACATTAAGGAACTCGGACTTGTATTTATGACAATGAAATTTTAAGTGAAGAAAAGATATGAGATCACCTAAATTTTAGAATAGTCACAGATTGAAGCATGGAGAACAGATTTAGGGAATCAATACTGGAGTCAGAAAGACTAGTGTAATAAAGTATCTGATTCCATATTTTGTGTTTGGCCACTCACAACTTTTAAGTCCCACCCTTCCATCATCTCCTTTTCCCTAACATCCAGGCAAGCTGAAAAGAAGGCCCACATTCATTCTCTTGGTGTCAGCAAGGAACTCAAATCATGCAAGTACATGACAACATAACACAGTTTCCTTCTCTGTTTTCTCAAGTCATTTTTATACCCACTTGGAAAGCTGCCCTGACCTCCTTAGAAGGCCTCATTATTTAACTCTTTTCATATCCTCTTGGTGCATGTATGGTATCATTAGTCTGCATTCAAACCAAATTTTAAATGGGTGTTTGATGCTGCCCTCCGTGAGGTGACCACAACAACTAGTTAAGCAACTGCTGGTGTCCATGACTGAATATGATGAAAGAGGGCAGGGTGAGTAGAGGACAGAGTCCAGAGTTGTTAGCAAAGAAGAACAAAACATATCCCCTCAGGGGATATAATAAAGAGAACTTCCAAGAATGTGTTGGGCTGACATCCCCGGGTAGATCAAGATTTTATTTTCAGATATAAGGAACAAAGAAGGAGAAGCATAGGGTCAGGCATTTTGAGCTTAAGGAGCCTAGAGGATATCTAAGGGGAAATATAGAGAAGGCAATTTTATATAAAGGTCTGTAACCTGTAATAAGTCTGAATCCTGCAGCAGCTGCTCCCTGCCTTCCTGCCTCTCAAATCCAATCCTGGCCATCCTGCTTCTCAGTCATCTCCTCCCCATGCTGGCTTTGTTTCAGTTCCTCGAGGTGGTTTTGCATGCTATGCCCGCTGGAATGTTCATCTTCAAGACTCTATGTCTCATATTTCATATCAGTTTAAATACCATCTCCCAAGGAAACCTTCTCTTATAAACTCGTTTTTCTTTCTCATCATTTTTTTTGTTTGGCTTTAAATTATTTACCATAATTTCAAATTGCTTTATTTTATTTAAGCTTCATAAATTCAAAAACTGTCAAATTTTGCTGTTGTAGCTGTAGTCTCAGTGTGGATACAATGCCTACGGTTAACCAGTAGGTTTTTGTTGTTGTTGCTGTTGTTGTTGCTGCTGTTGTTTATTTTTTGAGATGGAGTCTCCCTCTGTCGCCCAGGATGGAGTGCAGTGGTGCGATCTCGGCTCACTGCAACCTCTGTCTCCTGGGTTCAAGGGATTCTCCTGCTTCAGCCTCCCGAGTAGCTAGGATTACAGGCGTGTGCCACCACACCCAGCTAATTTTTATATTTTTAGCAGAGCCGGGGTTTCGCCATGTTGTCCAGACTGCTCTCAAACTCTTGATCTCAGGTGATCCACCCACCTCGGCCTCCCAAAGTGCTGGGTTTACAGGCATGAGCCACCGTGCCTGGCGTAGTCTTTTAATAAATATTTTGATTGACTTAAGATGTGACACGGAGTCGGGCGCAGTGGCTCACGCCTGTAACCCCAGCACTTTGGGAGGCCGAGGCGGGTGGATCACGAGGTCAGGAGATGAAAAACCATTCTGGCTAACACAGTGAAATGCCGTCTCTACTAAAAATACAAGAAAACTAGCCAGGCGTGGTGGCGGGCGCCTGTAGTCCCAGCTACTCGGGAGGCTGAGGCAGGAGAATGGTGTGAACCCGGGAGGCGGAGCTTGCAGTGAGCCGAGATTGCGCCACTGCGCTGCAGCCTGGGCAACAGAGCGAGACTCAGTCTCAAAAAAAAATAAAAATAAAAATAAAAACTAAATAAAAATAAAAAAGAAGATTTGACACGGTGCCTACACTATACTAGGAATGTAATAAATATTTCTTTAATCTAATTTAAATTTTAAAAACAAAACTGATTATTTTTTAAAATAGGCCCATTGTGATATTCTAAAGTGTTTATATATCACAGTTATATACAGAAAATCAACAATTTGGTTATCTTTTAATAAATGGTGATTCCTGGTCTCACTAATATTGAATGGTGTCTCTTAAAGAAATCAGTGTCAAGTCTCTTTAAATTTCAACTCCAAATCCTTGGGATGTAACTCTCAGCCCAGAGCTATATATAAACCTCTTAAAATCAGCCACTTGCAACATTCTGAGACAAAAACTGACTTGGGAAGAATAATTCACACTTCTGACCTAGCAACAAGATAAATCTGCTTTCCTAAAAACAATCAGTTTGGCCATAAACTGGTCATTTTTTGTGGGTGCCTTTACTTTATGCCAATAGATCATTGTCTAAAATCTCGACATATGCTGTTTTTCAAATAATAAAAGTGCATTAATTATTTTGTGATGCGTTATAACATTTTCTGCTATCTTTTTTTATGACACAAATCTAATTAGTACATATTCTTGAGACATCTAAAGTAAGAAACTTTATTAAACATTTTCAAACTTCTTCCTGAGCTAGTAGAAGAGCAAGCCAAATGAATTTCAAGTGACATTAAAAATAATCACAGCAAAAGGCTTGAGAAAAGGAATGACATAGTCAGCTTTAAATATGTATATTCCTATCACATGCTAATCATACTTGCAAAAATTGTAGAATTGCTTATTTGGTATCATTACTTGCTTGAACTACTTACTACATTCTTGAAGGTAATTAGTCCTCAGTAACCACACTTCCATGTATTCTTCTTTAAATAGAATACCTTTGTATCTAAAGTTAGATATAGAGAAGTTACCTTCTTTAAATAGATGCCTTTATATCTAGAGTTAGAACTTAAAGAGAAATATCTCCATAACAGCCAAAAAACCCAGATGTAGCGTATTACTGTACTCTACTATGTTCATATTTTTTTATTTTTCAACACGTAACCTAACAGGAAAGAACATGTAAATAAATAATCACTAAAACAAAATCATGTTAGATTTTCATGGCTCAAAAAATGGTTAAGAGATTTGAAACAACAACAGGTCTTTGTCATTTAAGAATACTTGGTGTCTCTGAAGGTTCATAGCAACAGTTTGTTTGTCTGCCTATCAGTATCAGTTTACATGCTCAAGTGATACTGAATTTTCTCTATTTATCTAGTCACGCTTCTCCCCACTTAGATGCTATTTTCAATCATCTTAATTCTGATATAATTCATCATATATGATAAATTGTAAGTTCCATACTGAACATTAACCTGTAATCCTACATTCCCTACACACAAAGAAATATCTTGCAGAAGCTATTGCAGAACCTTTAAATTAAAAGGAAAGTTAAAAGTTAACAAAATTTGAAAGAATATGTTGAAAGGTTAGAAAGGATCTAGGAGTTGTGAAAGAAAAGAATAGGTGAACAACAATGAATATTTAACTAACATTTCTCTTCAACAAATATAATTATCATTTGCCTTCAACAAATGTAACTGGGTCTGAGCAAACTTATAGATTTACAATGAATTCCTTAAAAGTTAGTGTAAAAGCAGAAACCAGAGCTGTCGCTCCCATTCTTTCAGAATGTTTTGATGAATCAGAAGTTTTTCTTAAAAATGCCTCAAAGAGTCAAAAGATCTTAACTATATTGATTATTTCATTTTTCACTATCTCTTTAAATTTTAAAAGAACATAAAAGTAAAAAGGAGAAGCCAAGGATTAAATAAAATACTTGACTATTTATTCAGAAATACTTCTTATTACTCTATTTTATTTTCCATCTTAATTCTGATTTATATGCTTTTACCACTGTCCAATAACTAATAAATAAGTTAATGAGATATTTAAAAGGTAATATGTTTTCTTACACTTTTTTCTTTTGATTCATTTACTATTTCTTGTAGTTACAGTCTTGTTTTATTAAGCACTTTGAGTCTACATATCATTTTAATGGAGGTATCAGGTGGGATGTCCTTCTCATTTACCCTACAATGAATACCCAGACATTCATCCATCCTACTCAGTCCTAGGCAGATATGTGAATTAATTCCTTGTCACCCACAATATTCCATCTTCATTGTTTTTCTTCCTCAACCCCCAAATCATTCACATAGTTTCCCCCAATAGCATCCATTTTCACAGGAGAATCAGTGGCCTCCTGCATCACATCATCATCTCTTAGGTGTCTAATATATTCATGAAAGTGTAGGTAAAAATGCCTAATAGAGTAAATGTGCTTGTTTTCACCAGTGATATCCACACAGGAAGAAGAAGAAAGATTTTAACCAAGAAAATAAATACGCATTTAAATTTAATTTTTAGAAATCAGTGAACCAAGTAGCAGATGGATGTGTTTTAGATATGCAATAGGATGAGGGGAGAAGACGTGAACATGTAAGTCCAGTATGTATGATGGTCCTCAAAATATTCATACTATTCTGTCCCTAATTAATATGCCTACAGGACAAACGCCTTCTTTGATTTTGTTTGTTATTTGATTTTTCTGTATAACCAACAGAGTAAGCAATGACTCACATTATCATCCCCATTTCAGAGTATTCTATATACTAGTCAAGCTCTGAGCCAGTTAGCATTGCCTTGTTTTAATGTTGTTCTTCCCTTAAAAAACAAAATCAATCTCATCAGGACTAATATATTTCAATAACACAGATCGATAAAGATTTATCCCCAATATAATGGCCAATACAATTGCACATCTTTAAAATGCTTCTCTCACTATAAAGTTTTAATTTATGTGGTATGATATAAACATTTGTATCCGGTTATTTACAACCAGTGTAAAACAAAACATTTTAAAAATTAAAATTTGCAATGGACCATCAACTTTCAATGCTCTGAAATACCCAACTGATAGCCCAATCTAATCAATATCCATGAGCACACCAAGCCTCCTTTATCACCTATGTTACATACCACCATGTGTAAAGATAATTCTTTTGTTATCCATTAAAAGTTTCAACAAGTCTCTGGAAAAAGATTAAACTCCCATCAATAATGAAAAACTCAGTGTCAATATCTACAGATTTAAAAAAAAAACATTTTTAACATGATGCCAATTCAGCATTGCTAACTTTAGGCATGTTTTTATTAACAGTACATTTTTCCATATTGTTTCCCATAAGTAATTTTATTTTTAAGTACTTTATAATCAAGTGAAATATTACGCATTTTTCCGGATGTTATTAATTACTAGCTGGATGGCATTAGCTCTTCGAAAACTCTGGGACATCTTTTGTGAAATTACCATCACAATGCATCATTCACATCTTAGTAACATGAGAATATTAATGTGTTTCTGAATGCCTCTTACCTGAGAAACCAATTATTCAGAAATACAAGCTACAAACTTAAACACATGACATCGGTACCATCAAACGCGTTTTTTTCTGGGAAAAAAATCCATGCCATTCAGATCAAAGCTGGTTTTAAATGTAAAATCTTGAGAAATAAAGAGTAATCACTAGCATGCTTTCCAAATATTACCTCAACTAGCATAAAATACACTGTGATTTTTGAAAATATATGACCTCTAAGTATTACTGGAAACTAAAATCTTTTCACATTCTATTTTCTACTTTTTATAATTTATTACACAGCATATTCGTAAGTTACAGAAACATTTTTGCAAAGTTAAATCTTAGAATTTAGGAAAAGCTCTTGTCAAATTATCATGGAATACCATAATGCACTGGTGAGCACAGAAGTCTATTACCATACATTTATTTTATTATTATGATTTCATAGCAATGATGAGTGCAAATATTATTAATGGAGGTTTCACATCATATCATCTCTTTTAAGGACACTGTTAGTGGGAAATGAATTCAGTCCTTTGCTGAGACTATATGAACCAACAAGATTTAAAAACCATTTCTCTTAACCATTTTAAAATAAAATTGGTCTAAATGAAAATAATTAGATAATATATTTTTAATTTTTAAGAAATATAATATTGAGAATTGAAAATTTTATTACTAGATGTTTCTAAACTGAAAACTAAATAGATTTAGTAATGTCCAAAGCTATCACTCCTTCCACATCTTAGAGATGACTTGACATATATCCAGTTCATAATGTAATCAATGTATAGAGGCTACCTGTCATTCAAGCTGAAAACATCCAGACAGTTACTATTTTTGACCCTTAAATAAATGTAGAAACAAAAGTATACATCACCGCTATATGGCCATCCACATATTTAATGGCAGTCATAGCCTAAGTAAGCATGCAGAGAAAAACCTTCAGATAGAGCATGAATTAAAAATGAGACATTCACATCTACTTCTGAATTTTCCTCTTATTAGCATGGAAGTCATGGGCAATACCTACTTTTTAGGGCTATTATAACTATAAAATGAAATAATGTGAAAGCACTAAAGAAACGTTAGAAATGCAGACAATATGAGGCATTACTATTTATATTCTGTGATTAAAATATGTCAAATGAACAAAGTAACTGCATTTCTGCACTTTAGAACAGAAACCTGTTTGTCAGAATTTATGCAAAAATAAAACACATTCATTCATCCACATTTCTATCATCTTCCCCATCTTCCAATTAAGAGAATTTGCTGTAATCACATTTTTACACTCTTTCTGATTATTGATTAGTGTTCATATTTGCAAACAACAGAATCCAACTGGGCTAATTAAGCAGAAACCTGTCTATGAAAACATATCAAGTAGCTTTCAGAATCTCTGAAAGGGCCAGAAAATTGAACTTGGATACTAACAGCCATAAATACTGACTAGCCTTGTGTCCAAGCACAATTCAGAACACCACTGTTCTACCCCTGCTGCTCTGGACATATAACATTTGGGACTGGGTAACAGAAATTTACCAAAGCTTTCCCACAAAAATAGAATGTCATGGCCATCATGCTTCCAAAAGGTCACATTTCCACTTATATGACACAGTCATGTTACTTTTCCTCAATGCACACTAAGCAAGTCAATTCCCAGTATCTGTTACACTATGTAGGAGAACAAACTGATTCTTTCTTTTGGCATTCATTTACTTACTTCTATGTGCCAAATACAGTTGTAGGCATCGGTGAAAACATTTGAATAGCACAAGATCCAGGCCCATGATAAGCTTCCAGCCTGAAAAAGACAATATGTGGCAATTAATGGCTAAAAAATAACTTTACATGTGGGTAAAACACAAAAGATAGAAAATACCAGAAAAATACAAACATGCCTATTGGCCCTCCTGCTCAGTATCCATAGGCTAGGTGATATGGTTTGGCTCTGTGTCCCCACACAAATCTCATCTTGTAGCTCCCATAATTTCACATGTTGTGGGAGAGTGCAGGTAGGAGCTAATTGAATCATGGGGGCAGGTCTTCCCCATGTTGTTCTCATGATAGTGAATAAGTCTCACTAGATCTGATGGTTTTAAAAATGTGAGTTTCCCTGCACTAGCTCTCTCTCTTTGCCTGCTGCCATCCATGTAAGATGTGACTTGCTTCTCCTTGCCATCCACCATGATTGTGGGGCCTCCCCAGTCACATGGAACTGTAAGTCCATTAAAGTTCTTTCTTTTGTAAATTGCCCAATCTCAGGTATGTCTTTATAAGCAGCATGAAAATGGAATAATACCTTCCACATTTGCAGATTCAATCTATTTCTCATAAAAAATATTTGGAAAAAAATTAAAAATACAACCATAAAAAATAATACAAATAAATAATACAGTATATAAAATATTTACATGGCATTTAAATTGTATGAGGTATTATAAGTAATTTAGAAATGATTTAAAAGATATGGAGGATATGCTTATGTTATCCTATGCAAATACTGTCATTTTATATAAAGGACCTGAGCATCCATGGATTTTGGTATTCACAGGGAATGTCCTGGAATCAATCGCCCATGGATATGGAGGGATGACAGGGAGTGGGGGAATATGTAAACACACATCTGGACCACTTAGTACCTCATTTGCTAAAATTATTGAATATATTTTTTAAAAAACAGGCAGGCATCCTTTTAACATTAACAGTAACCTATTTTAATCACAGACATTTTATAATTGTGTGCCATATAGTAGATACTTAGAGTATCTGAAGAAATTTAATTAGAAATGTAATTAAACAAGGTATTTAATATTTCATGCTTTATTATACGACATTTTAAAAAGATATTCTTTTTTAAAGCACAAATTACCTGAATTCTTTCAACACAATTATTTTTTAAAGATGGAAAGTTATAATACTAAATGGGAAATACTTAGAGCAAGATCACCAATGAGAAAATGCAGTAACAAAGAAAATAACCTATTAATTGTGCTACAAACTCATGTTTTCACATGTGATAATATATTGCTATATAGAGAGACACAATTTTCTGACATAATGAACCTCCAGTTTATGAAGATACAAAAAGATACTTTGGTAATCAATATAATTTTAACAAACTATCAAATCTAGAGTATTTGTAATAAATGGAATGTCCTGATTAAATGTTGAAGAGATTTGGAGGTGAAGGAAGAAAAGAAGGGAGAGAAAGCAGAAACAGTAGCCTTCTGAATTCCAAAATCACTAGAAATGGATTTTTAGTTACCTCTGATTTTTCTGCTCTCCATCCAGATATATTTTAATGCATTCTCATGTAAATAGAAGAGTCTCCCAGGGCACGAATATGTTGTAACAAGTTGAATAAAACTCTTTCAGTTCATTCTTTCTCCAATACGCAATGCACTTAGATGAAATATCTTTTACATCTCCCAGAAAAAAATCTGATATTCAGTGATTTGTAAAGTGAGACTTGAACTTTTTTTAAAGCATATTGTTTCCCCTTGTCTTTTATCCTGACACACAGTCTGAAGTTTTTGTCTTTTCTGATAAAAGCAGAATTATAGACTCATTTGAAATTTTCTTTAACTTTCATTATACTCCATTTTAGGCAAAACTACTCCTGCACTTTGTAGAGTTGAGTATAGAGGTAGCACTTTACACACCAACTAAGAACAGTATATTTTTCAGAGACTGAATTTTTTTTTTTTTGCTGCTGAAATCCCTAATGGGTCAAAAAACATAAGAAAACATATCTATATGTTTCAGGAACTGAGAATCTTAAATTGATTAGGAAAGTGTATCCCTATCCAAATATATTAACTATAAATTTAGTCCCTACTCAATCATGGCTCTTACGTAAATAACACAATAGTATTATTAGGGGACAGAAAAATACTTTGTAGGATTTCCAGTATAAATGTCTTCATCCAACATTGCATCTCAAGGAGACATGTCAGGAAACACTCAATTACATACTCTAGTTATAAACTTCACGTGAAGTTTTTAAATTTTGGGTAAGTAGATCGAATACATCCAACTTTATAAAATTTTCAAAATCTGAGTTCAAGTTTTATAAAGGGATTTTAATAGACTAATAGTTTGCCTATTGTCTTCATCATTTAATTTCTAAAATATTCAAAAAGCTGCCTTGGCCATTATTTTTTGGTTTCTTTTCTCTACAATGCCAGTGATGGTATGGTTTTCCTTACACAAGGATAAAAAAGTAGAATGGTGACTAAGCAACATAGTGTAATATTAGAAGCACTGACTCCAGAAGAGTTTTTCTTTCTCCAGGACTAAATTCTCTCTTTTAGAGTAACACTTTTAAATTGCATAAGAAATATTATGCTCTTATGTCTTGAAACCCAATACTAACTTTAGTTAAGACGATAATCTAAAAGGCCTTATCAATTCCCTTATGGTCACTATATTCCAGGCAGTACATTGTTGCTAGAAAAAAAAAAAAAAAAAAAAAAAATATATATATATATATATATATATAAAAGAAATTATCCTAATCTCAAATGTAAAAGGATTTATTTGAATTAACAAAATTAGTACTTTATATGACATGAGTTATCTGATTCTAAGTGAATGGGAGTAAGGATGTAGAGAACACAAGCAGGAAAATACAAGGGGTCACTTTGGCAGACTATAATTTTTACTATTGAATCCAATCCCAGCAGATCATAATTACTCTCCATTTTGAATTATTCACTCTAACTATTTTAAGCAGAAAGTTATGTAACACTGGATATTACCTGACTATAAAGTTATTGGAGGAACAGAAAAACCAGGCTCAAGGCAAATCCCTAATTTCTTTTTCTGATTTAACTTATTACAAAATGTGAATTGAGTCACTTTTTTCTCTAGGGTCCCTCACCCTCAACACACATATAGTATGATTGATGATTGTATAAATTATGAACATGTAAGCCTTACTAAGTCAAGTTTCCAAGTAGAGGACAAAGCAATGTCTCAAAGAGTACAGAATAAAAGAACCTCTCCGGCAGAGAAATCTTTCTAAAACAATAATTCACTTATAATTATTGAATATGTATGTATTTACTTGACATTATTAAATGGTGAACACTGAGAATGCAAAGACCAAAGGCACAATCCATGAACTCAAGGAATTCAGTGTCTCTTGAAGGAGAGAGATAAGAAATTCAGTAATTCTACTGAAGTGTAATAAATGCTATAAAAGATGCCATCACAAGTTATTAAAATGATACAGAAAAGACATCTTTATTACTATGCATGTCCTTGCTTACATATTTTCCTTGCCTTTCAGCAATCCAACTGATACTGAATTACCTGAACTTGACTTTCTCTCATACAGGCATAATTTCCTATGATAACCATTTCCTACCAGTCACTAAATCTCACCTAGCCTTGCTTTCTTGCTTTGACCTACACTGATCCAATTGTATAAAACAATGACAGCCTTCATCTGTTCAACAAGTCTTTTTTCACTGCCTTGGAATACAGCAGCGACCAGACTGTGAACTTGAGGATAAGAAGGCAGCCGAGGAAAAAAGGTCTACATGGGGCAGTCTACAATAAGTGGGTATTACCAGGGGACATCAACTGTGCAGAAGGGGACTAGATGGCCTAAGGAGAGTATTGCCAGGAGCAGATATCTAGAAGGAGGGGAAAGTTTGTCATGATAGAACCTTGTTTACTTTGAAATTTACCCCAATTATGTGTTATTATATTGTTGATTAACATGTTAATATTTTTAA
Source organism: Homo sapiens (assembly GCF_000001405.40). Lineage (NCBI taxonomy): Eukaryota > Metazoa > Chordata > Mammalia > Primates > Hominidae > Homo > Homo sapiens. The sequence continues at coordinate 193,895,343 of NC_000001.11, read as the reverse complement.
ACTACAAGACTGTTTATACAACATCGTCAGCTTCCTGCAGTATATTTTGAGTGGCAAGAGCATTTCTCACTAATTCCACTTGCTAAAATTCCCACTAAAATTACTATTTAATTGGAAATGTTATCTGAGAAATAACACATTATCAAATAATTATCTTTATTTGTCCAGTCATTAAATCACCTCAAATGATCACAGGGAAATGATCACAGGGACTGGAGGAAACTGCCAGTACATGGAGACGATCCTCAACAGGGATTTGAGAGAGAGAGAGAGAGGAGCAAAATGCATAATGGAAGAGTTGGAGCTTAAGCACTTGAAGTTTGAAAGCTCTGGAGCTATGCAAAAACAGAGAGGAGAAGGATATTTTCAGCCACAAAATAATTTGAGATTCAATTGCTATGTAACACATTACTATCATTTCATAAATAGGTTCAGATAAGAGCCAGCTCATAAAGCATTAGCAGAATGATTTTGCACATAGTGAGCACTTTTTTAAGAAGTCTAATTCATTAACATATCTTCTTTCCACTGCTCTTTTCTTCCTTTGCCCTTTCCATTGATGGAAATGTATTCAAAGGAAATAAACTTCTAATAACCAATATAATTTTCAAGATAAATACCAGAGCTCAAAATGCTTTCCCTTTTATTTAAGCTACTTTTCCAGCTTTAATTATAAATGTGTATTGTTCTCCCAACATTCCTCCTACAAAGACCTAGGTTAGATTTCAAGTTCAGAATACTTGCAGAATTCTTTAACATATGAAAAATACTTGTATAAGAAGTTGTTTACTGCTTCAAATTTAATTTTAGCTTCTATGGTAATATCAGTAATTAGCTATGTGAAGTGCTACTAAGTGCAGCAAGCTTGTTATAAATATTTCCTAAAGGATAGAAACAGAAATACTAAAATGAATTATTCAAGCCAAGAATTACAAAGAGAGGGCCTTTTCTTGCTGATCACCAGTGGGTAAAAGCATATTCATCTCAGTTTATAAAAAAAAAAAAAGTTTCTTGATATTAGCTTCAGAATTGTTCTAAATGTTAAAAGAATAAAAATAAGAAAATAAATAATTTGATGCAAATATTCCTTAAATTTTTCTGTAGGAAGCTGAACTAAAAATCAAGATATAAAATCATTTATGGGATATATCTGACAAAGATAAACCTTTAGGACCAGAATTCTCTGACAAAAAAAAAAAAGCATGAATTTCAGTTTGCAAAAAGCCCCTGAGGTGTGAAATGTGTCTTTCTCCCAGAAGCCTCTATTTCACTAGTGCAGAGCTCAATCAGTATTATATATCCTGCATCCCCTCACGTAAAACAATAAAATGTGTGCGTGTTTGCTACTTAAAAATTATCCAGCCATGACTACATTAATTGTGAAGCTTTGGTGACTCTATTTTCACTTTGAGTATTTTCTTAAATTATCAGCTCAGGTGTTTTCATTTGGCAGTTTCTTATTAGTCATATACTTAGCCATAAATCAATGGGAAATACTACTTTAGGAGGGAAAATGGCATCAATATCTCACATATATACTCAGCAGCCAGTTGACAGATGTGGTAATTTCATCACTATTTACTGTAAATTCTTCTGCAACAGACAAAATAAATTTGTTTTCTCCATTCGGTATAATTTAGTTTTATAAGAATGTAGTCTTATGAAATATCAAAGAATACTTTATGGCTAAAGGTACAAGGAAAGTAAACTTTTCCTCATTTGGGTGTATTAACTCTCATGCAACAAAGTAAAGAACAGACAAGAGTTTATAATCAAGAAAAGAGTGAAAGAGAGAAATATTCAGGTTCATGAATTATACCAAACTGTTGATTAAGAAGAAAAAACCTCACCTATTATGCCTTTCCATTATATGATAAAATATGATGTAGTACAATGAAAATAATCTTGCTGACCAGAAAGCCTAGGTTTGGAGAGTGGCTCTACCATTTGCTACTTAGAAGGCCTTGGGAAAGTCATATCACTTCAATGGGATTAAGTTTCATTATTTGCAAAATATTAAAGTATCTATATTTTAAAGAAATTTGTTTTATGTTTTGAAGATATTATAAAGCTTAAATGATTACCTATCCCCACAACCTGACACATAATTGGCTCTCTATAAAACATGTAAATATGAATATTACACATTTAACCTTTCATGATTTTATTTCACTTCTTCCTTTTGATTTAAGTAACTCACCTCACTGCCTATGCACTTAAGGTTAATAAATACTGGAAACAAATTGGACCCTAATTATGTTCATGTCATCTCTGATTATTTTTTCCTAAGAGGTCTCTAGTGAAATAGTCACTTATTTCTGTCAATTAGCTTAGATCTTAAACATATAATGTTTATTATTTATGTACACACTTTTGTAAACTTTGGCAATTATTTAGACTCACAAAATGACATTTCATAATGGAAGGCATAAATATTCATTTAAGCAAAACAATAGTAACTTAATAAATATTCTAATAGCTGCCACCATTAATGGATATTAGCCAAGATATTGAGCTATAATAGATAATATATCTGAGGACGAAGAAGAGGAGATAAGGAGGGAATAAAACAAAGTCAGGAATTATGCATAAGATTATGCTAGGAGATCATTTCCAGGATGAAGATATTTAATAGAGAATATGTAATTAATAGTACTCTTTAATTATTGTAAGGATCTTCATATGATGTTAAGGGAACAATGGATTTAGAACTAGAATATTAATTTGAGTTCAATACATTCTACTATCAGCATGTAAACTTATCAATTATTTTATTATTTTACAACTTAATTTTGTATCATATATAAAGTGGAAATAATTGTCCTTTGAGCCTCATAGAGTTGTAACAAAATTTGAGATAATGTATATTAGGGCTTTATAAAAATGGTTTACAAATAGTAAGCAGTATATAACTATAACTAATTATATTGGTAGCAGTGATGCTAAAAATTTTTCACGAGGTAAAGTCTTTTGTCACTTGCTAGTGGACTGACAAGCAGAAGCACTATCTAATGAAAGAAGAATAAACACAGTCTGAAAGACCCTTTCACTAATATTATTCTGGTCAAGTCTTGTCATTTCATTTGCTCCTGTGTAAGTTAGATATTATTATCATTATTCAATAAGGTTGTAAATTGTAATTAAAATACCACTCATTAATGGTCTAGCAGAGTAAAAAGCATATATAACATTCTCTTTCTATCCTCCCATTTTTACTATTCAATTCTAAAACCTGCACCAACCTCAAGCAAAATGATGACGTGCTTTGCCTTCAGTGACCCAAATCTTTCTCCATCCCAGATGAACAACCTATCCTGAGACCTCTAGATCTTGACCCTTTGGTAATCACTCAGCCTCTCTGCATTCAAGAGTCTGTTCAGTCATCACTCAACATTTATGGAACGCCCATTATGAGCCAAACACAGAAATGCTTAAAATATCTCTTGCCCTTGATGTGCTCCCAACAAAATCATAGAAATACCTAAGTGTTCTAGGTAAAGAGGAGAGTCAAGTCAAAGCTAGAAGATCTCTAGGGAAAGATATTAGAGTATAGCACCACTCATACAAAATCAAACCTTTTCTAATCCACTTCTCTAGTCATAACAACCAAATAACTCTCCAGCTTATTTTTTTTACACTTCTGAGGTTTTAAGTATGTATTTGGTCATATTTTGACCAAATATATTCCTGCTGTTAGAAAAAATCGGTTCAGATCCCACTAAGCAAGTGAAAAGTACTGGTAGAAAAATTAAAAATCATATTTAAATATTTGTTTGTGATAATCAATGTAGTTCTTCTTAGTCATCAGAAAGAGGGGAAATGTCTAGCAGGGAAAAATACTAATATTGATAATGTGCTGTGGGGACAGATTTTGATAATTTAAATTATGTAATAGTGTGATGAACTTACTGAAGTTAGAAAAATACTCATTTCACTTTTTTATAATTGGGAAACAGGTAAAAAGAATTTTTTATATAAGTATTTTAAACAAATTTTAGTCATTGTCAACATTTCAATAGCTCTGGTTTTAAATTTTGCTACCTATTTAAATGGCAAATTTCAGAAAACTTTTCCAATAAGTGAGAGAAACATAGAAAAGGGAACATTTGAGTGTGAATTTCCCTAGGACTTATTACACTAGAAAGGCTGCACATTAATGAGTAAAATGTGAGGAATTAGGGGTGGATCTCAAGTGACAGAATGATTTAAGAGAATACTAAGCTGCTTTAAAGCTTCATATACTGAATAATGGCAAAACATAGGAGCTGGGAATTTCAAGGGAACTAATCTAGGGTCATGTGAAGAAAATGTCAGCATAATAGGACACATAAAGAGCTAATTTCTCATCTTCAATTAAAAAAATGATTACCATCGAATTCAAACTCTGGTATAGACTTATTAAAGGCCTATTATGTTAATTCCTTGTATTAATGAATTTTATATTTTTATTTAGCTGATATAAAAAAATAAAGCCTCAAGAGAATATTAGCAGACTTTGGACCAAGCCTATTAAGGAAAGACTTAAATACAATATTTTATAATATAAACTTTTAAAAAATATATTATCCTTATTTGTGTGTCTATAGATACTGAGAGAAAAATATATATGAACCCATGTAGCTTACTTAGCATATACATATAAATACAAAAGTTAAAAACAGGATTTATTATCAATACTATTACTATAAAAATATTTAGCTTAATTCTGAAAGAATTTTGAAATAAGAATAATATATTTCCCACATAAATCCTTTCATATAATGTGTTCATTCCTTTCCTGGTTTTATTACTGATAGAGCATGTAAAATGAAAATATACATTATTCTCTCATTTCACTCTTTATTACAAACAAATTATAGTATATGATTTTGTTTCAAATATAGTTTCATATAACTGAAACTATAAACATAGCAAGGAAAGACAGAATATAACAATATAACAGTGTTAAGATATATAGCTTAATACAGATGCAGTTTTTAAAAATTACTCTTTTGGTATCTGTAGCTGCAGGGATTCTTTTGTTTGCTTGCTTGCTTCTTTCACTTTTCTCCTTTATTTCTTTGCTTTCTCTTCACTCCAATAAGTTCTTCCAAGATAAAAATATTGGTAGTAGGCATCCTTTTTCAGTTATGATTGTTTACAGAATTCAAGAATGATTCTGTCTTTATTTTCCTAAGTGAAATTCACCTCAGCAGCAAAAATTCGTGTGTTTTTAGATATAAAAGTAAAAAGCCCATTTAGAATTTAAAAAGAAAAATCCAAGTCTCAATGGATTATATACTTTTTTTAATTTTGAAGCCCATTCCTCAATTTAAAGATTTTCTCCTTCGTCTCCAAGTAGAGAGGTGAAGTTTACAGACCATCACTCATGCAGGTAAGTAGCAGTGACTATGGAGCTCATGTCATTTTTAGTTGTTTCGAAGTGGCCAATCATAACACTTATACTCTCTTTTCTTGATATCCGGTGTTGGAACTAACAGATGGCAATCATTTGTGTAATCACACCTTTAGACTTCTCATAGATACCTTCAAAAGAGCCATCACTCTGATGTTCTAACTGTGCTCATGCATACATGCTCACATCTGATCTGTCTACCATTTTACTTCTACCAACTTACTTCTTCCTCATTACTGGGCACACAGAAATGTTTATGTCTAATCTATGCCCTTCTCAGGGTCCAAGGAAACTTCTAGGAGAATTATGCTTCCAATCTACTTGTTCTTTCCCTTATATTAGGGTTGCTGAACACATAATAAAGCTTCTGTTTTCAAACTCTAGCCAGAAAACAAAATCCCAGGGTATTGTACTCTTTCAGTCCCTGCAACTTAAATGAATTCTTTTTTTCTTTCTATTACTGAAACATCATAGATTTGGTCTAGATCCTGCTGCTTGCTACACAGAAAGCCAATCACTGAAACAAGTACTGCCAGGGAGGAAGGTTTTATTCAGGTGCTGCAGCCCAGGAGATGGGAGTTCAGTCTCAAATTCATCTCCCTGACTGACTAAAATTACGGCATTATATGACAGAAATGTAACTACATGTAGAAAAACAAGAATTAGGAAAGGGTAAGAAAGATAATTTGGTCAACACAAAGCAGGTGGTCAGATAGGTAATCATGATGGGTGAAGGGTCTAGCATCTTATTGTCCAGATGCAGTGACCTAGTAAACTTCAATTCCATGATACTATCTAGAAGGCCTGAAGGTTGGTTTCCTGAGAAAGAAACTTTAATAAAACAAAGGAACTTTCTCAAGTTTCAAGACTGGGAGAATCCATTTCTATGTGTATTCAACAGAAGCTATAAAGCTAAGTTCTGTGGGACAATTAGGTCAGTTTCAATTCACCCCTACCTTTCTATTTTTCAACTCCTCAATCATGAGGAATCCACCTGGCAATCTTTTAGCTGCTTCATGCTGAGGAGGGGTGTTGTGGGCAGCTCCATGCCATGGCTGTCCACGTGGCTACCCAGGAAACAAAGGTTAATCTACTACTATAGTTTCCTTTTGAAACACAATCTTTCTCTCTCCAGTATCCTACTGCCACCAAAGACAAATCACAAGACCAGCCCACCTGCCAAATAAGCTTTAGTCCCATATACTTGGCCTGATTACCTATACAATCTGCAACAAGAATCATTGTCCATATAGGTTCTCCTAAATTGTCTTTGCTGGAACCTCTCACAAGGCCATTTCAGTTAAAGCCTTAGGAAGAAAACCAGTTCCCCAACTGCATCCCATAGGTTCTTATTAAACATATGTGAACAAGCACATTGCCATGAATTAATAATATTCATAAATAGTTTACAAATTCTAGATATTAGGCAGAGGGAAAGAGAAATAGGCCTCAACTTCTGTTTACAAGAGTATACTCTACTCAATCATTAAAGTCTATAAATAGCTCAAAAGAAAAACATGATCCAGCCTCTGAGAAACAAAGCAAAAAGAATCAGCAACATTTCAAACAAGAAAAAAGCCATAAAAATTATTTCAGTTATTCATTAGTTCAGTCCATGCAATCAACTTCTGCTCTGCTTCATATTTTATTAGGAATCTTTATAAACACATCAGCCGTTCAATTAGAGTCCTGAAAGTTTTCCCTCTAATCTCATGGCACAACATTTAGGGTTATCAGAAACCTGCATTCTAGAGACCTTTTCATGAACTCCCCTGAAGAAGGAAGCCCTGGGCTGCAGATGATTATAAGTCACTTTTTGAGAAGAATCAACAGAAAAGAATAATTGTGGATGATAAAAGTCCTAGGACAGTTATAAGTAAAGATGCAGTTGTGTATTAGTTCATTCTCACAATGCTATAAAGATACAACCAGAGAGTGGGTAATTTATAAAGGAAAGAGGTTTAATTGACTCACAGTTCTGCATGGCTGGGGAGGCCTCAGGAAACTTAATCGTGGCGGAAGGGGAAGAGGCACATTTTACATGGCAGCAGGTGAGAGAGCGCAAGTGTGTGTCACCACAGGAAAAACTAACATTTATAAAACCATCAGATCTCGCCGGGCGCGGTAGCTCAAGCCTGTAATCCCAGCACTTTGGGAGGCCGAGGCGGGCGGATCACAAGGTCAGGAGATCAAGACCATCCTGGCTAACGCGGTGAAATCCCGTCTCTACTAAAAATACAAAAAATTAGCTGGGCGTGGTGGCGGGCACCTGTAGTCCCAGCTACTCGGGAGGCTGAGGCAGGAGAATGGTGTGAACCTGGGAGGCAGAGCTTGCAGTGAGCTGAGATTGTGCCACTGCACTCAAGCCTGGGCGACAGAGCGAGACTCCGTCTCAAAAAAAAAAAAAAAAAAACCATCAGATCTCATGAGAATTCACTTACTACCACGAGAACAGCATGAGGGAAACCACCTCCACGATCCGACCAATTCCCACCAGGTCTCTCCCTAAACACCTGGGATTACAATTCAAGATGAGATTTGAGTGGGGACACAAAGCCTAAGCATATCAAGTTGACAAGAAAATTTGGTTGTTTCTGTGACATACAATAATTTAACATAATAATCATAATCATTACTGACAACATACATTAAGACATATCAGAATTTCAGAAATGTCATAAAATCCTGGAACACATACAGAAATATAACCCAAAGAATGTTAAAGACCACCTCACATTTTACAATGCTTTCTTTGGAGTTCTAACATACCAGATAAGCATAATATATCTCTCTTGGACTTTGGGGGATGGCAATACCCATAAAAGTTAGTTTGAGGTCAAAAAGACTGAATTTAGAACTCAAAATTTTGCTGTTGAAAATTCTGGCAAAAATCAAGGGTTTAAGGCATTTGATATCACCAAATAGGATCACAGGTTACTATAAGTCATTCATTTAGCCAAAATGATAAAACAGAAACGTTTACACTTTTATAGAGAGGAAACTCAGTTTCGTTAATAAAGACAGCATGAGGCCTATTGAATTTGTCTCTCCCTCTCCCTCTTCTTTTTCTTCTGTATTTTTACTCATAAGATAAAGAAAAATCTTTTATTATCACTTACATTAAAATTTTGTTCAAAAAAAAATTGTCCTTTGTATGTATGTTATTAATGTGAAAGCTAATTTTAATAAAACCTATAAACAAATCTATCTAATTTTAATCAGTTTGACCATAAGGTACAATTTTCATAAACCTTTATTACCTTTTACAATTTTCTTTTAAAGAACAAATAAATGCTCTAAGAAAACCCTGTTATTTCAACACACGAGCCTAGATGCTGGCCTTTCATCAGTGTGCTTTTGATATTAACTTTTAATTTATAAAAAAACCTCTCAACTAATCTTATCCCTTAAAATCGGCCCTTACAATTTCATGAACCCACCTCTTCTGCTATAGTCTCTGGGCCTAGGGGGATTGAATAGTTTTATTCTCTAGCACTATGTCTTAGTAAAGTAGTTTATTTTAATCATCACCTTTTTCAGAGTCTGAAGATAAGGCTTCAATGTGTCAATTCTCAAGATTTAGCAGGAGTTGGTTCCTTTTTCAGATGCTAGAGTGAAAGCTCTGTAACTAAACAACAAAAGGATTTGTTAATAGGATATTTAGACTGCAAAATCCTATCATTCTCTCTAACATGTCACGAATGAAAAAGCTGACTTGGTGTCTAGTAGATACTGCCTGCAGCACTTCAATTCAAACCACTGTATTAAAGTTACTCACTGCATATGTCTAATTGCTAGCATTCTAATGACAGAACTGCAACCAAAAGCATCAAAAATGTGATAGGTCCTGTGCCAAACTTTTCAGAGAAAAACAACTAACTTTTTTCTCCATCAACAAAAAAAATGTTAAATGCAAGTATCAGTTTTGGAAACTCAGTATGAAGATAAACAATTTTCTTTCACTTACTTAAATTATATACAACAAAACAAGGACAAAGTAAAACAAGCACACAATAATTTAAGCTATTTAAAAGAGCACCATCACATATTTCTAAGACTGGTTCTTAGATACAATACTGAAAACTGATTAGATAACTTCTGCCACTAGAATCTTCAAACCAGTGCAATACTTGTGCATATTTTGTTTTCAAGTACACACATGAAGGCCCATGAGCAATAAATGGCTTAGGATGAAAAATTAATGGCAGCGGCTGCTACCATCTTGCCGGCTGCAGCAGCGAAGTGCATCTGGGACCGCACACTCCATGGAGCCAGTGGGAGTCCTGCCCCTTCTGAGTTGGGATAGGAGCTCTGTGAGCCGCTACAGTCACCCAAAATGCAACAGCAGACCCAGGCCTCCTGCTCTATAGAGCAAGTAGGAGCCCTGCCTTCCCGGGAGGACTACGGCCTTCCAAACTGCAGCTATGGATCCTTGCCTCCTTGTGCTCTTGGAGGAGCTGGGAACAGATAGGATCTACCTTCCTGGGTGCAGCTGCAGCCCTACTCCCCCTGGCTGCAGACCTGGGCCTCCCACTCCAGGAAGCAGGCAAGAGCTTGGGACAAGCGGGAGCCCAGCCCCTTCCGAGATGGCAGGGCAAGAGCTCCCAGATGCAGCTGTGGCCACCCTCCCAGGCACAGAACCGCAGCGTCTCTGCAGCCTGCACCCTCAGGGGCCTCAGGAAGGACTCCCCCAGTCCCTGCATGTTTGGCGGTGTCTGCTCCCACTGCCTGGCCTCTCTCCACTCCTGGTGCCTGCTCTGATCTTGAGCAGGAGTTGGGGCCAAGCCCTGGGGCCATGAATGGCAGCTCTGGAGGCAGATGGATTTCTGGGCGGAAGCTGGCCAGTAAGTCCCCACCTTCATGTCAGAGAGGGCCTGAAGGCTGGGGGCTGGGCTGCCAGTCCTACAGATGGGAGGGGGGCCCATGGTGCCTCTTCTGGCCATCCGTGGCTGGCCACGGACCAATCACAAGCACTTCTTCCCCTCTGAGGTCTATAAAAGCCCTGGGCTCAGTCAAAGCAGGGCAGGGGATGGCCAGAGGATGAAGAAGGCAGAGAGAGAATGGGATAGAAGACCAACTGCAGAGACGGGTACCCTCCTGCTGATAGCTGGAGACGATGAGACGACCAGCTTACTGTCTCCATTGAGAGCTGCAGAGACAACCTGCTGGCAGAAAGGGTCTAACTTCTTGGCTGAAAGCTTGAGACCTGCAGAAACGTCTGAATGACTTGCCTGCAGAGAGGAGCCACCCTCTACAGGGCCTCCTCTCTGCTGACAGCTGAACACTCCACAGGATGGCTTGCCTACAGAGAGGAGCTACGCACTCTTCTTAGCTGTTCTAACACTAAATAAAACTCTTCTTCTTCACCCATCACTTGTCTGCATACCTCATTCCTCCTGGATGCAGGACAAGAACTTGGGCAACGGTGCCATGGCCACAGAGGTTTCTGGCCAGAAAAATAGACACCCTAGAGATCTTGAAACAAAATCACTAGAAAGTCTCACAATTTTTATTACGACTTCATCCAAATGAATGTAACTTAATTTTAATAACAAACACAACTAAATTATTTGAAAGAAATTCCAATTAATATAATTTTCTTAAGGACAAAGCTAATCTTTCCTGAACACTAAAACACTGTACCCATATCACAGTTGTTCCTCATTACCTAAAGGAAAAGGTCTGAAAGCAACTTAAATTATTAATTGAGTTGAATTGCCTTGGAAATAAACACTATATAAAAATTTTTTATTCTCACCTACTTTTCCAAATGAGAAAATATATACTGTACTATTTTTGCTCAGAGCTTATAAAAATAAGTATTTTATTTATTTATTTATTTATTTTTTGCCAGGAACCTTAAAGCTCTTGCAGCTCTGTTGATCATCCGGGGTAAGCAAAACCCATCAAATTTTAAATGGCTGGTGTGTTCTATAAGTTTTTGCAGGCTTAACAGTGGTATCTTAGGAACTTTAGATAAATAGAGCAAATGATGAAATTTTGGAAATGCATATGAAACAGAATGACTCTTTATAGAACTAAATACAAGCCTTCCACGAGAAACTTAAAAACATCAATGGTTTTATATATGTATATATAAGTAAAACTCAGGAGAGAACAAATGGCAAATAAATGAAAATTAGAAGCAAAAACAACAAACAAGAAACAAAACCTCAAATATTCTCCTACTCAGTTTACCTTGGAGGCTACAGTGTTACTCAGAGCCTAAAAAGCTTATGATAGATATTTCATTCATAGTATACAAATTAATGTCTTTAAGTCCACCAATACCACTATACATTCTGGGGAATTAAGAAATTCACCGTAGTCACATGATCACTAAGCACTTTAGTGCAAGTACAATCTATGCAGAATAGCAAATATAGTGTGAAGCAGTGCAAGCATGTCTGTGAAATTTGGCTCCATGTTAAATCTGGCCTCATGCTTAACTGTATTAAAATAGAATTGCAAAACTGCCAATGTATTTCTTTACAATATTTCTTATTTTACCCTCATGAAAACTAAGGGCTTTAACTATGAGCAATGTTAATTAGGCAAATTTCTCTAATTTTCTATCAGGTTTTAAAAACCATTTTACTACCTAAGCCTTTTCAACTTTCTATTTTCTCTCTGTGTGCATGAAGACAGACATACAGAGAAAAGGGGAAAAATATTACATATGACTTACACAAATATCTATAACATGCTTGCACTTTCTCTTTTGTCCTATATTTTCTTTTTTTTAAAAAAAATAGCCAGTCATTTTACCTTAGGACAAAATGTTACCGTAGTCCATAATTTGGATCAACTGTTAGGTAACTTCTGAATTGGATAAAATTATTTTTTTCTCAATAAGAACATATCTTCTTTGGCACACTTTACATACAGAATTATATATTAACTAGAATTCTTATTTTTAATAATCTTAAATTTCAATGAAAACCTAAGAAGCAAAAAATTCTTAACAATCAGATATTAGCATTTGATAGATGAGAACTTTCCACAATTTTTAGAAACATATTTCCCCATATCATAACCCTATCTTAATTGGAAATGACTCAGACATCCAAGAAGCATCAAAAATAATTTTAAGATTTTAAGTTACACACAGTTTACCTACAACATCTATTCCCATTGGAAAGTACTCAATGGGAATTCTTTGAGTACTTTTCAAAAGTACTCAAAGTACTTTTGAAAAATGAATTTCAAAAGTACTTTTAAAAAATGAATTCTTTCATTTTTTTAGTTTATCTAGATTACTTCTGAAAATAGAGATATTAGACACAGCTAGTCATTATGTAAAGTTATTTCCTTGTTAACTATTTTTACAGCCAGGAGTATGAGGTACTCACCTAAGTAAGAACCTTAAGTTAAATGCTAGGTATTTTTTTGCTAATAACTCAGAAGAGTCAGCTGTTTTTGTTAAACTAACAACATTAAATTAGTCTCATTAATCAGAATAAAATACTACAAAGATCATTTTCTTTTGACTGGGATTATAATTTTATTACCTTCTATGCCAAAACCTGACACCTCGAATATCTAGCAGAGACAAATATAAAACCCAAATAAAAATGTATTCTAACATTTCTGAAGACGTTCATATTTTTATCTTACCAACAATTTTAAAGACAGCTTGGTTATTAAAGATTGACTTAAGTCACATGAACTTGAAAAATATTTTATACTTGTTTACTCAATTTATGAGTGCTTTTTTATTCATAAGCCAATGTGGTAGACATAATATATAACATAATAAATGTACACACACATAAACACATATAAGCATGGACACACACACACACACACACCCCCCCCCCCCCACACACACACACACACACGAGATCCAATAGCTTTTTCTTTGGAACTCTAGCTGTGAGATACAGTTACAGTTCATAGACTGATACAAACTCACCAGTCTGTGAACATATTCACATGGCTAAACTTTGCCCCAATAAGTAACCCAGTGAAAGCTGTGAACCAAAATTTTGGGTAAAGCAGTTCCCACGGCATTTTGATTTTTAAAGGCCAAACCACTCCAGGCTCCAATGAACACTGGAGCCAAACAGTACCACAGGAGCACATCATGTAGTAACCAGGCCTGACCCTGTTCAGAACAGCAGCATAAAAGCTGGGATACATAAAACTCCACCCTGCTTTCCCATTCAACAGCAAAATGAGGTCCATGAAGAGGCCAAACCTCTCCAGATTCCAAAGAATATTGTGGTCAACAATACTACAAAGGAATATCAGCATATTGAATCCTGATTTCTCATAACTCTATCAACAAACACACAATCACCAAAATACAATCCAACTGCTGCAGCAACAAACAAGACCAAGAGTGTCCAAATTGGAACAGTTGGGGTGCTTCCTCTCTTCTTCGGTTGTACTCAATTAACCTGAAAATTCCTTTGGAATTTCCCAAATTGAGAGGAACCAATCCCTCTGTCTGGCACCCACAAAAGACAATCACTTGCTCAGATATACACACAACAATTACAAACAAGCCCCCAAGAGTGTCCAAACTGAAACAGTCAGGGTGCTTCCCTCTCTCACTCAGTTGGGCTTGTGTAATCTACAAATGGAAACTTCTTCAAAAACTTCCCAAATTGAGAGGAACAGATCCTGCTGTCTGGGCCCACATAGGACACTCACTTATCTGGAGGCAGATGTCAAATTTCAAAGGCTATTCTTCCTAGGAAATTAGGAACGTGTTTGAGGCCTACAGCAGTGAAACCAGAGAGAGACCGAAACTCACCTCCTACCAAAAAAGGTTCAGGCAGCTACTTAGGGGGGCTTCTAAAACTCTCCTTGACATGACAGTGGAGCAACAACGAATGCATTCCTGGTCAGGGGACCAAAGTCTGTTACCTAAACACCAGGGATTTGTTATAGGTCCTGCTGCTCACCAAAGCACCAGGGATTTGTTAAAGGTCCTGCTACTCCCTACATGGAAAGTCAATCACTGATACAGTGATTATCATCAGGGAAGAAGGCTTGAACCAGGTTGTTGCAGTCAAGAAGATGAGAGATCAGTCTGAAATCCATCTACCTGACTAAAATTAGGAGCTTATGTAGCAGAAATGTAACTACACACAGGCAAACAGGAATTAGGGAGGGGTAAAGAAGAGAAGTTGGTTCAACAGAAAAACAAGTGGTTAGTTAAGCAATCATGATCCATGAGAGGTCTGATGTCTAATTGTCCAGATACAGTTATCTAGTAAATTTCATTCACTTGATACTATGTGGGAAGACTGATTATTGGTTTCTTGAGAAGGAAACTCAGTATAGTTTTCTCAAGTTTCAAGACTGGGAGGATGAATTTCTATGCTTATTCAAAAAAAACTATAACATCAGTTCTATGGGACAAATAGGTCAGTTTCATTTCCTTTTCCTCACTTTCTTGCCAGCCCACTCCCAGCAATTACCAGAGACAAGGAAAGCAGTTAAGAGACCTCTTACATACTTGGCTTCTTCCAAACTTCTCTTCTTTCAGCCTGACTCAGTTATACCTTATCTTGTGTTGGGGGAGAAGGCACAGCTTTCATATAGTCCTCAATCTTTTTTATTTCACACTTGATTTTTTTCATACTTTTTTCGTAACTTTATTGAACTATAATTGAAGTGGACAATGTGACAAATTCTGACAGAGCTTTGCACGCATGAAACAACCAAGTGCTGGTGCCTTTCTAAATAATCCAATAATCGTCTAGTCTTTTTGTTTCATTGGTCAATGTGGGAGTCATTTATTGAAGGAAAATAGAATCCATCACCAAATGTCCCACATCTTTCAAACTATTAACTTTGTTTTGCTGTTTTGTTGTTGTTGTTTTGATTTTGGTTTTGGTTTTGGTTTGGAGACGGAGTCTCACTCATCATCCAAACTAGAGTGCAGTGGCACAATCTCAGCTCACTACAACCTCCGCCTCCCAGATTCAAGCGATTCTCATGCCTCAGCCTCCCCAGTAGCTGGGATTACAGGTGTGCACCAGCACGCCTGGCTAATTTTTGTATTTTTGTATTTTTAGTAGGGATGGGGGTTTCAGTATGTTGGCCAGGCTGGTCTCGAACACCTGACATCAGATGATCCACCCACCTCGGCCTCCCAAAGTGCTGGGATTACAGGCATGAGCCACCACAACTGGCCCAAACTATTAACTTTCAATTAGTCATTCTATCTAGACTGTGTGAAAAAATTTTCAGAAAATCAAGTAATAAACTCTTAAATCACTCTTGTCTTAACCTCTGGGCAAATAATAATTAAAAATATTATTTGGGCAAATAATACATTATCTAAAGGAAACTTGGCAACTGAATTCACATGCTCTTGGTGTAACCACCACACATTTGTCTGTTCATTTTCATATCCAAGGGGTATGTTTAAGGGAACAAAACTATCCAATATTTTATGGTCAAAAGATAATTATAGACACATGGTTCAACAGGTTTCTTCTGTGCATAATTATTTCACAACTAATTCCAATAAGATTAAGTACAAGTTCTTCATGTTCAGCATTAGAATCTTTACTTTTTTTGTTCTCCTGAATTCATCATGTGCTTTCAGAAAATGAATTCTTTTTTTCCAAAATAGGGCTACTGCTTATAATTATAAAGTATGAGTACATTTGGTTGAAGAGACTAGTTGACCGCAAAGGACACTTCAGAAATGTATCATGATTTTTTATTTTAATGTCTAATATTACAGCTATTAAGTATATTAACAATTTTTTTAAATTTTATTATTCAACCTCAAAAACGTTTGTACAATAGAAAAAAATGTGTGTGAAGTCTAATCAGAATTAGCCAAAGAGTAATGTTAATTGTCTAATTCTTGAATTCATCTTCATTCTGCTGAAGCTGCTGCTTTGAAGATTGTAAATCATTGGAGCTGAATGTAACTAATGACCAGTTATTTCTGGTCACTAAATCCTTTAAAGTATCAGGAAAAGATGATTGGTCTCTACATAAAAATTGACACTAGTTCTTGCAGTTTATTTTAAAAAACTGAAATGCCTGTTTTTTTGCTAAATGAACAGTTTTCACATTATACTTTCTCATAAAATTGTTCTTTCTGCTATTATTTTTAGAAATCATAATTACTTAAACTATTGTTTAGTATTCTTTAATAATTTCTTAGACAATTTAATTCTCCAGACAGCTACTTCTTGGCTTCTAGTTTTTAAATGTGTACAACTTTGATGCTAAATATTATTATCAATATTGAAGATGATTAGATAGATAGATAGATAGATAGATAGATAGACAGATAGATCAGATGCAACTCAGAAAGTTACTTTTAGTGAACTTTTAAAATAATGGTGATGTCCTTTGACCCCACAGAAATAAAAACAGCCATCAGAGAATACCATAAACACCTCTATGCAAATAAACTAGAAAATCTAGAAGAAATGGATAAATTCCTGGATACATACCCCCTCCCAAAACTAGACCAGGAATAAGTTGAATCCCTGAATAGACCAATAACAAATTCTGAAATTTAGCTGGTAATAAATAGCCTACTAACCAAAAAAAAGCCCAGGAACAGATGGATTTACAGCTGAATTCTACCAGAGGTACAAAGAGGAGCTGGTACCATTTCTTCTGAAACTATTTCAAACAACTGAAAAGGAGACACTTTTCTGTAACTCATTTTATGAGGCCAGCATCATTCTGATACCCAAACCTGGCAGAAATACAACAAAAAATGGAAACTTCAGGCCAATATCCCTGATGAACCTCAATGTAAAAATCCTCAATAAAATACTAGCAAACCGAATCCAGCAGCACATCAAAAAGCTTATCCACCATGATCAAGTCAGCTTCATCACCAGAATGCAAGGATGGTTCAACATATGCAAATCAATAAATGTAATTCATTACATAAACAGAACTAAAGACAAAAGCCAAATGATTATTTCAATAGACACAGAAAAGGCCTTTGATAAAATTTAACAGCCCTTCATGTTAAAAACTTTCAATAAACTAGATATTGATGCAACTTACCTCAAAATAATAAGAGCCATTTATGATAAACTCACAACCAATATCATAGTGAATGGGCAAAAGCTGGAAGCATTCCCCTTGAAAACTGGCACAAGACAAGGATGCCCTCTCTCACGACTCCTATTCAACATAGTATGGGAAGTTCTGGCCAGGGCAATCAGGCAAGAGAAATAAACAAAGAGTATTCAAATATGAAGAGAGGAAGTCAAACTGTCTCTGTTTGCAGATGACATAATTCTATGTCTAGAAAACCACACTGTCTCAGCCCTAAAGCTTCTTAGGCAGATAAGTAACTTCAGCAAATTTCAGGATACAAAATCAATGTGCAAAAATCACAAGTATTCCTATACACCAACAACAGACAAGCAGAGAGCCAAATCATGAATGAACTCCCATTCACAATTGCTATACAGAGAATAAAATACCGAGGAATACAGCTAACAAGTGGAGTGAAGAATCTCTTCATGGAGAACAATAAATCACTGCTCAAGGAACTCAGAAAGGACACCAAACAAATTTTCCAGAAAAACACTCCATGCTCATGGATAGGAAGAATCAATATGAAAATGGCCATATTGCCCAAAGCAATTTAAAGATTCAGTGCTATTCCCATTAAACTACCATTGATATTCTTCACAGAATTAGAAAAAACTGCTTTCAAATTCATACGGAACCACAAAAGAGCCCATATAGCCAAGAGAATCCTAAGCACAAAGGACAAAGCTGGAGGCCTCATGATATCCACCTTCAAACTATACTACAAGGCTTCAGTAACCAAAACATCATGGTACTGGTATAAAAACAGACACATAGACCAATGGAACAGAACAGAGATCTCAGAAATAAGACCGCACATCTACAGCCATCTGATCTTTAACAAACCTGACACAAACAAGCAATGGGGAAAGGATTCCCTTTTTATTATTTATTATTTATTTTTATTATACTTTAATTTCCAGGGTACATGTGCACAATGTGCAGGTTTGTTACATATGTATACATGTGCCATGTTGGTGTGCCGCACCCATTAACTCATCATTTACATTAGATATATCTCATAATGCTATCTCTCCCCCCTCCCCCCACACCACAACAGGCCCTGGTGTGTGATGTTCCCTATCCTGTGTCCAAGTGTTCTCATTCTGCAATTCCCACCTAGAGTGAGAACATGCAGTGTTTGGTTTTTCGTCCTTGCGATAGTTTGCTGAGAATGATGGTTTCCAGCTTCATCCATGTCCCTACAAAGGACATGAACTCTTCCTTTTTTATGGCTGCGTAGTATTCCATGGTGTATATGTGCCACATTTTCTTAATCCAGTCTATCACTGATGGACATTTAGGTTGGTTCCAAGTCTTTGCTATTGTGAATAGTGCCGCTATAAACATATGGGTGCATGTGTCTTTATAGCAGCATGATTTATAATCCTTTGGGTATATACCCAGTAATGGGATGGCTGGGTCAAATGGTATTTCTAGTTCTAGATCCTTGAGGAATCGCCACCACACTGTCTTCCACAATGGCTGAACTAGTTTACAGTCCCACCAACAGTGTAAAAGTGTTCCTGTTTCTCCACATCCTCTCTAGCACCTGTTGTTTCCTGACTTTTTAATGATTGCCATTCTAACTGGTGTAAGATGGTATCTCATTGTGGTTTTGATTTGCATTACTCTGATGACCGGTGATGATGAGCATTTTTTCATGTGTCTGTTGGCTGCATCAGTGTCTTCTTTTGAGAAGTGTCTGTTCATATACTTTACCCACTTTTTGATAGGGTTGTTTTTCTCTTTAAAATTTGTTTGAGTTCTTTGTAGATTCTGGATATTAGCCCTTTGTCAGATAAGGAGATTGCAAAAATTTTCTCCCGCTCTGTAGGTTGCCTGTTCACTCTGATGGCAGCTTCTTTTGCTGTGCAGAAGCTCTTTAGTTTAATTAGATCCCGTTTGTCAATTTTGGCTTTTGTTGCCATTGCTTTTGGTGTTTTAGACATGAAGTCCTTGCCCAAGCCTGTGTCCTGAATGGTATTGCCTAGGTTTTCTTCTAGGGTTTTTATGGTTTTAGGTCTAACATGTAAGTCTTTAATCCATCTTGAATTAATTTTTGTATAAGGTGTAAGGAAAAGATCCAGTTTCAGCTTTCTACATATGGCTAGCCTGTTTTCCCAGCACCATTTATTCCCCATTTCTTGTTTTTGTCAGGTTTGTCAAAGATCGGATGGTTGTAGACGTGTGGTATTATTTCTGAGGGCTCTGTTCTGTTCCGTTGGTCTATATCTCTGTTTTGGTACCAGTACCATGCTTTTTTGGTTACTGTAGCCTTGTAGTATAGCTTGAAGTCAGGTAGCGTGATGCCTCCAGCTTTGTTCTTTTGGCTTAGGATTGACTTGGCGATGCAGGCTCTTTTTTGGTTCCATATGAACTTTAAAGTAGTTTTTTCCAATTCTGTGAAGAAAGTCATTGGTAGCTTGATGGGGATAGCACCGAATCTACAAATTACCTTGGGCAGTATGGCCATTTTCACAATATTGATTCTTCCTATCCATGAGCATGGAATGTTCTTCTATTTGTTTGCATCCTCTTTTATTTCACTGAGCAGTGGTTTGTAGTTCTCCTTGAAGAGGTCCTTCACATCCCTTGTAAGTTGGATTCCTAGGTATTTTATTCTCTTTGAAGCAATTGTGAATGGGAGTTCACTCATGATTTGGCTCTCTGTTTGTCTGTTATTGGTGTATAAGGATGCTAGTGATTTTTGCACATTGATTTTGTATCCTGAAACTTTGCTGAAGTTGCTTATCAGTTTAAGGACATTTAGAGCTAAGACAATGGGATTTTCTAGATATACAATCATGCCATCTGAAAACAGGGACAATTTGACTTCCTCTTTTCCTAATTGAATACGCTTTATTACTTTATCCTGCCTGATAGCTCTGGCCAGAACTTCCAATACTATGTTGAATAGGAGTGGTGAGAGAAGACATCCCTGTCTTGTGCCAGTTTTCAAGGGGAATGTTTCCAGTTTTTGCCCTGAATATGATATTGGCTGTGGGTTTGTCATAAATAGCTCTTATTATTTTGAGATACGTCCCATCAATACCTAATTTATTGAGAGTTTTTAGCATGAAGGGCTGTTGAATTTTGTCAAAGGCCTTTTCTGCATCTATTGAGATAATCATATGGTTTTTGTCTTTGGTTCTGTTTATATGCTGGATTACTTTTATTGATTTGCATATGTTGAGCCATCCTTGCATACCAGGGATGAAGCCTACTTGATCATGACAGATAAACTTTTTGATGTGCTGCTGGATTTGGTTTGCCAGTATTTTACTGAGGATTTTTGCGTAGATGTTCATCTGGGATATTGGTCTAAAATTCTCTTTCTTTGTTGTGTCTCTGCCAGCCTTTGGTATCAGGATGATGCTGGCCTCATAAAATGAGTTAGGGAGGATTTCCTCTTTTTCTATTGATTGGAATAGTTTCAGAAGGAATGATACCAGCTCCTCCTTGTACCTCTGGTAGAATTTGGCTGTGAATCCATCTGGTCCTGGACTTTTCTTGGTTGGTAAACTATTAATTATTGCCTCAATTTCAGAGCCTGTTATTGGTCTATTCAGAGATTCAACTTCTTCCTGGTTTAGTCTTGGGAGGGTGTATGTGTCGAGGAATTTATCCATTTCTTCTAGATTTTCTAGTTTATTTGCAGAGAGATGTTTATAGTATTCTCTGATGGTAGTTTGTATTTCTGTGGGATCGGTGGTCATATCCCCTTTATCATTTTTTATTGAATCTATTTGATTATTCTCTCTTTTCTTCTTTATTAGTCTTGCTAGCGGTCTATCAATTTTGTTGTTCTTTTCAAAAAACCAGCTCCTGGATTCATTGATTTTTTGAAGCGTTTTTTTGTGTCTCTATCTCCTTCAGTTCTGCTCTGATTTTAGTTATTTCTTGCCTTCTGCTAGCTTTTGAATGTGTTTGCTCTTGCTTCTCTAGTTCTTTTAATTGTGATGTTAGGGTGTCAATTTTAGATCTTTCCTGCTTTCTCTTGTGGGCATTTAGTGCCATAAATTTCCCTCTACACACTGCTTTGAATGTGTCCCAGAGATTCTGGTATGTTGTGTCTTTGTTCTCGTTGGTTTCAAAGAACATCTTTATTTCTGCCTTCATTTCGTTATGTACCCAGTAGTCATTCAGGAGCAGGTTGTTCAATTTCCACGTAGTTGAGCAGTTTTGAGTGAGTTCCTTAATACTGAGTTCTAGTTTGATTGCACTGTGGTCTGAGAGACAGTTTGTTATAATTTCTGTTCTGTTACATTTGCTCAGGAGTGCTTTACTTCCAACTACGTGGTCAATTTTGGAATAGGTGTGGTGTGGTGCTGAGAATAATGTATATTCTGTTGATATGGGGTGGAGAGTTCTGTAGATGTCTATTAGGTCTGCTTGGTGCAGAGCTGAGTTCGATTCCTGGATATCCTTGTTAACTTTCTGTCTCGTTGATCTAATGTTGACAGTGGGGTGTTAAAGTCTCCCATTATTATTGTGTGGGAGTCTAAGTCTCTTTGTAGGTCTCTAAGGACTTGCTTTATGAATCTGGGTGCTCCTGTATTGGGTGCATATATATTTAGGATAGTTAGCTCTTCTTGTTGTATTGATCCCTTTACCATTATGTAATGGCCTTCTTTGTCTCTTTGGATCTTTGTTTGTTTAAAGTCTGTTTTATCAGAGACCAGGATTGCAACCCCTGCCTTTTTTGTTTTCCATTTGCTTGGTAGATCTGCCTCCATCCCTTTATTTTGAGCCTATGTGTGTCTCTGCATGTGAGATGGGTATCCTGAATACAGGACACTGATGGGTCTTGACTCTTTATCCAATTTGCCAGTCTGTGTCTTTTAATTGGAGCATTTAGTCCATTTACATTTAAGGTTAACATAGTTATGTGTGAATTTCATCCTGTCACTATGATGTTAGCTGGTTATTTTGCTCGTTAGTTGATGCAGTTTCTTCCTAGCATCGATGGTCTTAACAACTTGGCATGTTTTTGCAGTGGCTGGTACTGGTTGTTCCTTTCCATGTTTAGTGCTTCCTTCAGCAGCTCTTGTAGGACAGGCCTGGGGGTGACAAAATCTCTCAGCATTTTTTTGTCTGTAAAGGATTTTATTTCTCCTTCACTTATGAAGCTTAGTTTGGCTGGATATGAAATTTTGGGTTGAAAATTCTTTTCTTTAAGAATGTTGAATATGGGCCCCCACTCTTCTGGCTTGTAGAGTTTCTGCTGAGAGATCCGCTGTTAGTCTTATGGGCTTCCTTTTGTGGGTAACCCGACCTTTCTCTCTGGCTTCCCTTAACATTTTTTCCTTCATTTCAACATTGGTGAATCTGACAATTATGTGTCTTGGAGTTGCTCTTCTCGAGGAGTATCTTTGTGGCGTTCTCTGTATTTCCTGAATTTGAATGTTGGCCTGCCTTGCTAGGTTGGGGAAGTTCTGGATAATATCCTGCAGAGTATTTTCCAACTTGGTTCCATTCTCCTCATCACTTTCAGGTACACCAATCAGACGTAGATTTGGTCTTTTCATATAGTCCCATATTTCTTGGAAGCTTTGTTCTTTTCTTTTCACTTTTTTTTCTCTGAACTTCTCTTCTCGCTTCATTTCATTCATTTGATCTTCAATCAGTGATACCCTTTCTTCCAGTTGATTGAATCGGCTACTGAAGCTTGTTCGTCATGTAGTTCTCATGTCATGGTTTTCAGCTCCATCAGGTCATTTAAGGACTTCTCTACATTAGTTATTCTAGTTAGCCATTCGTCTAAATTTTTTCAAGGTTTTTAGCTTCTTTATGATGGGTTCGAACTTCCTCCTTTAGCTCAGAGAAGTTTGATCATTGAAGCTTTCTTCTCTCAACTCGTCAAAGTCATTTTCTGTCCAGCTTTGTTCCGTTGCTGGCGAGGAGCTGTGTTCCTTTGGAGGGAGAGAGGCGCTCCACACTAAAACCCCATCTGTACGTCACCATCATCAAAGACCAAAGGTAGATAAAACCACAAAGATGGGGAAAAAACAGAGCAGAAAACCTGAAAATTCTAAAAATCAGGATTCCCTTTTTAATAAATGTTTCTGGGAAAGCTGGCTAGCCATATGCAGAAAATTGAAACTGGACCCCTTCCTTACACCTTATACAAAAATTAACTCAAGATGGAATAAAGAGTTAAATCTAAAACCCAAAACTATAAAAACCCTAGAAGAAGAGCTAGGCAATACCGTTCAGGACATAGGCACAGGCAAATATTTCATAACAAAAATGTCAAAAGCAGTTGCAACAGAAGCAAAACTTGACAAATGGGATCTGACTAAAGAGCTTCTGCACAGCAAAAGAAATTATCATCAGAGTGAACAACGTACAGAATGGGATAAAATTTTTGCAATCTCTCCATCTGACAAAGTTCTAATATCTAGAATCTACAAGGAACTTAAACAAATTTACAAGAAAAAAACAACCCCATTAAAAAGTGGGCAAAGTATATGAACAGACACTTCTCAAAAGAAGACATTATGTGTTTTCATTATGTGTATTTTCTGCATATGGCTAGCCAGCTTTCCCAGAACATATGAAAAAAAGCTCCACATCACTGATTATTAGAGAAATGCAAATCAAAATCACAATGAGATACCATCTCACACCAGTCAGAATGGCGATCATTAAAAAAGCCAAGAAACAACAGATGCTGGTGAGGCTATAAAGAAATAGGAACGCTTTCACACTGTTCATGGAAATGTAAATTAGGTCAACCATTGTGGAAGACAGTGTGACGATTCCTCAAAGGCCTAGAACCAGAAATATCATTTGGCCCTACAATCCTATTAGTGGGCATATACTCAAAGGAATATAAATCATTCTATTATAAAGATACATGCACACATATGTTCACTGCAGCACTATGCACAATAGCAAAAACATGGAATCAACCCAATTGCCCATCAGTGATAGACTGGATAAAGAAAATGTGGTACATACATACCATGGAATACTATGTAGCCATAAAAAGGAATGAGATCATGTCCTTTGCAAGGACATGGATGCATCTGAAAGACATTATCCTCAGCAAACTAACACAGGAACAGGAAACCAAACACCAAATTTTCTCACTTATAAGTGGGAGCTCAACAATGAGAACATGTGGACAGAGGAAGGGGAACAACACACACTGGGTCCTGTCAGCAGGTGGGGTCTGGGGCAGAGAGATCATCAGGAAAAATAGCTAATGCATGCTAGGCTTAATACCTATATGATGGACTGATAGGTGCAGCAAACTACCATGGCACATTTTTACCTATGTAACAAATCTGCATATCCTCCACAGGTATTCCAGAACTTAGAATAAAATAAAAAAAAAAAACACTTGAAATATGAATTTAATTACCTTTGAAAAATATCTTTTCTGCAGATATAGGTCTTGAAACCACTGTATGGTAAACAAAAGGCTCTTGAAAGCAGTTTGCTCAAGATGAAAATGACGGCAAAAGGCACAGGGTTTGCACCGTCTAAACTTATCCAATGGTACACATTGAATATGTGCAGTTCTTTGTATATCAATTGTTCCTCAGTAAAGCTGTTTTATAAATAATAAAATGAAAATGACAAAAAATAGTGATGATAATGATGATAGCTATCATTTGTTTAGCACTTACACTATTCCAATCATTTTGCATTATTCTTATTTCATTTTTACCACAACCTAATGAATTAATCTTATTCCACCTGTCTTATAAATAAGATAGATAAGAGTCCTATAGTTTAAGTGGCTTGCTTGGTCTGTATGTACTTGAGCCAGAATTTAAATCCAGACTTACAAGATTCCAGATATTCATAGTCCTATTGTTGGTCATGCTCGGCATCTACCTTAGTATTCCTTATTATCTACTTCATTAGTGTTCACTGAGAAGTTTAATATATCTCACATATGAGATATATTAAAATTCATTAATATATCATTAGTCTGGCCAGGCGCGGTGTCTCACGCCTGTAATCCCAGCACTTTGGGAGGCCAAGGCAGGCGGATCACAAGGTCAGGAGTTTGAGACCAGCTGACCAACATAGTGAAACCCTGTCTCCACTAAAAATAAAAAAATTAGCCAGGTGTGATGGTGGGCACCTGTAATTCCACCTACTCAGAAGGCTGAGGCAGGAGAATTGCTTGAATCTGGGAGGCGGAAGTTGCAATGAGCCAAGATCACACCACTGCACTCCAGCCTGGGTGACAGAGCAAGAATCCTTCTCAAAAAACAAAACAAACAAACTATATATACACACACACACACACACACACAGACACACACATACATATATATATATACATATATACACATGTACATATATATACATATATACACATGTACATATATATACATATATACACACATAGATACACTATATATATATACACACACACTAGTTTTTTAACTAAAAAACACAAAACTCTCAAAATTTGTATTTTTATTTAAAAGAATATTTTTTGGATGGCAATTTTTAGGGGTCATCCTCTCCAGTTTCTAGTGTTTACTTAAATGATATCTGTTGAACATTTTTTTCCTGCCCCGCATACCATCTCATCTATCCAAATTCAGTCTAATTGGAACCTTGGTGGATGTGCCTTACAGCATCTCATGCTTCACCTTTGGAGCACACAAGGCAACAAGTCTCATAACCTTTTCCTCCCATGAACAGTGACATGAATGATACACAAAATACTGTTGGGAACATTCAGTGAAAGACATTTGGCACATTTCATTCTTTGGAACTGAAGGTCTGTAACATGAGGGATTGAATAATTGTAAAGGGAACCATAAAATTCCTGGCTCTTTTCTATAGTGAGAATTTTGTTTTTCAGATAAACCTAATAATAAAAACTTTCATACTAGAAAGCACTTATATTTTCTTTTCTCATATACAAAACATTAGTCCCTCCAAATGTATGTAAGGCAAATGAACTTTTCTCCTATTCATTTAGTAGGCTAAGTTCAAATAAAGGAAAAGTCTTGTAACAGCGACTTTGTAAAAGAGATGATAGATGGCCACAAGTCTTTTTTTCTGATGGTAAAGTAATAAAAAGCAGTCTTTCTGCCCCAGAATTTGTAGGAGCAAAAAATGCACATTTCTCATATGGGTGGTAAGAAAGTGAGGGGCGTGAAAAGAGAGAATAAGCTAGCTTAGCACTATATTACATCATTCTCCAGGGGGCTCGATTGAGGGACAAACACACAGACACATCCCAAAAGAAATCAGATAGATATCTATCAGGTGTCCCAGTGCCAAGGGCCATGTGTTATGTGACCAGTCAGAGGAACTTGTCCAAAGCAACTGTACCAAAGGAACCGCAGATGTGAGATCTCCAGTGAAGATAATTTTATGGAGAGGATGGGGAGGGAGAGACAGAGAGAGAGAGAGAGAACAAAAAAGTACCAATACCATAGCCAGAGGAAACTAACCAATGACAGATGGTTTCGCGTTAATGGAGACCATTCCTTGCCTCCTGTGTCTCCTCCTTTCCCTTATTTGAAATCCTGGAGAAGCCTCAATTAGCCCAATGCACAGAGACAGAGCAGTAGAAATGTTAGATGGGAAGATGGACAGGAATCTACCATGCTTACCTTTTTCATGACAACTTTATAGCCTGCAACAGGCCTGAGATAGGGAGAGGAAAAAGCTTTAAGTGAACTAAGAAGGGTTTTATTCTTATGCTGAACTATATGATAGGATATTGGAAATTTTTAATAGAACTACAAGTAATCAGAGAATTGTTGGTTATCTGTAAATCATCTTCCCTCTTCAAATCCCAAACCCCATAACGCCATTTGGTCTGCCCAAGTAAAAAAAAAAATAGCCATCAAATGGGTAAAATGATCCAAAAGAAAATGAATGAAAGTATTTCCTATCTTATATACCACATGTCCTGCTCACTTACACTTTCAGTTCTTGAAATCCTTTTAGAACACTCTCATATTGTTTATAGTCTACTTTTTTGTAAATCTGCTATCATGGACTATTTAGGGAAACTTCTTTCTAAAGTGAGATGCTTATTTTAAACTGGGACTACACCCTGTTTTCCCTGTATCTTTGACATTTACTATTTTATATCTCCCAGGCGCTAAGGCTGCTACACAGAAGAGTAGCTAGCAAAACAGGTAATGAAAATTGACTACCTATATTATTAATCCTGTTCTCCTAATTAGCAATCTGCAGAGCTTTTTTTTTTTTCTATTTTTTTTTTATTATACTCTAAGTTTTAGGGTACATGTGCACATTGTGCAGGTTAGTTACATATGTATACATGTGCCATGCTGGTGCGCTGCACCCACTAATGTGTCATCTAGCATTAGGTATATCTCCCAATGCTATCCCTCCCCCCTCCCCCGACCCCACCACAGTCCCCAGAGTGTGATATTCCCCTTCCTGTGTCCATGTGATCTCATTGTTCAATTCCCACCTATGAGTGAGAATATGCGGTGTTTGGTTTTTTGTTCTTGCGATAGTTTACTGAGAATGATGGTTTCCAATTTCATCCATGTCCCTACAAAGGATATGAACTCATCATTTTTTATGGCTGCATAGTATTCCATGGTGTATATGTGCCACATTTTCTTAATCCAGTCTATCATTGTTGGACATTTGGGTTGGTTCCAAGTCTTTGCTATTGTGAATAGTGCCGCAATAAACATACGTGTGCATGTGTCTGCAGAGCTTCTTATGTTACATTGAGGGAACTGCCAGAGGATGGAGGAAAACCTCTCCCCTGCCAAGAAAAAATAGATTTTAAAAGAATCTGTGTTTTATGGGTCTTGTATCAGGTTCGTCACCGTACATGACGTTAGCACTAAATCCTTGCCTGTGCTCTGTAAAGTTGTATGCTTTCTAAGAATACAGAAACCACACTAAGATATGGGTTTTCCTTAAAAATTATTGCCCATGTTGAGAATATTTAACTGAGTTAAGTCAGTTTATCGGCATTTTTGAAGAAAAACTAATAATGTAGGCAAGTTGGGAATACAATTTTGTCTAGCATATAGTCAATCAAGAAGCTTTAATTTTTTTTCCTTTCTTCACCTCAAAGTCAATCATTAATGCTCAATTAAGGAAATTTGATCCAAAAATGTTTTCCAAGTACTTACTGGGACTAAAGTAAAAATGAGGAAATTTTTCTAAAGACATTTTTATCAAAATTTACTTACAGTTATACAACTTTTCTCATGATTTTAGGAGAGAATGCAATTACATAATTTGAGAATCATGTCTATAAGGGACAGTGATAGAGCAAAAAGTTAGTCTGGAACTCCAGATACCTGAGGCCTTGCCCTAGGATTGTCACAAATTAATTCTGCAATGTTGAAAATCAGATAATGTTGCTATAACTTTTGTTTTATTGAACCTATTTTTTATAAGAGGACTCAGATCCTCTAGAAATAAAGAAATTAAACAGTTCTTTCACTCTCAAATTAGGATAGTCATATTCACTCTTGTCTACTTCATAAGCTCATAAGAAGCTCAAACAAGAAAGTATGTATGAACAAATTTATAAGAGTATAAAGTGTAATAAAAATGCTAGTAAAGCCTAAATTCTTGATAACATACTGAATAAATTTTGCAAATGCACTTTACATGAATTATTCTGGTAGTTCTCACAAACCCAAATCTAGTAAGTACTTTTACAATTCCAACTTTAAGCAAGTATACAGAACTATACAAAGGCCACATAAAAAGTAAATAGTTACCAAGTAATCAGTAGCAGAAAGTTCATACATAGTTCCAGAAGAATATTGATAGAAAAAGTAGCATATTTAAAATTTGAAATTGGAACAGTAAAATATATAAAATGCATTATTTTTGAAGTTTAGATTTGTTCCCTTCATACAGAGATCTCCAATGCCTTGAAAATGACACTCAAATAATACAAATAAAAATAATTGTTTGAATTATTAAGTGGGCAAGCCACTAAATTTACTACTTCCAAATCTCTAATCTAAAATATAAAATTTCACTGTATTTGCAAAGAGAATTAACGAGTAATAAACAATAGACTTGATGTTGAAATATGTGAAAAAGGGATAAATTCACTACTTTCACAATTTTGAATTTAATGAGAGTATAGACTGTGACATGGAGGCTGCCAAAGGAAACCACGTGACATTAAGAACTGAAGACAAATCCAGCAAGACACACTTTGTTGTTGTCCATAGGTATTATCTTGACGTAGATAGATTTTTCTATAAATTGTTTTTGCTTTTTGTTTTTGCTTTTCCAAACCCACAATTAACATAACAAAAACATAATTGTGACAAAAAAATTTTCTCATTACATAAAAGTTTTTTAAGAATTATATGATTTATCTAATGGGTTACTGCTAAACTTACTGCAACTTAATTAAAATTTTTACAAAATCTTCTAATGACTCTCCTGTAGTCCCATAAATTCATAAATCAATCTCCCAAATAACCCTTCATGTAATATTTTGCAAACTGCTTGACTAAATTCCTTCACTTTTCTTTACCATTTGCACTGACTACAAGCAAATTCAACTTCAAAAGATTTTCTCATTTTCAGAAGGAGCAAAAAGATTGTATTTCCCATCTTGATGAAGAGCTCATAAGCCTGCAAGAACTGAAGAGCTGAGAACAAAGCCCTGCTGTTTTGAAAATTGTGTATGAACCCCAAGCACAGTGTGCCATCTGATCTTGTCTGCTATAGTGAGTGTTCTGCACAGCTCTGTATAATCCTTGAGTTCATTTTGTAACCCTTTCATTCACATTACTCTTTAACACTGATATTATTACCACATATTTGTATGTAGTACCTCTAGGCATGATTGGAGGAATTTAGTAAACTCTCACTGAGTTGAACACAAGCTATCATACCTTTCAGTAGAAATCCCAAAAGGCTCAGTTAGTACCAATGACACCAATAGGAAAATCATGCCCATGAGGATAATGAAATTGTCTATTTGCAAGTCAATATCTCAGATTTGAATAGATAAACATAGTGATCCTATTGATCCTGACTCACTTAGAAGACAAACAAAATGAACCAAGAGCACAGAAACTGGATTGACTTTTTGTAAGAAAATGTCAAACACACTGCCTGAAAGTTCTAAGAATTTTGTTATTTTATATGGATTTCACTTCAACAGTGTTACTAGTTTTGGGATCATAATAATACTGTAACAGTGAGAGATGGAATATTATCACCTAATATGCATTTCAAAAGCCTCTACAAATATCATTAGTTGCTGAAGCTTATTACCCAGGTTTTACTGGGTCTTATATCACTTTGAAGGGAAAAGTAATAGGTTTTATAAGTACATTAAAATTTCATTTTTAGTAGAGTTTTCAGAATAAACAAACCTAAATTAACAAACCTCTTCAAATTAGCATGTGGATGTCTCTGTGCTACTGACATTGAAAATATGTGTGCAGCAAAGGCGGAATCTAAAATATTATAAAGCCCCAAAATTAACTATGTTATTAATCCAAATGCTGAGCCACAGAACCACTGTAAATATTATGAAGACTTATTGGGATATGTAAATTAACACAACCTCTCATTACATCTGTGTGCAGTGGGGAGGGGCAAGGTATGTTCACACATGCAGCTGCACACTTTGTTCACAGGATACAAACTTCTCCTTTAATTCCTAATAGAGAAGGGAAGCTATACATCTGTAAGCTGCAGGAGTGATGTGGCAGGATGAAGATGTCCTCAGTGGGCTGAATGTACTGATTCAGATACTGGACCCTTTTTCCAATCCCCAGTCCTCTCATATTAAGCAACAATGTGTTGGTCAGAATGAACTCAACATGAATTTGGGGAAAATATGCGAAAGCACACGAGAAGGATTCTTATCACCCCTCGCTTTATAATAAACAAAGGTTCTGTGACAATTTTCCTGAGAGAAATAAAAGACAACTGGTGACAAATTTCCTGGGAAAAATTAAAGACATCCAGTTGGAACTACAGAAATTACTTTCACAGCATAACCTGGGAACAGGTGTGTGTGTACTAAGCCACTGTCTTTTGGGGTGGTTTCTTAGACAGAATAATTATGAAATAGAAGTGGGGTGTGAGGGAAATAAAATGGAGGTGAGAAAAAAAGAAGCAAGGATGATTCCTAGGTTTGAGTAAGCTGAGGTTTTTATATCATAATAGAAAATTAAAAATCAGTCTTTTCTCTTCCTTTCTTTTCTGTTTGTTTTTCTCTCTTTCTCGTTTTCTCTCTGTATTAGTCCGCTTTCATGCTGCTGATAAAGACATATCCGAGACTGGGAAATTTACAAAAGAAAGAAGTTTAACTGGGCTTACAGTGCCACAGGGCTGGGGAAACATCACAATCATGGCAGAAGGCAAGGAGGAGCAAGTCCCATCTTATGTGAATGGCAGCAGGCAAAAAGAGTTTGTGCAGGGGAACTCCTCTTTTAAAAACCATCAGATTTCATGAGACTCATTCACTATCACGAGAACAGTGAAGGAAAGATCCGCCACCATAATTCAATCACTCGCCTCCATGTTCCTCTCACAACACAGGGGAATTGGGAGAGTTACAATTCAAAATGAGATTTGGGTGGGGACACAGCAAAACCATATCACTCTCTCTCTTTTGCCTTCCCTCCCTTTTTTTAGGTCATCAGTTTTTGTTAAGAAAGATAAACATATATTAATACTTCTGAAAACTGCAGTATAATTGATCTTCTTCATTGAATTAATAAACATATGTGATCTGGGTCAGTGTAACAGCCACAACTTAAAGTCCATCTCCTAGACTCTCATCCTATGGTGGCATTAGAGGCATTTTTCATATCTAGAAATATTGAAAAATATTTTCTTCTAAAGCCTGGAGATAATAGTAATTTATATGTGCACTTTCATATATAAGAGATATATACAGTGTCTTATACTTCACAATAATTATTTGTAAAATATTCACAATATTCTTTGTAAAAATTGCTATTATTTGGAGGTTTTAATTACTGAACAATTGAAACTAAGTCATAAGAGCACATTACAAAACTGAGCTTCAAGCATAGATTTTTGTATTCATTTCATAAAAACAGTTGATAGTTTACTGAGATAAGATTTTCTATTGGGTCCGTTAAAAATTGTATTTTTAAATAGAAAACATCGTCACAGATATGCACATTCATTTTCTCTCTCCTCCGTCTATTATTATTCAAGCTACCCATTTCATCTCTGACATCTCTTTCCTTGGACAAACAATATTTAATTCCTATTAATTAAGAATTCCCTCTTTTCAGAATATTTACATTTCCTATTAGTTCAGTTACACATAATGTAATTTGGTAATTTTTTTGTTGTACTTGTTTTGTTTGTTTGCAGAGGTATTTTGCCACTTCATATATATTTTTTTTAAATCTCAGTGTACAGTAAATACAACCAAATGAAAACCAATGGGAGGAAATTGTGTGTTTGTGTGTGTGTGTGTGTGTGTGTGTGTGTGACAATGAAGATTTAGACATGTCTCAAGTTTTTTTTTTTTTTTTTTTTTTTTTTTGTTTTTTTTTTTTTTTTTTGAGACGGAGTCTCGCTCTGTCGCCCAGGCTGGAGTGCAGTGGCGGGATCTCGGCTCACTGCAAGCTCCGCCTCCCGGGTTCACGCCATTCTCCTGCCTCAGCTTCCCAAGTAGCTGGGACCACAGGCGCCCGCCACTACGCCCGGCTAATTTTTTGTATTTTTAGTAGAGACGGGGTTTCACCGTTTTAGCCGGGATGGTCTCGATCTCCTGACCTCGTGATCCGCCCGCCTCGGCCTCCCAAAGTGCTGGGATTACAGGCGTGAGCCACCGCGCCCGGCCATGTCTCAAGTTTTTAACAGCTTAGTAGAAATAGCAATATTCATCTGCAAGAATCTCTTACCACTATCTCCCATCAACCATATCAAACTTCTTCTGAAGCATTTTTATTGTTGTTGTTATCGTGCTATTATTTCCTCACATGAAAAGCAACAGTCGTGCCAGGCGCGGTGGCTCACGCCTGTAATCCCAGCACTTTAGGAGGCTGAGACGGGCGGATTACGAGGTCAAGAGATTGAGACCATCCTGGCTAATACGGTGAAACCCCGTCTCTACTAAAAACTAAAAAAGATTAGCCAGGCCTGGTGGCAGGCACCTGTAGTCCCAGCCACTCGGGAGGCTGAGGCAGGAGAATGGCGTGAACCCAGGAGGCGAAGCTTGCAGTGAGCCAAAATCCTGCCACTGCACTCCAGCCTGGGCGACAGCATGAGACTCCATCTAAAAAAAAATAAAATAAAATAAAGCAAGTCATATTAAGACTCATGTCCCCTATATTAAAGATGATCCCACATCTATAATTCTATTACAGAAGTACACTGGTGTTTTTAATGCCAGTGGCTTTTAGATAATTATGTTTCTAACACAATTAAATTTATCAGCGTAACAACCCATTCAGCAAAACAGAAAAGAGGCAATATTTGCATCAATGGTGCTTTGAAATGAACATTTTCCTTCAGGGATGCACAGCCACATAGTCTCTACTCTTTTCTCTTGACAGGTTATAAATATTCTCAGAAGTAACTGTTTTGATGTTGCCTTAAAAACAGGGGGAGGGAAGGGGATGAGGAAAGAACACTGAGGCTACATGCATTTTCACATCAATTTTGCTTTCACATTTGATAGTTTATTTATATTGCTGTTATTTGCATTTCTCATGTTACTTCATACTTTAGTCTTAGCTAATGACTTTCCATGAAATGATACTTCATGGTGTTTTTTGCCGAATGAAACCTTATCTTAGTTTCTTGTTATGATAGATAAATCCAATCAACAACAACCGTATGTTAAGAACTTTTAAGTTTGTTTGTTAGAGTCAACAATTTCTGAAAGCCTCTATTCTTAGTTATACATAATACATGTCTGTAAATCAGAGAGCATTCCATAACAGAAAAGGAATTTAGAGAAATGACTATTAAATTTTACTGGGAGAAAGATAGTGGAATTGTGTTCATATTTCAATACAATTTGGAAATGTTTATATGTGATTCCGCTTCTAAATTACCTAAAGATTAAAAAAAAAATTCTGCCATAACTCATCCCTTCTCAAACTTTTCCACCCGAGATTCTAAAGATACCTTTATAGAAGCATAAATTATTTGAATTTTGTTCTATGCTCTTTAATAAATGTTGATTGCAGTCAAACTCTAATTAATATGGCAACATACTATCTTTAGTCCTGTTAAGAGATGAGTAGAATCACCTCGATCATGTGGAACAAAATAGAAGAATCAGACCTGAACTAGCAAAATTGTATTAATTTCCCTCTACAATCAGCCATACTATTTGCATTTCCAACATATTTTTACATACTTTTGTGAGAAAAAATGGTTTTGAATGAGGCTTTCCATGTCCTTTATTCTGCCCAGAAATAAATTACTGGATTCTAAAATACATTTAGTATTACCTAGAGGACTTGTGAAAACATAGATTCCTGAGCTCTACCTGCAGAATTTTTAAATCAGGAGCTCTGGAGTGAGACCCAGGAAATTGTGTTTCTAACAAGTTTCCAGGTGATGCTGCTGCTGCTGCTAATTTGAGACCACTGAATGTGAGAAAGCTTGGACTCTTCCTAAGTACACCTTGGATAATTCCCTGATTGCAGCCTACTCAATAGATAATAATTTTGATTAATCTTCATACTCTCCTTCTTTTAAAAATTTTTCAAAAAAAAACCCTGAAGAAATACGAATTGTGTCCTAATAATGTAAGAGCTGGGGATGCATAGTCTATTTATTTTTCCCCTAGTCAGAAGATCAGAATAATATGAACGGAGGAAGGCAGGAAGGGAGGAAGGGACAGACGGATGGAGGGAGGGAGGGAAAGGAGGGAGAAAGAAATAAATTAGTTTCAAGGGCTTCAAAGAGAAAGATGTCTTAAATAATAATGATAACAAAATAAATGCCCTTTGTCTGAAAGGGGGACTTAGAGGACCTCAGAACCTGTCAATTCTGGTAATTTTAAAAATTATATCTCTTGTCCTCAAATAACTTTTCTTTTAATTCTCAGCTGCCAAGATAAGGGTTCAGTTACAATAATTTGTTGATGGGCTTATTAGTAATTTCATTTGGGGGCCTCTAATTGAGTTCCTTACTCTGACTACAACAAAAAGTTTCTATAGACCTTATTTAATATGAATGCTTTGATCAATTAACAATTATGAAAGTAATCAATTTTAAATAGGACATATTTGTAAGTTTAAAACATTTCACAGGACACTTACCTAGTTATTAATCTTGTTTCTTTCATGGCAGAATAATTGAAACAAAGGTACTCTATCTACAGCAAATAATAGTCACTTGTAAATATTTCGTAATTTCATCTTAAAATACAATTTTATTTCAGGCATTATTACAAATATGTAAAAGATTCTTACAGAATCCAGTCCCTTTCTACTTGTGACTCTTCTAAACCAGAATAACTTTTCAGAACACAGTAAGGAAATAAAGTTTGAACTAGCTACCTATATATTACAAATCTGTTTTAATATTTACAACATAAATTAATAGACATTACCCTGTCCAAAACAAAAATAGCACTGACAAAAGATCTACATACAACCGGTGTCTTATCCACCTGTTGGCTATTTAGGTGCCCAGAATTTCCTAGATTCAACATAGTACAAACAATGTAAGATGAAGTCTGGCACGTAAGAAGTTGACACTCTAACCTGGAAGACAATGAGGTGTTGAAATTAAGTCAGAATGAATAAATGAGACTTCATGCCGTAGAAAATACAAGAGAGATTTCTAGGGGTAGTAAGAAAAATCTTGGCCTTAATTTGGAAGAACGAGCTTCATAAATTTAGCTAGCAGAGAGTGAGGGGTGTCTTCTGCAGAACACCTCCTGGTAAATTCACAGGCTCAGCAGCGTACAAGGATGGCTAGCATGGGGAGCTAGTCTGCCTTACCATTACAACAATAAGGGTTATGCTTTTCCCACCCCGGCACCTCATTCTAGATATGGAATGGTAGATATGTAGATTTTAAATATGGTATTGTTTAGGTTACAAGCTATTGATGGTGAAAAAGAACCATTTAAGCACCAGGTAGAATTGCATGTATTTTGGCAGCATAGTTAGCTCTTAAATAAAATTCAGCTATTTCTTTGCTGTTAAAAATAATATTAACAACTATTCAATACATTCAAATGACTTCTATTTAGTTAAAATTAAATATGTTTGTGTTTCTATCTTGTTAAAGCTAATTTTTTCTGCTGCATTTTCCTCAAAAGCCTGTACATACAACGTTTGCAGGCCTTTGTTGGGGTGTGGTCTTGTTGAGTATGTCGATCTTTTGTCAGTGCTATTTTTGTTTTGGACAGGGTAATATCTATTTATTTATGTTGTAAATATTAAAACAGATCTGTAATATATAGGTAGCTAGTCCAAACTTTATTTCCAAAAATATTTCTTGTGGGTCATCAAAATATAAATACCTTTCTAGATCAATAGAAGTGTGTGTTTTTTGTCGGGGGGGCGGGTAAATGCTGACACTGTGACTCTTATTTTTGATAAGGTTAAGAAAGCAGCTGTGTTTCTGGGTTCCTGGCAGTTTCTGTACAAATGAAGTCCACGTAATCACTGGATACGTTTCATTAAAGTTTTCTGCAGATGTTGACAAAGATAGTTCCTTGAAAAGAACAAATGTGCATTTTATTTTATATTTTTTGAGACAGAGTCTCACTCTGTCGCCCAGGCTGCAGTTGAGTGGCGTGATCTCGGCTCACTGCAGCCTCTGCCTCCCGGGTTCCAGCGATTCTCCTGCTTCAGCCTCTGGAGTAGCTGGGATTACAGGCACGCACCAGCAAACCTGGCTAATTTTTTTGTATTTTTAGTAGAGATGGGGTTTCAACATGTTGGCCAGGCTGGTCTCAAACTCCTGACTTCAGGTGATCTGCCTGCCTAAAGTATATGTAGAAAGATGTGGCCTCAGGCAGGCACAGCAATTGAACAGTTTTTAAAGAAGTAACACTTCTACTTTTTCTGCCAAATACAAAGAAAGAGTGAAAAAGACCCAGTATATAAAACTTTTGCACCCGAACTGATGGTCTTTAAACAACTCTTCTATATGATATGCTATTTTCACTGTCTAGAAAATATACAATAGCCTGGAAAAAAACCGTATGTGCCTACATATTGGTGTTTCAAAAACAGAATCTATGCCTTAAATAAATTAGGCAATCTTTCTATCTCCAATCAACTCATCACAGACAAGAGACATTTTGGAAGTTGGAAATCTACCAAATAAATGTATTTCCAAGAAATGGAAAAATTTTGCACACTTTATTTTAATAACACAGAATCTGAAGTTAAGACAAAAATATTATAACTAAATGTTGCTGCAAATTTCAGTCACATAGATAGTTCAATATTATGTCACTATGTGGAATGAGAATGTAGTTAATTCAACATTTTGGTGTGTTATAAAAAGAGAAGGTACCTGAAGTATGAGACCATTTCACTTTGGTTGATTAGAGCAACTTAAAGTAATGAAAAAACTTGGATTTTAAAGGTAGGTATCTTGATTAATTTCTATTATCTTTTGTTTACTTGCTATATAGCCATGTAGAAGTACTTCAGTTATTTGTGCTTAAATTTCTTTATCTTTATACAGCAGTGTCCCCTGCCTACCATGTTCTTTCAACCATCATTTGAGATAATAGATACAAAACTAAATTTGTAAATTGTAACACACTAGTATACTTTTAAAATCAATGTGTTTAAAATCAGAACACCAGTTTCAAGTCTCGTCTTTTTTAGCTTTGTGAATTTGGAAAAGTCATTATGTTGCTTCAAATCCTTGAACCTCTTTCATCCTTCATACGTGTAGTTCTCAAAGTGTGGTCTCCAACCTAACACATCAGCATCACTTGGGAACTTTTTAAAAATGCAAATTCTGAGGCACTACTCCAGATCCCTTGAATTATCCACCGTGAAGTTGGGCCCATCACTCTGTGTTTTTACAAGCACTCCAGGTAATTTTAATGCATCCTAAAGTTTGGCAACAAACTTTACTGCTGAACAAAGGAAACAACATCAGCCTCAAAAACTGTTATGAGGATCATCATTAGAATCACCTGGGAGGTATATGTAGTATATGTATGTATGTATATGTATATACATCTTTGTGTATATATGTGTGTGTGTGTGTATATGTGTGTGTGCACTTATACAAGACACACAGGTGACACCAAAACACTTGGAGTTCCCTCCGGTTATTGTCAACTGGTTACTGCAATTGTGTCCATTGACCACAAACATGAGTCCGTTGGAATTTCTGTGTCTTCAATATTTCTCTGCCAAACTGGCCAGAAAAATGTCTATGAAGCCTGAGCATCTTGAAGTCAAGAGTATAGCGGTGCGTTGCACAGCGTTTTCCTCCTCATCCCCATCAGATTCAGCCACTGCTCTGGAACAATAGAAAGAAACTCGTGGGCTGTTCTCTCTTCTCTCATAGCACTCCTACCCTTTTTGTTTTTGAGAACTCAAGCTTGAGAAACTCAAAACCTAGACAAGCAAGTTATTGTCTTCAAAGAATGTCTACTTTTTATTAGGGAATAAAACTCGCTTTAGACAAAAAAGGACAAAGCTTAATCACAAACACTGATTATCATCACAATAAATGATCTTACAATCCTAGTATAGCACACTAGTTTAAGGCAAATACCTAGGGAAATTGTTTTTGTTTTGGTCCTCTATTTAAATTTGCAAAATCTGAGCCAAAGTGTAATTGAACAGACTGAATGCCATATTGGGCTAGAAATATATTTCTAACTTAAATCAATTGTGTTTGATTTAATTATTTAGTAGAAAAACATGCCAGCTCTATACCCAAACAGGCCTTGGCTAAATCAGTAAAATTGTCCAGTGAATTGACCATTTAACTTCCCTAACATATTCTAGCCCTACTCAAATTGTGTAAACGGCTTATATGTGGTAAGGATATGAGAAGTCACCCAATAAACATGGCACATAATACTAGAGCATCAATTGTGTGCAATGAGTGTGAATACATTTAAAACAAGGAGAGTAAATGGAACATAATACGAGATTTAAATAAATTAGAAAAACCTCAAGCTTGTGTTGCCCAGTGTGAGATTTATAACTAATCCCTTTCACATATCCCACCCCTATTTCTGTATGTTCATATGAAGTTTCCTTTATCAATGCAGGTAGAAACACAGAAAAGTTTGAGCTCACAATAATATGAAAAAGAATAATGATGTAAAGGAGTGGTTCAGTCATAGAGCTTCTCAAGTCTGTAAAGAATACTGTGCTTGAACTATCAGGATAATTGAGGTCAAAGAAATATAGTAATAATTTCTTAAACACTTTTCTCTTGTATACATGTAAAATAAACATCAATTTCATAAATGTCAACTCCAATCTGTTAGTAAAATAGTAATGTTAAATCAATATGCTGTCTCATAAAAACATAGGTGACACTGATTAACATATTTTCTACTATCTCAATTAGGAAGTCAAGAATATAATACTGTAAGCATTACTCACTACATATAGAGTCATGCACTGCATAAAGATGTTTCAGTCAATCACAAACCACATATGTGATAGTGGTCCCTTAAGATTATAATGAAGCTGAAAAATTCCTATTATCTAGTGACATTGTAGCTTTTATAAAATCATAGGACAAGACATTACCTTTTCTATGCTTACATACACAAACATTTGCCATTTTATTACAGTTGCCTACAGTATTAGTACAATAACATGCTGTACAGGTTTATAGCCCAGGAGCAATAGGTTATCCTTTATAGGTTTGGATAAATACACTCAGTGGTGCTCACGATAATGAAATCACCTAAAGACACATTTCTCAGATCGTATCTTCATTGTTAAGTGATGCATGACTGTATAAACACACACACAAACACACACACTCACACATGCATGCACACACACAAGATTGCATTTGTGACCAAGTAAAAAATAACTTGATTTTCAACAAACAGACAAATGCAGATGAACACACAACCCAGGAGAACCAAACTTTCATTCTAACAAAGCTTCAACATATATTCAGAAATTTGTACCAAATATCTCAATATTAATCCTGATAATTTAGGCTAATGTTTAATCATCTGTAAATGAAATTAGGAACATTTTAATAGCTGCAGGATGACTGTATTAGTCCCTTCTCATACTGCTATAAAGACATACATGAGACTGGGTAATTTATAAAGAAAAGAGGTTTAATCGGCTCATGGCTCTGTGCAGGCTTCTGCTTCTGAGGAGGCCTCAGGAAACTTACAATCATGGCAGAAGGGTAAAGGGGAAGCTGACATATCTTCACATGGCCAGCAGGAGACAGAGAGAGTAAAACCGGAAGTGCCATACACTTTCAAACAACCAGATCTTGTGAGAACTCACTCACTATTGTGAGAACAGAAAGGAGGAAATCCACCCCCATGATTCAATCACCTCCCACCAGTTCCCTCCTCCAAACATTGGGGATTACAATTTAACATGAGGTTTGAGTGGAGACACAGAACCAAACCATATCAATGACTAAACAGTCTGATGTTATATAGACATCACTCAAAAGTTCAGAAGTACTAAATCATTTAAAGTTTGATCATGTTTTTTGGAATGAAACTTGAGAATTACATTTACCTATACAGAATAAACCAGCATGTCTCTAAATTCACGAAATGATATTGGCTAGGTGGTATACTTAAAGTATTAATGATTACACACAAAAATCTAGTCAAAATTAGACATCATGAAAGTTATTCTTTTTGTTGCTGTTATTGATCTAAATGTATCCTCATTTTAATACTTGTATTCTTAAATTAATAAAACATATTTATGCTTATAAGATTGACAAATGTCTAGAAGTTCAGTAGTATACAGTATTGTCATGGGTAAGTGATACAGGATATTTTCATGACCCCTTTGCAGAACTTGGGATTGGTTGGGGGGTGCCTCATTTACTCAGCCTGCCCCTGTCTACCCCTCATGAGAGGGAGCATGTGAGCCAACAAGTGCAGGAACTGGAGCGAGTGCTTTTGGGCACTGGCAGGAAAAAAACTCCATTTACTTGGCTCACTGTTCTCAACCCCTTGTGGGAGGGGACGTATAGGCTATGGGTATGGGATCCAACTGACCGCTTTTGGGCGCAGGTGGGAGCAAACTCCATGCGGGCCTGCAGCAGTGTCCAGGTAGGGATGCCTGTGATCTCGGAAGCCTCAGAGGGTGTGTTATGATGCTCTTTCAGCTCTTCCATCTGCGGACAGCGTAAGTGTTATCAGCTCAGTGGGGCTTTTGCCTCATCACGTGGGCAGTTGCCCTCAGCCCAGTGAGGGCAGAGGGCCAGTGTGACAGCCTTCCTGGGTACCCCTACCCAGTGCATCCTGAATTCTTGTCCGGTGCCCAAAAGGAATGAGGTCACATGGACTAATTGAAGGATGGTGAATGTGGAGAATTTTATTGAGTGATGAAAGAGGCTCTCAGCAGGGAGGGGAGCAGGAAAGAGGATGGAAAGGGAAGGTTACTCTCCTGTAAAGTCAAACTGCCTCTCTGCCTCTGTCTTTGGAAGTCAAGTTGCCTCTCCCTGATGCCCAGCCACTTCCTCCTGACATCCAGCTGCTTCTCCTCTCTGCCAGCTGAGTCTGGAGTTTTTAGAGGCACAGCATGGGGGCGTGGAGAGGTGCCATGGGTAGTTTAGGAAAAAGCAACATTCAAGCAGGAAAACAGGGATGAAAGTTCTCATGTTGGGCTGCAGGTTTCAGGCTTTTAGGCTTGCAGGTGGGGTTTTGCCAGGGACACGCCCCTGTGTGCTTAGAATTAATCTTCCTCCTGCCTCTATCATTGTATCATTAGGAGAAACTGGTGGGACTGGCAAATTTGACAACTTCTATGTAGCACAATTTAGCAATATCTATCAAAATTAAGTATACATACAACTTTGACACAGAGATTTTGCTATATTTGTCCTACATGTAAGATAAATAATTATAGCAAATGTACATAAATATATCTTTGTACATATTTTATGTTGCACAGTAGTTACTGTATATGCCAAACCAGTCATAATAGCAAAGACCTGGGAAAAAATTTACTGAGCAATATGATACTGGTTAATAAATCATTCACTAAAAAATGCAGCTATTAAAAATAATGTATCTAAACATACATAAAATGATTTCTAAGATATAAGTGATAATCAATCTTAAGTATCCTAACAACATGTATTAGATATAATAATCTTTGTGGCATGAACAAATGTGTAAATAAAATATGTCTAAATTCATAGCAACCATTGGAAATATACATTTTGAATGTAATTTTGAGGTTTCTCTTGGAGAGTATCTAGATGGCTGGGAAACAAGTAAGGAAGGGAGGTACATTTTTAAAAGTATTTAAATTTTAAATTTTATACCATTTGCATGAATTATATATTCCGAAAATTAAATTTAGAGAGGAAAATAATTCCAGTTAATTTTTTCCTGATTCACTGCTCAGAGAAATGAAGTATATTTGTGATAAGTAAAAAGTTTGGCATTCCTCTTCATACATTTGTGTGTGTGTGTGTGTGTGTGTGTGTGTGTGGGTGCATTAACTGAGTCTCCATTTTACAAATGAGAAAATTGAAGCTCAGAAGGATTCAGTAATTTTCTCAAAGTCTCACAGCAATTAAATAGCAGAGCCTAAAGTTGTATTCAATTTTATTTAACATCAAAGCTTGTGATCTAACTACCATATTGCAGGTGCTCTTTAAAAATTCGTCACAACTAATATCTCAAAATGTTAGTTTTGAACTTTTAAATTGCTATTCAATGCCAAATTGCCAAATTCAACCTTTTTATCTCCCAATAATATGATCTTCCCAAATAGTTGGCGTCTTTTATAGTAAACACCCCCACTTTTAAAGTTCAACTATTTCTGTATCAACACTAGCACAGAATCGTATAGCCACTAGCACATCTATTTAGAAAGCCTTTCTGAAACGTTGGCCTTTTTGCTTTCTGAATTATGCTACTTTAGCTTTAAAAACCAAAAAAAAAAAAAAAAGTCAATTACTGGTTATTGACACACAGTAAGAGGAAATGAGTCCTGGTTGATAGTGATATAAATTGATAGTTTCAAATTCTGAACTCATTTCATAGCTGTACAATTGCTTTTGAAGTGTGACTTTTATTAAGCCTCTTAACCCCTGGAAATTTCATCTCTGAATGGGTAGCTTGCAAAATGTACCGGTCCTCTATGGGATATTATGAGCTCTCATTAATTAATGTTTTGTAGAGCACTTTGAGATTTGGTTTGAATGGTGCTACATCAATGCAAAGTATCAGTAAGACACTTAAAAATCAAATTGTCACCTGCTCCAGG
The DNA here is from genome assembly GCF_000001405.40 of Homo sapiens. Classification (NCBI taxonomy): domain Eukaryota; kingdom Metazoa; phylum Chordata; class Mammalia; order Primates; family Hominidae; genus Homo; species Homo sapiens. Next base: position 193,851,534 of record NC_000001.11, on the reverse strand, counting down.
GACTAAAGTAAAGCCTGTAGTTTGCTGATAATGAAGTCAGCGCTTGTGTGTGTGTGTGTGTGTGTGTTTTGAAGTTAGTCAGGGTGGAGTTTATTAGACCAACATTTTAATAAGAATATTTGGGAGTCTAACAGTATAATAGAGATACATAAATATGGTCAACTCTCAACTACTTGAGCAGATTAATTGATTTATGAATTAACTGTGGTCAAAATGGGTGGAAGCCCCTTTATCTTTCCTGCACTGTGTAGTGGCTTAAGGCAGTGGCTGATCCTTAAAGAACCAACTCAGGAAGCAGAAAAGACATCGACCCATGTATAGAGACCCTGTGGCTGATGCTGGAAGGTCTGGGTTGCCTAGCTTTCTTTACATCGCATGTGTTTCCTCTGTCCTTGAGAAGGTCAAAGCCAGAGGCTAGGCTTTAATATCTCCCATAAGTGTCAAGGAGGAGAGGAAAGCAAGCTACTTACTTGATCTAAATTTCAGTCAGCCACTGACTGCTTCTATGCCTCTCCAAAGGAGGTAAACTCCCAGACCCTGCTGTGCCCCAGCCAAAGTAAATATACACGTTTGTTAATCCACCCCAATCATGTCCTCAGAAAAGAAAGCATTGGCCTCATTTTAACCACTTTTCCATGACATGTGATCTCCTCGTGCCTACTCATTGAACAAGACTTTGTGGTTATTAATATTGATTAATATCTAACAAAGAATATATTCAAGTGTATTTTGGGGAAAAAAAGTAATGTGATTTATTTCAGTAATATTCAAGAGAAAATATTAAATTATGATATCCATTTTGCTGTTCTTACCCTAGTATTTTGTTAGTGTCTATGGCATAGTTGTTACACAGTTAATGTCTCTGCTAAATGAGACCATTTTGTCATAGCTCATGTTCTCAGATTTAGCTTTGCTACCACAGTTGTTTACTTTAGTGTAGCCATTGCTTATAAATTAAGAAACATAGGTTTTTTTTATTTTTATTTATTTATTTATTTGAGACAGTCTCACTCTGTCCCCCAGGCTGGAGTGCAGTGACGCAATCCATCTCGGCTCACTGTAAACTCTGCCTCCTGGGTTCAAGTGATTCTCATGCCTCAGCCTCCCTAATAGCTGAGATTACAAGCACCCACCACCACGCCTGGCTGCTTTTTGTATTTTTAGTAGAGACAGGGTTTTGCCATGTTGGCCAGGCTGGTCTCAAACTCTTGACCTCAGGTGACCCACCCACCTCGGCCCCTCAAAATGCTGGGTTTACAGGCGTGAGCCACCATGCCCAGCCAGAAACATAAGTTTAATTTAAGAAAACTAAAACAACAAAAATTCAAAAATAGTTCTGACTGTAAAAATAACACTTGCCCACTGTCTTAAAATTTAAGAAAATATTTTGCTTAAAATTTCTGGCAACATTAAAAATGTAGCCAGAAACAAGGGCAAAAATGTGTTCAACCTCAAAAGTAAGACTATTTTAAGTAGTCAAATCTAGTGAAGAAACATTTCTAATAAAATTACTTTTAAAAAAAATCAAAGAGAAAATGTTTTACATAATGATATTTTGTATTATTGAAAACTTCCATTTAATATGAGAAAATGTGATGTATAGTTATAAAATATAATTAAATCAATTAATGTTCAAAAATGTCTATTGGAGATAGTATTATATTTTTATTGATAATAGTATTACCAATAGTATGATTTAAATAACTGGAAATGAATAACAGCCAATAAATATAAAACAGAAATTTTTGGTTATATTTTTCTCCTAGATAAAAGAAAAATTCTTTAATACTGCCTGAGAACACACTTATCTACAGTTTCCTGTACTTTCTACTAGAAAACATGACAGCTGAATCCAAGAAAAAAAAATGAACACTTATCCTGGAATTCTGTCCAATCCAATCACAGATTAGAATTACCAGTGAATCTAAGCAACAGAGGTATAGCATATACTATAACAGCAGAATGAGAATAATGTCCCAACATCCAAACTAGTTCACAGGATAAAAATAAGAAAGAGTGTTCAAAAAATTAATACACTTAAAATGTAAGAAATAAAAGATTTTTAACAAGTATAATTTGGATACATATTTTAGCAAACCTAAATGATATGTATGCTATGTAAACAAAAAGGACAAATAAAGATTGAAAAATGATCAAAACAAGACCAGGAAAGTATTAACAAGAAACATTTTTTCAAAGTCTATTGTGCTTTGTTAATATTAGACTAAATACATTTTGAAACAAAAAAAACCTTATACACTATGGTAGATTGAAAATATCTCCATGATACTTTATAACTCTTCACAATTGGTAACAGTTTATTCTCCTATCCCTGGACCAAGGTCCTAACAAAGGAGGTGACAAAAAGTGGTTGGATTTTGTGCTAAATATAAAGTTAGAGCCAATGGGAACTCATTACAGATTATATGTTGTGTGTGAAAGAAGGATATGAGCCAAAGATGACTCAAAGATTTATGACTAGAACAATTAGAAAAATGAAATCGCCAATAAAGGAAAACCAATCTAAGATTAGAAGTGCTAAGGAAGGAAAAAACAATTTTAGAATATTTAAAATGTTATCTAATATAAATTATCTTTAAATATTCTAATTTGCAAATAACTACAGAGCCAAAAAGTAAGCATAATTTATAAAGCATAATAGAAAAAAGGAAAGGAATCATGAAATATATCAATTATTACCTATTAGAATCAATACCAAAAGTTATTTATTTAAATAAATATGAATTACTTAAATTCCCTTTATAAAAGATGAAGTTTCTCAAATAAGCTTAAAATATATACTATGTACAAGAAAAACTGACGATAAAAATGCACAGGGAGACTGAAAATGCATAAAGTATGTCAAAATAAAGTAAACAAAAAGCAGAATATTAATATTAAAGTGAGAATCCAGATTAAAGTCATTAAATTTTTAAAATATCTGATTTGAATGAATCAGGTTCTGTTGATACAAAGTTTAATCTATAGTGATTATACATGATGAATGAACATTTTATACAGTGAATAACATAGCATGAAAATATATACAAATTGGCCAGGTGTGGTAGCAAACGCCTGTAATCCCAGCACTTTGGGAGGCCAAGGCTGATGGATCATGAGGCCAAGAGATCGAGACCATCCTGGCCAACACGGTGAAACCACATCTCTACTAAAATACAAAAATTAGCTGGGTGTGATGGTGCACATCTCTAGTCCCAGCTACTCGGGAGGCTGAGGCAGGAGAATCACTTGAACCTGGGAGGTGGAGGTTGCAGTGCGCTGAGATCACGCCACTGCACTGCACTCTAGCCTGGTGACAGAGTGAGATTTCATCTATATATATATAAACAGACACATATACACACACACACACACACACACACACACACAAATTATCTTTAATTTTCAGATGTCGACTTTAATAAAACCCACACTTATTTTTGCACACTGACATCTGAATTCTCTTTCTTACCTTCAGCTTTCATACAGTAGCTCTCTAATGATATTTTCAAGCTATCCCAAATTGGCATTGCCTGCCAGCCCATGCTGCAGGGATTCTAGTCTGTGCCAACACTAATGCATCGGTGTTAGGAGGTGAGCACTTTTAAAGGCACCAGTTTCTGGTGAAAATGAGACACCCCCAACCCAGCCCTTTGCACTTGTGATGTTTTCTAATTACTTAATCAGAGTCTCATGAGAATAAGGAGCAGCAGCACAAAAATTGTCTATGAACAAAATTGTATTTTAGTCCATAGATTGTTGAAATGTTGATTTATTTTTAACTTAATAACTCAAACATTTGCAAGATACTGAGAAAATTTGGGATGTGGAGAAACAACATCAAGTGCTTATGCTTTAGTAAAATATATATATTCTATTCACAGAAATAATCATTTGGAATGTATGTGCTTAATATCCCCTGTAAACACCCAGATATGTTGAACATAATATATTTCATTGTTTATCCTTTCTGCAGGAGGCTTAACCATCTTGGCTTTATTTCTCAGACATAGTTATGTAAGTTGCTGTGGTCAGTGAAAAGAGGGCAGAAATGATTAGGTGTCACATCTGGCAGACACTATAATATCCAGTTCATGCTTTGATCATTTCTTTTCTCCCTTAGCCATGGTTTCTGCCAATATTCAGATAATAGCTGACACCTTATTCTGGATCCCAGAGTGAGGGCTGTGATGAAACCCAAGAGAATCCCCACCCAGCTCATATATGCTTAGTGCATGGGCAAGAAATAAATTTTTGTTGTCTTTTTAAATGTGTCAAGACAGCATCGCCTCTATTTTTAATCAGAAACCAAATTTGGGAAATTGGCCCCCAGTTCAGATTATTACGGATGACTGACCCTTTCAGGCATTCCCTATTATTCAATTAACTGAATGGAAGCCAAAGTGCACTTCAATTTGTAGACAGTTTTAATTGACATGGCATTGCTTATAGTGGTTTTGACCTTAGAAGGAGCCCTAGAATACATTGATGAAGTATTAGGGAAAATATGCACATTCACTTCTTATGCTTCACTTAGTCTGTGGTTTAAAAAATTAGAATTTGCTGTGCCCAGAATGTAAATTCACTTTAAATGACAACATTTTTCTATTGAGCTTTCCTTGGATGTTTATCTTTTAAAAAGAACTCCAATTTTATTTATTTTGCTTTTGTCCTTAATTACTTATTTGATCTGCCACAATTAAAATTTAATATGATCTAGAAAGACAACGAACGGTCTGATCATCTCTTTTTTGTATTATAAATTTATCTAGCTTAGGTGTTAAAAATAATTTCATCTAGAAACTCTTAAAAAATATGTTTTTTGTTAAAATGCTTTGTGTCTAAATTGTAAAATAATTAGGTACACATATCTTACAGAATCCAAATAAGGTGAGTATTCCAGCAAGTCACATCATGTCAGCTTGATAGATACCGCAGACATCTGATATCCTGTGTGACTCAATTTTTTATATCACTCTATAACATTTTCAAAAAATATTCCCTTCCATTTTATTCTCAAAACAAAATTCTGAAATTGTTAACATAAATATCTTTATTACATCATTGCCAGCAAGGGCAATGTGGCATAGAAAGATTCTTAGCCAAGAACACAGAGGCATAAAATTTAACACTAGAGCATAAAGACTAAACTGTATAGCCACTGGATTTTAGTCTAGTTCTTATACCTTGCACCATCATAGTATTTTACATCTCTTCTTGTTTATCTAATTTGTGTTTGGGAATTTTTAGACTCTCTGGCTAACAACCCCACTTGCACTTCATTTTCTTACATGCCTTAGCTAAGTATGTGAAATAGGTGATCCTAAATAATAAATAGGAATTTGTTATGAACGTGTGGGAAATACTTGGGGATACACACATGAGTTTCCAATTCCTAATCCATTTTGGAAATACAACCCTTCCAAAAATTTGTCTTTATAGCTACCTGATTCTAATCTACTTCCAATAATCACATTCAGAATTCCAGTTTCTTGACATACGCACCAAAATAGCTATATTTCTTTTCCCTCTTGCCCTCATGCCTCTCTCTCAAATTACTGATAAATTACTTTGAAATTTTGGGCTTCAGTGGAAGAACTATTAGGTAGGTGCAAAAATTACTGAATTTTGCCATTGAAATTAATGGCAAAAGCCACAATTACTTTTGCACCAACCTAATACAACCTTGAGCTTTTCCCCTGAATCATTTTATCTAATTAAAAACTTTTACTTGACCACATTCTCTTAACTTGAACTTTTCCTTGAGGCACAATAATTCAATGAGGGTAATTAACAGTAAGTGTGAAAACTGTACTCTTAATTTGGTCTTTGTCACAATGCTGAGCCAAGGTCACTCAAAATTTTCTGAAGTCTTTCTTATACCCTCTTACTGGTTAGGTTTAAGAAGCAGTTGCTTTTTTTAAGCCTCTTAAATCCTCAGCTTTCTGAGTATTTTGTATCCTTTTCATTACTGCTTGAAAATTAACCAATTCCTTCAAATTTCATTTTTCTCATGATACCATGTTAAATACAGCCAATAGCAAATAAGAGAAACTAGCAATATTCTGCTTTTAACTTTACCTCACAATCAAAAATTCATTACATACATAGGCTGCCTCCCATATTGCTAGAGGTAATTATTTTACATAAGATTTGTCACTCAGTGACATGAATCAATGTCTATAAAGTCTCTGATGTATGTTGTCTTCCTGGTTAAGTTAATGACCCATATTTATTTATTTTTTGGTAGCAACAACACCCAAATTTGTTGCCCTTTTTACTTTTTAATGGTGCCATTAGATGAAGAGAAGCTATGTATTAGTCCATTCTCATGCTGCTAATAAAGACATACCTGAAACTGGGTAATTTATAAAGAAAAGAGGTTTAATTGACTCAGTTTTGCATGGCTGGGGAAGCCTCGGGAAACTTACAATCATGGTGGAAGGGGAAGCAAACATGTCCTTCTTCAAATGGCGGCAGGAGAGAGAAGTGCCAAGCAAAGGAGGAAAAGTCCCTAATAAAACCATCAGATCTCATGAAAACTCAGTATCATGAGAAGAGCAGCATGTGGGTAACTTCCCCCATGATTTAATTACCTGCCCATGTGAGTGTTATGGGAACTACAATTCAAGATGAGATTTGGGTGGGGACACAGCCAAACCATATCAAGCTGTTAATGTCAATGTAGGCCAATTTACCAATCTTTTCCTTCATAATCAGTGCTAATGATGTCCTATTTCAGAAATGTTTGCCTTGTAAATTTATAACATTTTCTATTGCATCTAAAAGACATACACTTAGATTTGAATTTGAGATATACACTCTAACAGGATATGTATGTGTGTTTATTAATTTTATAATTTTACATATGGTGTGGGGTAGAAGTGAAGATTCTTTTTTTTTGCATATGGATGTCCAATTAATATATCATCACTTTTTAAAAGACCGCTTTTTCACTACTCTTCTATATGGCTACTTTGGTCATTAAGTCCTGGTTAAGTTAAGTTTCTACATATGCATGCATTTATTTCTGGACTTCCATTCTTCTGTTTTTCTATCTGTATGGCCTATTAAAAGTTCCACTTTCTTAATTATAATACTATATATTTATAATAATTCTTAATATATCAAGAATATATTAAAGTCTCCTTTATTCACAGTATTCAAGATTATCAGCTATGCATAGCCTATTAAATTTCCACATATAATAAATTATAAAATCTACTTGTTAATATTAAAAAAGAACAGTCTCATCGCAAATTAAGGATTGAAATGAAACTATAGAAAATCTGTAAAGAAATAACATATTGAAATTATTTGGTGTTCTAATCCACAAACATAATATTAATATGTTCCCCCATTTACTTAGACTTTCTTCTTTCTACGTTTGTTTTTCTCTGAGTAGAGGTCTTAATTTCTTTTGTTATGAAGAGCTTGGAAATTACCAGCCCCATGCAGATATTTTACTTCCAACTTCCTACTTTCTACTTGACCAAAGCTTTGTCTCTCCTGTCCTCTGCACAGCTATTAATATCTAAACTTCTATTGAATTCATCTAATGCTCCTAAAATTCAGAGTCAACTTCTCATGTTTACTTTATTTTTTCTCTCCAGGGAATTTTCCCTACTTTTCTATAAGCTTAAATATTCTACTATAAGTGTTTTTTTAATCCAGATTATCTAGCTTTTAATAATAGAAAAATAAAAAACAGAAGGTTTTTCAGCTAGTTAATCTACCATAGTGCCAAAGGCAGAAGTCATTAGAAATACCTTGACCTTTCATCATACATCTGTGGGTACTATTTGATTTAAGTTTTGTATTGTATTTGAATTACTTTAAAAATAAGTAATTCAAAAAATTGAATGCCCAAATACTCAAGTTTGATCTCCTAAATAACAATTCACACATGAAGAAACAGAGGCTTCTATACCTACTCTAGAATATATGTTTCAGTTCTTCTGTGTTGATTTTCTTTTTGTTATGCAATGCCTAAATCATTCTATATGGAAGCTTTTATATACCAGCAATGTTTAATGTGCTTTTCATTTATCTGAGCCAATAAACCATTTTAGATTATATAATTCTACGAATTTAAGGGTTATTGACTGAATGTTTTCCCCAAAATATTTATGTTGAAGCCCTCATTTCCAGTGTGATATTTGGAGGTAGAGCCTTTGGGAGGTAATTAGGTCATGAGGGGAGAGCCCTCCTCATGCATGAGATTAGAACACTTACAAGAGCCACAAGAGAAATGATCTCTCTGTCTGGCATGGGAAGACATAATAAAAACACAGACATCTGAAAACCAGGAAGAGGGCCCTCACCAGACACTGGAACTGTAGGTGCTTTGATCTCAGACTTCCATGTTTCAGAACCATGAGAAAGAAATGTTTGTTGTTTAAGACATCCAGTCTATGGAATTTTTATTATAGCAATCTGAACTGATTAAGACACCAAGGATAGAGCTAGTAATTGCTTAACAGAAATTGGCTAATGAATGTATTCAGACCTCAAGACAACTATGCTTATTATACACTTTGTTTCTCTATTCACTGAGTACTGAGTCTTGAAAATAAAATTTTATTGTAAAAAATATAGAATTCTCAAATGTACCTATATTATGCATATAATACCAACAGCTGTACAAGCCAACACCATAAATAGTATTTGCATATGTTCTCATTTTTAATATTATATATAAATAAGCTGAGTTATGTTTAAAAAGTTAAATGTGCTCTCTTCATCTGCCAGTTTGTAGCTCCTGATTTCTTTAAACTGAATTAAATAGAAGTACATCAAAAGCTGTGAAAGACACAACAATCAATATTTAGACACTATCCTGTTCCTATCAGGCACTGTTGTCGCACTAACAGGCAACTTCATTAAAGACTTTAGAAATAAAATATCTGGGTTCAAACGTGCCAAGGAACCTAGTTTAAGACTCAGCAATAATAATTGGAGGGGAGCCATCTTAAAATATATGGTTGTTGAATAATAAAAGCATAATGGCATTTATCTGTATAAAATCTGACATCAGGTTGAATAAGAGGGCAGAATTAAATAACCGAGTTCATAATACATAACTGAAATTCACACAATCTCTCAAAAAATAACATCTTAGTTTCCCTGCCATTATATTCACCTTTTCCAACCTTGAAATTTTCCTGTCCAAATTCCCCATTAAATCTTCACTGAGTACTTGAGATGGTCTTTGAACACATATTGATTTATTCTAACAGAAATAACTCTAACATTTCTCTTTAACCCTTCAGTTGAATAACCTTCTATCCAAAAATATATAAATACTTGTGGAAACTGTGTATAATACAGAAATATAATTTCAAGCACATTTGTTGATAGTATGTAAAATATTTGGTGAATCACTGATACATTTAAATGTTTGCATTCCAAAAGACTACCATGCTATGGTTTGAATGTGTCCCTCAAAGTTCACATGTTGGAAACTTAATCCTCAATGCAACAGTGTTGAGAGGGGGGACTTGTAAAAGTTATGATTAGGTCATGTGGGCTCTAGTTTGAGCCCTCTTTCTCTCTCTCTCTCTGTTTCTCTCTCTCCCCCCGCCCCCCGACTTCCCCCATGCATGTGCACACACACATTCTCTTGCCCTTCTGCCTTCCACAATAGGATGACACAGCCAGAAAGCCCTTGCCAGATGTAAGTCCCAGATGTAAGACCTTGGATTTCCTATCCTTCCGAACTGTAAGAAATACATTTCTTCAATATAGTGAGACCCTATCTCTACAAAAAATAAAATTTAGCCAGGCATACTCAGGAGGCTGAGGCAGAAGGACTGCTTGAGCCCAAGAGACTAAGACTGCAGTGAGCTATGATTATAACACTGCATTCCAGCCTGGGCAACAGAGCAAGACCCTGTCTCTATAAAAATAAGAACTGTTTAAAAACAAATTTATTTCTTTATAAATTACCCAGTCTGTGGTATTGTCATAACAACACAAAACATGATAAGACAGAAAATTGATCCCAAGAAGTGGGGGATCTAAACTGAAGGACCTAAAAATGTGAAAGCTTTGGAACTGGGTAATGGGTAGAAGGTGGAAGAATTTGGAGAAATGGGCTAGGAAAAAACCTAGGTTGCTATAAATGAAGCATTAAGGACAATTCTAGTGAGGGCTCAGAAGTAAAGAAGAGCTGTAGGAAAATTTTGGAACTTAGATATTACTTAATGATTGTGATTAGAATGGTGGCAGAAATAATAGACAGTAAACGCCATTCTAATGAGGTCTCAGATGGAAATGAGAAACAAAGTGTTGGAAACTGGAGTAAAGTATGTCTTTACATAGAGTTGCAATGAACTTGGCAGAATTGTGTCCAAGGCCTAGGACTTATGGAAGGCAGAACTTAAGAGTGATGTACTAGGATATCTGAGAGAAGATATATACAAACAGTAAAGTATTCAAGGTGCTGCATGGCTTCTTCTAGACACTTATAGTAAAATCAGAAAAATGAGACATGATTATTAAAAGGAAACAGAGTGGAAATATTTTGAAAACTCTCAGCCTGGCCAAGTAAAAAAATTTTTAAGTGTGTTTGGGGGAGAATACTAAGGATGTGGCAAAGGGACCATTTGCTAAAGAGATGAATATGGATAGAAAAAAGGCAGGTTCTATTCATGAGGATGATGGGAGAATAGCTCTGAAGGTATTTCACACATCTGAGACAAGCCAGGACCTTGGAGGCAAGATTTCCAGAAAGGCAACCATGGAATCTCAGCATTCATTTCCTGGGGTTGCCTTGGGACTGTACTCCTTGCATTCCAGCACAGTGCCACCGCTCACCTGCCCCAGCCATGGTTCAAGATGGCTCAGATGTGGCCATGCAAGCAGTAATCCTTGGCAGTGTTCACATGGTGCTAATTCTGCAGATGCACAGAGTGCCAAAGCTGTGGGGTTATGTCAGCCTGCACCCAGATTTTGAAAGATGTCATAGACAGCCTGGGAGCCCAGGCAAAGATTTGTCACAGGGACACAGCCACCACAAAGAACCCCTACTAGGGCAATGCCTACTGGAGCCATGGGAGTAGGGTTGCTATTGGGATGAAATAAATATATTTTGCATGTGAAAAGAATATGAATGTGAGGGCTACAGTGGAGGTATTCTATGATCGGAATATGTCCCCTGAAGTTCATGTGTTGGAAACTTAATCCCTAATGCAACAGTGTTGAGAAGTGAGATCTTAACCTAACCTTAAGACTAGGTTATGAGGGCTTTGCCTTCATTAATGGATTTAATGCCATTATCCCTGTGAGGGAGGTTAGTAATTGCAGGCGTGGGTTCATGATAAAAGAATGAGTTTGTCTCCCTTCCCCATCTCTCCTCTCTCTATATACATATCTCTTTTACCTTCTCTCATTCTCTTGCCCCTTTGCCTCCCACTATAGAATGACACAGCAAGAAGGCCCTCACAAGATGTAGACCCTTGACCTTGGACTTGTCAGCCTCCAGAACTATAAGAAATAACTGTTTTTCTTTATAAGTCATCCAGTCTATGGTATTCCATAGCAACACAAAACAGATTAAGACACCACATAAATGAAAAGATTTAGCACTAAAATCACCATGTATTAGGGAAGTGTGCTAGAAGATATGAGCTATATATTCTAATTCTATTGAAAGTTGTTTTAAGTCATTTGCCTAAAGTCAGAGAAAATATAACATGTACTTTATTAAAAGAACATTTTCTTCTTGTTTCCATATTTTCAAATAGTGAGTCTGGATGAATAATCTGTTTTCCACTGTGTTTTGGTTATAGATGGAGGAACTTCCATATTAGAACTTCTATCTTAGAATGGCTAAATAACTGGTTTTTATTTTAAACTGTCTGGGTTAAAAAAATAGTTGAAGCTGATAAACTCAAAAGGTATGTTGGCATAATGTGAAGTGTTTAAAATATCAGATTTGATAGAGAAAATCAAAGCACTATAAATTAACCCATGAAGGCAGGAGAAAATTAGGAGGTGTATGAGAAGGGTAATAAGAGAGAATGGAGAGTATGGAGAAAGAAGGGGAGTAGATAAGGAAGAAGGGATAGGAGAGAAAAGAGAGAGAGTGGGAGGAGGCAAAGAGGATAGAAAGGAAGGTAGAGAAGGTAGGTAGCTCCCTAGGATAAACTGAGCACCATCTACTAAAGACATATTTCTGCTTTGAAAACATGTCATTGACGCTGGCATGGATTAAATAAAAATTACTCTTCTCAGTATAAAACTTAAAATCCTCCGTTACCTAACTTCTGCCCACTTACTAGCTTCAACTCTTGCCACTCTTCAATATAAACCCTCAGTTCAAACCATATCAAATTACCTACGATTGGTTACTGTACTAACCTTTTTCAGAGCACTGGGCACATGCCGATCGTTCCATGTGGTCTTCCCTTTTCCTCCCTCCCTACCTCTTCATTTGCCATAGTCCATCCTTAATCTTCTAAGTCCTTCATTTATTCTTTAATATCAGCTCTAATCTTGACTTCTTTGTAAAGTGTTCCTTAATCTGTCCTCCTTTTCAGGAACTGTTGGGGGTTCCCCTTCAGTGCTCACTTGGCAACTTGTACAAACCTTTGTTCCAGCACCTAACACTTGCATTGCGATGTACACAAATTTGAGCTTAGGACTCATATTGAAGTATATAATATATGAGTATATGTGACTCATAATGAGTATTAGGACTGAATTTTACCCATCACTGAGGATGAGTACATTTCTAAACTCTTAGGAATTCATAAATGTTTATTATGAAAAATTAGTCGATGTTAATTATTGTGAGACTGGGTGAATGAACAAGCCTAATTATGAATATAATTCCTTTTAAAGAAATTCATGTATAAATGAATTATGCAATTCATTTATGTTGGCCAAATTTGTTTGGTAATTTCTAGTATTTTCTTACAGTGTGCGGATGATAGACCTAAACTAACATTTACTGACTGCAAAATGAACTTTTCATAAAGGAGCAAGAATGCTGTGAAGAAGAAATCTACAAAGAGTTCATAAAGTTCAAAACAGGCCAATTCTGTACAAAATAAGGTCTGTGGAGCTCAGGGTGCTATGGCTGCTGAGCTTGCAGGAACATTTGGTAATTAATCCGAGCTTTGGGGAATTTCAAATGTTGGCAAACATGTTTTAAATTTTAAATCTGTTGTTTAAAGGGGCATTCCCAAGTAGAGGTCATTCTATTATAAACAACGTTTGAGCTCAACTTTCATATTTTATTTGGTCAAATGAGAACAACAAATATTTGTGAAAATATAGTTTGATATCAAATAAAGCTTGTTTGAGAGCTCCAGTGAATATAATATGAAATCTTTCTACATAATGATTTGATTATGCCTGAGTTAGCTAGCGGCTATAATTTAATTTTTTAATTTCTTATATTGGATATTACTTGGTTTGTAATATTAACCTGGGATTCAGAGTAAGCAAAGGGTTTGTTTGTCACTGTCTGTCTTAGAAAATGCATGCCTGCCTTTTGTTGTTTACTGGGCAGCTACATAACCCTTCCCATAGTTTAGGAATAAACATAACCAAAACAAAGAGCTACAGGGCAGGAAGCAATATATAAAATACACATGTGTGTAAATGAGCTGAAATACATTCAGCTGGGTATCTCAAAACCAGGATGTTCGAAAAGACCTAGAGGAAATTCAGAGGCAAAGCAAAAATGACTTTGGGAAGAATAAATAATTTATGAATTAGATTAAATCCTTAAATATATACACCTTGGGTAAAGGACATCTAAAATTGTGATAACCCATTATAAATACTGGAAAAGTATAAACATCAACAAGAAAGATAAAAATTGCCTTGGTCATAAAATAAAATATAAAACATTTAAAGATAGAACAACCAAACTTCAGCAACAGCTAGAAAAAGTTGGACCAAATAACAATCTTTCAGTATAACTTTAAAAAGTCTCTGGAGGGTATAATACTGTAAATCAAACACTAGAAAGATCAATATAAGATTCTAACTTAATAGAGAATAGGAAAATTATAGTTGCTTATATTTGGAAGGGACTTAAAAGTTTATCTTTTCAGTGTCATACTCAATGCTTAACATGTTTGCAAACATAGCTTGAAAACACCTAAAGATAAGATAATCTATAAATTTTACTCATATTGGGGACAGAAGATCTTTAATTACTATTACCATTAATCTACTGCCAGCAATAATATTTTTTTAGTTATACTTTAAATTCTAGGGTACGTGTGCACAACGTGCAGGTTTGTTACATATGTATACATGCGCCGTGTTGATGTGCTGCACCCATTAACTAATCATTTAGCATTAGGTATATCTCCTAATGCTATCCCTCCCCACTCCCCGCCACCCCACGACAGGCCCCAGTGTGTGGTGTTTCCATTCCTGTGTCCAAGTGTTCTCATTGTACAATTCCCATCTATGAGTGAGAACATGCAGTGTCTGGTTTTTTGTCCTTGCGATAGTTTGCTGAGAATGATGGTTTCCAGCTTCATCCATGTCCCTGCAAACCACATGAACTCATCCTTTTTTATGGCTGCATAGTATTCCATGGTGTATATGTGCCACATTTTCTCAATCCAGTCTATCACTGATGGACATTTGGGTTGGTTCCAAGTCTTTGCTATTGTGAATAGTGCCGCAATAAACAGATGTGTAAATGTGTCTTTATAGCAGCATGATTTATAATCCTTTGGGTATATACCCAATAATGGGATGGCTGGGTCAAATGGTATTTCTAGTTCTAGATCCCTGAGGAATCACCACACTGACTTCCACAATGGTTGAACTAGTTTACAGTCCCACCAACAGTGTAAAAGTGTTCCTATTTCTCCACATCCTCTCCAACACCTGTTGTTTCCTGACTTTTTAATGATCGCCATTCTAACTAGTGTGAGATGGTATCTCATTGTGGTTTTGATTTGCATTTCTCTGATGGCCGTGATGATGAGCATTTTTTCATGTGTCTGTTGGCTGCATCAATGTCTTCTTTTGAGAAGTGTCTGTTCATATCCTTCCCCTACTTTTTGATGGGGTTGTTTTCTTCTTTTAAATTTGTTTGAGTTCTTTGTAGATTCTGGATATTAGCCCTTTGTCAGATGAGTAGATAATATTTTAAAGTAAATATAATGGTTATAATATAATGAGAAATTTTTTACTTGGGCTTTGGCACAAAAGACTTTTTTTCTGGCACCATTTCACTAGATTACTCCCCATCTGCCAAAAATGCACACAAAAAAGTTCTGTCCTTTGTCTCTTCCTCACAGCCTTGTGCTTATTTCTATTATAGCATTTTCCGTACTGTTATAATTTTTAATTGTCTTATTGGTGTGCCCCCCTTAATTTAAGTTGTTTGAAGACCGTGTTTTTATCTTTTTATTCATTGTACTTGACTAAAAGCCTGGTAAACAATTAAGTACTCAATAAATGGTCACTTAGGCTACAAATATGGTGGGAATGTGAATGTGAAGAAGCTGAGGTCCCTGGAAATTACAAGTTAGGAAAAGTCTTAAGAAAATATTAGGACTTATACAAATTCATGGACAATAACTACACTTTGAATTTTTAGAAATGAAAGAGGACATTTTACATGAAGAAATTCTTTTTTTTTTTTTTTTTTAAAGATGGAGTCTCACTCTGTCTTGCCCAGGATGGAGTGCAGTGGCATGATCTCAGCTCACTACTGCCTCTACCTCCCGGATCCAAGTGCTTCTCCTGTCTCAGCCTCCTGAGGAGCTGAGACTATAGGTGCCCGCCATCATACCTGGCTAATTTTGTATTTTTACTAGAGACAGGGTTTCACCATGTTAGCCACGCTGGTCTTGAACTCCTGACCTCAGATAATCCACCCGCCTTGGCCTCCCAAAGTGCTTAGATTACAGGTGTGAGCCACTGCACCAGCTTTTTTTTAAATTTATTTTTATTTTTTTAACAGTCTCTCTCTGTTGCCCAGTCACAAGTCACCCAGGCTGGAGTGCAGTAGCACCATCTTGGCTCACTGCAACCTCTGCCTCCCAAATTGAAGCAATTCTCCTGCCTCAGCCTCCCAAGTAGCTGGGATTATAAGTGTGCACCATCAGGCCCAGCTAATTTTTGTATTTTTTAGTAGAGCAAAGTTTCACCATGTTGGCCAGGCTGGTCTGGAACTCCTGACTTCAAGTGATCTGCCTGCCTCGGCCTCCCAAGGTGCTGGGATTACAGGCCACCACACCCTGCCAAAAAATTCTAATTTTTAAAAAGTCAGATGTCTGAAATTTTTGTGGCATTCTCAATTTTTAGCTACCATTAATATGGATAACTGGCTAAACTTTAGAGAATTCATTAATCCTTAAATGACTATATAATTATCAAGAAAACTTCCGAAGTTTTAGAAAAATTTACTTGTCTTATTTATAAGATAGTGAGCACAATTATAAATGGAGGTTTGATAGGATATTTTCCATGTCCCTCCCTACCTCTCTCCCCATAAGAGATATGAACCAAAAAGATTAAGATAGGTAACTAACCAAAAATAAACCCCCCTGAAAGACCTCAACTACCCATGAAGAGCTAATCATGGGTCTTGGGTGTTAGATTTATTGGATCCTGAGCTTCCAAAAACAGCCCTCTAAGGTGGCCCTCACAGTAGTCTACCTGTATACTGATTACACATGTATATTTTCTGAAGTCAATACATTATCCACAATTCTCCAATGAGAATGAAAAAATAAATATTGCTATAGTAGAATGCATATTGAGGAATATAAATATATTACTATGAACCAGGTCAGGTAGAGAAGAGATTAAGAAAACTGGGGAATAATTTTGTCAATTATTAGAAATCACCGTGATGCATGCCTGGGATCAGTATAACAAAGAAATTTCTAACCATTAAAGCTGTTCAACAGGAAACAGTTTCAGAAAGTAATGAACTCCAGTGAGTAGAAATGCTCAAGCAGAAGCTAAATGACCATCTGTCAGGGATGTTGTAGAAAGACGCCTTTCATTGAGTGGGAGGTTATGCTAAATTATCTCTAAGGCTATTTCTAACTCCTGAGATTCTATAATTCAACGAAGTGGAGCTTGAGGAAAACCCCAAAGAACTATTAAATAATTCTGTATACCCGATATATATAACAGCAGTTAATTTCAAACGAACCATTAACTTCATCTAAGCATTTAATTTGTCTCAGAAATTTGAAGAAAATGGTAATAAAAAAAGGAAACAGAAAAATCCTTTGCCTGCATGATCTAGTTAAATGGTTTTCAGTTTGTGCTTTTCAGATCTCTAGAGAGCAGAGGGCATCCTTGGAGTTTCTTCAGAGGCGGCCTTCAAGAAGGAAGAATTAGCATAAACGGGAAGCTAGGCAAGTAAGGTTTCAGATACCCCAGATCTACTATAACCAGGGCATCTCAGCCTTTATCTCTTCATATATTGAATTTCTAGGTAACAAATATTACTTAAATAAGAGAATGTATGGCTTAGGAATTTTGATCACTGAAATAGTTCATTTAAGAATCATATAATTTCTGGTTCGATCAACATTTTTAAAATAATTACAACTGAATATGGCAGATCCATTGTGAAACTTATGGAAATGTATTTCTGTCTCCAGGTCAAATACTTTAAACATGCTATATCTGAGTGGCTATTTCAAAAATCAATATTTTGGTCCACTAGAATGTATGGATTGTAGGTATTAGAGGGTATTGACAAGAGTATTTTGTTAATTTATATATTTCCTGAACCTAGAAGAGTGACTGATACAAAGTCAGTGATCATTAACAGAACAACCATTCTATCCAGCAACCCTACTATTGAGTGTATACTCAAAGCAAAATAAATTGTTCTAGAAAAAAGATGCATATGTTTGTATGTTCATTGCAGCACTTTTCACAATAGCAAAGACATGGAATCAACCTAGATGCCCAGTGGACTGGATAAAGCAACTATGGTAAATACATGCCACGGAATACCATGCAGCTATAAAAAGGAAAGAAATCATGCTTTTTGCAGCAACATAGATGCAGCTGGAGAGCATAATCCTAGGCAAATTAATGCAGGAACAGAAAACCAAATACTGCATATTCTTTTATAAGGGGGAGCCAAACATTTGGTTAAACATGGACATAAAGATAGCAACAATAAACATAGGGGACTACTGGAGAAAACGGGAGGGGAGTGTGGAAAAACTACCTGCTGGAGGCCGGGCACAGTGGCTCACGCCTGTAATCCCAGCACTTTGGGAGGCCGAGGCAGGCGGATCACGAGGTCAGGAGATCGAGACCATCCTGGCTAACACGGTGAAATCCCATCTCTACTAAAAATACAATTAGCCGGGCGTGGTGGCAGGTGCCTGTAGTCCCAGCTACTCAGGAGGCTGAGGCAGGAGAATGGCGTAAACCCAGGAGGCGGAGCTTGCAGTGAGCAGAGATGGAGCCACTGCACTCCAGCCTGGGGGACACAGCGAGACTCCGAAAAAAAAAAAAAAAGAGAAAGAAGGAAGGAAGGAAGGAAGGAAGGAAGGAAGGAAGGAAGGAAGGAAGGAAGGAAGGAAGGAAGGAAGGAGGGAGGGAAGGAGGGAAGGAAGGAAGGAGGGAAGGAAGGAAGGAAGGAGGGAAGGAGGGAAGGAAGGAAGGAAGGAGGGAGGGAAGGAAGGAAGGAGGGAGGGAAGGAAGGAAGGAAGGAAAGAAGGAAGGAAGGAAGGAAGGAAGACTACCTCCTGCTGGATACTATCCTCATTACTTGGTTGACAAGATTATCATGCATAAAACCTCAGCGACATACAATTTACCCACGTAACAAACCTGCACATGTATTCCTTGAACCTAAAATAAAGTTGAAAAAGTACATAAAATGTTTTGTAGAAGTTTAGTAAATTAATTAATTTAATTGTCAGAGTTTTACTAACTTAGGTCATTTTAAAAACACAGATGGTCCCTTACTTGCAACAGTTCAACTTAAAATTTTTCAACTTTACAATGGTGTTGAAAGTGATACACATTCAGTAGAAGAGTACTCATACAACCATACACACATACTGAATGTGTTTTTCACATTCAGTATAGTATTCAGTAAATTGCATGAGATTTTCAACACTTTACTATAAAATATGCTTTGTGTTGGATGAACTTGCCCAATTTTTGGTTAATGCAAATGTTTTGAGTACATTTAAGGTAAGTTAGGCTAAGCTATGATGTTCAGTAGGACTGTATAAAATGCATTTTCAACTTACTATGGGTTCAACAACCAACAGCAACAGACCTTATTGGCATATCACAGTCTGAAAATCAAAAATAAAGAAACTTAAAAGTAGCTAAGAAAAGGATACATAATGTTCAAGAATGTAGCCCCATTGTAAGTCAGGGAGCATCTGTGTGACATTAAGAGTTCAGCATTTAGTTTGGATATAGACGTGAACAAAAGATTATCACTTCTGAATTAAATTCAGAAATAATGCTAGATAAAGAATTACGTATGTTTTAAGTTGTAAGCTTTATTTTTTAAGTTTATAAACATAGATTCAACTTTTAGTTTAGATTCAGGGGTATATGTGCATGTTTGTTATATGGGCATATTGGGTAACACTGAGGTTTGGGGTATGATCACTCCCATCACCCAGACAGGGAGCATAGTACCAAATAGGAAGTTTTTCAGCTTACCTCCTCCTCCCTCCCTTCCCCATCTAGTAGTCCCCAGTGTCTATCATTCTCATCTTTATGCCCATGTGTGCTCAATGTTCAGCTCTGGCTTATAAGTGAGAACACAGAGTATTTAGTCTCCTGCTCCTGTGTTGATTCACTTAGGACTATGGTCTTCAGCTGCATCCATGTTGCTGCAAAGAATATGATTTAGTTATTTTTCATGGCTGTGTAGTATTCCATGGCATACATATACCACATTTTCTTTTTCCAGTTTATCATTGATGGGCATCTAGGTCTATTCCATGTCTTTGCTGTTGTGAATAGTACTACGATGAACACATAAGCCCATGAGTCTTTTTGGTAAAATAATGTATTGTCTTTTGGATATATACCCAGTAATGAGAATGCTGGGTTAAATGGTAGTTTAGTTTTAAGTTTTCTGAGAAATCTCCAAACTCATTTTCACAGGGGCTGAACTAATTTACATTCCTACCATCGGTGTATAAGCATTCCCTTTTTTCCAGTGCCTTGCCAGCATCAAGCCACTGAAGAACTGTGGATGCAAAGAACTACAGTAAGAGATGATATCTTTTAGAGCAACGGAGGCTACTTTTAAGCATGGGGTATTGCTAAATCTGACTGTGCATCCAGAAGGAGTTAGCCATCTTTAAACAGAAAACTTTTGCTTGTAAAGGGAGGAAGTAGAATTTTAATAGCTATACATTTTCTGGTATGACGACTAACAATCTGAAGAAATTTCAGAGTTTGTCGTCTATTTTCACTAATTTTACTCCACAAGACATTTATGGAATAAGTGATATTGAAGGATACCAAGAGAAGAATTGGACAGAAGGAAATCTTATAGTCTTAGGGTGCAAGTGGAGGCAGCCTAATGCTACCTCTGAGACGTTTAAAACCAAAGGTGAACTGAAAATCATTAACTCAAACCAGATTTAGCTCAACTCACCATTAGATCAGAAAGATACGTTTTCACTCCAGCTACCAGATAAAAGCACAAGATATTTCTGAATATTATCTACTTCATTCACTATTGTTCTTTCATGGACAATCAATAGCAAACAATAAAAATTTATGAGACATATGAAAGGACAGGAAAACGTTACCCATAATCAAGAGCAAAAACTGTTAACAGAAGTAGATCCAACAACAACCCAGACCCAGACAATGGAATTAGCAGGGTGAATACACCCAAAGAGAAGCTAAGAGAAATTATTTAACTGGAAGTACAGAATAAAAACCAGAAAAGAGCCAAGTATTTGTGTTTGTGTATGTGTTTCTGTATTCAACATATGTTTACATTGGAGCCCCAGATTCAGAGAAAAAACAGAGCATAGGGAAGAAAAAAAATATTAAGATCATGGCTATGGTTTTTCCAGTTTTCCAAAATTAAAGAAAGTAATCAACCCATATATTCAAGAAGCTCAGTGACCCCTTCCCCCACATAGGATAAAACAACCAACCAACAAAAATAGACTCATGGAAACACTACATCTGAAATACAAAAATAAAGAAATTTAAGAGTAGCCAGGAAGAAAGCATATCATGTTCAAGATGGCAAGAATAAAAGCTAAAAGAGAATTAAAATTTTAAAATGCTGTGAAAAAAAAAATGTTCATCTTGAATTCCATACTCAATGAAAATATCTTTCAAATATGAGAGCAATTCAAGAAACTTTCAGACAAATAAAAACCGAAATAATTTGCCACCAGATAGCTATACTATTAGAGCTCCTAAAGAACGTTCTTCTGTCATAAAAAAATCCGAGAAAAGAGCGCAGATGGAAAAAGGAATAAAATAAACCAGAAATGGATAATAAATGGATCAATATAAATTATTATTTAAAATTTGAATTCAGAACAAGATTGGCTTGTTAAACATATATTATATGTGGTATGTACAGCAAATGTAGGACTGAATTATATGCCAACAATAGCACAAAGAACAAGAATAGTGATGCTACACAGTTTTTATGTTGTGAAGCAGAATAATTCAATACTAATTCAAAGTGGGCCATGATAAATTTTAATTTCTTTAATAACTACTAAGAACGTAATACAAGGATAAACAGTAAAAGAGATAGTGGAAGAATAAAGTAGAATACAAACATATCCAATTAGTTCAAAGGAAGTGAGAAAAGGAGGCACAAAGAAAATAAATAACCAAGTAGAGAACAAACTGAAAGAGGGTAGACTTAAATCTAAGTATACTACTAATCATATTAAATGTAAACAGACTAAACACTGCAATTAAAGTGTAGGGATTATAAGAGCCATACAGAAATGTAAGGATATAGATGAAAAGGCTGGAAAAGATAAAGTATGCAAGAACTAATCATAACAAAGTACAGTTATATCAATACTGCGTAAATTAAACTTACATACAAGAAGAGTTGCCACAGATTAATAAGGATACTTTATAGTAATACAACCATGTTAGAATACAAGAACAATGTTCCCCATCACTTCCTTATCCTGAAAACAATATTATATGAGCTTCAAGATTGCTTCAACCTTCAAACAAATCTGCTATTAAACATTCACTATCACAGCAAGAAATTTGAGACATGTTTACCCCTCTTCAAAAGTAACTTTGAATTATCTCTTATTTTACTAAGAAAATGGCTTACATTTAGTATTTATACTTTTACCCAAGTTAAAGCTTTATTGAATTATAATTCTTAGGATAATGTTTTGTAAATAAAGCTGATTTAAATATTAGGATATGTTGTTCTATCTACCAGTTTACTAAGCTATGAAGAGTTCAAAGATAAATAACTCCTGTCATTGAACAACTCACAAGTTAGTAGCAGAGAGAAATAAGAGAAATTGCAATTCTTTTTGAAAGGTATGCAAGTGTTGTTCAAAAGAAGCTATGAGAGTGGAGGCAAACTAATTCATTCTAGATTCTCAGAAGAAGAATGATCAGGGAATGTGCATTGTTGTGCAAGAGTGCCCTATGGGATACACTGTAAGGTGGAAAGCAGCATCAAGCACAGCTAGTCTGCTCTGTGTTATTCTGCAAGTATGTTATGATTACTTTTAATTAAATGAAGGATAAATTTAGATACCTGGTATGAATGCAATATGCAGCAAAAACATCATGCAGAGAGATTGTGAATGATATAATACATAATCAACTAAAATTCTATTTAACTTGCTGAATGTACACTCAGTGTATACTTTATCATCTTCTATGACAATTCCATCCACATGCCAGACAAATTACCGTGAAAAGAAAATTGTATAAAGCATATTAATCTTGAACTAGTTAAATGTACTATATTTATTTTTATTTTTAACTATATCAATAGCCCTGAGAATATATCAAAAGTGATAAGAAGTACAAAAGGTTTAATAATGGTCTTTTTTACACATGAAAATAGGAAAAAATAGCATGGATATCAGATATATGTATAATTCAAAGTATTTGATTTGGTCAATAAATTCAGTGGTTAATGCAATTATGCATTATAATGGCTATTTGAGTTTACATCTTCCCTTTGTCCTTGCACACCATTTTAATTTTACTTTAAGTTCTGGAATACATGTGCAGGATGTTCAACTTTGTTACATATGTAAACGTGTGCCATGGTGGTTTGCCACACCTCCCAACCAATCAACTAGGTGGTAAGCCCAACATGCATTAGCTATTTTTCTGATGTTCTCTCTCCCCAGCCCCCACAACAGACCCTAGTTGTGCATTGTTCCCCTCCCTGTGTCCCTGTGTTCTCATTGTCCAACTCTCATTTATAAGTGAGAACATGCAGTGTTTGGTTTTCTGTTCCTACACTAGTTTGCTGAGGATAATGGCTTCCAGCTTCATCCATGTCCCTGCAAAGGACATGATTTTTCTCATTTTTATGGCTGCATAGTATTTCATGGTGTATATGTACCACATTTTCCTTATCCAGTCTATCATTGATGAGCATTTGGGTTGATTTTATGTATTTGCTATTATGAATAGTGCTGCAATTAACATACGTATGCATTTATCTTTATGATACAATGATTAATATTCCTCTGGGTATGTACCCAGTAATGGTATTTTTGGTTCTAGGTCTTTGAGAAATCACCACACTGTCTTTCATAATGGTTGAACTAATTTACATTCCCACCAACAGTGTCAAAGCATTCCAATTTTTCCATAGCCTTGCCAGCATCTGTTGTTGCTTGGCTTTTTAAAAATAGCCATTCTGACTAGTGTGAGATGGTATCTCAGTGTGGTTTTGATTTGCACTTCTCTAATATCAGTGATGTTAAGCTTTTTTCCATGTATTTGTTGGCCACATAAATGTCTTCTTTTGAGAAGTGTCTGTTCATGTATTTTGCCTACTTTTTAATGGGTTTGTTTTTTCTTGTCAATTTGTTTAAGTTCCTTGTAGACTCTGGATATTAGACCTTAATCAGATGGATAGATTGCAAAAATTTTCTCCCAGCCTGTAAATTGTCTATTCTCTGATGATAGTTTCTTTTGCTATACACAAGCTATTTAGTTAAGTTGTGTATTCACTCTGATGACAGTTTCTTTTGCTGTGCACAAGCTATGTACTTTAATTAGAAACCATTTGTTAATTTTTGTTTTTGTTGCAATTGCTTTTGACATTTTGTCATGAAATCTTTGCCCATGTCTGTGTCCTGAATGGTATTCTGTAGATTTTCTTCTAGGGTTTTTATAGTTTTGGGTTTTACCTTTAAGTCTTTAACCCATTTTGAGTTAATTTTTGTATAAAGTGTAAAGAGGTGGTCCAGTTTCAATTTTCTGCATATGCTTTCCAAATTCCAATATGGAAATTTTTTAATTTTCTTTTTTTTTTGTATTTTTTTTTAGTAGAGATGAGGTTTCACCATGTTAGCCAGGATGGTCTTGATCTCCTGAACTTGTGATCCACCCGCCTCAGCCTCCCAAAGTGCTGGGATTACAGGCATGAGCCACCATGCCCAGCCTTTAATTTTCATCTTGATTTCATTGCTGACCCAATGATCATTCAGGAGGAGGTTATTTAATTTCCATGTATTTGCATGATTTTAGGGTTCTTTTTCAGGTTTGTTTCTAATTTTATTCCACTGTGGTCTGAAAGAATACCATTTCACTTAATATTTCTTTAATATTTTCATTCTATAATCTCTCTGTGCTGAATAATGGATACATTCTTTAAATCTCTTTTTCAGTTCATAAATTCTCTCACCATTTTTGAGAGGATAGAAATAACACAAAAATTGCAAAAAATGTACCAAAAAATGATAGATGAGAAAATTATTTGGCATATATACAAGTTACACAGTGATAAATGATATTCGAAATCCAATGTATCCCTTAAATTGGATTGGTTAATGGCATCAATATCTTACTTCCAGTTTTATTTAAAAGTAATATTGCTCTTAGATGTAACATAAATTTGTACTCTAGTCCTTATGAAAGTTCTCTGAAAGCTGGGATCAAGACTTGTATGTCTTTGTACCTACCATAAAATCTACCAAAAAACTTTGAATATGGTAAATTGTCAACAATTTTTTTGTACTACATAGTATGCTGCATACATAATTAAACCTTGTTCGTTTCTCTTAATATTTCTCTTTTTTCTTCTTTTTTGAGATATTCTATTTTATCTCATTATTATTTTAATAGATTTTTGGGGAACAGGTGGTGTTTGGTTACAGAAATAAGTTCTTTAGTGTTGATTTCTGAGATTTTGGTGCACTCATCACCTGAGCAGTATACGTTGTACCCAATATGTAGTCTTCTATTCCTCAGCACCCTCCTATCATTCCCCCTAAGTCCTCAAAATTCACTGTATCATTCTTATGCTTTTGCGTCAGCATACCTTAGCTTCCACTTATGAGTGAGAACGTACAATGTTTGGTTTTCCATTCCTGAGTTACTTCAGTTAAAACGATGGTCTCCAATTCCATCCAGGTTGCTGTGAATGCCATTATTTTGTACCTTTTTATGGCTGAGTAGTATTCCATGGTGTATTAGTCCATTCTCACAATGCTAATAAAGACATATGTGAAGTTGGGTAATTTATAAAGGAAAGAGGTTTGACTCACAGTTCAGCATGTCTGCAGAGGCCTCA
This sequence comes from Homo sapiens, assembly GCF_000001405.40. Taxonomy (NCBI): domain Eukaryota; kingdom Metazoa; phylum Chordata; class Mammalia; order Primates; family Hominidae; genus Homo; species Homo sapiens. The sequence continues at coordinate 193,825,805 of NC_000001.11, read as the reverse complement.
GGAAACCTACAATCATTGTGGAAGGGGAAGAAAACGTCCTTCTTCACATGGTGGCAGGAAGGAGAAGTGCCTAGCAAAAGTGGGAAAAGTCCCTTATAAAATCATTAGATCTCTTGAGAACTCACTATCACAAGAACACCATGAGGGTAACCTCCCCCATGATTAAATTACCTCCCATCAGGTCTCTCCCATGGCACATGGGTATTATGGGAATTTTTAATACAATTCAAGATGAGATTTGGGTGGGAATACAGCCAAACCATATACATGGTATATATATTAATGTATATATCACATTTTCTTTACTTATTGATTGATGGGTATTTGGGCTGGTTTCATATTTTTGCAATTGCAAAATGTGCTGCTATAAACATGTATGTGCAAGTATCTTTTCCACATAATGACTTCTTTTCCTCTGGGTAGATAGCCAGGAGTGGGATTGCTGGATCAGATGATAGATCTACTTTTATTTCTTTAAGCCATCTCCACATTGTTTTCCATAGTGGTGATACTAGTTTACATTCCCATCCACAGTTTGTCACCACATCCATGCCAATATCTATTATTTTTTGATTTTTTGATTATGGTCATTCTTGCAGGAGTGAGGTGGTATTGCATTGGGGTTTTGATTTGCATTTCCCTTATAATTAGTAATGTGGAGCATTTTTTCATGTTTGTTGGCCATTTGTATATCTTCTTTTGCAAATTGTCTATTCATGTCCATAGCCCACTTTTTGATGGGATTTTTTGTTTTGTCCTTGCTAATTTGCTTGAGTTCCTTGTAGATTCTGGATATTAGTCCTTTGTCAGATGAATAGATTGCAAAGATTGTCTCCCACTCTATGGGTTGTCTGCTTACTCTGCTGATTGTTTCTTTTGCTGTGCAGAAGCTTTTGTTTAATTAAGTCCCATCTATTTATCTTTGTTTTTGTTGTATTTGTTTTTGGGTTATCATGAAGTCTTAGCCTAAGCCAGTGTCCAGAAGGGTTTTTCCAATGTTATGGTCTAGAATTTTTATGGTTTCAGGTGTTATATTTAAGTCTTTGATCCATCCTGAGTTGATTTTCATATAGGGTGAGAGATGAGGATCCAGTTTCATTCTTCTACATGTGGCTAGCCAATTATCCCAGCACCATTTGTTGAATAGAGTGTCCTTTCCCCACTTTATGTTTTTCTTTGCATTGTTGAAGATCAAGTTGACTGTAAGTATTTGATTTTATTTCCGGGTTCTATATTCTGTTCCTTTGGTCTATATGCCTATTTTTATACCAGTACTGTGCTGTTTTAGTGACTATGGCCTTGCGGTATGAAGTCATGTAATGCGATGTCTCCAGAGTTGTTTCGCTGAAGCTTGCTTTGGCTATGTGCACTCTTTTTTGGTTCCATATGAATTTTAGGATGTTTTTACATATTACATTTTACATTATTACATGAATAATAATGGTGGTATTTTGATGGGAATTGCATTGAATTTGCACATTGCTCTTGGCAGTACGTTCATTTTCACAATATTAATTCTACCCATTAATGAGTATGGGATGTTTCCATTTGTTGGTGTCATCTATGATTTCTTTCAGCAGTGTTTTGTAGTCTTCCTTTTAGAGGGCTTTCACCTCTTAGTTAAGTATATTCCTATCTTTTTTTTTTTTTTTGCAGCTATTGTAAAAAGGGTTGAGTTCTCGATTTGATTCTCAGCTTGGTTGCTGTTGATGTATAGCAGAGCTACTGACTTGTGTACATTAATTCTGTAATCTGAAACTTTGCTGAATTCATTTACCAGTTCGAGGAGCTTTTTGGATGTGTCTTCAGGGTTTTCTAGGTAAACAATCATGTCATCAGCAAACAACTGTTTGATTTCCTTGTTACCAGTGTAGATGCCCTTTATTTCTTTCTCTTGTCTGATTGCTCTGGCTAGGACTTCCAATACTATGTTGAATAGAATTGGTGAGAGTGGACATCCTTGTTTTGTTTCAATTCTCAGGGAGAATGCTTTCAACTTTTCCCCATTTGGTATAATGTTGGCTGTGAATTTGTCATAGGTGACTTTTATTATCTTAAGGTATGTCCCTTCTATGTGGATTCTGCTGAGGGTTTTAATCATAAAGGGATACTGGATTTTGTCAAATGCTTTTTCTGCATCTATTGAGATGATCGTGTTATTTTTGTTTTTAATTATCTTTATATGGTGTATCACATTTGCTTTCTTGCAGATGATCCCTGCACCCCTGATATGATACCCACTTGACCATGGTGGATTACATTTTTTATATGCTGTTGGATTCACTTAGCTAGTATTTTGTTGAGAATTTTTGCAGCTATGTTCATCAGGAACATTGGTCTGTAGTTTTCTTTTTATATTATGTCCTTTCTTGGCTTTGGTATTAGGGTGATACCAGCTTCATGGAATGATTTACAGAGGATTCCCTATTTCTCTCTCTTGAAATAGTGTCAATAGGATTGGTAACAATTCTTTGTTGTTACTCGTCTGTTCAGAGTTGCTATTTCTTCCTGGTTTAATTTAGGAGAGTTGTATCTTTCCAGAAATTTATCCATCTCCTCTATGTTTTCTAGGTTTTTGTGCATAAAGGTGTTCATAGTAACATTGAACGACCTTTTGTTATTTCTGTGGTATCAGTTGTAATATCTCCTGTTTCATTTCTAATTGAACTTATTTGGATCTTCTCTCTTCCTTTCTTGGTTAATCTCACTAACAGTCTATCAATTTTATTTATCTTTTCTAAGAACCAGTTTTTTGTTTCATTTATCTTTTTTATTTTTTGTTTCAATTTCATTTAGTTCTGCTCTGATCTTTGTTATTTCTTTTCTTCTGCTGGGTTTTGAGTTTGATTTGTTCTTGTATCTCTAGGTCCTTGAGGTGTGACCTTAGATTGTCTACTTTTGCTCTTTCAGACTTTTTGATGTAGGCATTTAATGCTATGAACTTTCCTCTTAGCACTGCTTTTGCAGTATCCCAGAAATTTTGATAGTTTTTGTCACTATTATTGTTCAGTTCAAAGAATTTTTTAAATTTCCATCTTGATTTCATTGTTGACCCAATGATCATTCAGGAGCAGGTTATTTAATTTTCACATATTTGCATGGTTTTGAGGGTTGTTTTGGAGTTAGTTTCCAATTTTATTCCACTGTGGTCTGAAAGAGTACCATTTCTCTTAATATTTCTTTAATATTTTCATTCTATGATCTCTCTGTGCTGAATAATGGATACATTCTTTAAATCTCTTTTTCAGTTCGTAAATTGTATCATAAGTACTCTTAACCAAACTCATTGAGTTTTCAATTACTTTTTTTCATCTACAATAACAACTGGTTTTTCTTCAAATCTGTCTAATTTTATATCATCTTGTTCATTCCTCAGGATTCAATGCTTTCACCTATTTCTTGTAATATTCTAACCTACTCATTATTATGTCTTACAATTCCTGTATCATGCTACTTTATGGGCCTCATTCTTCTGCCTGCTTTCCTGCTTGCTTCTTTGCATGGCTATCTGTTTTGCTGTTTATTTTTGTGATATTTGACAGTGAGCCCATATTTCTTGAAACTCTATCTTTGAGATTCTTTGAGATTTAGTGTTAAGGTGGTTTCTTCCAGAGGAAATATGTATTTGCTTTTGTCACACAGTAACACATCCAATTAAAATTAACGTTTTAGTTTTAAGATTTTAGGACCAGCTACCCATGTAGCATGATCTATTTATTGAGGGTGGTGGAGCTGGTACCAAATATATGGGGAAATTATTGTTCTCATTCATTGATTCACACCAGTAAGTAGGCTCGCTTAGTTCTTAAGGGTGACAGTAAGCTGATGGTAAGGAAGAGCTTACTGTCACAAACTGAATGTTTCTGTCCCCCTAAAATTCATGTGTTGAAATCTTAACCCCCGATATGATGGTATTTGGATGTGGGGACATTTGGTGGTATTTAAGTCATAAGGGCAGAGCTCTTATGAATGGAAGTACAGCCCTTATTTAAAAAAAAGAAAAAAGACACAGAATTGTTGTCACTCAGCTCTCTACCATGTCAAGATAAAACAAGACAGTTGTCTGCAAACAGGAAGAGTGCCCTCAGCAGATACTGAATCTGCTGGCACCTTGATTTTGGACCACCAGGTCTCCAGAATTTGAGAAATAAATGTTTGTTGTTTAAGCCACCTCGTCTGTGGTGTTCTGTTATAGCAGCCTTGCAAACTGACCGAGACACTTATTTTGAAAAGATCCTTTATATTCATGTTATAATTGTCATTGAGGTCAAAGTGAGTATATTAGTTTCCCATGACTACTGTAACAAATTTCTCCAAATTTTGTACTTAAGACAATATATGTTTATTATCTTACATCTGTGGTTCCAGAGTTTAAAATGGATCTGATCTAACTAGAATCAAAGTATCCAAAGAGCTGGATTTCTTTATAGAGATTCTAGGGGAGAATTCATTTCCTTGTCCTTTTCAGCTGCCCAGATTCCTTGGCATGTGGCCCCTTCCATCTTCAAAGCCAGAAATAGCTGGTATAGTCTTCCTTATAGCACATCACTCTAACCTTGACTCCTCTGCCTCCTTCTTCTACTTTTATGCACCCTTGTGATTACATTGGGTTCACCTGAATGATCCAGGAATGTTTCTCTAAGATCAATTAATTGGCAACCTTAATTCCCTTTCATCATGTAATATAACTTACTCAAAGGCTCCAGAAGTTAAGACTTAGATATCTTTGCGTGGGGCCATTATTCTGCTTATTACCGAGGGTCTCTTATTAGAGTATTGTCATTCAGTGGGCATGTTACTTTCTTTCTTTTCCTGTAAGCTCTGAGAATCTTGAAGAGCAATGTTCAGTTTCATCAGATGTGTTAACTGCATTCAAGGCTAAACTGGCTTTGGTGCTCTGTTTACTACTCTACATTCCTCAATTGACTTAATATTTATCTGGATTCATATTTCTTACAGTCTTGGCAGCCCACTGATGTACTTAACAATGAATTTTTATAGTTTTTCTATAAATTTAGGTCTCTTGCAGAAAAAGTTGGTCAGGATAACTTGTCCAGCATACTACGGTCATAAATGGATGACATAGAACTATGATTTTTTAAAGATTCTCATTGTTAATTTCAGTTATAAAACTTCATAGCCAAATAACTTTTTACTAGAGTGAATTTAAATATGATATATATGTGATATATATCATAGTATCGCTTTATTTTGTTTCACCTAAAAATTATTTTCCATCAATAACTTTTTATGAAGACGAGTTAATCAAAGGGTAACTGTATGTTCCAGCTATTTTCTGGTTGCCAAGGATTTGTTAAGATACTGTCATTTCACCACCATTTTCTGACATATTCCTTCACATGTAGAAAGGGCTCCAGTTTCTTTCTTTTTCATTCAACCCCATAAACTTTTAACAAATACTTCTCCATGTAATTAACTAGGACTAAAATAAGGTTAAATTAAAATAGAACATCACCTTGTCTCTGAAGGAACTCTGAACCTAATATAGAAAATACAGTAAGTAAACACAATTAGATTATGGGTATCTACATACAATAATAAAAAGATTGTTTCTGGATAAAATGGTAACACAAAAACAGTTATAAACTGCATTTATGTGTAGAAATCATAAAGAAGAAAAGGGCCAAGGTGAGTTTTTAAAAATGTAGAAGTTTACCAATGAGAAAAGAGAAAAAAAAATTCCAGAAAAAAAAACAGAGGATGAGGAAAGGCTAAATGTGAACTTCAAGTAATTCAGCCTAACTTGCATTTTACAGAGTAGCAAAAAATGAGGTTAGAGAGGATTGGGAGATCTGAAAGGGTCATATCTTAGAAAGTATTAGCCACATAAAAAGCTATTAAAATTTTTTTTCTATAATGGTTCCCAAACCATACCTGCTCATAAAAATTTCCTGGCAAATTTTCATATGTAAATTGCTGAGCCCAATCTCCAGACTTACTGAATCAGAATAACCTTGGAGTACATAATTTTAATAAGCTTCCAGATAATTCTGATACAAATTTTATCAGTTAGGATGCTTTGGGCTACAGGCAACAAAAAACTTACAGAAGTGGCTTTAAAGGGAAATGTATTATCTCATATATTAAGTATTTCCAAGATAGAATAGCTCCATTGTTTAATAATTTAGGGACTCAATGCTGTCAAGAAGGATTCAGATTATTTTTGGTTTATGCTTTGCATGTTACAATGTGTTAGCTACTGCTGAAATGAGTTCAATAGCCCTAGGCATTATATGTTCATACCACAGTGCCCAAAGAAAAAGAATTCTCTTTTCATCCCTGAATTTCTCTTATTATGGGAAAGGAAAACTGTCACAGAGATGCCTCTGCCAACAAACAGATACTTCCTTATGTTTCACTGTTCAAAATTGCATTTGATAGTCACTCTTAAAACATTCATGTTGTGGGCAATAGACTTAACTATGACTGCTAATCAATATCCATCCTTTAATACTAAGGAGAAGCCTGAGCTTCAGTGAAATAGATGGACACCCAATATCTAAAAAAAAAAAAAAAAAAAAGTCATATTTCTGTTAAAATAAGGATATGAGATATTGCTGTTGGTCAGAAAATCAACAGTGTCTACTACAAAAAGATCATCAGGCCAATATTTGGGAACCACTACATAAACAATATTAGTGGTTTAAATTAAAGATAAACGTGATTAGGTTGGTGTTTTTAAACAAATCAGCACACATTTATAGAATGATATAAGTCAGATTCTATTTTTTAAGTAGAAGAACAGTTAATAGACTATTTGAGTAAGCTAACAAAAACGACAGTGATAGTTTTATCTAAGAAAGTAATATTGGTGATGAACAGGCAGCGATGTACAGGCATACCTCATTTTATTGTACTTCACTTTATTGCACTTCATAGATATGGACTTTTTCACTAACTGAAGGTTTCAGAGCCTGTATTTTAACAGCATGTGCTCACTTTGTGTCTCTGTCACATTTTGGTAACTCTTGAAATAATTTGAACTTTTTCATTATTGTTATATCTTTTAGAGTAATTCATAATCAGTGATCTTTGATGTTACTATTATAATTATTTTAGAGAGCCAACAATTGCACCCATATAAGACAGTGAGTGAACTTAATTCATAAATGGTATGTGTCTTCTGACTGCTTCACCAACTGCCAGTTTCACTGTCTCTCTCCCTCTCCTTGAGCCTCCCTAGACCCTGAAACACAAAATTGAACTTAAGCTAATAGCTCTACAGTAGCCTCCAAAGTTCAAGTAAAAGGAAGAGTTATGTGTCTCTCGTATTGAATTACAAGCTAGAAATGATTAAGCTTAGTGCGAAGCCACATCCAAAGCTAAACTAGACTGAATGCTAGGCTTCTTGTGCCAAACAGTTACCCAAGTCTTGAATAGAAAGGAAAGTTATTAGAGAAAATTGAAAGTGCTACTTCAGTCAATGCACAAATAATAAGAAAGCGAAACAGCCTATTTCTGACATGAAAAAAGGTTTAATGGTCTGGAAAGAAGATCAAACCAGCCACAACATTCCCTTAAGGTAATCCCCAATCCAGAGCAAGGCCCTAACTCTCTTCAATTCTGTGAATGCTGGAGAGGTGAGGAAGCTATATAATAAAAAGTAGAAGCTGGCAGAGGTTAATTCATAAGGTTTAAGAAGTCATCTCCTTTAAAAACATTCGAAGTGAAGCTGCAAACGCTGATGCAGGAGATATAGCAAGTTATCCAGAAGATTTGGCTAAGGTTGTTGATGAATGTGGCTACACTGAACAACAGATTTTCAGTGTAGATGAAACAGCGTTACACTGGAAAAAGATGCCATCTAAAACTTTCATAGCTAGAGAGGAGAAGGCAATGTCTGGATTCAAAGCTCCAAAGGACAACCTGACTCTTGATAGGGGATAATGTAGCTGGTGACTTTAGGTTGAAGCTAATGCTCATTTACCATCTTTAAATCCTAGGGCTCTTAAGAATTATGTTAAATCCACTCTGCCTGTGCTCTATAGATGGAACTACAAAGCCTGAATGATGGCACATCCATTTATATCATGGTTTACTGAATATTTTATGTCCACTGTTGAGACCTCCTGCTTAAAATAAAATAAAAAAAAAGATTCCTTTTATAATATCACTCTTAACTGACAATGCACCTGGTCATCCAAAGCTCTGATGCAGATATACAAAGAGATTATTGTTGTTTTAATGCCTGGTAACACAACATCTATTCTACAGCTCATGAGTCAAAAAGTAATTTTTAATTTCAAGTCTTATTATGTAAGAAATATATTTTGCAAATCTATAACTGCTATATATAGTGTTAAAGCAAACTAAATATGGCCTGAGGACTCTATACTTCTATATTTGAGTCTTTATGGATGAACTATAACCTAGCTTAATAAGTACACAAAATTGAAAATCTAACCTAAGTTAGTATGCACCTGTAACAATATCTAAGTCTTGGCCAATCCCAGCGGCTATACTTCAAGCACTCATACACTGCTGAGTGTTCCAACTGTGTTCAAATAAGGCATACGTTGAGCTATAACCAATCCAGCCATTCTGTACCTCACTTCCAATTTCTGTATGTCATTTCCCGCCCCCACCCCTTTGTTGTTGTTGTTGTTGTTGTTGTTGTCTATAAATCTTCTTCCACCACATGGCTGCGCTGGAGTCTCTGAATCTACTGTGATTCTGGGGGCTTCCAGATTCAGGAATCATTCATTGCTCAATTAAACTCCTTTAAATTTAATTCAGCTGAAGTTTTTCTTTTATCAATAGTGATTCCTCTGCGGAATCTGGGCAAAGAAAATTGATAACTTTCTGGAAAGGATTCACCATTCTAGGTGGCATTAAGAACATTCATGATTCATCAAAGGAGGTCAAAATATTGCCATCAACAGCAGTTTTTAAGAATCTGATTTTAACTCTTACAGATGACTTTGTGAGGTTCAAGATTTGACTGGAGGAATTAACTTTAGATGTGGTGAAAATAGCAAGAAAACTAGAATTAGAAGTGGAGTCTAAATATGTGACTGAATTGATGCAACTTCATGATAAAATTTGAACAGATAAGGACTTGTTTCTAATGGATGAAAAAGTGGTTTCTTGAGTTGGAACCTACTCTTGGTAAAAATGCTGTGAACATTGTTGAAATAACAGCAAATAATTTAGAATATTATACAAACCTAGCTGATAAAGAGTAGCAGGATTTGAGGAAACTGAGGCTAATCTTAAAAGAAGCTATACTGTGGATAAAGTGCTATCAAACAGCTTTTCTATAGAAAAATATTTTATGAAAGGAGAGTCCACTGATGTGGCACACTTCCTTGTTACCTTATTCTAAGAAATTGCCACAGCCACTCCAACCTTTAGCAACCACTACCCTGATCAATCAGCAGCCAACAACATTGAGGCAAGATACTCCACCAGCAAGGAGATCATGACTCACTGAAGGCTAGATGATTTGCATTTTAAAGCAATGAAGCATTTTTACATTAAGACATGTAACTTGTGTTTTAGACATAATTCTATTGCATACTTAATAGACTCCAGTATATTGTAAACATAACTTTATATGCACTGACAAACAAAAAAAGAGTTGAGTGATTCCTTTATTGTGATATTTGCTTTATTGCAGTGGTCTGGAACTAAACCCACAAGATCTCCAAGGTATGCCTTTATGTGAAAGGTTTAGGATCAGAGTATAACAAACAATATTTGAGATTGCATTGATTTCAGTGCAATGTTCAGTGCACTGATTTCAGTGTAATGGAGAGAAAAGACAAGCATTTCTACCAAGTTCCTCATTATTAGTTGCATGGTTGAGCATTAACTGAGGAATCACAAATAACTAGTAAAACAAAATCTACTTTAATGAGAAGATTATGATCATAAGGCCAAATGCCCTGAGGAGGTCATGTAAGATAAAAACCAAGAAGTATCCATGAGCAAGTCACTACTGAGATTGAAAAAGCAATTTTAATGGAGTAATAAGAGCAGAAGCCAAATTTCCATACATTTAAATGGACATTGAAAAATATAGATGGTGAGATAGACTCTCTTTACAAGTACTTGATTGTGAAAGAGAGGAATTTGTTAATAACTAGAGCTGATCGACTTTTAGGCAGGCTGTATTTGGATGGTAGCTACTCAGTCACTCAAAAGGAGAAGCCTAGAGGTTAAAAAAAAAAAAGTTCTAAAATGTAGGAAGGACAAGGTGAATCATGGAGTAAAAATCTCTGAGGATACAGGTAGGCACATAAACTAGAATGTAAGTAAAGAGATTTTTCTTAGGGAGTAAAAGAAGGGCTCTTTTCCATGAAAACGAAAGAAAGGAGGTAAAGACGGGAGCAGATGTAGATAAGTTTGAAGGTTAAAGTGAAGTATAATAAATTAAGGTGATTGAAGAGGTCCTTTATGAAATACAAGAACATACACTGAAAGTGAGAACAACTGAGGTAAGGATGATGAGAAAAGTGATTATAAGTTGAAATATTCTCTGTGAACATTAGGACAGGAAGCCAGTCATAAAAGTTATGAGGATTGGCCGGTCGCAGTGGCTCACGCCTGTAATCCCAGCACTTTGGGAGGCTGAGGTGAGAGGATCACGAGGTCAGGAGATGGAGACCATCCTGGCTAACACAGTGAAACCCCCTCTCTACTAAAAATACAAAAAACAAAATTAGCCGGGCATGGTGGCAGGCGCCTGTGGTCCCAGCTACTCGGGAGGCTAAGGCAGGAGAATGGCGTGAACCCAGGAGGCGGAGCTTGCAGTGAGCCGAGATCGCATCACTGCACTCCAGCCTGGGCGAGAGAGTGAGACTTTGTCTCAGAAAAATAAATAAATAAATATTGAGGATTGCAGAGTGGGCTGGAGTGTCCAGGTGAAATTAGAAAGCACAAATTAACTATAATTTATATTAGAAACCACAAATAACTACATCCACAGGTCTTGGTGATGTTCTCAAAACATTTAGAGGCATCCAAATAAAGTATCAGAGAGTGCAGAGGATAAATTAAAAATGTCTAATTTGGCTAGTATGGAAGGGCTAGAGACAAAAGGAGTTGAGGCTGTTTGTGAGAGTGTTTTGGGAGAAATTCAAGCAGAATAAAAAGACAGATGGTCTAGAAGAAGTTAGAGGCCCATTTTTAAAAGGTGAGTGTGTTTGAGAAAATGATAAAATCAGAAGTTGTTGAACCATGAGTTTAGAGTAGGGAAGTGAAAGATCTAAAATAATAAGAGACTGTGAGTATAAACTGTCTCCTTTTTCATTCAAGCTTTCCGATCCTCATTTCATTTACTTAAGGCCTTTAAGGGGGTAATCTGACAAATTTTATAAAAAGTGTTAATGTTTCAGTAGCTTTAAATGTCACTTCTGAATTAATATTCTTTACAGTTGAACATGGTCTTTCAAAGCTTTAATTTAAAGGAGGAAACAGTGTGAAGGTTTCAGACCTTCTGTAGCTGAGATGTACTGGGCAGGAGGCCATCGATCGAACCCTCCCTGGAAAACACTAGTGGTTTTCATCTGTTAAGATATAACACTTCTTTTTTGTCTCCTACTTCCATACTTCCATGAGGTGAGAAGGAGAACACTGGACAGTCTTATGTTCAACAAATCTCTTTATTGAAGAAAACAGTACTAAATATGAGAAAAAATAAGATCAAGGTTTGGCTTTTGACACCATTATGGAAATTTTTTTAAAATAACCAAAAGTTATACGTGGAACGTAGGATAGAAAATTCCACCTATAGTTTTGGGAAAGTCATACTGAAGTTAAATCTTCTTTCACTGTCATCAGAGTGATTTCATTCCCAATCTGGTGTCCAGGTGCCATGCATGTTATTTGCGTATTATCCTATTCTCTGATGGGTTTTACTTGCCTTTGAAGATAATATGTCTCAAGGAAGTCACCCAAGTAACTATTGGTTTGGTCAGAGCTTATTCCTGAACATCTGGATGGTGTTTGTTCACATTTTCTCATGTACAGCACATATTTCTTTGCTATGAACATGCTTTCACATTCATCATGCTCAGGTACCTCAAGAAAGATTAATATATTTATAAATGTTGTCTGTGGGCTCTAACCATGCTGGAATATAAAACAAAAAAAAAAGGAGAAGATCTAAAAAATCCATCTATTCTCTACTATAAAATAATGAAACTGGGCTCCAGTAATTGGATGGGGGTACATTTTGGGGATTAGCACCCTTCCTATCAGGGTCTTCAATGGAAAAAGCATCAACTACCTTTTCTAAAAATTTATTTAAAAGTACGTTGAGGATTTACTATGAAATTTCAGGCTCATCTGAAGATAACTTAAAAATGGTCATTTCATGATCAAAATCCTGTTGTTAGAGTATGAAGGTATAATTTGTAAACATCCTCTTTTCCTCTTTTCACACTGGAATTTGCCCTTGCTTTACAGATCACATAAATTGCCCACTTAGTAGTGTGTTCACATTTATAATAGCACATACCAAATCAGAATATCTTCTGTGATGGTAGGTCAAAATAAATGTTGTCAAATTGTGACATTACAAATCTTTATGTGAATCAGAAATCTAAAAGCAAATTTGAACACTCATAGCATTACTCTGACTTACAAAATTCTCCAGAGAACTTTGGGTTCATAAATCAAAAGAGATTACATTGGAATATTTTCAACTGTGACAAATATAACTTTGTTCCATCCTTTAAACATTATTTAAAATATAATGGCATTCATATTGCTGTACTCAGCAGTCTTAAAGGTCAGAAGATTTTAAAATTTCTCATTAGGAATATATTGTAAGAATAAATGTAAAAAAATACTATAAAACATCAAATATATTTGAAACTGTAGATTTTCAAATTTATTCTGGATACACTATGGTTAGAACATTTTCTCTATACATTTCAGAGAAAGGCACACATCACTGACACCAATATTTAGAATACGTTAGTTATCATTAATAATTGCAGAAGAAAGACCCTTTAATATACATGGGACAAATATGATTTAGATATTGTCGTATTCGAAAACTTTTTCTAATCCAATGATGATCAAGTTTTCAACATTCTCTATGATTAAAGCTCTTTTTATAAGTGGATTTCTTTGAGTTTTGGTTTCATTAATCTAATCAATGTAAAGAAAATTCATGTTTTCTTATAACTAGACTTGATTATTATTTATCTTGTTCATGCAATCAATAAAATCAGAGAAATAATCAAAACAATTTGGTCAAATAAACCTAGCTATTTCATTTTACTTTCTCTTTATGCAAAACAGAATATTAATAATTGATTCCTACTTAGAGCTAAGTAAAGCTCGTAAAAGTGCTTGATACTTAAAAAATTCCAACATGTATTATAGTTAAGTGAGGGAAAAAATAAGAATGCATTTTTCTAAGTGGAGAAGTAACAGATTTTCAAGTAAAATTTACCTTTGTTTGAATTCTCACCCTGACATTAATAAAAATATAATCTTAGGCAAATTATTGAAACTCTTAGCCTTAGTTCCACCACTTTTAAAATGAGGACAGTAGTCACAAACAGGGTGTTCATTAGGATAGGCATCATGTATGTGAACATATAACATCATATCTGACATTTAGTTAACAAATGAAAGTTATTATTTGAGCATAACAAGGTAACTATGGATAAGGCTGAAAAACCCACACTAAGTTTTTGTACCCAAATATATTAAAGTTGGTCTAAATTTTGTGATTTAGCCATTAGGCTAAATGATGAAAATGTTTGCCCTGAAGGGAAGTTGATAAATCCACTGTTAATTATTCTGTGAAATAATTAATCTTGATGGTACAAGGAAAGGAAGAGGACTGAGGGGATAAAGAAATCAAGGTCTGGAGCAAAACGTCAGACTATGGGAAGAACTGAAGTGCTTCTGGTAAGGACAAGGAGGGATCTAAGTACTGGCTGACAAGCAAGGATATGACTTAAGAGACCGAAAGGCATGGTTGGAAGATGCAGTGCTTATGCTTGCTTGGGACAAAGCAATATCATCCCAACAAGACAAGTATTGGAGGAAAGGTAGAGTCTGTATGGGGCATGAAGGTGGTACAGAGATAGCCTATTTCTCATGCAGTCATCAACAGGGTTATGTTGTCCTCTATTCTCAAACATAATAATATTTTTAAAACCACATTGAAATTCTATTGCCCCTAGTGAATGTCAGAAGAAAAAAGGAAAGGAGACTGATTTTTTTAAAGATAATACTTAGATTTATCAAGAGAATGACTGAACATCTATTTAAATAGAGACCCAAATTTTTAAACATTTTTAAAAGTTTGGAAACTTAGGGACATACAGCTAATAAGTGATGGAGCTTGAATTTAACTCCAAATTGATCTTTAAGCTGTTCACTCTAAATCATTATATAAGCCTTCAAGTCAAAATGAAGTCATACTTCCTTCAAAACCAATTGCAACGACCAAATTAGTAAGGGGTCCAGAACTTATTTGGAATTCTATAAAAGAGTAATTCATGAATTAATCCTTCATATGGGTAGACTGCTGACTGCCAGAATTTCCAATATAGACTCTTCAACAATTAATCTTTATACAGGCCCAAATAACTGTGTTATGACATTATTTCAGGTGTCATTGTTTGCTCTCTAATATGACAGCAGTGGTCATTTACCACCATTCAAGACCAGTGGTCATAATGATGCTTTATGACACTACATTAGAAGTGATAGGATAACCTATGTCCCTGAGTTGAGTCCTGGGGACCAGTTCAAACTCCATTGTTTTCATATGCTAAGTTCTTTGATGACATTTGGAAAGCTGTAGTTAAATATAAGCTGTATCTTGGTGTGTAGAATTAGGTAGAGATCCTACTTGGATCACTTTAGGCTAATTGTCCGAGAATCATCTATTGGCTAATTTCTTCTTTCCCAATTGATGTGAGATTGCATATTTATCATATAATAAGTTACTTTACAATGCTTTAATAATTAAATGTGTTTATATATGAGACTAAATGTAATAGGCTGTTTAGATTAAATACCACTGTTTAAATTACTTTATAAATGATCTGAGAACGCTATTGATTCCAGGTGGGATCTTCCCAAGCCATTCAGCATATTACAAAGCTACAGATTCCATCACTTGTTACATGATTTGGAAATATACAATGTTAAACACAATGAGGAAAGTAATTAGAACACAGGCTTGAAAATTTTCTGCTTAAGTTTTTATTTTTATGTGTCTCATTAATTTCATATTCAGAAATCTAATGTGTACTTTTCTGCCTTCACTACTACTAATGAAAACTCCGTACTACATTTAGAGTTGGAAATTTGATTGGATGTAATTGAGTTTCTCTGCCTTGCATAATCACCACAGGAGAGGGCACTGACAGTTTTATCACTCTCAATTCTCTTCTAAATTATGCAGATGCTATTGGTTCTTTTAAATAGTCCTCTGCATCATCCCTTATACATTGCTTAGAAGCCCAAGACTGATTAACCATCAGAATGAGTGAATATGCTGGGAATGGCATTAGTTAACCATTATGCTCAGCAGCTTCTCAATTAGCCTAAGATAGACTCCAGCCTAGTCAGCTGTGCAGTCTTGGATAAGTTTCTTAATTGCTCTACGCTTCATTTTCCTCATCTGTAATATGGGAATGATAATAATAGTATCTACCTCATATGATTGTTATGAGGAATGGATGTGTTAATATTTGCAGAACATTTAAAAAAGAGCCTTACACAAAGAACTATGCTACTCTTTGTTATCTAATTGAATTTATCTTTAACATCCGGTGTATACTATTTCTGCACATGTTATTCCTCCTTCATTCCCATGTTCCTTAGCATTTCCAAAAGACATACTCTATCTCAGAAAAAGATTTAATGATGTCACCAATTAAAGTGTGAATGCCCAATAAGACTACACTTATTGCTCTTTTCCCATGGTAAATTTGGATATTTAAAAGGAATTTAAAAAGTACTCTCCAATGGTCTTAGTCTATTCTGTGCTGCTATAACAGAATACCTGTGATTGGGTAATTTATAAGTAACAGAAATTTATTTCTCACAGTTCTGGAGGCTGGGAAGTCCAAGATCAAGAGGATGCATCTGGTGAGCGCCTTCTTGCTGCTTCAGAACATTGCAGAAAATATCACATGAGTAAAAGAGAATGAGAGAAGGGGCCAAACTCATTCTTCATAGGGCCCTATTCCCTCAAAAACAAACTCACTCCTGCAATAATGGTATTAATCCATTCATGAGAACAGAATCCTCAGGACCTCACCACCTCTTAAAGTCTCACTTCTCAACACTGCTACATTGAGGATTAAGTTTCCAACACATAAACTTTGGGAGACACATTCAAACCATAGCACCAATGTATATTGAAATGTTTAGAGGATTATACAGTTTGGCTCTGTGTTCCCACCCAAATCTCATCTTGAATTGCAATCCCCACATGTCAAGGGAGAGACCTGGTGGGAGGTGACTGGATCATGGGGGCAATTTCCCTCATGCTATTCTTATGATACTAAGGGAGTTCTCATGAGATCTAGTTGTTTATAAGTGGCTGACAGTTTCCCCTGTGTGCCCTCTCTCCTGCTGTCACATAAGACATGCCTTACATATGTAACTAACCTGCACATTGTGCACATGTACCCTAAAACTTAAAGTATAATAATAATACTAAAAAGAAAAAAAAAAGGCATGCCTTGCTTCCCCTTTGCCTTCAGCCATGATTGTAAGTTTCCTGAGGCCTCCCCAGCCACACAGAATTGAGTCAATTAAACTTTTTTTATATATATAAATTACCTGGTCTCAGGTGGTATCTTTATAGCAGTGTAAGAGCGGACTAATACAGAGGGAGTTAGGTAGCAGGGAAACTAGGTGCACATAAGGAACTCTTCAGCATTTTCAAAACTGTATTATAAAGCAGCTACTAATTACAAGGCCCCTGTGATTATAGATACAAAGGTCAGAGGCAGGAAGATCAATTTTGACCACTTACAAATTCAATGATATTTCTACTGGGATCAAAATAAACAGAACAAACTTTCTGAAAAGCAACTATGCTATTTCCAGCATGCAGCAAAATGCAAGAACCCAACTGAAGTAGGCATAACCTAGCAAGAAAGACAGACCTATATTGCCGAAGACTCCTGATATGCCCAAGATAGCTTAAGAAAATGGAAAAGCAGATAATTCCATGGCCTATCTGCTCACATAAATTAGAATTCTTCAAAAACTAAATCCCATCAGAAAGCAGCTGTCCTATGAGAGAGAAAAGTCTTCCCTCCTTTCTCCAAACTCGAACTATTTTCTGCACTGTCTCAAATACCAGAAGATTGTGAAGATTAATTCTTTTTGGACCCCTCATGTCAAATTATTCTTGGTCATCCATAAGTTACCTAACTTCTTCCATATTCTTCTGCACTTTTTTTTCACCTGGCTCAAATTCTCATTGCTGCTTCTTTTCCCAAACCTTTCTCTAGTGTCCTGTGAATCCCCCAGTGTATGACAACCAACCTCTTGTCTCCACCTTGGTATCACTTCTGTTTCTTTGGCACCTAATTAAAAACTGAACTTCCCTTATGGACACATATTCCTCTTTATACCTGCCAAGTGGAAGCTGCTCATTCTACTAAACCCTGTGTATTTAGGTACTGTTTCCAGATCATTTTATCTCTATTCTTGGTTAAAATGCCTGTTACTTTCAGACCCATGCCATACTTCCAGAATGCTTGGTCAAGGTTATCTCCTGACCCTCAATCCCCCAGCCCTCACTAACTCTTTGAGTCCTGGATTCCTTCATTTTCTCCATAAATGTAGGTGTCCTTCTATCTTCATTCTCTTTCCCTATTTAGAATCAGTCACATCAGTCCTATCCATGCCAATATCTTCAATTTCCATCTTCCTTCTGCTCCACATATTCCTGGCAAAACCCCAACCAGGGTGGTTTGTTAAATAAAAACTACTGAGTGATGTTGGAGAAAATAACAAAGCAGGTAATTCAGTGCCTCCACAAATTTGTAAACTTCCCCAGGACATAAATGCTGACCATATTTTTCCAAAATCACCCTCTCCTGATCACATTTTTCTTCAGTAAGAGGGATTATTTTAGAATTTCTTCACACTCCTTTCCTACTACTTCCCCTCACTCTCACCAGATAATCTTGGCATCTTTAGTCACAGAGGAAACAGGATATAATATAACAAATCTCTTAACGTTCTTTCCTAAACATATGTACCCAAAGACCTAACTTGTATTTGTGTTGTGCTACTTTCAACAAGAGACATACCCCGGTCCCTTAGTGGTCTTTGATTCACTTTTTAAGCTGTATTTTTGACATACCCTTCCACTGAAAAAGATAATCTGCCTTAGTACTTACAAACCATAAATAAATAAATAAATAAATAAATAAATAAATAAATAAATAAATAAAATAAATAGTAAGGTTGCCAGGTAAGTGGAGCTACCTTTAAGACATTTTGGAATTTCAGAAGTCTTGACAATTAGCTTTTATATACCAAAAGAAGGACAGGATAAATGTTTGAAATTCTTTGGGACCTCTCATGTCAAGTGTTATTCTTGGTCACCCCTAAGTTATCTAACTTCTTCCATATTCTTCTGTATTTTTTTTACAGCTGGCTCAAATTCTCATTGCTTCTTTCTTTCCCAAAATTTTATATAGTTTCCTGTGAATCCCTCAATGTATAGTAACCAACCTCTCCTCCCCACCTTGGTATCACCTCTGTCTCTTCAGTACCTAATAAAAAGCTGAGCTTTCCTTATGGACACATTTCTCTTCATCCCTCCCAAGTAGAAGCTGCTGATTCTACTAACCCCTGTGTATTTATGCACTGCTTCCAGATCATTTTATGTGCCCAACCCTGGGTGGATTGGGGGGATCTGAGAATAAGCACAAATGTTACATGTATTTTGGGAACTGAGATATGAGCCTTTTTAGGTAGTCAGAGGAAATGGCTGTGAGAATTCTGGTTCAGGTTAATCATTTAGGAAAACTGTGAAAAACAAGCTAACCTAAACAGGGACTAAAGGACAAAGATGCCTCCCTTCTCAAGAGAAGAGGACTCCAAAATGGCTGAGATTAACTTCCCAATAGTACTGATTACTATGTTTTTAAGCTCACTGTAAGGAAATCAGGGCAATGTAAGATGACCTGACTTGTCTCCTCAATATCAGAAACACCGAGGTTTATCCCTTCCACTCTGACTCATTTGTTTCTGACTCTTCAAGGTTTCATTCATTGATCATTTGGTTTTGTTTTTAATATTCCAACCTCTCCCTCTCTATATACATGCCAGCAATATTTAAATGTGCTCATCTCTAGATCATAAAAATAAAATGAGCTATCCCTTGAAATTGTATCTCCCTTCAAATATTTGACCTATCTTTATTTAACTTTTGTGGCTAAACTTCTCCAAAGAGTTACTTTCCTCATGCCTTCGATTTGTTAAAATCTGATTCATTGAACTGTGGTTTCTTTTCCCTCCACTGTGATGACTTTGCTTACACAAAGAGCCCAGCCTCGTTGCTGACTACAGAAATCTATTCCAGGCCTTATCTCATTGACATCAGTAATATTGTATACTGTTGGCCATTCATTTTGTTTCCAAAAATCTGTCCTTTTCTTAGCTTCTCTAAATTCAGATTCTTTCTTTTATTTTTCTACTTGTCTAGCTTTTCCTAAGACTCTTTTATGTATTCCTCTTGCTCAAATTATTCCATAAATGTTGGTGTTCCTCACGGAACTTTCTCATGCCTCATTTTCTTATTTTACACTTTTTCTGGGTAATTCATTCCTCATCCTAAATTTCATTTATCCTGTGCCATGCTTAATGTTTGTATCCCCCTGCAAAGACATGTTGACACTTAATCCCTAATGCAATTGAATTAACAAATGGGGACCTTTAGGAGGTAAATAGGTCATTAGGGCTTCTCCTTCATGGATGAGATTAAGGTCTTATTAAGGAGGCTTCACATAGTTTTCAGCCGTTTTTGCCCTTTTTCCTTTCACCATGTGAGGACACAGTGTTCATTCCCTCCAGAGGATACAGCAACAAGGTCCCATCTTGGAAGCAGAGATTGGGCCCTCACAAGACACGCAACCTGCTGGTATCTTGATCTTGGACTTCACAGCCTCCAGAACTGTGATAAATAATTTATAATTTACCCAATCTCGGGTATTTCGTTATGGAAACACAACTGGGCTAAGATAGCCTTTATATGTGAATGAGCTCCAAATTCCAATCTTGAACCCAACTGTGTTTCACGTGTGTGTGTGGTTGGTGTGTGTGTGTGTGTGTGTGTGTGTGTGTGTTTAGAGAGATTACCTGGGTTCAGATTCCTGCTCTACCACTTACTATTCATATGAACTTAAGAAAATTACTTAATCCTTCTATGTATCAGTCTCATCTATAAACTATCTAAGTAACACACCAAATGGTTTACAGAGAGAATTAAATGAGCCATATGTAATTTCATACTTAATATTTCTAGTTGGATATTTCATTGTAACTGTGGATTTAACAGGTGCCAAACTTGACTCATCATCTTTGCATATATTATTGGGATATTCCAACCTCTACTGAGAGGTTAAGACTGGTTCAATTATTTGGGACAGTATGCTACATAGTTAATACATTCATTGTAATGTGCAAAGGATTAAAAGGTGTTGAGACCTCAGAATAATTTCTCTGTCTTTGACTTCAGCTCTCTTGATGTTATTTTGTCTTTTGAACTCAAATTCTCTTAAGATTTGTCTTCTTTTACATCCCTCTTTAAGGGATTTTATTCCCACTTACTTGGAAAGTTGATCCTAAGACATTCACCCACTTGGAAGATTTGCTAAGCCTTAGGAAGAAATAATCTTTCTTTAATTGAAAAGATTTTTTTAAATTAATCTTTTCTAAATTCTTCTTGACATCTAGGATAATATATAAAGAATGTGCTTACTAATGGGCCTTAAAGTAGAAGACCAAAATGACTATTCAATTTGCTTATATAAAGAGGTACCAAGAAATTTTTTTTTAATACTCTAAGTTCTAGGGTACATGTGCACAATGTGCAGGTTTGTTACATATGTATACATGTGCCATGTTGGTGTGCTGCACCCATTAACTCGTCATTTAACATTAGTTATATCTCCTAATGCTGTCCCTCCCCCCTCCCCCGACCCCACAACAGGCCCCAGTGTGTGATGTTCCCCATCCTGTGTCTGAGTGTTCTCATTGTTCAGTTCCCACCTATGAGTGAGAACATGCGGTATTTGGTTTTCTGTCCTTGCAATAGTTTGCTGAGAATGGTGGTTTCCAGCTTCATCCATGTCCCTACAAAGGACATGAACTCATCATTTTTTATGGCTGCATAGTATTCCATGGTGTATATGTGCCACATTTTCTTAATCCAGTCTATCATTGATGGACATTTGGGTCAGTTCCAAATCTTTGCTATTGTGAATAGTGCCACAATAAACAGATGTGTGCATGTGTCTTTATAGCAGCATGTTTTATGATCATTTGGGTATATACCCAGTAATGGGATGGCTGGGTCAAATGGTATTTCTAGTTCTAGATCCTTGAGGAATCGCCACCACACTGTCTTCCACAATGGTTGAAGTAGTTTACAGTCCCACCAACAGTGTAAAAGTGTTCCTATTTCTCCACATCCTCTCCAGCACCTGTTGTTTCCTGACTTTTTAATGATAGCCATTCTAACTGGTGTGAGATGGTATCTCATTGTGGTTTCAATTTGCATTTCTCTGATGGCCAGTGATGATGAGCATTTTTTCATGTGTCTGTTGGCTGCATCAATATCTTCTTTTGAGAAGTATCTGTTCATATCCTTCACCCACTTTTTGATATGTTTGATTTTTTTCTTGTAAATTTGTTTAAGTTCTTTGTAAATTCTGGATATTAGCCCTTTGTCAGATGAGTAGATTGCAAAAATTTTCTCCCATTCTGTAGGTTGCCTGTTCACTATGATGGTAGTTTCTTTTGCTGTGCAGAAGCTCTTTAGTTTAATTAGATTCCATTTGTCAATTTTGGCTTTTGTTGCCATGGATTTTGGTGTTTTAGACATGAAGTCCTTGCCCATACCTATGTCCTGAATGGTATTGCCTAGGTTTTCTTCTAGAGTTTTTATGGTTTTAGTTCTAACATTTAAGTCTTTAATCCATCTTGAATTAATTTTAGTATAAGGTTTAAGGAAGGGATCCAGTTTCAGCTTTCTACATACAGCTAGCCAGTTTTCCCAGTACCATTTATTAAATAGGGAATCCTTTCCCCATTTCTAAGGAATGTTTAGTTGTTCTCATTTGGTCCACTGTAGCTCACCATGATACCATGCTGGAATTTGGGATTAAAACATCAGTTCCTTTTATCCTGCCTTGTCCTCTATAATACAGCCTTCTGAAAGGTTTCATAGGGGAAGTCACAACCATAATAAGTGACTGTTTGAAGATTACAAAATTGAGGTCCTAACCAAGTGTATTTCCATCTCTTCATGACTTTCAGCACACACAGTCCTTCAAGATTTTACGATCATCCCTCTAAACCATCAACTCTTCCTTCTAATTCCGTTTTATTCAGAAACCATGATAAATGAGTATTATACCATAAAAAATCTTTGATATTTCTTTTGCCTGTTAGGCCCTTTATTTCCTTTGCTTATCATCTTACTAACTTGTGCTTACCCTTTAACATTCTCTCCAAAAATATCCCATAGGAAAATCCCAACTCCTCTCCATCTCAATTCCATATTAGGTGTTCTTCCCTTATATTACAATACCCTACCTCGTGCTTATATTTTCCTACTTATTTTGTTATCAGTAGTGTGCTGCTACATGTTTAACAACTAGATCTCTTGAGGAATAAAAGCCCTAATATAAAAGTTTGTAAACATTGGGACCAACACATTCCTGAGCTATGTACTTCATTTCTCATTCATTAAACAAATATCTATTGAGTACTTAGTGTGTGGAATAAACAGATGCTGAGAATGGAGCAATAATCCAATCAGATTTTCTGCCATCAAAAGTCAGTAAGGATATGGCAATAAACAAAATCTATATAATATAAAATCAGGAGAAATGAATACCATCAAGAAACAAAGATGGTAATGTGACAACAAAAGACAGGGGAGGAAGTGTGATTTTAGCCAGGGTGGTCAGGAAGGCCTCACAAAGAAGGTGTCTTATGAGTAGCACCTCAAATGAACTGGGAGGGTGTGTCGTGTGGATACTGAAGCCAGTGAAGGCGTCTAACAAGTGAAGGGGAAAATGCCAAGTGAAAAACTTGGGGATAGGAGAGTGCTTGACATATTTAAAGGACAGAAAGGATACCTGCCCAGCTAGAGCTGAGTAAGTACAAGGAAGAGTGGTATGAGATGAGGCCAAACCATGAAGTTCCTGGTTATCCATTGTTATGCAGTTTGGACTTTAGTCTGAGTAAAATGGGAAACCAGAGAATACAGAAAAAACATTACCTGACATGTTTAAAGATAACACTTTGGCTGTCTTGTGGAGTGGAGAATGCAATAGGTCATGGAAGGAGGCAGGAGAGAAAGGTTTGAAGGTTCTTGCAGTGATGTAGTAAAG
Source organism: Homo sapiens (assembly GCF_000001405.40). Lineage (NCBI taxonomy): Eukaryota > Metazoa > Chordata > Mammalia > Primates > Hominidae > Homo > Homo sapiens. The sequence continues at coordinate 193,802,208 of NC_000001.11, read as the reverse complement.
AAGGGAAAAGTGACCAGCTGTTCAAAGGTCAATGCTGAAAGATCAAGGTAGGAGAGAACTGAGAATTTAGTCACCAGATTGACACTATAAAAGCCAGTGGTGAACTTGAAAAGAGTAATTTCAAGAAGTGAAGAAAGTAATTTCAAGGAGAAGTGAAGAAAAACCCCTGACTTTAGAGAGATTACTTGGGTTCAGATTCCTGCTCTACCACTTACTATTCATATGAACTTAAGAAAATTACTTAATCCTGGCTGGGCGCAGTGACTCACGCCTGTAATCCTAGCACTTTGGGAGGCCAAGGCGGGTGGACCACGAGATCAGGAGATCGAGACCATCCTGGCTAACATGGTGAAACCCTGTCTCTACTAAAAATATAAAAAAATTAGCCAGGCGTGGTGGTGGGCACCTGTAGTCCCAGCTACTCGGGAAGCTGAGGCAGGAGAATGGCGTGAACCCAGGAGATGGAGCTTGCAGTGAGCTGAGCTTGCGCCACTGCACTCCAGCCTGGGCGACAGAGCAAGACTCCGTCTCAAAAAATAATAATAAATAATAAATAAATAAATAAATAAAAATTACTTGATCCTTCTATATATCAGTCTCATCTATAAAATATCTAAGTAATACACCAAATGGTTTACAGAGAGACTTAAATGAGCCATATATAATTTCATACTTAATATGTCTAGTTGGATATTTCATTGTAACTTTGGATTTAACTGATGCCAAACTTGACTCATCATCTTTGCATATATTATTGGGATATTCCAACCTCTACTGAGAGGTTAAGACTGGTTCAATTATTTGGGACAGTGTGTTACACAGTTAATACATTCATTGTAATGGGCAAAGGATTAAAAGGCGTTGAGGGTTCAAATTGGCTGGAAAGGATTCAAAATAAATTGGGAATAGTACACTTATAAGTGGGAGCTGACCAATGAGAACACATGGACACAGGGAGGGGAACAACACACACTCGGGCCTGTCGGGGGGTAGGTTGGGGGCAGGGAGAACATCAGAAAAAATAGCTAATGCATATGGTACTTAATACCTAGGTGATGGATGGGTTGATAGGTGCAACAAACCACCATGACACACATTTACCTATGTAACAAACCTGTACATCCCACACATATACCCCAGAACTGAAAACTTTTTTAAAAATTGGGAGTAGAAAAACTAGAAAAAATGGGTAAACCTGCTCTTAAGTTTTGCTCTGCAAGGGAAAGAGATATGGTGTGTTAGTTAGCTCTAGGGCTGTTGGGTTAGCAGTATTACTTTTCAATAGGAGGTAACAGCATATGTGTACAATGATGACAATAAAACAGTAAAATGGAAAGCAACAATGATGCAGGGTGAGATGGAACACATAGGAGCAAAGCCATTAAACAGGAGAGAGGGGGTGGGATCCAAGGCACAAGTGTGGTTAGCTTTAACCATGAGGAAAGATCTCTTCATCATGGCAGTAGGAGGGAAGCTGGGTGTATGGGGAAAAGGCAGTCACAGTTAAATTGGTAGATTTGGTAGTGCAAGCATATAGAAGTTTTCTTCAAGTTGCTTCTACATTCTCAGTGGAAAAGAAGGCAGGTCATCCTCTGAAAGTGAGGAAGAGGGGAAATTTTAGGCTTGAAGAGGGAGAAAAAAAAGTTAGTTACACTCAGTATATGCTGGAACTGACTCCGTTGAGCTCAGGAGAGCTGAGAGTGCTCATCTCTTCCCAACTCCACCTTCAGTGATGTCACACTGATAACTTGAAACCAACCTTAGTGGAAATATTTACAATACAGAAATCAGCAAGTGTTACATATCAAAGTTTTTTCCCCCTGAAGAGCCAGTATTGAAACTTTTACCAGCACATGATCGAAATTATTCATCTGGGTCAGTGAGGGAATAAAGTTATTAAGGAAATATAGTATAGCATATGAATAATATAGTATACAATAAATAGAAAGAAGTGCCTGGTAGCACTGAGGGCTCATTTGAAGTTCACAGTCGTGGATTTAAAGTGAGATGAGTCAGCGTAAGTGTGTGCATGTGCGCATGTGTTAATCTTTTCCCCAGTCATTTCTAATTGCTTTGGTGAGATTCTGCAATGATAAATTTAGCCAGATCTCCAGTTTTGTTAGCTGAGTACAAGAGAGGGAGGGAGGAACAAGGGAACTGAGGGAGTGATTATAATGAATCATAGACTATATGCTGGGTTGGGAAGGAAAGAGGACACTAAAGGTATGATGCATCATGAGGTGATAGTAGCCTCAATCGATCAGAAGTTCTAGTGGAATCCGAGAATTATTGAAATAGGAGAACTAGTATTAGCAACCTGAACTGCCAGGATTGGAGGTTCAGAGACTCCACTTTTTTTTCTGTGTATCCCGAAAAATTAGCATGATTCTTGGCATATACAGAGCACTCAATATAAGTTTATTATATAAGTGAATACATAAATGTCATGAAGAACTAGATGTCACAGGCTTTGTTGTAAATTATGTAATAATTGGTGGGCCCAATAACTGAGAATACTGTCAGCAGACAGCCTTCAGCTGTCAGCACCTTCAGGGATGTCCTCAGTAACAGAGAGCCACTTTACCCAAAGTTACGCCCTTCCAGGGTGGCCCATATCCAATGGATATTGACACAGGCATAGAAAGGCCCAGCCATTCCGGCCTAGCATAGGTATCTCTAAAAGGCTATTTTAGTATGAGAGCTTCCCATGGGTCCAGCTGAGAATGTTGTCAGGACTGCATTTTAGCTGGCTTCTCTCTCTGTCAAATTCTGTCCTCTTACCCTTTTAACCATAGGGATTTATCCCAAAGGCACTCCCTAATAAATATCCTGCACACTGAACTCTGTCTCAGAATCTGCTTTCTCCTGGTAAATTTAATCCAATCCCTTACAACTTCATTGAGAAGGGCATTTTCCTAAAATGAGAGCATGCATACACTATAGTATTTTTACACACCATATTAGACCATGTTTAATTAGTATGATTTCAGTATACATGTACTGACATCCTCAATGATCAATAGATGCTTCAGGGATCACGTTCACTCATTTATTACTAAAAAGTAAAAAAAAAAAAAAAAATAAGAAATAGGCAAAGAAGTAGGGTTATAAGGGAACTTAATAGAAACATTTTTCTTCCAAATACTTTAGTTCATCTAATTGTTTCCATTTATCTTCTTGACTTTTTCTTTCAAATAATGACACTGAATAAGCAGTGGAAATCACATTATGCAGGTATGGGCTTAGTCCATGTAATATTCCTTTTATTATTATCTACTTAAGCAATCTGTTAACTATATTTGAACTTCATTGCTAGAGGATAATATAAGCTGTTGATTTTTTTTCTGCCCATTGCACAAAGCCTATACACATTCAATGAATGCCTTAATCACAGATTTTTATTAACTAAAATCTATGAGGAATTAAAAAGGAAGGCCTTTGGCTCATAAAGCAATTACACTCCAAGTTTATTTTTTACCATGGCCTACAAAGAAAGTAATCTTTCTTATTAATGGCTTAAATATAAAATACAAAAGACAGTTTCAATGGAATTGTTTTTGTAATATTTGAATGTCATTACTAGTGCTACCTGACATTAATCCTGTGGCATGAATAGCAAGACTTAAGTGAAAAATTTTACCTTTGGCTGGGTATAACAATTTCAAAGTGAAGAAACAATAAGAATACATTTTTATTAATCTATGCAACTGGTTTTTTAGAAGGCAAATTCTGTTAAAATATACAAGTTTGGAAAAGATCTTTACAAAAATCTTTTCCATGTAGGCAAACTATTCCAGGACAAGAAAACAAATAGGCAAGTAGAATAAAATATTGGCTAAGGACTGTACTTCTCTAAGCTATAAGGGCATGAAGCCAGACTTACATTTGAATCATGGAACATTTGGGAAGTGAAAGAGCATTAGAAGTCAACTAGACCTGTACTCTTAAGTCATGGAGGCCAGGACAAGGAGCTTGTTAGTGGCAAGCACAATTCCTAGATTCTGGTCCAGCATTGTTCAATAGAATTATACTTTAATTTACATGTGGTATTTTAAATTTTCTAACATCCACAAAGAAAAAATAAAAAAGAAACAGGTGATATGAATTTTAGTGATATATTTTAACTTAATATATATTAAATTTTTATCACAAAATGAATATAAAGTACTATAAATTAGATATTTTCTATTCTTATTCTTTGAAATTCAGCATGTTTTTCACATGCATAGCACATCTCAGTTTGTTCTAGCATATTCCAAATGCTTAACAGTCACATGTGCTTAATGGCCAGTGTATTAGACAGTGTAGTACTGCATCTTTTGATAGCCCTTTCATATTTCTTAAATCACCATATACCCACCACTCACTGTGAAGGCTTGCTTTATTTGTAAATAATTTTCTCTCACCTGTCAACAGCCAGATATATTTTGGTCTATCTCAATAAAAGACTTAAAAGCATCTATCTTGTAAGTTCAATTTCAAGTGTATTTAAAAAACCTGTTTATAAATTTAGGTTAGATAGTGTTCTTGCTTATAAATATGCCTTAACTGTTTACCTTTTGAAGATGCCTGTTAGTCTCATATTTTTGTAGTGTCTTCATTTGACATTCAATTACTGACACGCCATGAGGCAAGAGGTGCTGGGTTCATTTTATGAGCTACTCACATTATTATTCATTTAATTTCCAAAGACCACTGTCAGAGAGAAAGTATTGCAGTCAGAATTGCTTACACCAATTTTAAGTAATCTTTTCTCTAAGAAGTGAGATTGGAATCGTTTTTCAAAGAAAACATGGTCTATGAGTAAGGTGATGTGGTTCAGATTAATATGTTAAAAGCACATAGGTAGCTAAGTAAAAAGGATGCTTTGTTATCATTAACATTCCTAAACTTTACATAGCACTTTTTACTTGGCTATGATAACAGAAGAGCAGACAAAACCAAAGGCTATTTCAGATGCTGTACTAAGAGATTGTATAGGTGGGAAGACTTTATGATATCATCACATTTTGCTCCCTTCAGTATCATCATCAATGTCATCATCAGAAAATGGAAACTACAAACTGTTATGAGTTAGGCATTGCAATAGTTGTTTCACATATTTTATTTGTCATAATCAGCATTGTAATAATTGTTCTATACATATTACATAGATTTTAGCATAAACTTTTTAAAAGCTTATATGATTGAGATTAACATCCATATTTTTTAAGTGAAAATATTTACTTAAGTGTTATTTCTGGTTCTATATTCTTGAGGAATTGCCACATTGTCTTCCACAATGGTAGAATTAATTTACACTCCCACCAACAGTGTAAAAGTATTCCTGTTTCTCCACAGCCTAACCAGCATCTATTGTTTCCTGACTTTTTAATAATTGCCATTTTAACAGGTATGAGATGGTATTTCATTCTGGTTTTGATTTGCATTTCTCTAATGAAAAATGATGATGAGCTTTTTTTTTCCTATGTTTGTTGGCCTTATAAATATCTTCTCTTGAGAAGTGTCTGTTCATATCCTTTGCCCACTTTTTGATGGGGTTGTTTTTTTCTTGTAAATTTAAGTTCCTTGTAGATTCTGGATATTAGATCTTTGTCAGATGGGTAGACTGCAAAAATTTTCTGCCATTCTCTAGGTTGCCTGCTCACTCTGATGAGAATTTCTTTTGCTGTGCAGAAGCTCTTTAGTTTAATTAGATCCCGTTTGTCAATTTTGGCTTTTGTTGCAATTGTTTTTGGTGTTTTAGTCATGAAGTCTTCACCCAAACCTATGTTGTGAATGGTATTGCCTAGGTTTTCTTCTAGGGTTTTTATGGTTTTGGGTTTTACATTTACATTTTACATTGTACATATAGATATACAATTGTATACAATACATATACATTGTATATATACATATACAATTGTACATATACCATTTACATTGACCCAGCAATCCCATTACTGCATATATACCTAAAGGATTATAAATCATTCTACTATAAAGACACATGCACACATATGTTTATTACAACACTATTTACAATAGCAAAGTCTTGGAACCAACCCAAATACCCATCAATGATAGACTGGATAAAGAAAATATGGCACATATACACCATGGAATACTATGCAGCCATAATAAAGAATGAGATCATGTCCTTTGCAGGGACATGGATGAAGATGGAAGCCATCATCCTCAGCAAACTAACACAGGAACAGAAAACAAAACACCATGTGTTCTCATTCATAAGTGGGAGTTGAACAAAGAGAACACATGGACACAAGGAGGGGAACATCACACAACAGGGCCTGTCGGGTGGTGGGGCCCAAGGGGAGGGAGAGCATTAGGACAAATACCTAATGCATGCGGGGCTTAAAACCTAGATGATCGGTTGATAGGTGCAGCAAACCACAATGGCACATGTATACCTATGTAACAAACCTGCACATTCTGCACATGTATCCTGGAACTTAAAGCAAAATAAAAAATAAACATTTTTTAAAAAGAAAATATTTATTTAAGAGGTTAGAAAATGTATCTAAGTCACATCAAGAAGGAAGAATTCAGAGGCATGTCTTCAGAAGCTATATAAGGAATTAATTCAAAGTGGACTGTTCCTCCTTAAACCTTTGTATTTATTTTTAAAAAATCCACAGACACAGCTGTGGGAAGATTACCCGAATCTAGTGATTTAGCAAAATAAGTATAAAATGTGTTTATCTCATCCATTTGTTGTGGAGATTAAATTATATAATAGATTATATTGACTTGAAATATTGTACAAAGGTGCCTTGATCATTGCAAACACTCTATATGTATATGTGTGTGTCTTTAAATCAAAGGAACCAAATATCTACGTGTTCAAAAATAATTAGATAACTCTATTTCTCTGAGACTTGCAACAATTTTTAAATAGTTCTCAAAAGAGACAACAATGTAATAAATATAAATCTGATGTATGGTGATTTCATCAGTTATATCTGCCTAACGGTATTAACCATTAACCAGCCTGTATTTCACCATCTTGTCCAGAAGTATATCACAAAATGTCACAATGAGAAACACTGGGCAGACACTTTCTCAGAAACCTAATCACAGTTAGCAAAATTCTTTTCTCATTTTTCTAAATAATTCTATTGTGGTGTAGAGACTGAAGAACATAGTTGAAACTAAAACTCATATTGTGCAATGTTGGCCCAATACAATATTCAGAAGTACACAATATGGAAAAATGCATAATTAAGAAAAAACTATTTTCAATGAATATTCTTTTCCAAATTCCATCATTAACTTACTTTGTATTGTCATTACATTTACATAAAGCATCTTTCTGGATGTGTTTTTCAAAGGTTTCCTTTTTTCTTCATTGAGGGTGTGCTGCTTAATGCAGTCATGCTGTAACACATTGAGACTCAATAAAAGTACATGTTAGAATGTCTTGGTGAGATTATAGGCAATTGAACTTTACAAGCTCCATTTTATTTTAATGCAAATTACTCTTCATTTAAAAATGCATATTTTTCACCTTATTAAGCATATGATCATTTGAAAAAACGTGTTCATACCAAGTAAAGATAGGTATATAATGAAATGTGATTTCTACTTTCTAATAAGAACATAAATACCCTTTTGCATGTACATTTCTGGATCTAGCTGAATAAACTCTACTGTGAAGCAGAGAAAGCTACTTTACGACAGGATTGTTTTTCCCTCATTGTTTGCATGGCTGGCTCTTTCTCAACCTTTAGGTCTTGGCTTGTGGCTAAACGACAATCCTATCAGATTAGGCCTCCTCATTACATTCAACTGCATAATCATACTTATTTTACTGAGAGCATTTATGTAGTCTGTAATTACACCATCTTCTGCCACTAGAATGCAGGCTCTCGGGAGGTAGGAAAATTCTGAGGCTATTCACAGTTAAATTCTGTGAGACCAAGACTTTGCTCGGCCCTGAGAAAACATTTGTGAATGAACACATTGTGAGATAGAAATTGCCTTTTACTATTTTCAAGAGAATACTATCAAGCACACTAAATATTACCCAAACTTTCTGCTTACTTTTGTTTTACATAATAATTCAGGTCTCAAAAGAATGCTTTTAATAGGTTTCAGGTACTTATTCATTAGCCATTAAACATTAATATCCAGAAGCAACTATTTCCCAAATAACAAATGGAATCTATTTTTAAATTTAACACATTCATTTAATGAGATAAATTTTTAGGTTTTTAATTGTCCTCTAAGAAAAACAGTTGCTTTTCTTAGAATTTTTCTTAGTTCTCTACAAGTTTTGTTTAATTGAACATTTTCCCTTATGAGTGAATTCCAAATGAAGAATGAAGAAAAGTATGTGTGTTTGTGTGTGTGTGTGTGTGTGTGTGTGTGTGTGTGTATTCCATTTTTAAGTAGCTACAAATGCCTTTATCAATACATTTAGCTTGCTAGAAACTAAAAAATCTGGAGATGGCATATGATGGTTGGGTCAATACAAATAGAAACCAGAATCTGCCTTCCAGGAATAATGACATGTAGGGTACATCTTGATAAATTAAGATAAGTAAAATTTTTCATTAACATACAATAATTCTATATATTTATGGAATGCTATGTGATGTTTTAATATATGTACACATTGTAGGATGATTAAATCATGCTAATTAACATATCTATCACCCCAAATACTTTTCTTTTGTAGTGAGAACATTTAAAATCTGGTCTTTTAATATTTTAAAATATGCAATACACTATGATTAACTCTGTTCACCGGGCTGTGCAACAGATCTTGAAAGCTTATTTCTTTTTTCTAACGGAAACTTTTTATACTTTCATCACCTTCTCCCCATTCCCCACCCCAACCCTCAGCCTCTGGTAACCACCATTCTACTCTCTACTCCTGTAAGTTCAACATTTTTAGAGTCATCATGAAAGAATCTCTTTATGTCATTTGGCACATACATAATCCCTGTGATATCAGTCTTTGTCGTTCTATGTGTTTAAGAACATAAACCCCCAGAGGCCAGGATTCATGTATTACACTCACTGCTGTACTCCTCCCCACAACACAGAGGTAGGTATTATACAAAGAGAGCATTCAGTAAGTGATTTCAAGTGTATGGATACAGGCTTAAGTTAAAAAAATGGCCTTTCATTAAGCAATTATTTAGAAAAAAATGCAACAATGTATTCATAATAATAAGCAATGCCAATCTTTGGAGACAATATTGCTAGCAACAAGTTAACTGTCTTGAAAATATTATTACAGTAATAAGGCACAAATTAAATTCATATATAAGCCAGTTGTGTTTCAAGACTATTAGTTTGCATTGTCAAAATATGGTCAAAGAATAGTTGGCAAGATAGAAGAGATTGCTTGTTATTAATCTATCTCTTTTACTAGAAAAACAAATAGCTGTAACAATTTTGTGTCAGTAGATTTATCATCCTCTATGAACTGTAAAACATAAATGTAACAGCAAGCTGTCACCAACTCAATTTTAAAAACATTTATCATCTTTCCATTTTGTGCAATGCAATGGACTAGATGCAAGAGATATCTAAAAGTCAACGTGATCAAATCCTTCCCTTATTAGGTCTTACAGTCTATCTGGTGTGACAGACATGTAGACTACTAAGTGTAAGAGATGCAAGAAAGAAATAAACTAAATATAAATAAGCCATTCTGTGGAAACATGGAAAAAGAAGTAACTAATTTAAAAATAGCTTGTCTGAGATAACTATACATGAGAGATCTTCGGGGATAAATTCTCAATAGAAAGAAAAGAAACTGACAAAAAAAAAAGGGGCTAAGGGCATGCACGTATGATTCTGATAGGAAATATTATGGAACAGCAATAACTATGTGTAGCTGTATCTGAAAATAAAACAGAAAAAGTTGAAGGTGTTACTTGTGTTAGGATCATGGAGGGGTCTGCAGGCCATACCAGTAATCTGATGTTCAAGTTTAGAGTAACAGATGAGTGTCACTCTAAATTTATGATTACAAACCTCAACTGTAATATATCCTGTCAGTCAAATCTCTTCCATTCTTCACATCAACTATTTCCAGCCTTCTGTCAACTAGACTGAAATCTACATACTTTGTAGGCTTTTTTGATGAACTTATTTCCCAAAAAATATAGAAATCATCAGTATTAAACTTTCTACCGAAATACCTACTCCTGTCTGCACTCAAATTTTCCTTACTCCCATCTGTACAGTGAACAATGCAGTGTGTTGTATAGCACCCTCACCAGTCCCTGCCAGGAAATCCATGTGCAACTGGAAAGTCTTGGCACCTAATAGAGTGTGACTTCTATTTTCCTGCCAAAACATAAATATGTTCCTTATTTGGAAATAGGGTTCTGCAGATAAAATTAGTTAAGGATCAGCCAGGCGTGGTGGCTCACGCCTGTAATCCTAGCACTTTGGGAGGCTGAGGTGGGTGGATCACCTGAGGTCAGGGGTTTGAGACCAGTGTGGCCAACATGACAAAACCCCATCTCTACTAAAAATGCAAAAATTAGTTGGGCATGGTGGCTCATGTCTGTAATCCCTGCTACTCGGGAGGCTAAGGCAGGAGAACCACTTTAACCCAGAAGGCAGAGGTTGCAGAGAGCCGAGATCGTGCCACTGCACTCCAGCCTGAGTGACAGAGTGAGACTCCATCTCAAAAAAAAAAAAAAAAATTAGTTAAGGATCTTGAGATGAACTCATCCAGGATGTAGAGGAGGTCCTAAATCCAATGACTGGTGTCCTTGCAAGAAACAAAGAGGCCACAGTGACACACAGAGGAGAGACAAAGAGAAGAAGGTGATGTGAGGATGAAGGCAGAGATTGAAATGTCAAGGAATACCAGTGATTTCGGGCAACCACCAGAAAATAGTAAAGATGCATAGGATAGTTTTTCCCTCTGGCCCTCCAAAAGAAACCAACCCTGCCAAAACCTTGATTTCAGATCGCTGGCCTCCTGAACTCTGAGACAGTAAGTTTCTCGTGTTTTAAGCCACCCAGTTTGCAATTGGTTGTGGAAGCCCTAGGAAATGAATACAGAAGATGAGTCCTAAGAAATATCTAAGACTAAGACTTCTGTAATCTGACTACTATTCTGTATTAACCAAATTCCTGCTTCTAAAAAAAAAAAAAAAAAAAAAAAACCAGAATTCAACTTCACTCCAAATAGAATTTCTTTTATTTCTTGCATCTCTTTTGGTTCTCTCTCTTGTCAAAAGCCAGGACTAACTTATATATTGAATATATATCCTATACATATTCATATATATATTTATATATATACAGCATAGTAAATAAGTAGTCATGCCATTCACATTAGATGGGAGGATCACACCTATAGGCAAATAAGTTGGCAAAGTCAGTGGCCAGTGCCTCACCTATCAGGTAGAATATAAAATAATCTGGTTATAGAAACTCTTTATTGGATTTTTGTTTAATTTGATATTTATTTAATCAGTTGGGCTAAATGAGAAATGATCACCAAAGGAACCTCACTTTCCAACTAAAATATTTCCAGATATAGCATTACTGTTTAAAGAAAAATTCAATGTCATAAAATTTTATCTTTTGTTCTGTTCAAAATGCTTTTAAAAGAAAGTTTGATGCACTTTACATGACTTGTTTGATATTTTCCAATTCTGCCATAAATTTAACATTTATTTAATCTTGCAATTTCCCTCGACAAATTATAGCCTACAGTAACATTTTCTCTTTCTCTGACTACCTGTACACCTGATGTTGGTATATGTGTAGGTGGGTAAGAAATAGTGAAATGCCCTTCAAGAATACTGAAATAAAGCCAGTAACTTTATCATGCAAAACTAAATCAAAATATCCACAAAAACACAAAATATTTTTGCAAAATAAACCCTATGTCCCTCAGAACAAAATCACTTAACTGTAACTTGGCTGAAATTTCAGTAATAATAATGTTAATAATAATGATCACTAATATTTGAGTGCTTAATGTATGACAGGAATTATTCGAAGCTCTTTTATACATATTCTCTCATTTAATCATTACAACAATCCTGAGAGATGGACCCTATTATTATGCCTTTATAGATGTGACAACAATAAAAATGTTAAGCAACTTGCCAAAGAAACCTCAGCAGTAAGTGTTAGAGCCTGGGTTAGTACACAGACAGCCTGTATTCTTAACCATTAAGGAAAGATAAAAGCAACTGCTCATTCCAGGAAGCCTAGGAAAAAGAATAGCTGAATGAGAAGCACGGGCAGTTCCAGTAAATGCAGACTAAGGGAAAGGCTGCAATAATACAAGAAGACCTGCTATATCCAGGAGGCAGTTTATACCACTATTATACAGAAGGATAATCAAGCTGATGGTTTGAATGATCAAACCTTAACTTCCTAGAGTTATCTCATTTCCTTCTATCCCATGCTCACCAAACAGTAGTCTTACTTTAATTTGGCTTCTATCGTATTGTGTATACAAGGAGAAATTTTGGCCAGAGGAATGGAATATAAATTCCATTAACAGATTTATTTCTATTCATAAATGAATAAATTGGCATTCAGGTTGCATATATCAGTCTCATGTCAACTTCATTAGAGTGCGTAAGCTCTTTTGAGTCTGATATACCCTGACAGAATGATAAAATCATGTTTCCTGCTATGCAGAACTGAGGCTTAGACTAGGGTGGATGTCAAAGGTAATGTTCCATCGTGAGTCCTCTCCTTGGGATAGCTGAGGAAACCTCCATTAGCATTACTCACTATCTTGATATGTGCTATGCCTGCATTTCCACAGCACCCTAGACTGTATCACATAGTCTAAATCATAGAATTAAAAGATTAAAAAGTTCAGGGTTTGAAGAGATTTTAGAGATTTCCAAGTGGCTATCTGGTACTTGAATGCCCTCTAAAATATTGCTTGCAAACAGTTGCTTAATCAATGCTTGAAAACCTCTGGAGATTTTTCACCATCTCCCAAGGATACTCTTCTCATTTTATGAAAAATGAGAGATTTGAGCCAGATCTGCTTCCTTGAAACTTGCAAACAGAGTCAGGGACTGCTTGAACAAGGTCTATTCTTCTTTCACATGACAAACCTGCAGTATCAGAAGAAAATTTTCATATCCCCATGAGTCTGCCCTTCTCAAAGCTAAGCATCTCAAACTTTCTCAATCATTCTTCAATAGCCAAAATGTTTATCTTGCATTATCCAAGTCACTTTCTTTTAAATCTATTCATTTAACCAATCACCCCTTAGAGTATATCACCTGTGAGTTTAGCAAAAATAGTTCCACTATGAACTGACTAGCACAAAGAATATTTTCTAGATGATTTACTTCTACTAATAGGCTAAAATTGCAACAGCATTACTGAGAGCACATAATTTAAATAAGTGAAAGATCCATGTCTTTTTCTCATATGCTGTTTCTAAACCCCACCTTCCTCGTGTACCTTTATTTATTTTGACTTTAGTATTTAAGCAGGTGGGCCCTGACAAAAGCACGTAGATATTTCAGTTTGAAGCTACCAATAAATAACACACTTTTCTCCTCAAAAGTTTAGGATCAATTGAGAGAAACACATAATAAATCAAGCAATTAGAGATCAAAACATCACCTTCATAACTGATAAAAGCTAAAGAAGAGGATGTGGCTTATTCATGTACCAGCAATGGGTTTCAACACAGAATCCCAGGATTAGAATTCTCAACTAGAAGAACAAACTGAGGTCTCCCACTCATGGTATAGAGAACCAACCAATTTTGTGCTCCCTACAGGCAGCTGTTATACAAAATAATGAGAGGCAGAAAAGGGTGAACCACACAAACAAAGTTCGTCTCACCAAAATTTCCAATTAGAGTGTGAGGTGAAGAAAAGCCAGGGAGTGTTAAGGAAGATATTGCCCCCAAAGAAATCAGAATGAGAGTACCATCAATATTCCCTCAAATTATTTTCTGAACACATTAGACTTAACTATTATGCCTTTAGTCAAACAGGGATGGTATGGTGAGGTTAGGGTGAAGGTGAGGAATCTTGTAGAGTCATCGTCTTATTCAACAAAATACCATAGCCTGGGTGGCTTACACAACAAACATTTCCCTCTTACAGTCTCAAAGGCTGAGAAGTCCAAGATTAAGGTGCCAGGAGATTTGGTATCTGGTGAAGCCCCCCCACTCCTGGTTTTCAGAGGATCACCTTTTTTTCTGTATCCTCACATGGGAGAGAGAGTGATCATTTTCTTGTGTTTCTTCTTATAAAGGCATTATTCCCATTTATATGGATCATGTTGTCATGACCTAATTACCTCCCAAATGCTCTGCCTCCAAATACATCAGGGACTGGGGCTTCAACATTTGAATTTGGGGGACACAAACATTCTGTCTACAGCAGTCATTACTCTACCCTAGCTGCATGTAGATTTTCCCAGGACTGCATTCTAGACTGGGCAAAGACAGTCGGAAGGCAGGGCTCAGCCAGGTTCTTCTCCCTGTCTGTGTAGTCTCAAGTCTTCTCTGCATGGTCTCTATAGCAAGATAGTTGAACTGGTTACATAACAGCTCAGGGTCCCAAGAGGAAAGACACAGAAACTTCCAGAACTCTTAAAAGCTAGACCTGGAACTGACCTAGTATCAGTTCACCATATAGTACTGGTAACAGAGTCCTAGCCCAGCCTGGATCAAATGAAGGAGAGGAGACACAAGATCCATATTTTAATGAGAGGAATATCAAAGAATGTCATCATTAATCTGCCACAGTCTACCCTCTGGACACAATCTGCATTTTCTCCACTTGCAAAACATAGTCATCCCCTCCCCAAATCCCCAAAGCCTCATCCCATTGCCACCTCAGGTTCAGGCTTAAGGTCCAAAGTCTTGCAACTGAAGCAGTCACTCCCTTATATAAGTAAATGGTAGTTTTTTTTTTACAACGCCCATGTGTTTGCTTAAATATTCAGGAAACTTGAGATAAAACCAAGGTTGTAAAACATTCCCCAGCGTACCCCTGGAAGTAAATGTTAATCTGTAATCAGTTAATCTATAATCTGGCTGCAGTTTAGCTGATGCCAGTCAGACCACCAGGAGGCCTATTGCTTAAGATAATCATTGGAACAAGACATGCTGACCTGCACATAGTTTCCCAAGTCCCTTTTCCTTTAAAACTCCTTTGGCCAGCCTGAAGAACCTGAGATAGTCTTTGTGACACTAGTTTGCCATCTCCTCAGTTTGCTGGCTCCTGAATAAACCTGCTTTTCCTCTCATCACCTCTTGTCTTTCTAGTCTGGCTTTGGAGCCATGAGCAATTGAACCTGGGTTTGGTTGCAATCTCATCGTGTAATTCAGGACCAGGTATAGAAATGAG
The DNA here is from genome assembly GCF_000001405.40 of Homo sapiens. Lineage (NCBI taxonomy): Eukaryota > Metazoa > Chordata > Mammalia > Primates > Hominidae > Homo > Homo sapiens. The sequence goes on along the minus strand of NC_000001.11, from coordinate 193,786,879 downwards.
ACTTCTGCATTTTCTCCTGGAGTTTGTTTCCTCCCAAATCAAAGACCTGTAGGCTGGATGTGGTGGTTGCACCTGTAATCCCACCACTTTGGGAAGCCAAGGCAGATTAAAGCCAGGTGTTTGAGACCAGCCTTGGCAACATAGTGAGATCCTGTCTCTACAAAAATAAAATTATCAGGGTATGGTGGCACGCACTTATAGTCTTAGCTACTAGCTACTCAGGAGGCTGAGATGGCAGGGTCACTTGAGCCTAGTTGTAAAAGGCTTCAGTGAGCCATGATTGTGCCACTGCATTCCAGCCTGGGTGACAGAGCAAGACCTTGTCTCTACAATAAAAAACAAAAAACAAACAAAAAACCACGTAAACTGATATGAACTGAGTGACAAGTTATGTGCTGCCTACATACCTAACAGACAATAATGATACAAGAATAGAATAAACAAAATAAAGTCTAAATAAAGGCCACAATTTTTGCTCCCAAATATTTTCTTTCTGCCCACTTTTGGTGGAGCTCTTGATACCAGGCAGAATTAATTGTTTTTAGTAGCTATATCCTGAGATGCCTCTCATTGGAATGGGCGTAGTTCTTTAGCAACTCAGTAACTGAATTGGTTCCATGCCATGCTTACACTATAAAGATCATAGCACTGACCCATCATGCCAAAAGCTTAGAAAACATGCCATTTCTGGTTCTACAGCAATTAGTTCTGGAAAGCTATGTTCCCAGAATGAGTACTTACAAATGTCTCTAAAGACCATAACAGAGACTTGCTGGTACCAAACAACAGAAGAAAATCATTTCTAATTCTGGCCTCTCCAGCTTTCCAGTTTGTTTATGTTAATAATCCTGAATGTAAATTGAACTATCCTAGCTGAGAGAAGAAATAATATCCCAAAGCATCTATAGCTGAAGTTGTCACTGCCTCATCGTCTTCACTTCTATAAAAGAGAAACAAGTTTATTTCTTAAAACTTGCCAATATTGTGAAGCGTTCAATATTTTTAGACATTCCACATTTTTTTCTCACTGCTTATCTTACAGACTAAGGGTTTTTTTTAAAATTTTTGTCGTATATCAAAAAACAGTGTACTTTCCTGGGTGTACACTTGACAATGTGTGGTCTCTAATCAAAGATTTCAGGTCCAGATGAAAGAATAAGGGAAAAATACAGATTACTGCAGTTTAAAGTTAACTAATGAAGATGCAGCATTCTGGAGAAGTAGCTAAAGTGGAAGCAGCTATAATGCATAATTTTACCTTTTTTACCTAATTTAGAGTGCCATCACTTTACTTAGGTAATGTCGGTTTCTCACCTGTGGGCTCCACCAGTTGATACATGCTACAGATCATAGCAGGATGGATAATTGCTCAATTATTTTTGTCCTGACCTTCCCTTATATGTACTTTCTTTCCTGCCTCCCTTACTAGGCAGAATTGTTAGGTTTATTCTGGGGTGTTCTTCTAGGATAACTTTCCTTTTTACACGTTAACAATTATGCATGTTTGATCTTTCCCTCAATGTGAACCTTCCTGCACTGCATATTGAAGAATTCCTCAAAGTTTCTTACATGTAGATGACACTCTACATTATGGTCTAGCAGTAATATTGAGTCTCCTCTTTTAATATATCCCTCTCGTCATTTTACTAAAGATTTCAAAAACAAAGAAATGTATTATTTGAACTCAGACTGCCATTTTTAAATAAGAAATCGATACTTTTTTTGAAAACTCACAAATTATCTTTAACAACTCTATATTGCACTCAGTCTTTATGGAAAGTTTACACACATATTTAAGCCAGTAAAATTGTGATCCATCTCTAATCTGGAGCTCCTTTTATTTATCACCATCCCACCAAAATAACTGATAGCAGTTCACCAATTTCATCTCCAGGTTCTCTGTGTGCTTGGTGATAGCACCCACTCCCTTTAGAAGAAATGAGTCCACATAAAGTTCTGTAAGTCCTCCCACTCTTCTCAACTATTTTGGACCTTATTTTCATCTTATCAGTAATACTCCTGGCCTTAACAATTTGACAATCAGTTGCCACAATAGAACAAACTGAAGCAACCTAAGAGTTTAGTAGGTATCCTTTCTCACTATCAACTCTTCATATGCTGTTATTATTTCTAGCCATGGTCTTGCTTGTCCTTATTTTCTCTTTGATAGTGAAAAATTTTTTTAATCTATTTTATTGTTTTTAACATTTTTATAAGCTTCTTTCCACTTAAAAATTTAGTCTTTACCTTAATGATATCATTCTTAGAATATATATTAGAGCCACCCAAATGCCACCTCTTCAATATTGCATGACATCGCTATGCAAAGAAATTATCTACTCTGTTAAATGAGTTTCACCAAATGTCTTTCTCTCATCTAATTAATTTGTAATATATTTATTAAAATTTTAGTCTTAAGAGCTTATCTAGAGTCTTTACCAATGTTTTTCTAAAACCATCAAAATCTGCCCTCTTAAAATATACAACCACACCTCTAGCCTGTTTCTCCCTCTGGCTTTTAGAAATTTTCAGATACTATATCGCTTGTGACTTTCTACTTACTCCATTATTGTTCATCATGCATAGGCCCAAGATGCTTTCTGGGAGATTAATATACTTGATACTCTGCCTTTCTTTCAAGAGTAATGTAATTTACAGTCTAAATGGAACCTTTCAGAGCAAGGCCTACACACAGGAAACTGAGTTTATAGAAGCCAGAACTTGTGCTTTACAACTTAACAGGTTACTTCAGAGTTGTCAATTGACTGCATCTCTCCTCCTCAGCTGTAAGCTTCTTCACAGCAGAAGTCATCAGCTCTTTTATTTCACCAAGTCCATAATGAATTATCAGGCCAAACATAGGCATCTAGTTCTTATAAATATGTTGACATAACATTTCCATAAAAGCAAAATCTGATTTATATTTCCATGTTATATATTACTATATATTTAACTCAAATGCTTCCTTTTGAATTCTATTATATTTTGTTAGAGAATATTAGTGCTACTTGATTTTGTAAACTTGAGCAACTTGATAAGATTATAGTTACTTCTATAACAATACCATATGACATACTCCAGAATCTAAGTCACCTCTTCATTTTGTTTCTGTTTCTGATACCAGAAAATAATTAGGATATGAAAATAAAGAGATGGGAAGGAGAGAAATCTTCATCCTATATTTTCTTTTATGATACTATTTTTTCCTGTTGAAGTTCCTTCTTCTTCCCCAGTATTATTGAGGTATAATATAAATTGACAAAAATTATATATATATTCAAAGTGTACAATATGATTTGATGTACATTTATGTTGGGAAATAATTACAATTATTTTGCTTCAGTTTATATTTTTAGAACAAAACCTATTCCTTACAACCTCCAGAATATGCATATCTACTCAAAACTGAGTTATAGCTATCAATTTTCTCATACACCCACAGTTTTTGCATGAGAATTACATTAACATTCGGAAAACTGGTGACATCACTCAATTCCTTATCTACCTATATGTTTGGGCTGCTAATCTGTCTTCTGTTGTATAACTGTCTCTTACATCCTAAAATGACTTCTAGAATTCATTTTACATGAGTTTTCTCACTTTGTCATGCCTGTCTAAATTTTGACTTGTTTTCCATGGTGTCTTATGAAGATAATTACTCAGTTTTCTTATCCTGGCACCCACTAGACAATACCTCTCATCTTGCCAAATACAGATTTCCTTGGCTCTGGTAATAATTTAAGGCTCTGGTACACAATGTTGAAGGGTCAATCACCTAACTTCAGGTAAATATAATGGCAACATTGTTATTTTTTCCAAACCCAGCAAAAAGAGTTCTTGCTAGAAATTTTTTAGAAACCATTTCTTCCTCTATACTAACCTTCACTAAGCCACCTCCTTCTCATTTCTACTCTTGTCAACACCCAACACAAGAACATAAAACCAAATTTAAAAATCTGCATTTAAAAAATCACAAAAAATAAAGCCACATTTTTTACTGATACATAATAATTATACATATTATGGGGTACATGTGATCATTTGATACATGTATACAATGTGTAATGATCAAATCAGGGCAATTAAGCTATTCATCACCTCAAGCATTTATCATTTCTTTGTGTTGGGAGCATTTCAAATCATTTTTTTCCAGCTATTTTGAAATATATGATAAATTATTAACTATAGCCACGATCCTGTGCTATCAAACACTAGAAGTTATTTCTTCTAATTGTATTTTTGTGCCCATTAACCAACCTCCCTTCATCCCCTGCCCTCTACCCTCCCCAGCCTCTGGTAACCAGCATTCCACTCTCTGCCTCTATGAGATCAGCTTTCATAGCTCCTACATGTGAGTAAAAATATAGGATATTTGTCTATGTCTGGCTTATTTCACTTAACATGACTTCCAGTTCCACCCATGTTGCTGCAAATGACAGATTTTATTTTCTTTCTATGGCTGGATAGTATTGCCTTGTGTATACAGACATTTTCTTTATTCACATATCTATTGACAAACACTTAGGTTGATTTCATATCTTCACTGTTATGAATAGTGCTGCAATAAACATGAGTATGCAAATATCTCTTAGGTATATTACCTTTTTTAAGATATGTACCAAGCTGTGAAATTGCTAAGATTACGTGGCAGTTATACTTTTAATTTTTGTGGGGAAACACCATACTGTTTTCCATAGTAGCCGTACTAATTTACAGTCCCACTACCAGTGGACTGGCATTCCCCATTCTCTAGATCCCCTTCAGCATCTGTTTATGTATTTTTTTTTTTTACCTTTTTGATAATGAACATTTTAACTTGGGTGAGAAGATATCTCCATGTAGTTTTGATTTGCATTTCCTGATGATTAGTAATGTTGAACACTTTTTCCTGTCTGTTGGCCCTTTGTATGTCTTCTTTTGATAAATGTCTATTCAGATCATTGGCTCATTTTTCTATTGAATTATTTGTTTTTTGCTATTGAGTTGAGTCCCTTATATATTCTGGTTCTTAATCCTTTATCAAATGGAGAGTTTGAAAATATGTTTTCTTATTTTGTAAGTTGTCGCTTCACTCTGTTGGTTCTTTCCCTTTCTGTACAGAAGTTTTTAGCTTGATATAATCTTATTTGTCTATTTGTGCTTTTGTTGCCTGTACTTTTTGAGGTCTTACCCAAAAAAAAAATTTGCCCAGACTGGTGTCCTGAAACATTTCCCCAATGTTTGCTTCTAGTAGTTTCATAATTTCAGGTATTACATTTTAAGTGCTAAATGTGTTTTTTTTAAGAAAAAGTTTTTATTTAAGATTGTAAAGATCTTTTCTTTATAATCCTAATGTTGGTCTCAATTATTAGCCTATTTTATATCATTACATCATAAGCATGAAATGTCACATAAATAAAATTGCATAATTCAGTTTGGTTCATTAGCATGATAGAAGTTCAGCTCATAACAATGTTCTCACACTTCACTTCATTCAAAATTAAACCAACACAAACACAGAAATTCAAGAACTAAAGAAATATCTACTAACACTTAGAATGAGACTTTTCCATCACAGTCTCATTTTTCTAAAGTCTGCAAGCACAAAGGCAAGAGTTAAACCTCACTGTTGGGATGAATGACCTCCCAACAGTGTTTTGACATATTCTAAAAGTAGTTATCTTCCTTTTAACACTTAGAATGAGACTTAGAATGGAGCCTAAGAAACTGAGGTGGTGGGCTTCTCAAAGGTCAGAAAGCAAAACATGGTCCCCGAATCTATTCTGCAGGGAAAGGAAATCTGCTGGAAAACATTTGGGAAATGTTTTGCTTTCTGATTAAAACAGAAACATTTAGAGAACTCTTTAGCCATTCTAACCCCACGGCTTACATAAGCCTTGGACTTGGTAAAGGGAGGATGTGATGTTTAGCTCTGTAGCAGTCACCTTGTAATCATGAAGCAACAAACCTGAAAGCAAAGCCCGATGCTTTGATGATGGCAGTGCAGAAGGATGTCACGGAGCTACTGAACCAACACTGATACTGTTTCTGTTATGTGGAATAATCAATGTTTTTTAAAAAATAATTTAACACACTGTTTTGATATTACTATTATATGCAGCCCAATTTTCCTAACTCATGAGAAATAGGGAATATTACCTAGCTATTAGTCAAAACCATAAATTGTTACTCCATCATGAAAATGATGTTAAAACAGAGTTTTACAAGTAAAACCTTCAAAAGTAAATGTTTAATAAGAAATAAGCACACTTGAGCTCCTTCATGACATTACATGTAAAGGGTTTAAACTTTAAAATTGCACTACACATATACTTTGCTTACATGTATCTGTGTGTGCATGTAAGGAAGATAACTACTTTTAGAATATGTCAAAACATAAAAGGCTAAAAAATAAGAAATGGTCTTAGTCATTTATTAAGGGAATCAGTTGTTTTATTCATCATTATCAACAATATACATTCAGAATGCCTTCTATAACTAAAGTTCTAAATATATAAACAAAGACGTATAAGCCGTGATTCTTGTAACCTAGAGGTTCCTAAACCAATTCACTCTACAGGAAGAAACCGGAGAAATAATAAAACTTACAATGAGTGCATATTTCCAAGTTCTATTAGAAAATCCTGTTTATACTCTAGTTGCAGGAAAATACGGTCCAACCAGTTTCAGCTTTCAGAGATAAATGATAAAAATGATGAGAGTAGGTACTTATATTTGTAAAAAGAGAGCTGAATAAATGCCTGAAGGAATGGCAGCTGTGTCTATGAATCCCCTTTGTCAGCTTAAGCAGGATAATATAAGATATGATTCATGTTATTTTGATATTTGTATTCAGTGAACTCAGTTTGATTCCATAAAAACTGCAATAGGATGTCAATTTACGTTGTCCTCAAAAGTGTAGACATTATCATTTTTTAATGGTACAGGCCTCAAAGTATTACTACATTTTATATCATAGAGAGAAAAGATAAAATAAAATGTAATTTTTGTTGACAAAATTCAAACTTAAAGTTACAGCTTCAATCCATTAACCAGTTCTAATTAAGAATGTTTAGAAGAAACAAACCAGACATTAAATGTAGCCAAATATACAAGGGGCAAGGTGGTGTTGAGAAATTTGATACTATTTGGTTTGCCAAATAAAACACAGGAGGCAATATTTGGGATATGTTTATTCTAAAAAAATTTGAAGTTTATCTAAAATTCCAATTTTCCTACATATCCTGTTATTTTTGTTTTGTTTTATAAATATGACAACTCTAAATAGCAATACATTTGAGTAAAATGTTTATTCCTCCTCCATTTCTTTGGTACCACTAAGTTACCAGTTTATTAAAGTTGATGTGTTCTAATAGTCAAATAATCAAACATGTACTTCCACCCTTTACTTAGGAATCAGGAATGGAATTAGGTAGATACATAAGACATGGCTCCTAATCTTAAAGTGTTCCCTCCCTATAATGGTGTAGGAATCATTGGACTATTTGCTTTCCTGCTGTATGCCTCACTAAGAACAAACTTGTGAGAGTAATCTCACTACCTGGAGGACTCATAATATTCTTTATTATAAATCACTGTGTACTCTCATTTTCAGTTACCCTCTATTCCCATTACTCTGCAGTTGTTACTCCTCCCCACCAACCTGGTCCCCGAAAACCTGAGAGCCCTGTGTGGACACATGTCTTCCCATGAATTTATTTACAGACACAAGATGTTTTCTTCCTGTCCTTGACATTGCTCAAACTTTAACTCTAACTTTACCTTTAGTTAATAAAGAGGTTCCATTTATAGAAATTTAATTTGTTGCAGTTATGTTTTCTCCATATTTCCCTTTTAAGATCTGCCAAACAACCACTTAGACTACTCCTCTCACCAGACATTCACAACTGCCAACTAACTCTCTCTCTTTTTCACACTTTCACAGGTGGAAAACGTCAATAGATTTCTCAAAGAAGTGTGAATCCAGAAAAATCAAGATCCCAGGAAAAAAAAGACTCAAAAAAGGAATTGATAAAGTTAAACATTCATGCTCCTCGGACTTCATATCGGATGCTCATTTAAAAGTAAACTCTTGGAAGCAACGTTGGGAGAAGAGTGATACAGAGTAAAAAATTATTTTAAAAACACGACTCCATATTTTAATGGTTTTGAACTTCATGTTATTACCTGTGTAATCACACACACACACACACACACACATTTTAAAACCCCATCTGCCTAGGTTTATCAATTATAAATACCAACTATTTTATTACACACATGACAGGATATTTTGTGGCCCTTTCCCCATGATGGCAAGATCCACTGAATGGTAATGCTAGAGTGATTAATGTATCCACATAGTAGCATATAATTTTTATAGAGAATAATACTTTATATGGTATTCATTTAAATGACACAATTTATTTTGTCTCTCTAAACGAAACACGTAAATGTCTATCCTCAGTTTCCTCATTAAAATAACTAATAAAATGCCACATATGTTGGTTGGCTAAGTAAAATAATATATCAATGGTATTTTGTAAATTAAAATCTCTATATAAGTCTCAGGCAGAAAACAAAGATATTTTTATACATTACTTAGAATTTTATATGACTGTAGGAATTACAGTGAAACATTTTTACTTATCAATCAAGACATTCACATCACAAGAGAGTGGTTATTTTATCACATTTATTTTAAGTTCCCAATAGAATTTTTAAAGTTGTCAATTGAGCTTCATAAAAAAGTTTGACTACCATTATTATATTTTATATAGTCATGTGTCAATTAACAATGGAGATACATTCTGAGAAATGTGTTATTTGAAAATTTCATTGTGCAAACATCATAGAATATACTTACACAAACCAAGATAGTATATTCTACTACACACACCTAGGATATATAGAATAGCCTATTGCTTCTAGGCTACACACCGGTACAGCGTATTACTACGCTGAATACTGAAGGCAATTGTAACACAATGGTAAGTATTTGTGTAGCTAACACATTTAAACATAGAAAAGTTACAGTAAACATATAGTATTAAAGGTAAAAAAAAAAAAAAAAAAAAAGGTCCACCTGTATAGGACACTTACCACGAACAGAGCTTCCAGGACTAGAAGTTGCCCAGGATGAGTCAGTGAGTGAATGGTGAGTGACTGTGAGGGCCTAGGACATTATTGTGCACCACTGTAGACTTTATAAACACTTTAGAGTTAGGATACACCAAATTTATAAAAAATATTTTTTCTTCAATAATAAATTAACTTTAGGCTACTGTAATGTTTTTACTTCATAAAGTTTTAAATTTTTTAAAAGTTTTTCAACTATTTTGTAATAACACTAGCTTAAAATTCAAACACATTATATAGTTGTATAAAAATGCTTTCTATCCTTATAAGATTTTTTATACATTTTTCTTTACTTCTTACACAACTCACATCACAGGTTTGTTTACACCAGTAACACCATAAAAAATGAATTATATGTTGCACTACAACATTACAATGGTTACAATGTCATTACATAAGAATTTTTCAGCTCCCCATTATACTCTCATGGGAACACCACCATATATGTTGTGCATCATAGACTGAAACATCATTATGTAGTACATGACTGTATGTCATATTCCATATACCTGATTGATATGGTTTGGCTGTGTCCCCTCCCAAATCTCATCTTGAATTGTAACTCCCACAATTCCCATGTGTCATGGGAGGAACCCAGTGGGAGGTGATTGAATTATGTGGGTGGGTCTTTCCTGTGCTGTTCTTGTGATAGGAATGAGACTCACAAGATCTGATGGTTTTAAAAAATGGGAGTTTGCCTGCACAAGCGATCTCTTTGCACTGCCATTCAGATAAGATATGACTTGCTCCTCCTAGCCTTCCACCATGACTGTGAGACCTCCCCAGCCATGTGGAACTGTAAGTCCATTAAACCTATTTTTCTTTCCGGTCTTGGGTATGTCTTTATCAGCACTGTGAAAGTGGACTAATACAATAAATTGGTACCAGTAGAATGGGGCATTGATGTAAAGATACCTGAAAATGTGGAAGCGACTTTGGAACTGGGTAACAGGCAGAGGTTGGAACAGTTTGGAGGGCTCAGAAGAAGACAGGAAAATTTGGGAAAATTTGGAACTCCCTAGAGACTTGTAGAATGGCTTTGACCAAAATCCTGATAATGTTATGGACAATGAAATCCAGGCTGAGGTGGTCTCAGATGAAGATGAGGAACTTGTTGGGAACTGGATCAAAGGTGACTCTTGTTATGTTTTAACAAAGAGATCACAGTATTTTGCAATTGCCCTAGAGATTTATGAATCTTTGAACTTAAGAAAGATTATTTAGGGTTTCTGTCAGGAGAAATTTCTAAGCAGCAAAGCAATCAAAAGGTAACTTGGGTGCTGTTAAAGGCATTCAGTTTTAAAAGGGAAACAGAGCATAAAAGTTTGGAAAATTTGCAGCTTGACAATGTGATAGAAAATAAAATCTCATTTTCTGAGGAGAAATTCAAACTGGCTGCATAGATTTCCATAAGTAATGAGGAGCCAAATGTTAATCCCAAAGACAAGGGGGAAAATGTCTCCAGGGCATGTCAGAGGTCTTCATGGCAGTCCCTTCCAGAGGCTCAGAGGCCTAAGTGGAAAAAATTGTTTCATGGGCCAGGCCTAGGGTCCCTCTGCTGTGTGCAATCTGGGGACTTGGTGCCCTGTGTCCCAGCCACTCCAGCCATGACTAAAAGGGGCCAAGGTACAGCTTGGGCCGTGGCTTCAGAGGGTGCAAGCCCCAAACCTTGGAAACTTCCACGTGGTATTGAGCCTGCAGGTGCACAGAAGTCAAGAATTGAAGTTTGGGAACCTCCACCTACATTTCAGAGGATGTATGGAAATGCCTGGATGTCCAGGCAGAAGTTTGCTGCAGGGGTGGGGCTCTCATAAAGCACCTCTGCTAGGACAGTGCAGAAGGGAAATGTGGAGTCACTGGGAGCCACTTAATGGAGCTGTGAGAAGAGGGTCACTGTCCTGCAGACCCCAGAAGGGTAGATCCACCAACAGCTTGCACTGTGCACCTGGAAAAGCTGCAAACACTCAATGCCAGCCCATGAAGCAGCCAGGAGGGAGGCTGTACCCTGAAAAGCCACAGGGGTGGAGCTACCCAAGACCATGAGAACCTACCTCTTGCGTCAGCGTCACCTAAATATGAGACATAGAGTCAAAGGAGATCATCTTGAAGCTTTAAGATTTGACTGCCCTGCTGAGTTTCAGACTTGCATGGGGCCTGTAATCCCTTTGTTTTGGCCAATTTCTCCCATTTGGAAAGACTGTATTTACCCAGTGCCTGTACCCCCATTGTATCTAGGAAGTAACTAACTTGCTTTTGATTTTACAGGCTTATAGGAAGAAGAGACTTGCCTTGTCTCGACACATTGGACTGTGGACTTTTGAGTTAATGCTAAAATGAGTTAAGACTTTGAGGAACTGTTGGAAATGCATGACTGGTTTTACAATGTGAGGACATGATATTTGGGAGGGGCCAGGGGTGGAATGATATGGTTTGGCTGTGTCCCCACCCAAATCTCATCTTAAATTGTAACTCCCACAATTCCCATGTATAATGGGAGGAACCTAGTGGGAGGTGATTGAATTATCCAGGGTGGGGCTTTCCTGCACTGTTTTTGTGACAGGAATGAGTCTCATGAGATCTGATGGTTTTGAAATATGAAAGTTTCCCTGCACAAGCTCTCTCTTTGTCTGCTGCCATCCATGTAAGATGTGACTTGCTCCTCCTTGCCTTCCACCATGACTGTGAGGCCTCCACAGCCATGTGGAACCATAAGTCCATTAAACCTATTTTTCTTCCCAGTCTTGGGTATGTCTTTATCAGCACTGTGAAAACAGACTAATACACTGATATTCTATATATCTCAATTTATAAACTTTAGAATAAAAAAAACTTAACTCAGAAATATGTCTATTATTGTTTTAAATTAATTTCTTGAATATTTTTATTAGTCAAATATATCTATAGTTAACATTAATATCCAAGACCATATGAATCATATATGCTCATTCTCTGATGTAATGTATTCTCCAACACAGGCTTATTATTAGTATCAGAATTAAAACAAATAAAACAAAAAACCATGGAAGTGATGACATCATCGATCCACTGATGAGCATGATGATCTGGATTATAGTGATCTGATATACAACACCTCACCTTACACGTGTAGTACAGGATGAAATGGGGTGGGGCACTAACTTAATGCCCAGACTAACAGAAGCTCTTTCCTGGTTCCAAGCTTGCCAAGAGAGAGAAAGGGAACACTGAAATTTGCACAGGCAGTTAAATGTAGAACTGACCAAAATCATTCCTACTTAGTATTCAATGTCCATAGAAAGTCATATGGGTCCATCTACCTCAAAGACAGCAGAGAAGTGAAATTCTATCTAGTGTCCAGAAAGAGAAAAAAAAGCATTTGGGAACAGCTCTAATGAACATCTCATCTACAATAATAAAAGTAATTTTTTTTAAGATTCACTGTTTTCTATTTGTTTACATGACCTTTTTTTTCATCACCGGAAGAAAAAAAAAAAAAGACTGTGCACTTCCCAAGGCAAAGACCATAGTATTAAATGCAAACTTTGACAAGGCTTTTCAGCTGCAACTTACTTGTTTTCCTCCAATATTTCATACTGTTAATCACTTCCTTCTTGCAGCACTTTCTTCCATTCATTTCCATAAAAAAAATTCTGCTGGTTACCTCTGCTTACTTCCTGTTTGTTCTCAGTTTCCTTTATGGTTTTTTCTTTCCTCATCAACTCATAATATTGGTGTTTCTCCAGATCTTCATATATCTGATATCCAAGGACTTAGCTTATATTCTGTTTCTACTGACAGTGTAGTGTAATGGTCAAGGGAGCAGAGCCTACATCTAGACAGGCTGAGTTTGAATGCCAGCTCCTCCACATCTAAATACAATTTGAGCAAGTTAACTAACATCTCTGTGTCTAAGTTTCCCCACCTATAAAATCAGGATGTTAAAATAGACCCTGCCTCACTGAATTGTGATAATTTCATTAGTTAACATGTATAAAACAGAACAGTGCCTGGCATACAGTAATTGTTATATGTTAGTTATTAACTCTATCAGTATTGTTTATGACAACATCTTCACCACCACCTCCTCACTGATCATACCCAAATCCATATTTTAAGTCTGATTTCATGAGTTCCAGAGCCATATATTCAATTCCATTCTAGATATCCCCAGAAATTCAAATTCAAATTACTGACAAAAGGAAGGCACCATCTTTCTTCTGAAATCTGCTTTTTTTCTATTTATGTTTTCTAGCTTAGGTAATCTTATCAGTATCCACTCAGACTCCCAAGCTAGAAAATTAAACAAACTAAATTTGTGAGAAATCTTATTAGTTCCACTATTAAATCCATCCTCTCTTCACTTTCCTCACTCTTACCATGATTATTTCTTCACTTAATTTCTGCTTTGGCTTCTTCATTGCTCTGCTTGCCTCCATTCCAGCTCCACCATTCCTGACTGTGCCAGGTAGTATTACCAAGGTAATCATATTAAAATTAAAATCTCGTATCATGGTCTTGAGTAAATTAAGCATGGTTCACCAGCCTCTCAGACTCCCCTCTGTTTTCTAGCCTCATTTTACCACAAGCATCCAGGCTGGGTTCTCAGACCTGGGAGAACAGAGAAGTGGGCAGTGCCAGTATTGCACACTGGAGAGTGAGACAAATCAAAAGTCACAATGGAAAACTCAAGCAAAGAAAAAAATAGTTTCAAGAGCTGTACCAAGAGAGAATCCACAAAGAAGGAAATGAATATGAACTAAATTGTCTTCCAAAACAAAATAATAGGGTAGGAAATAGCAAGTAAAATTGGAAGATTATCAAGAAATTTAGAGTTAATAAATAATATATAATGAAGGATTTTTTTGTGTGTGTGCTAGAAGGGAACAAAAGGAACATCTAACAGTCCTGAGAAGACTAAATTTCTGTGTCACTTTGTTTTCACCTCTTGCCATTGTTATATCACTTATAGCAACAGCAATGTCAAAGTACTTTCTAAAATGCAGCATGATTTTTCTCATCTTGCATATTCTGTTCCTTATGTGTAGATGAACCCTTCTCTTCCTGCTTCCTTCACTTGGCTTTCTCATTATTCATCCATCTCTCTGCCGAGGCACAACTTTCTTCAAGAAGCTTTTTCAAGTCCACCTGGATGGTCAGATTTTAACACTCTTCTCTAGGCTTCTACCTCCCCATACTTTTATCATAATGTATTGACTTAACTCTGCACCCCTCATTCAGTTGTGAAGCAGCTGAGGGAAGGAAGTACAGCTTTGTCTGTGCCTAGCATAAATATTCTGAAACATAAATGCTCAAAGAAGTTGTGTTTAGAAATGGGAACACCAAATAAATAATTAATGAGTTAATTAATAGTGGGATGGAGCTGAATCAATCTGTCCATTGTTCCTTTCTCCTAATTCCCTTTGTGAGATAGAATATGCAGGTGCCACATCAGATTTAAATTGTAGTCAGGTAGTAGAAAAGTACAGGGATATCAAAATGCTATTTGGAAAAGTGAACTTTACTTCATTAGCATTATGTTTTATGAGAAATTGAGCTAAAATGCTTTGCAAATGCTCTGACTGTAATTCTAGTTTTCCTGGAGTTTGTTTCTTTCGTTTAAAGAAAAGATTAATCTTATTAGTCCCCATCAATTTAAATTGTAATTTCTCAGACAATATGAGCCATTAATGATTAGTTAATTCAATTCAGACTACCAGAGTAACAGGTACACTCCACAGAATGCAATGGAATACCAGCATTCTAACCTGAGCAGACAACAGGGTAAACTATGCCAAGTTCAAAGAGACGAAAGCTATGAAGATAACATATTTTATAGCCTTTTGTTTGGATTAACAGCAAGTTTGATTCTTAAACCTCTGAGGAAATCTGAAAAACCAACAGACCAATTAATCTTGGATTTGGCTAACAATGACAAAGAGTATTGTGAAGAATATAACATTTTCAATATTGCATACATTCTCAAATGGAGTAAAGTCATGAATTTGAACAATGATAGCATTGTAGAATAGGCTCAATGCTGTACTGTACACATTGCAGGCATACAGGCTGAACGGTTAGCAGGCACTCTCTCCTATTCTCTCTGTCTCTCTACATTTATGGACAAATATAACCTTCCTAGGACTTATGCTTTTCAGTCTAATAATCATAGATAAAACTCTACACTATATTTCATGACAAAGATTTAGATTATTGTTTTCTCCCTGTAACTGGCATCATCCATTATTTAGGATGATTTCTTAATATTTTATCTACGTATATGTGTCTGAAACATCTTTCCTCAACAACAGATATTATATGTAATATTTCTAAATGATTCAGGCTGTCATTTGTAGTTACAGATTATCTTCTCTTTGGAACTTTATTCCATTCACGAACTTTTATTTATTTAAAAATTAAAAGACTTTCAAAAGTGACAAACCAATGAAATAATTTTATGAATATCCCTTAAATCAATACTTGTATTTTTTCATCTGAAACTCAAAGATTAAACACTTACAGTTGCGTTAGTTTGGGTCTGCTGAGAAGTAGATGTCAAAACAGAATTAGTGTGGATGTATGTCACTTTTTTATTGCTGCTGGAAGAGATTACCACAAATTTAGTGGCTTAAAACACCACAGACTTCTCATTTTACAGTTCCAGAGGTCAGAAATCTGAAGCAGATCTTACTCCCTAAAATTAAAAAGGCTGCCTTCCTTTGGGAGGTTCTGTGGAAGAATCCATTCCTTGCCTTTTCCAGTTTCTACAGGCTGCCCGAATTCCTTGTTCCCTGGCTGCATTGCTCCAACTTCTTCTTCCATTGTCACATCTCCTTCTCTTCCTCTGCTTGTCCATATGCCATTTCTCTCTCTCTGACCCTTCTGCCTCCCTAAGGACCCATCTGAATACACTGAGTCTTCCCAGATAATCTACAATGATCTCTTTCTCCCCATATGCTTAATTTAACCACATCTGTAAAGCCCCTTTTGTCACATAAGATAACTTACTCACAAGTTCTGAGAATTAGGACATAGACATCTTTGGAGAGCTACTATTCAGCCTATCACAATCTACATAGGCTTTACTGGAGGAAATGCCTATGGCAGGAAAAGGGAGAACACCACCACAACAAAACAGTGGGGATGGCCATCAGACTGTCACATAGGACATAGGTCTGACCCCTGTGAAGAAAAAAGGGAGGGAAGGAGAACTGGATAGAAAAAAATCACAGAGTTTAATGCTGTGCTAAGAAAATTTTGGCCAGATCTACAGGGAGTGCTCAAACCAAAGTTGCCTATTAAGTGGGTGAATGAATAAATATGAACAGGGTTCATGCTACAGCAGGCCTGCATGAGCTCCCAGCTGTGCTGTCACTGGCCAGGAGCAACATGAGAAGCAAGGTGCACAGGTCAGGGTGAATCCAGAAGGGCAGTAGCTAGGAAGCTCAGGAAATTTTGCTCCCTGCATTGTAGTGGCTATGATGCATTTTCATAGCCACTGCAAGATTTGTTTCTTTATCATTTAAAAGAACTTTAAATTGTTTCTCTTCCAGCCCCTTTTTCTTATATTTACTTATTAACTAATTTCATATTACTCTTGTGTCATTTCAACAAGCACTTATGAAAGACCAAACATTGGGGACCCAGAATTAAAACACATGATTACTATCCATAGGAAGCTAGCAGTACAGACAAAAACATAAAAATAATTATAATCCTACCCCAGAATAAATACACTGTAGGGTGATCACCCCTCCCAGTTTACCTAAGGAAATCTGTTTATGCCTGTTTCCCAGTGCCCCATCTGGTCTGTACCCACTTTGACTCTCAAAAGTGTCCCAGATGGGATGACAATTTATATGATTGCTATAATCATGGGAGCACACACACTTAATCCAGACCAGGGGGAAGGAGTAATTATAATTTTCTAGATGAAGTGCTGACTCAGATAAAACGATATGCAAAAGCTAGCCAGAAAAATTATTGTGGGAATACGGAGCAAGTGATGAGGGCAGCTGATGCAAGTTTCAGAAAAAAACAGTAATATTCTTAAAAGCCAATGGCCTGCAAACATAGGCAAGTATTTCAGAATACCTAGACATCAATTACCTATGGGGGAGAGATAAGAAATGAAGTAGACCAAGTGAACTAGGATCAGAACATGAGAATCCTAACACATCTTGTTATGAAGGGAATTTATTTAATTGCTTCTTGGTAGCCATTTAAATTCAATGATAGGAATACGGTTGCTAGTGAGAATCAAGAGAACTAAAAAGAAGTACTTGAAGTTAGAATATTATAACTTCACTCAAAGTTAAACTGAAGAAATACCTGCAAAGAATAAGAAACTTCCTAGGAAAAAAAGGAAAAAAAAAGCATTATTTGCACAAATTTAAAATGATATAGAGGTCACTATTTAGAGATTAATTTTAGCTTAACAAAAGTTTGAAAGGGGCAAAAAAAAAATGACTAACTCACCCATAAGAATAGTTTTCTTAAAGCATTCATAGAATGCCTAGCTTTATACAGTACCACTTCCTACTAAATTCTCCAAGAAAGTCTTTATTTCGGAAAAAAAAAATCTTAGTAAGGTGACCTTACTATAATGGTCATTATTTGCCACAAATTAGGCTGAGACGTAGTAATGTTCCCCAAGAAGATACTGGACCATCTTTGCTTGTAGTTATTTTTAACCCTTATAGAAGTAATAATTAGATATTATGTCCAGCTACATGTTAAAGCAATTCCTAGACTGTGATACTACAGCCAGATTTTTATCATGAAACAGAAAATAACCTAACCACACATCAGGAATTGTTTTATAAGCAAAAGCTTTGCAGCTGTAGTTCTACAGGAGACTTTACTACATTATTAAAATAGAATATGGTCAATATTTTATAGTCAATACAAGTCAATTCATGTCTTTCTTTAGAATCATATATAATATATATATTACACATTTATAGAAACAGTACACATGTGACTATTTTATACTATAGTCTCTGTCAAAAAAAAAAAAAAAGAAAATAATGTTATATTAGTGACTAAATTTTACCAGTAGCTTTTTTTGTGAGCAAGAAGATAAAATATACACAGCAGTAAGCTGAATTTTTAGGAATATCATCTTTGGCAGAAATGAACAAGAAAAATCTTTTCAGTAAAGCAGTCTACCCATTATTCCCTGGAGGAGGGTCATTATAGAATCAAATATTGTCCTCAACAAATTCACTCTTATATTCTTAAAACATATCTACTTTATTGTGACTAATTTAAATTCCCCTTGAATATACTTGGCTTAGTTAACTTTCATTGGTTTGCATGCAATATCTCAAAAAGTTTCAGAAAATTTTTCAGCACAGTCATGGAGTAGGAAGCTGTGACTGAGAGCATTTGTGAGACTTTGTCTAGAATTAGGCCTCTAAGTAATATGGTCTTTTTATGTTTACTATTGCATCAAAAGAGTTCCTAGGTAAATAAGAACAAGGCAAGAAACATATAAATGATATTTGAATGTTACAATTGAAATATAAATATGCATATAGGCAAACACATACACATATAAATATATTTGACCTGGCCAGGTGCGGTGTCTCATGCCTATAATTCCAGCACTTTGGTAGGCCGAAGTGGGCGGATCACTTGAGGTCAGGAGTTTAAAACCAGCCTGGCCAACATGCTGAAACTCTGTCTCTATTAAAACTATAAAAATTAGCCATGCGTGGTGGCACATGCCAGTAATCCCAGCTACTCTGCTGGCTGAGGCACGAGAATCACTTGACCTGGGAGGCAGAGGTTGCAGTAAGCCAAGATCCTGCCACTGCGTTCCAGCCTGGGTGACAGAGTGAGACTATGTCTGAAATATATACACATATATATTTGACCTGGTCAGACTCACCTAACTAAAAGTGATAATAAGAGAGGTAGTGTATTAGTTTCCTAGGGCTGTGGTAACAAAGTACCACAAACTGGGTAGCTGAAACAACAAACATTTACTCTCTCACATTTTGGAGGCAAGAAGTCTGAAATTATTGTGTCAGCAGGGTTGGTTCCTTCTGCTCCTTCTGAGGACTGTGAGGGAGAATCTCCATGCCCCTCTTCTAGCTTCTGGTAACCTCAGGCATTCCTTGGCTTGTAAATTAAATGGCGTTTTCCCTGTGTCTTGTCATCTTTTCCTCTATATTTGTCTGTCTCTGCACACAAATTTCTCCTGTCTGTAAGGACACTAGTCATACTGGATTAGGCCTCACCTACATAACCTCATCTAAACCCAACCATCTGCAAAGACTATTTCTAAATAAGGTTACAGTCACCGGTGACCTCTAACATCTTTTGGGGGCGTACAATTCAACCCATAATGGATGGAATGCCTTTTTATGGAAATATACAGGGAGACTGAGAAAGCCCATGCACAGGAAAAGGTGGTTAAGTAAGTTCTCTAATAATCTGCTAACCTTTAGGACAAAAGCCAGCCCTAAACAATCTGATCTAGATCAGATTGGCAGTAACTATTCTCAAAAATTATTCTGTTGGAACTGATGTTCTAGAGCAAATTGGAAATGTTTGCTATTTACCCTCAGAGTAGTATCATTTTTCTGAAGACATCCTTGAAAAAAATTATTGTACTGGTTAAAAAAAAAAAAAAGCCAAGAAGATTTTAACTATAATTATAAACATAATAATCCCTTGAGCCCAAATGTTTTGTATTTGAAGCTCGAGTCTCATTAAAAATAATAATTTGGCTTTTATTATCATTTCTTCCAGATTGAGCCATCTGTGTCTAGGAATGGATACCAACAAAAACACTACTGATAATATGATTACAAATTATCTATGAAATGATGTTTAGATTTTTAATTTATTAGGTTATTAACCAAAATGTTCAAGTCCATCTCATAACAAGAAGTTACTTCGATTTGCAGCTCCATTGAATTATTTGACATATTTTTTGTCTATCTTCTCTGTAGTGGGTTGAATTGTATGCCCCCAAAATTATGTATAAGCCCTTACCCCCATCCCTGTGAACGTAACTTTATTTGAAAACATGGTCTTTGCAGATGTAATCAAGTTAAATTAAGGTCACACTGGGTTAAGGTGACGCTCAAAGCCAATGCCTAGTATCTTTATAAGAGAAAGGAGTCGGAGATTTGGACACAGAGACACAAAGGACACTCAGAGAAGCAGGCCCTGTGACAACAGAGGCAGAGTTTAGAGTCGTGCAGCTACAGGCCAAGGAATGTCACAGACTGCCAGGAATAGCCGGAAGGTAGGAGAAAGGTAAGAGGCAGCTTCTCCCTTGCAGCCTCCAGAAGGCGCCAATCCTGCCAATACCTTGATTTCAGACTTCTAGCTTCCTAAACTGAGAGAGAATAAATTTCTGTTGTTTTAAGCCAACAAGATAACAATTAAGCCAACAAAGTAATAAGCTAGCAAGGTAATAATTTTTAAGGCAGCTGTAGGAAACGAATACACTCTCATTTTTACACATAGTCTCAGTCATTGGAGACACATTTATTCTATACACTAGTGTATAACCATTTACAAGTGGCTCATATTCATGAAAAAACTTCAGTCTCTGCTTTTTTATAAAGAAAAGGGGTTTCCACGTATACAGTGCAGGTCTTGGGTAGTCTTGGCTTATAGTGAGTGATTTTGGATAGAGGTACTGAGGAAACACTCATTAGTTGGCAGCATTATTGTTATTATTACAATATTATAAGACAGGAGCACTTACTGAGAATGTTTATAGTGATTAAAATAAAATTTGCCTCTTCTGAATGAAGGACTTTCATGCCTCTAGAAAGTCTGCACTTTTTTTTTTTTTTTAAGGAAAGATGGGGTTTCACCATGTTGGCCAGGATGGTCTCGATCTCTTGACCTTGTGATCCACCCACCTCGGCCTCCCAAAGTGCTGGGATTACAGGCGTGAGCCACCGCGCCTGGTGTAAGTCTGTATCTGTATTCTAAATGAAATCTTAGGACACTGAATTAAATTTAGTAAAAGGCTTTGAGGAGGGTACCAATGGGGATCCAGAACTCGCTAATGCTCTTTACAAAGCTGACATCAGGAAAGTAGGCATACACACTAGGTGTTAACTATGTAATAATGTAAAATTATTTGAAATGGATTAATGACACTAAATTTGAAGCAAACCAATATAGTTTAATGGGTTTTTTTATATTTTCATAAATATTTTAAAGGTTTTATTGATCATGTTTCATGTTGCTTCTTTGACTTGTGAGTAGCATGGAGAGTAAAGTTTGTGGAGTAATCAAGTGGCTATGACCGAAAGGCCACAAACAATTAAGTGTGTTGTGAACCTGGGTACACTCCTTGTTCCGCTTTAATTTCCAAGGACCTGACCCAGTTAGAAGGTTCCTTCTCTAAGGAGTAGCCTTAAAGAAGACACAGGAGCCTCAGAACAGCCCAGAAACAGAGAAATTAGTCAAAAGAGAGAAAAATGCCACAGACTCAGCTGTGGGAATAGTTAAAAAACAAAAAAAACAAAAAACAGTTGTAGGGGATTTATATATGAAAATAGTAAGGTAGAAAAGAGAAGTATTAATAATGTTGCAATATGAGAGCAGTTCTAGAAGGATTTAGCTGTAAGTTTGCAATCTAAGAAGGTTTAGTATATATTACTTGTTGGACCTGGGTAATTAAGCCTCACAAGATTAACAGTTACATGTCAAGACAATCAGGGAGAGCAAGAATGCTCAATTATTCCAAGGGTAGAAAGTAGAGAATTCTTATTTAACTTTCTTTACCAACTTACATTCCTGATAGCCTTTCTCCCCTCCCCCCTCCACCGCCCCCCCCACCCCCCCCCCGAGGTGGAGTCTCACTCTGTCACCAGGTTGGAGTGCAGTGGCTCAATCTCGGCTCACTGCAACCTCCGCCTCCTGGGTTCAAGCGGTTCTCCTGCCTCAGCCTCCTGAGTAGCCGGGACTACAGGTACATGCCACCACACCCAGCTAATTTTTGTATTTTTAGTAGAGACGGGGTTTCACCATGTTGGCCAGGATGGTCTCGATCTCTAGACCTCATGATCCACCCACCTTGGCCTCCCAAAGTGCTGGGGTTACAGGCGTAAGCCACCACAACTGGCCCTGATAGCTGTACTTTAAGGGTTGTGAGCTTCTTGACATTGTTTATTTTTCTTAATGTAAGTCTATTCTGACTTCAAAAGGATTAAGAGAAGTCTCACTTCTCACCACTAATTAAGTTATTCCAAATCAGTCATGAGGCCTTTCCTGGGTTCAAGTTGCCTGACTCTATTCCAACAAGACAGACAAATAAAATCTGATCACCCAAGTTACACCTTGGAGTGGGTCATGTGCTGATCCACAAATGAAGGATGGCCTATCACTCAGGTCTGAAACAGAGAATTTTTGAGAAAGGCTTTCTATTCCTCTTAGGAGACACAGGAAGTTGGATCTGGCATTCACCTCCAAAATTCCCATACAGTTGATGGTTTTAAAAGAAGAAATGACCAGTTCATGCTGAGAATTAGGAGGTAAAGAAAGGCTTTATTTCTGTGTCACTAAAAAGAACTGTGTCCTTTTCTAATGACAGAGCAATCTCTGAACTGAGCCAACAAGACAAAATTTTATAAAGGTAATTATAAGTTTCATTATATGTCACTGTAATCTTAAAGAAGGTCTGGATGCCTGTAATGATATGCACATATCTCTATCTCATATTATAGTCTTTGACTATAAAAAGAAATCAAATCTTGTCAGAGTCATCAGATGTTCTGGAGATGAACTTTCACAAGAACTTTGTTCATTAACGAGTGCTTAAATTGTCTTTTAGGGGTCCTCTGAGCTAGGAATGAGGAATTCTTTTCCCCTAGTCTTCAGGAAGACACCTAGCATAGTTTATAAAGGTTAATGTTTTCCCTGATTTTTGTCTTTCTTATTTCAAGTCTCAGTTATAATTCTAAGTTTCTTCCTCAATGTTGTCAGAAATAAGAGAACCTGTCTCTTTCTATTCACTATAACTGTTTAATTCATTTATAAGATAGTACTGACTTACTAAGGGAACTATTTTAAGGGAAACAGAAAATGTCCCCCTTTTATGTCACTGAAAATCACTAACTGATGAAGATATCACAGGCACAGCCAGCACGACTCTCAGGTAGCTGTTACAATTCAGGCTCCATATGAACATCGATTGTCAAAAGTTTATGTTGAGCCAATTAAACTTAGCCCATAACACTTTCTCTCCCTAGAATCAAGGACTGAGCAAAAGTTAATAAAAGTTAAAATCTATTTTTCCTGGCAGCTTGCCCCTATGAGTCATACAGAAAATATCATTGTTTTCTAGGGCCCAATCTTATCCCAAACTTGCCAACTTTTAATATAAAGTAGACTATAAAACATTTACATTTCATCAGGTTTGAAATTGCTATTTTTTGAATATGGAATACCCGATAAATTAGTCAGTTGCTAATTTAGAATATGCCAAAAAAAATGGCCTTTGACAGGGTATAATCTGACTCCAAGTTCATCCAGCTAGAACCTCATTAACAGAGTCCTAAAGATAAAGAAATTTGCAATGAGCAAGGCCATTCTTTACTGATTCCTTGGCCAGTTGGCTAGAATGACCCCAGGCAACTGTGCAAAGTGGCGAACTGTGCAAAGAGGCAGGCTTGAGAAAAGTGGTGCTGATTTGAAATGTATATTTGCAGGAATGTGAGAAAAGAAATAATAAAAGATAACTGGTGGCTAGTAGACACTGTTCTAAATTCTTCACAAGTGTTAATTCAATCCTCATAACACTGCTATGATGTAGGGACCATTTGTGTATTTTAGGCATGAGAAAACTGAGAGAAAGAGAGGTTGCTTAATGTAAATAAGTAAGTGATAATAAGTAAATAAGTAGTAGAAATGGATTGGAACTCAGGGGGTCTGACTTGGGGGTCTATGCTTTTGACCACTGTGCTTTACCACTATTTGACAACTAATAGGTCAATGATTCTTGGTCTGTGGAAGAACAGACTAGAACTTGACACACTTTTCTGTTCTAAATACTACAAATTTCCTTATATCAAGTACTTATCTATCTTAAATCCACTGTATTTTTCTTGCTCTGGATCTGACATTATGCCAAAAAACAAATTTATAAATTATTTTTTATAAAACAAATGTTCCTTAAAATCATACACATGTAATTATAAATATTCTGTCCATCAATTGCTGAATGCATTAAACAGTGGTATATTCATACAATAGAACACTACTATCCTAATAATAGCATTACTGTATATATGAGTACATGACTTCCTTTAGAGAGTGCAATCTATTTATACGGTTTTCGTCATGACTTCTATTCTTAGATATGCCAGTTGACTTCTTTCTGTTCCCTGACTATTCCCCATAATTCTTAGATTCATTACAGTGGACAAGGAGATGTAATGAGAGAAAGCTGCCAAGTCAACCAAATGCATCTTTATAGGCACATCCTGATGGTCAGCGTGTGTAAAATCTTATTTGTATAAGCTAAATTTTTAGTGTTAAATGTACGTGAGTTTTCACAATAAAAAAACTTTCATAACATTACAAATGGATATGTTTAAGCAATATTTTGGCCACTTAGAAATACTTCTGGGTTGTAATTGTTTTTGAAAAGTTTCTTGAAATATAATTTATATACACTACAATCCACTAATAGTTCTGATAAAAGAAACAGTTCCATAGCCACCACCACAATCAAGATATAGATTAATTTTTACCCCCATAATTTCCTGGTATCCCTTTAAACCTTCCCTTAATGGGTTTAAAATCTTCCAATCAGAAGTAATACCATGATCTATGCTCACATTTCCTTAGCCAACAATAATCTTGGCCAACTCTAAATTCAAATAAGTGAAAAAGTGCAATCTTATCTATAAAAACTTTGAACAGATCCAGACAAGGCAATTGTTGTCTTAACCCCAAGTATCTTAAATTTTTTTGTATTTTAAATCAACTTTATTAAGATGTAATTTATATACAACTAGATTGTACTGATTTTGTATACAATTTAATGTTTTTAAAAGTATAGCTATATTTTTATAATGCAATAGCAATAAGAACATTTCAGTCACCCCAGAAAGTCACCTACGGCCCTTTTGCTATTAATCCCATATCCCATCTCCAGCTCCGAGGAAACACTGATCTGCATTCTGATACCATAGTTTTACTGTTTTAGAATTTTATATAAATAAAATCATACAGAATTTAGTCTTTTGTGTCTAGCTTCCTTTACTGAGCATAATGGTTTTGAGACCCATCCATGTTGTTACATGTATCAGCGGTCCTTTTGTTTTTATTTTTAGTATCCCATCATATGAATATACCAAAATGTGTTAAGCCATTCACTTGTTGGTAGATATTTGGGCTGTGTCCAGGTTTTGAAATTAAGAAAAAAATTGCTATGAATTTTTATGTACATGTATTTGTATAGACATTTCTCAATTCCTTTTGAGAATGAGAAATTGCTGAGTCTTATAACATGTGTTTAGATAATCTTATAAAACACTGCCATAATGTATTTCAAAGCAATTGTACCATCATACATTCCCATCTGCAATGGATGAGAGTTGCAGTTGCTTCCCATTCTTACAATGTTCTTGTAACTATGTAGCAGCATTGCATTGTAATTTTAATTTGCATCTTCCTGAAAATTGTGATGTTTGGAAGCTTTGCATATACAGTTTGCCATTTGTATGTTGTCTTTGGGAAATTGTTTAAATATTTTGCTTACTTTGTTTTTAAGTTGTTTGTCTTATTAATGAGTTTCAGAAGTACTTAACACATTTTAGATAAAAATCCTAATTCATACATAAATCATTTACAATTATCTTCTCCCAGCCTGTGGCTCACCTTTTCACTTTCTTAAAGATGCTTTTCAAAGAGCAGAGTTTGTTTACTTTCATAAAGTTCAATTTGTCCATTATTTCCTCTTTGGTTTTGATTTTACTGTCTTGCCTAAAAAATGTTTGCCTGTCCCAAGGTTGTGGAAAATGCCTATGTTTTCAAAAATTATATATTTAGCTTTTATACTAAGGCCTATGGTTCGATTTTGTGTATTATGTGTGGTATTTGAGGTTTAAGATTTCCAGATGTTCACGCACCATTTGTAGTAAAGACAATCCTACCTTTATTTTATATATATATATAATTTTTTTTTGAGATGGAGTCTCACGTTGTCACCCAGGCTGGAGTTCAGTGGTGCAATGTCAGCTCACTCCAGCCTTGACCTCCTGGATTCAAGCGATCCTTCTGCCTCAGCCCTTGAAGTAGCTGGGACCACAGGTACACGCCAAGACACCTGGCTAATTTTTTGATATTTTTTGTAGATACAGGGTTTCACCATGTTGCCCAAGCTGGTCATGAACTCCTCAGCTCAAGCAATTCACCTGCCTTGGTTTCCCAAAGTGCTAGGATTATAGGCCTGAGCTACCATGCCCAGCCTAATCCCATCTTTATTAAATTACCTTAAGAAATTTGTAATATCTCAATTGACCTTATATATATATATATATATATATATATATATATATATATACATCCATATATATAAGTTCTATTGAGATACATTATATCTTATATGTGTATGTGTGTGTGTGTGTGTGTGTATGTGTGTGTGTGTATTTTATATATATCTCTTTGTGGCAAAAGTCTTTATTACTGTAGCTTTATAGTAAGTCTTAAAATTATGTAGTGTAAATCTAATGTTTTTCTAAATTACTTTAGCAACTACTTAAGGTCCTTTCAATTCTCACATAAATTTTAGAATTCACTTGTACATGCCAACAAAATTAAAGCCTATAGAGATTGCATTGATTCAATAAGTCAATTTTGGTAACATTTATATTTCAATAATATCGAGTCTTAAGATCCACAAGTATTGCGTGTTTCTCCAGTTATTTAGATATTTAATTTTTTCCAGCAATGTTACAGTTTTCAGTGTAAATGTCATGCATATATTTTATTAAAATGTAGTATTCTTTCATGTGTTTTTATCCTCTCAGAAATGGTATTTTAAATTTCAATTTTGGGTTACTTGTTGTTGGTACATAGAAATACAATTGATTTTTTATATTAGTCTTATATTCTGCAACTGTGTTAAATTCACCTATTTGCTATAATAGCTATTTTATGGATCCTTTCGTTGTTTTCCATGTACATGGTCATGTCTGCAAGTAAAAGAGTTATCTTTTCATTTAAAATCTGTGTGCCTTAATATCTATTCATTGCCTTATAATTGGCCAGGACACCTTATGTAATGTAGGATACAGGTAGTGACTGCTAACCTACTTCCTTTGTTTCTAATCTTGAAAAAGGGTTCAAATTTTCCCCATGAATTATGCTGTTAGTTTAGGACTCTTGTAGATTATCAGTATAAAGAAGATTACTTGTATTCTGAATTTGTGGAGACTTTTTACAATCTGGCAATGGCTCCTAATTTTTCTTTGTTTTCTGAAAAGATTGAGATGATTATGTGGGTTTTCTCTTTATTCTCTTCATAAGATAAATTATATTGATTTTCAAATATACAACCAACCTTGCATTACTAGGATAAACCCTATTTGGTCATAATGTATCACCTTCTTTACATATTGCTGAGTACAATTTATCTGTTGTTAAAAGGATATTGTATCTATTTTTTCTGTAATGGTTTTTTCTGAGTTTTGCATCAGGGTTATAGTGGCCTCATGAAACAAGATAGGATGTATCTCTCTTCAATTTTTTTTCCAATGTTTGTATAGGGTGGTTATTATTTATTTCTTTAATTCTTAATAGAATTTAGGAATGAAGTCATCTGGACTGGACTTTTTTGTGGGAAAGTTTTTGTTCACAAACCTGATTTATTTAATAGATATAGAGTGTTGTGGGCTGAAATGTATTCCTCAAAATTCATACATTGAAGCACTAACCCCTAGTACTTCAGAATGTGAAGTACTTGGAAACAGGGCCTTTAAAGACGCAATTAATGTAAATGAGCTCATATGTGTAGACCTTAATTCAGTATGACTGGTGTCCTTACAAAAAGAGTTTAGGATACAGATGCCCACAGAGGAAAGACCATGTGAAGATAGAAGGAAAAGATCACCATCTATAAGCCAAAAAGAAAGGCCTTAGAAGAAACCAATTCTATTGACATCTTCATCTCGTACTTCCAGCCTACAGATTTGTGAAACAATAAATTTCTGTTTAAGCCACCCAGTCTGTGGTACTTTGTTATGGCACCCCGGTACACTAATAATAGGCTTTTTCCAATATCCTATTTCTTCCCGCATCAGGTCAATTATGTGTCCCTTTGAAGAGTTTGTCCATTGAGTCTGAATTATGTAGTCTATTGGCATACAGTTAGTTGCTCATGCTAGTCTCATTTTCCATTTAATGTTTCTATGATCTGTGGTTAAGTATTCCTTTATTCCTGATATGAATAATTTGTGTCATCTGTTTTCCTTACCAGTTTAACTCTTATCTATTTTAAATTTCTTTCCAATAACCAGATTTTAGTTTTATTGCTTTTTCTCTTTTATTTTCTATTTCATTAATTTCTTTTGTTTTTCTATATATTTGGGGTTTAATTTGTCCTTTTTTCAACTTTTTAAGCTGGATGGTTAAGTCAACAATTTTAGACCTTACTCATCTTTTAACATAAGTATTTAGAACTATAAATTTGTGTTCAAGCATGACTTTAACTTTTTCTTGGCCTTCTATATGTTGTATTTTCATTAGCATTCAATTCTATTATCTAATATACCTTTTGGTTTCTTATTTGAGCTTTAGGTTGCTTGAAAGTGTATTCCATAATTTTCAAGTCTTTGGTAATTTTCCAGATATCTTTCAGTTATTTACTTCTGATAAATTCCATTTGGGCAGACACCATTCCGTGTATGATCTCAGTAATTCTAAATAAATTGATACATGTCTTACAGCCCAATATGTCATCAGTTGTCATATTTAATGTGCATTTGAAAATAATTATTTCTCTGCTATTATTGGTTTTATTGGGCTCTCTCTTCATATATATATATATAATATATATATATTTGATCTTTATATTGATATATGACTTTAATCATGGTGGTGGATAGTGTTATTCAAATCTTCCATATTCTTACTTTACAATACTAGCTCTATCAATAACAGAAAAAGATGAGTGCTGAAATTTTCAATTATCATTGTAAATTTGTCTTATTTCTTCTTTCAGTTCTATTGGGTTTTATTTAGAATTACTACTGTTTCTATATCATTTTGTAGCTCTGTTATTAGGTAAATACTCACTTAAGACTTTATGTCTTCTTGATAAAGTGACCCTTTCATCATTATGAAACCTCTTTTTATTCCTGGTGAGATCATTGTAATATCAACATGATACATATTTTTCTATCTTTTAAAATTTCCACTTATCTGTTTTTATATTTAAATTGCATATTTTTCAGTAGTAAGTAGTTAGAGCTTGTCTTTATTCTGACAGTCTCTGACTTTGAACTGAAATATCTAGGGCAGTTTTTCACAAGGTGGTGCCAAAGCTGAAGAAGGCAGCTCCTGCCCCTCCCAAAGCTCAGGCCGAAGCGAAGCCTTTGAAAGCCGAAAAGGCAGTACTCAAAGATATCCACAGCCACACAGAAAAAGATATGCACATCACCTACCTTCCAGTGGCCCAAGACACTATGGCTTGGGAGGAACCCTAAATATCCTTGGAAGAGTGCCCCCAGGAGAAACAAGCTTGACCACTATGCCATTACCAAGTCCCCCTGACCACTGAATTAGCTATGAAGAAGAAAGAAGACAACACACTTGTGTTCATTATGAATGATAAAGCCAACAAGCACCAGATCAAACAAGCTGTGAAGAAGTTCTATGACATTAATGTAGCCAAGGTCAACATGCTAATCAGCCTGAGGGAGAGAAGGCTTCTGTTCAACTGGTTCCTTACAATGCTTTGAATGTTGTGAACAAAATTGGGATCATGAATTTTATATAATATATATATTATATAAATATATTATATAAATTTTAATATATATTTATATTAAATATATATTTATATTTAATATAAATATATATTATATATAGTATATATAGTATAGACCATGGGAAAATTAATAATTTATATATAATATGTAATATTTACAGGCAATTTATTTCATGTAATTATTAAATAGTTGAAATCTACATCTTCTGTTTCTATTTGTCATATGTGGTTTTTTCCTTCCCTCTCCCATTTTCCTGCCACCTTCTGAATTGTCCTATAGCATTCAATTTTACTTCCACCAAAAGCTTATTCATCTTTTAATTATTTTCAGTTGTTCTAAAGTCACCGTATGCAACTGATCACATTCTACCTTGAAAGAATATACCACTTCTCATATACTGTAAGACAGAATACTTCAATTTTGCTTCTTTTATCCTTTGTGATACTGTTACCACAGTCTTTACTTTTATAAATGTTACACTGTTGTTTTTACTTCAACTATTCAATTATCTTTTAAAGGATTTTAATTGAATATTTCCAGTGCTTTTTATTCTTTTGCGTAAATCTAAGTGTCCACCTGGTATCATTTGTCTTCAACCTGAGGTCCCTTTAATGTTATTTCAAGTATACTTCTGCTAAAAATGAATTTTCTCAGATTTTGTGTACAAAAGCTTTTGACTTCTTATTGAATAGTATTTCCATGAGATATAGAATTCTAGAATAATATATTTTTTCTTTCTATGAAGATATGATTACATTGTTTTTTAACTTGCAGTTTTTCTGAAGTGCAGTCTGCATTTTTTTAAAATCTTGGTTCCGTAATTTTTTTTTTTTTACTTCTAACTACTTTAAAAATTTTTCCTTCTGCTTACTGATTTCTAGCACTTTGAGTAGGATGAACCTTAGTATAATTTTCTTAGTGTTTGTGCTGCTTGAGATTCTTTGGGAAGCTCAGATTTAGGGGCGTATAATTCTCACAAATTTAGGAAAATGTTGGCCACTATTTCTTTAAATATGTTTTTCTGTCTCTTCTCTCTCCTCTCTCGGGCAATCTAATCACATACATGTAAGACTGCTTGATATTGTAACACAGACTACTCGGCTTCTGTTTATTTTTTCAATTTTTCCCCCTCTGTGCTTGAGTTTAGATAGTTCCTATTGCTGTGTTTTCAAGTTCATCAATCCTTTCTTCTGCAGTTTCTAATCAGCTGCTATTTTCAAACACTGCCTTTTTAAAAATTTTTAACTATTGCATTTAAGTTTGTTTTAAAGTTACAGATTGATAATTCCATCAACTCTGTTATTACTAGATCTGTTTACTGTAATAGATTTTTCTTAATTATGAATCACATTTTATAGCAATTACTCATATCTGTAAATTTTTATTGGAAGCTGTACATTATGAATAGTAAGACAGGATATTTTTGTCTCTTTTGAAGGTGTTAAAGTTCATTTTTTCAGGCAGTTAAGTGTTGATAGAAAAAAAATTCTGCATGGAAAATGTTCTGGTACAGTATTCCCAAATGGTTGCAAACATATTAAATTTAACTGTTGGTTCTGCTATCCCCCACCAGATGGCTCTACCAAATTTAATGCTATTCCCTCTAACCTTACCAAGAAATTTACAGGAGACAGCAAGGGATGGCCAAACATCCTGTATCTCCTACACAAATTACCTGCTAACACCTCCAGATGTTTTCCCTATCCTCATTTTGATGGCCTTAGATCAGCCTTCATACATTTTTTGTCATATTCTGGCTAATAATCAGAATTAAATATAAAATAGACCCAATTCAAAAATCATAATGCATCTTTGTTATTTCTAACAGCTACCCCAGTTGACCTCATTGGAACATCCTCCTAGTGGCAGCCCAGCCAAAAGGGAGCTTATAAGATTTAAACTTAATTCTAGTTCAGCCACCTGGATTTTCTTGCTGGATGGTACTAGAACCTAAGGATAATGTCCACTTGACTGAGTACAATATGCTACAAATTTCTCTGCGGTGACCCACTGTATGAAAGACATATGAATCCCAGTTTAAAAAAAAAAAAACAAAAAAAACCTTTTTCCCTCTGATCCTCTGACACCGTGATAGCCAGTCCTACACAGTTAAATCCTTCCAAGGTCTGGATGTAAGTGATCAATAACACTACCTTGGTCTTAGGGAGGGATTCATGTTAGCCTTGATTTACTAACAACTTACACAAGTTAGGTTGAGGATAGAATTGCCCTAGACTTCCTCCTTGCAGGCCAGCGAGTAGACGTGCAATCATCAATAAATCTATGTGGATTAATTTCTCAGGTAAAGAGGAAAGATTGATACAGATCCTAAGAAGAAAGTCATCTTGCTCTCTAATGTAGACTCTAATGGTTTACGGTGATTTATTGAGCTGTTTATGGGCAATATTGAGGTCAAAATTGCAGGTTAGCATCATCCTGCTGTGGAAAGTACCATTTATTTGTTCCTAATTAAATGCTCCATGAGATAGACTGTATTTGGTCCTAGACTGCATCAGCTACATTAATCAGAGTGGCCAACAGATTGTTTTACTCATAGGAAAATTTACCAGAAGACAAAATGGTAGATATTGCTGGAAGACTATTCTCCCTGAGTCTCTCACATTCCTGCATATATTGTGAGCAAGTCACTGATTTCCTCTGTTTGTGTACTATAAGGATGTTTTAATAGTAACCTACCTTGGAAAACTAGAAGTACTGCCTCCCTCTGGAGCAAAGGTAAGGTATTTTCATTGCACAGTATAATAAAGGGAATAACCGAAATATTTCTCATTATAAAAGATTTAAATTCCTTTAGGTCTAGGTGTCTTTCCTGTAAAGAAACTACTACGTGGCGAGGTATCATCCAGTCTTCTCTGCATTGCCGGTGGGAATTGGGACTCGGGGAACGAACACAAAAATATAACGATACCCTGGGTACTACTATTGCTGCAAGTGAAAAATTATACTTTATCTCCAAAAGTCTTGTGTCTCCTGCCAGCTTCCATGAAGCTAACTTGTTAACATCCAAGTAGGGTAAAACTTTACTCAGACCCTTCAGAGCTCCTGACACTACGTTACAGCTACATGCAAATCAGCTTAATCTTTTCAAGGCTTGTCATTTAAGTTTTCTCAGTGGGGTCTACTGTAACCTTTACTTCGTAGCAAATTTAGCCCTGCTACTACTATGTGAGACCTTTACAGGTTTTACACCAGATGCCTGGGATATTCAGAAATGTCTCTTGACTCTGGCTGATAGGAATGCAGATATCTCCCACTCACGTGCAAGCTGTGACTTTCTAGCAATTATTATTTGCTTGTCTTTGTTTAATTTCCCTCTACACAAAGATTTGACAGTCCAACTTGCTAACTTTTGGAGCTCTCTTTCTCTATGTAGATTTGAATTCTCTAACACTCCACCCTACAAACACCATGAGCCATGGCCTCCCTGAGCTCCTCAATTCAGCAAGACCTCCTGATCTGTTTGGCCACTTCTCCCCTGCACAGAAGCCTAGATGTTTCGTCTTGTCAGAAAGCCACGGCATTAGTAGAGTTCACCATGTTTGCTTCCTTTCAGGGTCACAGTCCTGTGCTAACTGTTGTTTCTACACTTCAAACAGATGTTTCATAAGTTTTCTCCAGTTTTATAGATGTTTATACCAGGATGGCCTGACTTACACAGTCAAATCCTCCAGTGGAAGAAGCCTTAGTATTTGAAGGTTTTCTATGGGGCACAGCATTTCTCCTTAAATCCTTTCCACAATCATTGATCTATGTTTTCCATGGAGAATCTATCTTATAATTACTTTTTTTGTGTAGATTTCCTCCATCCAAATAGAGAGTAAATACAAAATACAATTGTCAATCTTTTGGCCTTAATATATTTTTGCTCTTGCTATATGCTTAAGCTAAAAACTTATGGCTTACATAATATCCAAGCATTCTTTTAAATATGAATAAGCCTGCCATCGAAAACTAATAATTTGCTCCAGTTCTATGAATAGTCCACGTTCTATGCTCCACCAATAATTTCCTTATTTTCTCAAGCCAAAATGAAGTACAAATTTAATTTAATGCTCTGTTCAGTCTAGACACACTCTATTGAATTCCACATTTAATTTTTACAGAAGTAGAGCTAAAGCTTACACTTTCATTAATTTACCAAACACTGCCTCAGAATCCATGACATTGTACAGTCTATACATTATTAAAGAGATAGGAGAATGCCTGATTTCATCTGCAATGAGCAAATAGAATAAGATATACATTCTTTCTTCTTTTTTAACTGAGTAGAGAGAATTACTTCATTTGTCTACAGATATATAACTTTTTACTCTATCCAAAGGAAGCACTCACCAGAAGCTTAAATCCTACTTAGTGAGAGAATAATAGGTCCCTATACTATGTTAGCGAGACTCTATACTATGTTACTTCACAGAGTGTATTTAAATAGAAATACTTTGTCAGACTTTATCGTTATCAAAAATCACTGAAGATTATCCTGTTGAAATATCATTTTTCATAGCTGTATGTTTTAAAATCTAAGTTTAAAATATATCTATTTGAACCTGAGTAGTGACAAAGGACTATCACCAATGTCAGTTGACAACTCTGATTTTTTTTTCCACACATCAAATGACACCCCTGAGGAAAAAAAAATCATCT
This sequence comes from Homo sapiens, assembly GCF_000001405.40. Lineage (NCBI taxonomy): Eukaryota > Metazoa > Chordata > Mammalia > Primates > Hominidae > Homo > Homo sapiens. Next base: position 193,752,146 of record NC_000001.11, on the reverse strand, counting down.
GTGCTTCTATTTTAACCATATAAGCATTTTTACTTGTAACTGTATTTTTACAGAAGGATATAAATGCTACCTGAGATTATTTTAAGCAACTCTATGTGACTACCTATTCAACCTAGTTCCTAAAAGACAACTGATACATAAATAGAAATAATGAAACAATATATCCAATACCTCTTTTTATTGGACAATCTTATTGAAGATGAAAGGGCACTAGTCCTTTTGCTGTGTTACCTGGAAAATCTATACCTAATGATAGTAAGGTATTCCAGATAGCTGCTCCAGTCTTCTCTCTTGGCCCTTCTTATAACTAATCCACTACTCTTCTGCAGCTGAATTTAATCCATTTTGCTACAAAGGTGAACAAATTATGTTCCCTTCTTTCCAATGCACATCCAGAAAAGCTCCATATTGAATATCAGAAGATTGTGTAAGTGAATTATAACACAGATAAGAATAATTTAAATCTGGATTCCAAATATTACAGCTCTCAATGTCCCTTCACAGATGGAATCCTTCTTGGCTGACTACACAACATACGACATGATGTCATAATTTATCTTTCACAAAGTAGAGTTTCTTTTTACCCTGTCCCTATTTCTCCCTTGTAGACTAACAGACATTCATCTCCCTAGCTGCTGTTGGATTCATAGATGCAAACTCAATCTAAATAAATTTGAGTTTGAGTTATAAAATTAAAGTGACATTTTACTTAATTACTTTCAGAATGTTAATGAGTAATAGAACCAGAAACTAATATCCTGTGGTCAGTATACTGTCAACCTCAGTGTGCTTCTAGAAAACCAAAGTATCAATTTAAGATTACTTGATGAGCACAGAATCAGAGCAAGAGAAGCGGACCATAAAAAGCATATGTTTAATGGCATCAGATAACTTAAAGTATCCTTCCCTACACAGGGTTATACCAGACACCCAAATAAGACACATCACACCTGCAAATGACAACATTCTCTTTTTAGGCACCTCTGGGATGAGCTCTGCATGTGTCTACATCCCTAACTTTCTTTGCCTATTCTTCCACTGCTAGCCAATGCTTCTCCTGAATGACAAACACATTCATTCTTTAAATAGATTATTGCCTTCAAATTAGTTTAGTCTCAAGTCTAGCTTTGGCCTTAAAGCCATTATGTTTTCTAAAGCTGATTTTTTAATATCTCTGTTCTGATCCATTATGCATTGAATATGTAATTTAGCTTGCAAAAAGCAGCCTTAACACTCCATATCCACGGGAGGAATATGTCAGTAAAGATAATTTATATTCAGTCAAAAGATAGAAGGAAACAACCAACTTAACAGTTTATATTCGGTTAAAAGTTAGAAAGAAACAACAAACTATTTACAACTTCTTACTTTCCTATCACTACAACAAGTAGGTGATGTCTACAGGAATAGCCCTGTTAAAAGATAGGGAAGGTGTCTAATTTCTTGGGATTGTGTCTGTATCTCTCTTGCTTGATGTGGGAACTAGGCAATTAGGCATTATACCCAGAAATACTACCACAACATTGCTAAGCATTATATAAACCCAAACTGATAGAAGAAAGAGGTAGACTTAACAATCAGTAAAGCATTAATTCCCCTGGACATTTTTTTTTTTTTTTTAGATTTTCTTCAGAGATTTTTAAACTCCTTCTTAGCCTACGGATTCAATTATTTATTTAAAAGCATTATATTCTTTGGTATTTGGAATAAAACTGTTAGTGTAAAGGAAAGAGCACAAACCATATACAAAAAATTCAAAGATCTGAATCAATTTTTTCCTTTGGTCACTTGCTATGTACCTTAAACATTATCTATCTCCCTAGTGGCTGAAATTTCTGCTTAATATGTAAAATGAGAAACTTTCACCAGATGAAATCTAAATTTGCAGTTATTGACACTGCACAAAATGGCTCCTTAGAATGAAACCTGTTGAAAACCTAAACGTAAGTAGAAATAAATAGTGGTAATCTATAAAGACAAAATTTGTCATTCCACCTTCCCACATTTATTCATCTATTAATCCATTCATTATTTAAAATACATATTTATTAAGAATCTAATCTTAGACAATTATTTTTATTTTTTATTTTTTATTAATTAATTTATTTATTTTTGCTAAAAGATTTTAAGTTCCGGGGTACAGGTGCAAGATGTGCAGGTTTGTTACACAGGTACACATGTACAGTGGTGGTTTGCTGCATTTGTCAACCCATTGCCTAGATATTAAGCCCAGCACACATTAGCTATTTTTCCTGATGCTCCCCACCCACCAGCCTCCCCCAACAGGCCCCATTGTGTGTTGTTCCCCTTTCTGTGTCCATGTGTTATCATTATTCAGCTCCCACCTATAAGTAAGAACATGTAGTGTTTGGTTTTCTGTTCCTGCGTTAGTTTGCTGAGGATAATGGGCTTCCAGCTTCGTCCATGTCCCTGCAAACGACATGTTCTCATTCCGTTTTATGGCTGCATAGCATTCCATGATGTATACGTACCATGTTTTCTTTATCCAGTCTATTATTGATGGGCATTTGGGTTGATTCCACATATTTGCTATTGTGAATGGTGCTGCAATGAACATATGTGTATGTGTATCTTTATAATAGAATTCCTTTGGATATATACTCAATAATGGGACTGCTGGATCAGATGGTATATCTGGCTCTACGTCTTTAAGGAATAGCCACACTGTCTTCCACAATGGTTGAACCAATTTACATTCCCATCAACAGTGTAAAAGTGCTCCTATTTCTCCACAACCTTGCCAGCATCTGTTGTTTCTTGACTTTTTAATAATCACCATTCTAACTGGCATGAGATGGTATCTCATTGTGGTTTTGATTTGCATTTCTCTAATGATCAGTGATGTTGGACTTTTTTTCATATTTTTTGGGGCACATGTATGTCTTCTTTTGAGAAGTTTGTTTACCAAACAGCATGGTACTGGTAAATAAACAGGCATATATACCAACGGAATGGAATAGAGAACTCAGAAATAAAACCACACATCTACAACCATCTGATCTTTGACAAACCTGACAAAAACAACAATGGGGAAAGGATTCCCTATTTAATAAATGGTACTGGGAGAAGTAGCTAGCAATATGCAGAAAATTGAAACTGGGCCCCTTCCTTACACCTTATGCAAAAATTAACTCAAGATGGATTAAAGACTTAAATGTAAAACCCAAAACTATAAAAACTCTAGAAGAAAATCTAGGCAATACCATTCAGGGCATAGGCAAAGGCAAAGATTTCATGATGAAATTGCCAAAAGCAATTGCAACAAAAGCAAAAATTGACAAGTGGGATCTAATTAAACTAAAGAGCTTCTGCACAGCAAAAGAAACTATCATCAGAGCAAACAGGCAACCTACAGAGTGGGAGAAAATTTTTGCAATCTATCCATCTGACAAAGGTCTAATATCCAGAATCTACAAGGAACTTAAACAAATTTACAATAATAAAACAACCCCATTAAAAAGTGGGCAAAGGACATGGACAAACCTTTTTTATGGAATACCCTTCTCCTGCTGGCCAATGTTCAATGCATACATGTTCCACACCTTCGTTGATTACTGCGGCTGCCCCATCACAATGTTTAGATCTTTACAATGTCTCCTGTTCCGTTCTCATTCCCTTAGCTAATCAGTCCCTCAATGTGACTAAAATGTTAAGAGCTAACCCAGGTTGCTTTATGGATTAAAACTAAAATAGAGGTGTTACTCTCATTTTAAAAATCTTGCGCTAATAGTGAATGTGGAAAGAGATCTGCAGATGTACATTCAATTGATTCCCTTGTCAAATGGACAAGGGAATTCAATGCAGGAGTATTTTCAGATAAATGGTCTTCAACAACTACATGACCATATAAAAAATTAATACATCTCAATTTTTACCACACACAATACACTAAAATTATCTCAAAATCACAGATCTAGATCTTAAAGCTAAAACTATTAAAAATATATAAAAGAAAACATAAGAGTAAATTTTTGCAACCTTGGGGATAACCAAAAATATTTTAAATACGGCACAGAAAGCACAAACCATAAATGAAAATCATTGATAAAATTGACTTTTTAAAATGTAGAACTTCAGCTCTTCCTTAAACATAAAGTAACTATAAAAAGATAAGTTACTGAGGAGAATATTACTATATTCTACAGGTATCAGTAAAATATTCTACAGGTATCTATCCAGAATATAGAAAAATCTCTTACAAATCAATAATAATAAGATTGACATGTAAATAGAGTAAAACAGTTCAATAGACACTTTGCAACATAAGATAAAGTGTCCAAGAGAACATAAATAAGATATTCAACACTATTAGTCATCAGGGAATTGCAAATTTAAACCACAATGTGATGTCACTGCACATCCACCAGACAGAATACAGTTTAAAAGACCGACAAATGCCAAGTGTGTAATGGTATTTGTTGGAAAGGGTGTACAGCAACTAGAACTCTCATACATTGCTTGCAGCAATTTAAAACAGTAAAACCACTTTGGAAGACATCTTGGCAGTATTTTATAATGTTACACATTCCAATTCCTAGGTATTTACCCAAAAGAGATGAAAACCTATCTACATACAAACACTCATACACAAATATTCATAGCAGCTTTATTCATTGTAGCCAAAAGTGGGAAGCAATTCAAATGCTCGTCAACAGGGGAATGGATAAACAATCTGTGTATATTCATGCAATGGAATATTACTTAACAGTAAAAAGTAACAAACTACAGATACACACAACAACGCAAATGATTCTGTAAAACATTATGTGCAAAGAAGTCAAAAACAAAGAGTAAAGACTATACGATTCCATTTATATGGAACTCTAAGAAAGATATTATAGTAGATTGTGATGGAGTATAGATAAATGGTTGTGTAAGGCCAAGGATTAGTGGTGGAGATTAACCCCCAAAGTGATTGTAACGTTCTATATCTTCATTACAGTCATGGCTACATGGTATATACCTTAGCTAAAACTCTTCAAATTCACACTAAAAATGAATGCAATTTTTATTTTTATTTATCTACACTACACATAAAACCATAATCTTTAAAAATAATTTTCTTAACAAAAAAGCAACCAATTTTAAAATAAATCTAACATGTGAAGGAGATATGTTAGAGACAAGGCTTGCTTTCATTTTCATAATTTCCTGATCTTAGCCCTACAACTCAAATTTTTATTTACTCACTACAAACCCTACACTCTTCAAAGAAATACTATCTAGAAATCAACTTAAGATCTTGCTGTTTGAAATGACTGAAAGCCTTCTAGAGACAAGTTAAAACTTGATATATGTCACTGATATGTTTACCAACTAATAAATATGAAATTTATTTTATAATCTTAGAATAGGTTTTTAATCAAATATGAAATGTATTGGATAAGTTGTTAAATTTTTGACACATTTATGTATATTGTCACAGGGCTCCAACCAAATGACTGGAGTGAGAGCAATAATTTAGAATGCTGAAATGCTGATTTAAGATAGAGCAATTCTGAATACCGTAACAAGTCTTATTTTATGCACTATCAAAGGGCTAATTTTCGGCACATCAATAAAAACCTTACTCTAAAATGTAGTATACTCCATTATTTAAAAATTGTAATAATGCATGAGCTAGTCTCATATCATATTTGATAATGTACGGCATAGATGCAGTGAAATATTTATTAAATATACTAAACTACGGCATCAGCTTTCTATTGCTCTATAACAACAACTCCAAAATACAGTGGCTAAAAGCAACCAGCATTTATTTGTTCACAATTCTATGGATCAGCAATTTAGACTGAACTCAAAGGGGCAGATGCTCTACTGGTCTCACCTGGAGTCATTCATATCAATCCCTTGGCAGCTCAATTGCAACTGAATGGTCTAAAATAGCTTCAAGCACTTGATTGGCAATTAGTGCTGATTTTCAGCTGGACCTCTCTCTCCCACGGTCTCTCACCCTCAAGGAGGCTAAGTCAGCATCTTCATATGGTGGTGGCGGAGTTCCACAGAAAGAGCAGAAGCTGCAACCTTTTTTGAGCTTTAGGTTCAGAAGTCCCATATCACTTTGGCTCTAATCTATTTTTAGTTCAGAGAATGGGTTTTGTAAGCTCTAATGTAGAAAGAAGAAAAGAATGTCAACAAGAGCTTTCCCATACCTGGTGTGCCTGAGAGAACAACAAGAGATGGAGCTTCACACACATACAGACACACACACACAAAATACAACCATATATGCAGGAATAAGTCTGTCTCTGTGTCATCTGGGTAAGGGGAGAAGGGAAGCTTAAAGAGTACAAATCTATCCCCCTTGTCCCCAAAGGAACCTCCTTCAAAAAGCTATGAAAGGGAAATCTATAGAAATCATAACATGTTACAGATTTTGTACAAAGATACTATACAAGAAAACTATTTTAAAAGTAGCAAAATTATCTACAATGGAGAAACATGGAAGAGAAAAAATGTACTACAACGCAGATTAAATTTATGACTACATTCTTCCATTAAAAAATAAGCAATTATTAATAAATGGAGATGACACAACTTGAATGCAGGAACTCAGTATGGAAATAATGAATAGGAGAAGAGATGTGAAATGAAAACTTCAGAAAGACATTGAACAAAGAAAACAAATTCACAGTAATAAATAACTGGAATTTGCATAAAGAATAAATGCTGAAGAAAGCACAAAATGGTCACAACTGAAAAAATTAAGCAAATAAAGAATAATTAAAAGAAATAGAAAAAAAGCTATGTAAAAGATATGTAAAACCAACTCAACATAGATATTCTTGGAGTTCTCAAATATAACCAAATGCACAGAAGATAAAAAAAATTACAACTTATACTTCAAAAATAGTACTGTGAAATAAAAGAAGATTCGAATCCAGTAATATTATAAAAGACTTACAGGAGAGAAAATATACCTGAAACTTTCTGCTGAAGACGTTACTTGGTCAAGTTACAAGATATCGAAATAGGAATACAAAAATTCTTAACTTTATAAAACACTGATATGGTGCCTAAAAGTCAGTTTTACACTTAATGAGAAAAATCTAGACTCATTCCTAAAGAAGTTGAGAACAAGTCAATGCCCACTATCATTGTTGCTATTTAGTGTTGTATTTAAGGTACTAGCCAATTAAATTAGACAAGAAAATAAAGGTATCTGAAGTGAAGAGATGTAAAACACTATTTGCTGAAGAAACAATGGTACTTCTTCAAAATCAAAAGTGTAAAGTGAAAAACTACATGAGCAATGAGAGAATTACTAACCACGGTAGGATAAAAAATTGACATAAATTTAATAGTTTCGATTAGTGAAATCATAATGAATTTGAATATATAGCTATAGCAATAGAGAAGCCCTCATTTTTATGCCAAAATTAAAAGCCATTAAAGCTAGATTTAAAGTTTTAAGGAATTATGCCAGTATTATATAAAGAACATATCAAGGCACTCTGAAGAGTACATAAGGTCTTAGATGCTATCTTTTCTTGTGAAAAATTAAACAATTTCTTCTAAACTGATTTCTAAACGAACCCATTTCCACAACAAATATCAAGTAATATTTTTCTTAAAAAATATTAGACAATATCTTAATTCTATTCTAAAATTTCATTTAAAATAACAGCTGATCCCAAAGTTCATGTGGAAAAATAAAGTGCTAGGAATAGCCAGAATAATCTCTGAAAAGGAAGTGCAATGAGACAGAATGACTGCTTGCAAATTTCAAAACATACAAAGCTTTCATAATTTAAACAGTGGCATAGTAATGCATGCAAAGGCTGATCAGTGAAATAGAAGTAAAAATACAGAAAGAGCCAAATATGTAGAAAAAAATCATATTTCATAAAGATGATATTTTAAATTATTGGAGAAACATTTATTGTTATTCAATAAATAGTACCAAGATACCAGGTAGCCGTTTTGCAAAAACAAAGATATACAAATCTTACACAATTCACGAAAATAAACTACATTAATATTAACAAGAAAGAGTCAGGTATAAAAAATAATTATAAAAGTAATACAGATATTACAGGAGAATTTCTTCGTAACTGAGAAGTGAACCTAACATAATTCTCTATCCTTGTATTAAACAATATAGATAGACATAATTTACTGTTCTGTTTCTGTACTAAACAATATTTAGACCAGGCAAAAATATCTTAGCTTCTTTCTCCAGGAAATAAGAGCTCCTAAAAGATAAGACTGTGAACTTACTTATCAAGACCGATAGCTTGTTTCCCAAGGCTCACTTTAAGATCCTCATTTTGCTATGCCCATCAATCCAAAGCAATTTTTGGTCATATACTTTGCCCAATCTCAGGCAAATCTCCTCCTGAATGACCCACCCTAATTCACCCATTCTGGCACTCCCTATAAATTACTCTGCCCTAGTTTCCACATTTTGAGATACTACTTTACTCTGTCAAGTTAGCATTCTGCCTTACTGCATTAATTCAACTAATTAGGTTAACTTCACATGATTAATGTATCTTTTCTAGTTGTCTTTTGAAGAGCCTACCTTCAATATAGTCAGGCTTTACCATCAGAAGCTACAAAAGAAAAGACTGACAAATTTCATTCCACAAAAGTAAAAATATCATAAGAAAATTCAAAATACTAAACACGAACTAGGAAAATATATTTGGCAAAAGATTAAGTTCCTTAACATATAAACTTTTAAAGTCCACAAAGTGAGAAAAGCAAAAGAAAAAAAGAGGGAGAGTAAGAATAGAAGAATTTAAAGAATATATAAAGGACATGAATAGTTTACAGAGAAGAAAACTAAATGTTTTCTAGGCATGTAAGAATACCTAGATTCACTCATAATCAGAAATGTGTAAACAAGCTGATAATTTCACAAAGAATATATAGGCATGGACAAAGACTTCATGACTAAAATAACAAAAGCAATGGCAACAATGGCCAAAATTGACAAATGGGATCTAATTAAACTAAAGAGCTTCTGCACAGCAAAATAAACTATCATCAGAGTGAACAGGCAACCTACAAAATGGGAGAAAATTTTTGCAATCTATCCATCTGACAAAGGGCTAATATCCAGAATCTAAAAGGAACTTAAACAAATTTACAAGAAAAAAACAAAAAACCCCCTCAAAAAGTGAGTGAAGAATATGAAAACTTCTCAAAAGAAGACATTTATGCACCCAACAAACATATGAAAACAAGCTCACCATCGCTGGTTATTAGAGAATTGCAAATCAAAACCACAATGAGATATCATCTCATGCCAATTAGAATGGTGATCATTAAAAAGCCGGGAAACAACAGATGCTGGAGAGGATATGGAGAAATAGGAATGATTTTACACTGTTGGTGGGAGTGTAAATTAGTTCAACCATTGTGGAAGACAGTGTGGCGATTCCTCAAAGATCTAGAACCAGAAATACCATCTGACCAAGCAATCCCATTACTGGTTATATACCCAAAGGATTATAAATCAGTCTACTATAAAGACCCATGCACACGTATGTTTACTGCAGCACTATTTACAATAGCAAACACTTGGAACCAACCCAAATGCCCATCAATGACAGACTGGATAAAGAAAATGTGCCACATATACACCATGGAATATGATATAGCCATAAAGAAGGATGAGTTCGTGTCCTTCGCAGGGACATGGATGAAGCTGGAAACCAGCATTCTCAGCAAACTAACACAGGAACAGAAAACCAAACAGTGCATGTTCTCACTCATAAGTGGGAGCTGAAGAATGAGAACCCATGGACACAGAGAGGGGAACAACACACACCAGGGCCTGTCGGGAGGTGGGGGGCTAGGGGAGGGATAGCATTAGGAGAAATACCTAGTGTAGATGATGGGTTGATGGGTGCAGCAAACCACCATGACATGTGTATACCTGTGTAACAAACCTCCACGTTCTGCACATGTATCCCAGAGCTTAAATAAATTAAAAAGAGAGAGAGAGAGAGAATATGAGAACTCAAGGAAAAGAACTGGGATAATTTACAAGTGGTTCCATAGTATAGGAAATAATAAACTGTTCACAATTGCAAAAGAAAAAAAAAACTCATAACTAGAGTGAGACTAAAAGTGTGCAGGGAATTAGAAGCTTATGTTCTAGTCTAAAATTTTCCAGGACTTGGAAAATAAACAGTATTATTTCATGTATTCATCTATGTATGAATTCATTATTGTAACAAGTAGTTTTCAATATTTCATTAGACACTAACAGTTGGCCCTTGAACAATGAAAGGGCCGGGGGGCACCGAGCCCCACCACTCCCAGTGTAGTAAAAACTCGCGTATAATTTTGACTTCCCAAAAACTTAACTACTGATAGCTTACTGTTGACTTACCAATAACATAAACAGTCAATTAACACACATTTTGTGTATGTAGTATATAATATATTCTTATAGTAAAGTAAGCTAGAGAAAAGAAAGTGTTAAGAAAATTGTAAGGAAGAGAAAACATATTTATTATTTATCAAGTGGAAGTGAATTATCATAAAAGTATCCTCATTGTCTTCGCGTTGAGTAGGCTGAGGATGAGAAGGAAGAAGAGGGATTGGTCTTGCTCTCTCAGAGATATGGCAGAGGTGGAATAAAATCTACTTAAAAGTGGACCAGCCTAGTTCAAACTCATGCAGCTAGAGTCAACTGTACTTCACAGTAGGTTCCCAGCAGGAAGCAAGAAAAACAATAAGAGATAAAGGTAGTTGTAAAGCTGCAATGAGATGTAAATGCTCCAACCTAAGTGCTCCAGTGATGTAAATCCTCCAAAGCTAACAAGACAAAGCATATTAACATGTAATTAAGAAAAACAGTGCCCCCACCACCTTTCACTCTACCTGCACACTCCCTTGCTTCCCATACTCCTGCCAACTTAGATGAACACCAGAATTTGAATTCATGTGAAGGCTGAGAGGAATGTCAAACTATACAAGAAAGAGGGACGGGTTGGGGAGGGCTCCCTTTGCAATGTATGTAACTCCTTTTGAATTTATATCAAAAGATTAAAATTTCATTAAATTTTGTAATTAGAAGATATAGAAATATGATAAAGCTGGAAGAACAGAACCTCTCCAGTATTCCACAGAACATTTCATGTCATTCTCCTAGGCTATGTCTGAGGCAAATCTCTCTGAACACCCTGGGTCCATAGTTTATAGAAAGAGACAAGTCTCCACTCAGGCTCCCTTCTCCAACATTCTCTTGGAACTCCGGGGTATCTTTACCTCTTTCAAGCCTCTTATATTTATGCTTCCTCCTTCAAACTTAGACCTGATTCTTTACAGTGTCCATCATGTCTACTTTTCTGCTTATCTCCATGTTTGTGCTTACTCAGTCCTCAGAAGCTGGGATTTATTCTTTGTCTTCCATTTTTTCTAGGAAATTTCTACTCATCTTCCTCAGACTCCCTATTCCATAAACTCTTCCTCTGATACCCCAAAACATACTCTAGGTTTTACATAACACGTATATTACAGATTGTTTTAAAATATGTAGCTTTCTGTTTCCCTCATTAATTGAGGGTATGTCTTATTTATCTTTGCATCTTTTCCTCCTAGCAAAGGGTCAGGCATGTAGAAAATAATGCATTCTGATTAAATGAATAAATGCACAACAAAATAAACTATAAAACTGTATAGTAATCACATACCCTCTATTATAGTTTAAAAATAAGCAACATAGCAAAGCAATATGCTTTTAATAAAAGGCAAAATGTATGTATAAAAAATTACAGCAATTACCAAAAAGAAATATCTATAAATGACTTGAAAATTGCAAGGAAGAAAAATGGTTAAAGTATTTCTACAGAATAGGTTTGTTTTACTGATGCATTCATGTGCTCATTTTGTTAACAAATTATTGTAACACATATTATGTGGCAGGCACTCTGAATGCAAATATACATAATTTCTTAATATCTTATAATTTAGTTAAAAGAGATTCATTTTTATGATATCTGCTCAGTCTACCTAGCGAGTCAATCACTAAAAAAAGTTTCAATAATTTTTATGTTAAACAATTACTTACAAAGATTTAAAGCCAGAGACGGTATCAAGCCCTCACCAATGGGTTCACAGGCCTAAGCCAATCTAGATTTATATCTAAAAGTTCCAAAAGTATCAAATAAAGTGGAATGTTTGCAGTGTGGTTAAGAGTCAAATTAAATATCAATTTATGTTCAATATACTCCAAAATGAAAAAGAATTCAAAATTTAATCATGTATCAAATAGATTTAAATGCATATAACAGTTTTAGATATCATCATAATTACTAAGCCTCAAATACATAGTAAATAAATTTATCCAAAGTATTTCAGTCCCTCAGAGTTTGGGACACTGATGTTTTACTGAAGAAATTAACCATGAAATCTATATTTAACTGTTGATATTTGCATTGCATATATAGAACACTAAAAGCAGTGAATTTACAATATAAAAATACCGTAAAGCACTAACATGAGACATTCCTCACTGCAGACAAAATTTCTTCTTTAATCCTAAAATGTTCTAAGAATCTGTACTGGGATTCCCTAACTCATGACAATTTTGTAGCAATGTAAGTTGCTAAAGAATTAAAAGGGTGCACTTTATTTCCTTAAGTTTTATAAAATTAAGATTGCTTAGTGCTATTATTTACTATCAACATCAACCCTTCCAGTTTATTTTTAAGTTTATTGAACTCACTTGTATGTCCTAAACAAATTATTTATTTAGCACCTCACCCCAGTTTAAAAAAAATAAGCTAGAATGCTAGTATTTTCTATGAGTTTTTATTTTGATTTTGAATAGTTTACCATCTAATTAGAAAAGAAAATGAAAATGTCACAAGGTAACAAAAATATTGACTACCATGGACAGATTTATAATAAACAGAGTTTAATGACACCACATGTTCCCAAAATGCCTAAAGGCTAAGAAGGTAAGTTTCTACAATGGAAAATAAAACAAATCTATATATAAGAGAGCAAAATAATACAACTGTGGATATACTAAAAATTAAAGAATGAAGATTATACATCTATTGTATGAAGGTCGTATATAATAGTTTTCAGGGAATAGAACATTATCCCATGGCATTTCTGGGATATTTTCATTTCATGAAATATGAAACAAATGAGAAGACATCTAAATTTTAGGAGTCATATTATTATTTTTTAATTCTGTCACTTTGCAAATATCATAATACTTTCCTGTTTTAATAAAACTACTTCATTATGCTTTTTTGTACATTACCTCGTGAATCTTGAGGTAGAAAAACATCAGACTGGTAGATTTACAAGATTCATAAGAAACTGTAGGATACATTCAATACTTCATATAAACACAAACATGAGATGTTTTAAAATTAAAAGTGGCACTGCTTTTCAAAGGAAATTGTGGGATTTTTTTTTTAATGGCTACGACTTTGCCCCAATATTATAAGGTAAAACCAAGAACTGTTAATGTATATTTAAAAGAGCTTGAAAGAGCACGAGGGAAGGCAGAAGCTTCTATCTTCACTTTTTCCCTTGAAATCCAACTCACATACTCTTTCTCTCTAAACATTTCATTTTCTCTTACTTTCTGTGAAGTTTTTTTCATTCCTTGGGGTGTCTAACTCATCTGTGCAATTCAGAATTCTTGGAGTATCAATTACTTACAGAAACCATTTCTCTGTGGCCTTGCAGGTTGTCCTTCAATTAAGAACTTTGGAAGAACAGAGGGAGAAGAGAAGGAAAAAGTGAGGCAGCTTCAGCAGCTACCAAAATACCAAGAACTTGTTACCACAAAGGATGTAGTAAGAGCCATGTTATCATGTGTTAAATACAAACAAGAGAAAAAGGAGTCCAATTTTCTCCACATGCATTTTTATTTGTGACTTCCAGGAACTTTGGTTATATTGCACATGGAAAAAAAAAAAAAAAAAGCAAGGTACGTCTTAACTGATTTTCTTTAAAAAATATATGCTATATTTGTGACAACATGATAATGGATGCTAGTGTCAAATCTCTGATTTCCCTCTATGCATGTGCAGTCCAAATACAAAAAATAACATATATATACAAAATTTTAAGCTTATTGACAGCAGAAATAATGTTTTTTGTACTTGCAGTCTTCTTAATCCAAATGGTGTCTTCATCAATGTTTAAGACATTCTAATCTCAAGATACATGTAAGTATGCATATATGTATTCATATCATGGAGAAAGTTATAGTTATTTTTAATAATTCCCCAAGTTTAAGAAAGAGTGGATATAGTTAGCCAGTGAGTGCTTTCTTAGTACAGCAGGGTGAAGAGACTAGAAATATACATGATTGGAGAAATAAAGAGCTATATTGCTCTGATTTCAAAAGGGGGATAGAGTCTTGCAGAGAATATTTGTTGACATTCAGTTAAAAATTAAGGAGTCTGAATGAATAAGGATGGTAGGCACAGAGAGCTGAAAACACCCTGGCAGATGAAAGCTGAGGAAAGGATTTGGAAAAACAAAGTATGTAATGAAAATTTCATAAAGTTCCTTGCTATGTGGCTGGTAACATACATTTTCCCCTTTCTCATCCCAAGAAATCTTCATTAAAATCTCCATTATTCATTTGTGTTTGGTAAGTAAATTTGCCTTAGGAGAGTAAGGGCATGGGATCTGAGTTGTGCTTCAGGAATGAAAAACAGAGTCTGCAAGCAAAGACTGCTGATATCTTTTGAGTTTTGTCTAATGCTAGAATTACCTCCATGATATCTCTACAATGTAGATATCTAGATGCTACTTGACATATACAATGACAAAACAGACAAAAAAAAACTCTCCACCTCCAAAGGTGTTCATTTTTTCTGGCAAAAAGCTCTTATATATTAAAACAAAAACTTTCATATATTTAAGATTTGGCTTGTTGTAGCTGCCTCCTAATTTACTCTCTATAATTAGATAGAAAAATATACTTCGACTTTTAAAAAATATATAAAGGCAACTATTATGGCCCTCAAGTCATCAGAATTTATAAAAATAGTTTTGAGTTTTTCAGTTTTGATCAGTAATCCACAGCATGAGCGCTTGACAAAGACCAACAGAAAAGTATACAATTGTTTTATTAATTAGACAAGTAGATTACACTCTATGCAACAATAGCCAATACCACTTTGAAGTGGATAAATGGCGAAAGAGTTCTCAATTGCTACCACAGAAAAATTTGAGTAAAGATACACAGGGGGTATTATATCTCCCATGTCTTGCCCAGTGAAATGTACATTTCAGCTTTGACCTTAAAAGAGAAGGTTCTCATCAAATCAAAATAGAAAATAGCCCTCAACCTTGTCAAAAACCCAGACACTGAATGCAGAGTAGACAATAACTTCAGGATCACACAGAATGAAAATAGGACATTTTTAGAGAACTAAAAATAGGAGCTGACAGTGTCTCTGAAGAGAGTTTAGGCTTTAGAGCAGATAACGTAGTTCGAGTTGCACATAGCTACATGAACTTGGGCATGTTACTTAATAACCCTAAGACTGTTTCTTCATTTGTAAACAGGAACAAAAATATTGATATCTATCAGGTAGTATTGTTGTATTAAATGAGAAAATCTACATAAAGCACATTTTATAATATTTTAAAAATAATATTCAATAAATAAATCACGTTTCCATTTTATTATGATCATAATATTCAGCATAATTATCTATTTCATCAACTAAACTCTGAGCTTCTGGGGGATAGGAATTCTGTAATATTCATAAATATATAAGAGTGATATTAAACATTTCTTGAACAAAATACACTTGGGGTAGCTATGTATATATACGGTTCTAGAGTTTTCCGCAATAAGAAAAAAAATTGTTTAATCAGCTGTGTACCAGTTAGGCAGTAAAAGCATAAGACTCAAAAAATGAAATTACATATTAATATGAATTAAATCATATTTAACCATACCTGGAGTAATAATTGCTTATCAACTCCTTAATGAAGATTAATGAGAAATATATATATTAGCTTGTATTATTGTTTAAAATATTTGTTGCTTTTCCCCACCAATGACTCTCAACTGTGGGAGGATTATTCATCCCCAAGCTATTTAACTCAGACACAAATATGAAATACACAGAAAAGATGTGTGTTTCTTCTGAGCTGAACCTTAAAGTTTAAAGGTCATGGTTTGCCATTTTTTTCTCCTCTGCCTTGAGACCAGCAATATCCCAGAGAGAACTACTGAGCCAGGCTGGGTGCTCGAGAGAAGATGAAATAGAGCAAAGGAAAAGCTAGCCCATGTTACACAGTAAGACAAGAAATAAAGTTTGGTATGCTGATCGACTAAGATTTCAGGGTTGCCAGTTTCCAAAGCATAGTTTAGCCTAAATTGAGAGAAAAGCTGTGATTTATATGTACTGGTATATAACTAGGTTTAATTTTGTAGAAAATGTCGATAGTTTTCATTCCACATTGTGAAGTCATCCATTTAATGCTAGTTCTTCAGATACTTTCATGAAGCATTTTTTTAATCCTCCAGTTATTGCCAAACAAACCACACCCAATTATTGCTAACCAGATTTTAGTATGTGGTGTGAAGGATATATTAACGGTTCCCTTAAGGAATGTGTTTTAAGGCCAGGCGCGGTGGCTCATGCCTGCAATCCCAGCACTTTGGGAGGCCAGGCAGGCAGATCACGAGGTCAGGAGATCGAGACCATCCTGGCTAACACGGGGAAACCCCATCTCTACTAAAAATACAAAAAAAAAAAGTTAGCCAGGAGTGGTGGCGGGTACCTGTAGTCCCAGCTACTCGGGAGGCTGAGGCAGGAGAATGATGTGAACCCGGGAGGCGGAGCTTGCAGTGAGCCAAGATCATGCCACCGCACTCCAGCATAGGTGACAGAGCAAGACTCCATCTCAAAAAAAAAAACCCAAAAGTTTTAACAATATTTTTTTCCCCTTGATATGTTACCAATCTTCAATGGCACAAATATATGATTACATTTATGCCTTGTTTCTGAAATTAGTAAAGGACGTTTTATATATTCAAAAGGAAAAAAATCACCATACAATATGATAAACATATTCCTTTTAGTTATATATATAAAACTCTTCTAGAATCATGCACTATAGCATTTATTGAGTTTTTATGAAAATTTATTCAATTCATTATAAGATCTACACTAGTCTTACTAACCTCCATTCTCTTATTTCAAAGTGAATACCTCACATTTTGTTCTGTTAGCAATCTGCTAGATCAAAGTCATTTTGGACTAAAAAGTAATAAGAACACATACAGTAATTCAAATCAGCATAGCATATTGCATTATATGATATAGTCAAGTAGTAGAGAATTCCGGTTAACTTATAAAAATTGTAATTTTCAAAATAGAAATAATAAAGCATATTTTACAAAATTATTTTAAACACAGTTTTATGTTTCTTTGATGACACAGAGAACTTTTTATGGTACCTCTGAGATATTTAATAAATATCAATCATCTTTGTACTGTAAGAATCCAATAGTGCCCATAACCAGAATGTGCTTGGAATTGAATGATTAAAAAGCACAATAAAAACTATAAAAATGAAAGCCTACTATGTGGTAATTACTAATAAGTTACCATAAATATTTAGAGATTTAAATGATGTAGACTTTTAACAAAGTCTCCAATGTGAGGTGTGTTATTTCCAGAATGTTGGCATTTTAATGTATACATAGCTGTAGTTTTCAAAATTTCTTATTTTTCTCAGAGACCTGTCTTGTCTAGTCCATAAATATACAAAAAGGAATTTGTTTCATTTCCTTTCTCAATGTCACTCAAATAATAACATCAGCCAAGAATTGGATGAAATGCTCTGGTGAGGAATCTTATAGTAAGATGAAATCATTCAGTGAATTGTCTGATATTTCACAATGATTCAATTTTATTCCTCAGGATAAATCCAAATGAGCACAGAAATCTCCTAGTATTATAAACTTTTCCCTGGGGCAGTTCTACAAGATCTGCATATTACCACTTTATTGCAGAATGAGAAGTTATACAAACTATTGAATTACTGTCAAATATACTTGTATGATTTTTACTGTCACTTTCCTAACTTTAAAAGGGGAAAATATCCTTATAAAATATTTTAATGATCAAAACAGACAAATATGATTTAACCAAAAAATTTTGAGAATATCTTAAAAAAATCAATGGTGCCACCGAATAAATAAAAAATCTTTATATATACTTCACAGAATCATCCAATTTCTCACAGAGTTTTCTTGATTAACCTGTCACACATGACAGAAATCACACTGACTCGTGCAGTAATCTATACACTGATTACTGACAAATGTCAACATACCTCCCACAGTCTGGTATTTGTTAGACCATATATGGTCAGGCTATTATATCCTTTTCCATTTTAGTTATGTTTTTCTTCCATCCCGTTATTTTTTTATATGTGTACATTCATCTCAGTTTTAGTATCCAGGATAACTCAGAATATGATAATAGGGATTTTATTTTATTTATGTTCTCCACCTTCCTTATGTTCGAATTTTTTTTGTTGTTGTTGTTACTGTGGACAAAATTAAGGCAGGATTCCTACTAAATTAGAGGGAGGCATGGTGCATCAGAATCCCCCCCGGCAGGAAGGAACTTTTTCAAACTACATATACCTCCCTCAGAATCTGATTCACTTATCCGAGAGAGTATAATTTCTTTCCTACTAGAAACTACTGCCACTGAGATTCATTTTCACTGATGGCCATGTGTCAGATGCTCAAGTTTTGGGTTAGAAAAAAATGATTGAGGAGCGCAATTCAAAGGAAAACTTGGGGCTCCTCTCCATCCACCCTGTCCACCATGCAACACTGTCTTTAAGGAGAAAAAGTGCTGCTGTAGTTGAATAGGCTTTAAAACTTTATATGGGTCACCATGAGTAATTAACCTCCCTGGGTAACTAATAGTCACAGTTCATTTCTAATAATTGGCTCTCTTCAGATATTTACCCAGCAAGGTGCATTAGTCCTGAATTGTGGGTGCAGCTGCCTGAACAACAACCTCTTCCCCTCCATCCTTAATCCAAGGAACACTTGGCACAGGTGGGGTCCTCAACACATGGGCAAATTACTCTTGATTTCTTTTGCTTGCTATATAAATACTTGATCTCTGCTCACATCAAAGTGATCAAATTCAGGTTTGAAATTTAAGTTAAAAAGATAGAAAAATCAAGTTCTTAAGCCTGCTTTACTTCTAGGCTACCAAGGTTTGAAATATTTCTCTTTGCCCTACAAGTTGAATATTCTTCATCTAAGAATGAGCTGGCCTAAGCCTTACCCCAAGCATCTTCAGCTATGAAGTCTAACTTCAGAATTTCCAGGAAAGTATTATTTTCACTTATTTGTATATAGTACATACTATTTTTCACTTGTGCATACAGTCTAGAATTACAACTAGTAGGGCCCAATGAGAATCTTTTAAAATCAGACTACATCTGATACATGAACTAATTCATTTACATGAACATAAATAATAATGACTACTAATGTAATGATGAATGTGAAGAAAATAGAAGAAATGTAAAATTCATCTATTATTTATACTGGTTAATATTTTTAAAAAGCTATTTCTCGTCAAATCTTTTCATATCTATATGGTTTTGCTCTGAACTGGAAACAAGGGCCACACGTTATTCTTTTTTGTATCCTAACAGCATATAATACTTAGCAGTGAAAATGCCAAGTACTTAATTATTCACTGACAGTTCAACCACAGATATAAGGATATATTGATTTATTCAACAAAAATTAATAAGACAATACTTTCAGGGATCATTTCCACAGTTCATTACTAGAGAAGTTTCTCTGAATGTGTAGAGCAGGGGTCCCCAACCCCAGGGCAGCAGATCAGTACCTGTCCATAGCCTGTTAGGAACCAGGAGGTGAATGGCAGGCAAGCGAGCATTACGGCCTGAGTTTCACTTACTGTTCGATCAGCAGTGGCATTAGATTCACATTGAAGCTTAAACCCTATTGTGAACTGCACATGCAAAGGATCTAGGTTACGTGATCCTTATGAGAATCTAATGCCTGATGATCTGAGGTGAAACAGTTTCTTCTCAAAACCATACCCCCACCCTGGTCCTTGGAAAAGTTGTCTTCCACAAAACTGGTCCCTGGTGCCAAAAAGGTTGGGGATTGCTAATGTAGAGCACTGGAAACCAGAAGAAGGTGCAGGGTTCCCTCACTAGCGTGAAGCTGGCTCTTGGTGCTCCTTCACTGAAAATGCCATTTGCCATTGATGATCGCTCTTCCCTTCCTCTGGGAGGATGCAGTCTGAGTGTTTTTTCTTGTTAAAACAAAATTAAGAAGCACATATCTGTGTCAGACAGTGTTCTGATGACAAAGTTACAAATTATACTTACACAATTTGCACTTTTTTGTAATACTATCCACTTAAAGAATCTTGAATCTTGTGAAGATAATCTTTTCAACTAGGAAATTGTAAAGAAATATCAGGTACAAAATTTAGTATATTCTTATAAAATAACATTTATACAGTTAAAATTATGGATAGAAATGCAAGCCACATTGATATTTAGAACTAATAAGCTAGAAAGTCCAATCTTACATTTCACTTCATAGGTGCTGTTTGTTATTACATAAAGTACAGAATAAATATCCATTACTACGTGTAACTGCATAATTCCTAAATATTTTGAAATAGATTGTTTTACCAGATGTTCAGTTTTAGATGTGAATTTTTCTTTTGCTATTCAGCAATGAACACAAAACTTTTAGCTTAAAAATACATCTATATTTATCAAGGATTTTGAAGGTAGATTTGCTTTTCTATGGTGGATAAATCCATATGAAGCTTACATCTACTAGAAGCAGCAGACATTTATCCTCAATTCAGTCCGAAACATTTATTTGCCTTTCTCCACTAGAGGTTCATGTCATCTAGAGGTCTTACAGAAAGGTTAAAATTTCCCAGCGGCATTTTTATTCCGTTTCCTTTCCTACAACTGAAAAAGCCCACTGAGGTGGTAGCTTAGATGAAGGAAACGAGAGAGAATGATGAGGAAATAGTAAATGTGAGAGTTAAGTAGTTAAATACAGCAATGTAAATTCCCAGCATAACAATAATTCAGTTGTGGTCAGAATCCTACTATAAGCTAGTAGTTTATTTTGTATTCCATTTTTATAATAAATATCTATTGGCTGGGCACAGTGGCTCATGCCTGTAATCCCAGGACTTTGGGAGGCCGAGGCGGGTGGACTGTGAGCTCAGGAGATCGAGACCCTCCTGGCCAACACAGTAAAACTCCATCTCTACTAAAAATACAAAAATTAGCTGGGCATGGTGGCACGTGCCTGTAATCCCAGCTACTCAGGAAGCTGAGGCAGGAGAATCACTTGAGCCAAGGAGTTGGAGGTTGCAGTGAGTCAAGATCATGCCACAGCAACCCAGCCTGGTGACAGAGTGAGACTCTGTCTCAAAAAAAAAAAAAAAAAGAAAAGAAAAATTATTAAGCATCTTACATAATGTAAAATTGTTTTTTAGGTGACGTGTGTATATTTTGTGTGTAACTACACATATATATGTATACAAATACACATAAATTCACATATATGTATGTGCATACATCCCTCCCTAAAGAAAATTATCCTATTTTATATAAAATCCATTATAGGATAAATTAGAGGTATGTAAGATAAGTAAAGCACCTCTTTATATCACCAAAAGAGACAGGCAGGTAACACTTTATTTCTAGAAAATTTTTTCTCCATTGGGATTCAGGTATCTTGATATCCTAGAACAATCTCAGTTATGCAAGTTCATTTCAAATCATTATTTGATGAAGACATAGTGATTCTGAAGCGCTGCCAGTGGCATCCAGATTTTAATGAAGTGGAAGTTGTACCACGTTGACAACTGAGTCATAGCTGTAAGAAGCTCAGCTCAGATAAGGAACCTACAAATCTGCAGATCAAATGGTAAGCAGAATCTTCTTTGCCAGTAATGAAGGTCACGGGTATTGCATCACAAGACAGAACTACTTTTATAAAATCAGAGATTTAAAGTGGAATCAAGAGCTGTCAACAAGAAGCAAGATAAGGAAATTAGGGGATTAAAACTACCTGTCAAAAGCACCTGACTGTCTTGTATTTTTTTAAGCAAAATATGTTGTAATCAACATAAGAGTCCGTGCTTAAAAATAAATAGTCAAGGTTTACATAGAGAAAAATACATAGGACAAATTACTCATTTTCATGTAACAACAGAGTTAGTGGATATTAACACAACAGAAGGTAGACAAATTATGAGGTCATTAGCTTTTTAAAAAATAAACAACTTTTACTATAAAAATAAAATATGAACATAGTAAAAATGTGAAGTAGGACGAGATAATATAAGTGAAAAGCAGAAGTCTCACTTGTAAGAACTGTGATCCATCTTTATTTGTCCACATGAGCCATTGTTATCCCAACTTCAGCTATTGAATTGAAATGTCACCTCGCATACACAAATAGACATATGGGTCTGTTCCTGGACTACTCTGCTCTGCTGAGTCACTATCTGCACCAGTGCCAAAGATCCTATAGCTTTAAAGTACAATTCAACATTTGATAAGACCATTCTCTGCCTGTATTACTCCTCTTTTCCAGCCACTTTTGTATATATATTTCAGTTAAACTTTTTTTATTCTTAACAATTCTATTTGGAAATGCTATTGACATTGCCTTGACACTATAGACTTTATTAACTTAGGGAGAATACATATCTTCATAATATAAAATATCCCTCCTAAAGATAGAGGTATTAACTAAATTGAATTAAACCTTGGGAGTAGCGCAGAGTGGGACAAGCAGGTAATTAAAATGGACCATAATATATTATATATCATAAAAATAAAATGTCACATTTCTCCTGAAAAGGATGAGCTATTTATAGCTCAATAAATAATCATTGATAATGTTAATATTATTCCACTGACAAAACATGTTGGCTTCTTCCGATAAAAATTATATAACCATTAAATGTCTTTCTTTAGCACAATCCTCAACATTCCAAAATCTATAACCAGAAATCAATGATTTCATAACCAAATCACACAAAGGGAAGGGAATTACTTGATCTCACACACAAAACAATCCCAGCATGAAATTAGAGGATGGAATTATAGAAGGCCCCACTATATATTAATATATATTTGGGTTTTTTGTTTTGATTTTGAGACAGGGTCTCATTCTGTTGCCCAGACTGGAGTGCACTGGCAAAATCTCAGCTCATTTCAGCCTCAATATCCCAGACTTAAGCTATTCTCTTATCTCAGCCTCTCAAGTACTTGGGGCTACAGGCATGTGCTACCACACTCAGCTAATTTTTAAGTTATAAATACCTAAATATATATGTATATATATATATATAGAGAGAGAGAGAGAGAGAGAGAGAAGAGATTGGATTTTGCTAAGTTGCCCAGGCTGGTCTTGAACTCCTGGACTCAAGCAATCCACCTGCTTCAGCCTCCCAAAGTGCTGGGATTACAGGCATGACCTACTGCACCAGGCTAAAATTTGTTTTTTATCACAGTGTATGACATGGGTTTGAAATGCATGATATGTGTCCATCTATTAGCATAAAGAGGAAAAGCCACTTGCTTGCAAGTTGCAAGAGTCAATAACAGAATATAGGAGTAGATATTTTGTCTGACTGCTACAAGATGCTCTCCATCAGGGTGACTCCCATTTATGACATCAGGTAAAAATTCAAGCAGCAAAATGGTAGAATACCTCTGGATTTAAAATCAGAAAGTCAGGTTTTATGTTCTAGTTATTTAGCAAGTGACAAACTTTGTGAACCTCATCAATAAAGTGAGGATACTCATACACTAGTTCTTGTGATCATATGAGATTATATGTTGAACTTGCTCTCTGAAACATAAAGCATTTTACTAAATACAAAATCATCTCAATTTATTATCATGTAGGCAAAATAGAGTTTTGGTCAAAATCATATATAGATCGTTTCTCAAAAGTTATTCTATACCCAGTAGATGCCAACTAGCTTCACAACCTGGGAAGCTATTTTGTTAATTGCCACCCTAGAGTATGTAAACAAGCCTCCAAATGGCCTTCTACTCAGATTCACAGCATGAATAGCAAAACTAAGGGGGCCTGGGAACTATCTCCAACTTTTTTGTTTGTTTGTAGAAGCTCTACTGAAAAGTGATAAGTTCATCTTAAATAGGCTTAATTTTTAGAGCAATTTTAGGAAGAAAATTGAGAGGAAGGTACAGAGAGTTTCCATGTAGCATCTGTCCCACACACCCACAGCCTCCCCTATTATTGACATCCCCCCCCAGAGTGGTACATGGTTTTTTGGTTTTTTGTTTTGTTTTGTTTTATACAGTTGATGAGTCTACACTGAAACATCATCATTCAAAGTCCATGGTTTACATTTAGTGTTCACTCTTGGTGTTTTGCATTCCATAGGTTTGGAGAAATGTATAATGACATGTAGCCATCATTAAAGTATCACAAAGAATAGTTGCATTGCCCTAAAAATCCTTTATGCTCTACTTATTCATCCCTGCACCTAACTTTTTATCTTATTGCCCTTCATCTCTTTTTTGTAGCAGAGGACTTTTACTCTAGAAATCACTGCATTGCCTTTGTTTGTTTTTCCCCAACAGTGCAGAAACTTCTTACTTAAAACATCAGACACCATCATAGTGTTTTACTAATCAAACTACAAGAAATGTTGAAATGGAGTGGAGCAATTTGAGGAAGGTTTTATTTTAATTACAAGTTTGAATGCCTCTTTATCCAGGCTTCTCATATCCAATCTCATCACCACGGTCATTTGGGTCACTTAAAAACAATCAGTTCTCAAACCAGTTATAGTCACTAAAATATGTTCCTCAGCTCAATAGTTTCATGTGCCTTGCTGGTCTCCATAATAACAATCAACATACAGATTCCATATTATGTGAAATTTGAAATTCTAGTAATGACAAATGCAATTTCTTTATCAAGAAAGATTAAACCAGTTCATTTGCCTTATTTTAATCAGAATCAAGTATGTATGACAAGCTGAGGCAAATCATTGCTGCTCAGGGGGTTGATGAAATATACTTCTTCCCACCTCAGATTGTTTGTTTTTTCAGTTCATTAGGAAGCTCTCAGGAACGCTGCATATATACTTGGTGTACTTTATTTGACGCAGGGAATTAACACTTAACATTTCTTCAAGGTTGAGTAAAACAGATTTATACAGTCCTCTCCCCACACTCCTTCTGCTCATGTTGCCTAATCAAAATGTATTTCAGTTTGTCAGTCCAAGGCACTCTGCTGAGAATGTTTAACAAGGAAACTGAGGAGATAAATGTCAGTCTCACAGCACCATCAAGAACACAACACCCTCACGAGAAAACCACAGCTAAATCTATTGTGTGATAAAGCACATCAGTGTGAGATTCTTCCATTAAAAAAAAAAAAAAAAACAAGCTATGAGGAGGGGAGAATTAAATAATTATTACCTTAAAAACAGAGTTAACAAAAAGGGGTGGTATTATAACTAAAAATGACCAAAATTGGGAGTTGAATACAAATATTTAGTTTCTCATGTACAGTTTCCTCATCTATAAGCTAGGAAAAAAATATTCAGCACTCACATGGTTTCACTTTTTAAAAATTGGCCATTATGATTTCTAGAAAAAAAATCATTCTAATTCTTATTACACAAATATTCTGATTATTTGATAGAACATAATTCGATGTATTAATCTTTCCATAAGCAAGACTAGAGGTTTCTGGTGAAACTTTTTTACTTATCTTTGTTACTTATTAAAGTTTTTGTTGGTTTTGTTTTGCTTTTAACATTAAAATAGACATGGTTAAGCTTATTTTAATAAGTTCATGCTTATAGTATATGATAGCAGTTTGCTCTAGAAAAGTAATTATTGCTTTATTATGAAGCTATTATTAAATAATATAAAAACAATGGGTGATTGGATTGAAAATAAGAATTCAAGGAAGATATACCAAACCAATAGTATTACAAAATTAAACCGCATTTAATTAATCAGCTCTTTAATAGAATTAGTTAATGTAGTTAGAATCAAACAATTCTAGCCACAAATAGAATAGTCTCATATTCTTTTGAGAAGAAAGCAAAAATTATATGAAAATCATCAAATCAGAAGAAGATATAGCTACAACAGGCATATACACAGTCAGGTACAGAAGATCAAGAAGGGACAAATGGCAATCAAACAGAACAGTGTACAGAACTAAAACATGAAAACTCACTGGTTTAAAAAGCACAGGATTTTGTGTAATACAACCCTACATTCTTCAGTAAATTCCAATAATTATGATATCATAAGTTTTGCATTCAACAACCATCATCATTCACTGTTTTCTCCTTATACGTAGGATGCTATAGTAGATGATGGGAAAACAGTGACAAGTGGCCCCTATGTCCATAACATTTACCACATTATAAGGATGACAAATGACCAGTCAAGTGCAATACTCATCATAAACAGTGTGATGGCAGTCATCCATGTTCTGTGGGAGCCTGCAGGATGAGAGAAGAGAAGGAGGAAGGAAGAGAACTTTGTCTGTTATATCTTTTATATTTGAAAGGAAGTCCAAAAAGTTTTGCTATTTAGTAAGATGCCTCTGGATGTCTTATGGAAAATGGAATTGCCATATGTTTAAGACTGTAGACAGGGTAAGACTAAGAATCCAGACTCACTAGAAAAGAATTAAGTAATAATTTATTGTCAGAAAGGAACGTAACAAATTCAAAATTGCTATAGTAATTTTTAAAGCTTCGATGCTTTAATCAGCCACCTAGAGCCTTTGGCTACTTAGAGGTAATAAAACCCAAGTTTCCTAATTTTCTTTTTGAATAGTTTTAGATTTACAGAATATTTGCAAATATAGTTCAGAGTCCTCATATACTCTTCACCCAGCTTTCCCTCTTAAGTGTCTCATGAAAAGAAATCAAATGTAGCTTCCTCTGTAGTTCTCTGGTGGCTCTGTTTAAGATGCAGCTGTTTTCACAACTGCAGAAATTAAAGTGCCCAGAGGAAACTCAGGTCAACAAAAGAGCAAGAGGAGAATGGAAATCTCTAATGAAGGAGATAACTTTTTAAATGGATCTTCAGGTTGGGTGCAGTGGCTCATGCCTGTAATCCCAGCACTTTGGGAGGCCAAGGCAGGTGGATCATTTGAGGTCAGGAGTCGGAGTACAGCCTGGCCAACATGGTAAAACCCCTGTCTCTACTGAAAAAAAAAAAAAATACAAAAATTAGCCGGGCTTGGTGGCAGGTGCCTGTAATCGCAGCCACTTGGGAAACTGAGGCAGGAGACTCACTCCTACCTGGGAGGCAGAGGTTGCAGGGAGCCAAGATCGCGCCACTGCACTCCAGCCTGGGCATGAGAGCAAGACTTTGTCTCAAAAAAATAAAAATAAAAATAAAGGGATCGTCAATGTAACATCAATTGTTTAGATATTACTATAATTTAGATGAATCAACTGATTCAGGTTATGTGTGATCTATATTTCTGTATATTTCCATCCTATACCCTTTGAACACATTTTATAGTCCCCTTGTTTTTATGCAATAAAGTAGAAATTCATGAGTTGACTCTGATTTTTCACTGTGAATCTCTAAAAGTATTCCCAGAGGCCTACAGAGATAAAATCTGAAGTTAGACCAGTTACATAAATCAGAGCGGTCAAATAATGATGCTTGTGGATCCAGAAATGTCACCAGCAAGTAGTAGTTAGAGTTTGATTATATAAGATCTTAGGTGTCTGGGTTTTTTAAAAATATCAATTTGGTTTATATTCTAAATGGTTAATTAAAAAACTGAACAATTATAAAAATTAATATAACTGCTTTGGATTTGCTCTAATCAGTAAAGAAACACTTAAGCATTATGAAAGTTCCTGTCACAGTTCTGATTTGTATTTTTCTGCATTAATTAAAAATTGGTTTTAATCCAAGTATCAAAGATAATGAAGAAAAACAAACACTTTAGAAATTTAATAAGGTCATTTAACGAATCCTGTGGAAAACTTTCTTGAGATGTTACTTTGGAAGGTTTTTCTAATTTTTTTCCAATAAAAAGTAAATATGATGTGCACAAGTTTTCAAAATTTAAAATACATACATTATGGAAGTATTTTTCAATATATCTGTATCATTCATTCAAATTTTTAAAAAACAAAATAGGTCTACATGACAATTTTTATGTTAGAAAATTGTATTCTAGGGAGGAGCCAAGATGGCCGAATAGGAACAGCTCCGGTCTACAGCTCCCAGCGTGAGCGACGCAGAAGACGGGTGATTTCTGCATTTCCATCTGAGGTACTGGGTTCATCTCACTAGGGAGTGCCAGACAGTGGGCGCAGGCCAGTGTGTGTGCGCACCGTGCGCGAGCGGAAGCAGGGCGAGGCATTGCCTCACCTGGGAAGCGCAAGGGGTCAGGGAGTTCCCTTTCCGAGTCAAAGAAAGAGGTGACGGAAGCACCTGGAAAATTGGGTCACTCCCACCCGAATATTGCGCTTTTCAGACCGGCTTAAGAAATGGCGCACCACGAGACGATATCCCACACCTGGCTCAGAGGGTCCTACGCCCACGGAATCTCGCTGATTGCTAGCACAGCAGTCTGAGATCAAACTGCAAGGCGGCAACGAGGCTGGGGGAGGGGCGCCCGCCATTGCCCAGGCTTGCTTACGTAAACAAAGCAGCCGGGAAGCTCGAACTGGGTGGAGCCCACCACAGCTCAAGGAGGCCTGCCTGCCTCTGTAGGCTCCACCTCTGGGGGCAGGGCACAGACAAACAAAAAGACAGCAGTAACCTCTGCAGACTTAAGTGTCCCTGTCTGACAGCTTTGAAGAGAGCAGTGGTTCTCCCAGCACGCAGCTGGAGATCTGAGAACGGGCAGACTGCCTCCTCAAGTGGGTCCCTGACCCCTGACCCCCGAGCAGCCTAACTGGGAGGCACCCCCCAGCAGGGGCACACTGACACCTCACACGGCAGGGTATTCCAACAGACCTGCAGCTGAGGGTCCTGTCTGTTAGAAGGAAAACTAACAACCAGAAAGGACATCTACACCGAAAACCCATCTGTACATCACCATCATCAAAGACCAAAAGTAGATAAAACCACAAAGATGGGGAAAAAACAGAACAGAAAAACTGGAAACTCTAAAACGCAGAGCACCTCTCCTCCTCCAAAGGAACGCAGTTCCTCACCAGCAACAGAACAAAGCTGGATGGAGAATGATTTTGACGAGCTGAGAGAAGAAGGCTTCAGACGATCAAATTACTCTGAGCTACGGGAGGACATTCAAACCAAAGGCAAAGAAGTTGAAAACTTTGAAAAAAATTTAGAAGAATGTATAACTAGAATAACCAATACAGAGAAGTGCTTAAAGGAGCTGATGGAGCTCAAAACCAAGGCTCGAGAACTACGTGAAGAATGCAGAAGCCTCAGGAGCCGATGCGATCAACTGGAAGAAAGGGTATCAGCAATGGAAGATGAAATGAATGAAATGAAGCGAGAAGGGAAGTTTAGAGAAAAAAGAATAAAAAGAAATGAGCAAAGCCTCCAAGAAATACGGGACTATGTGAAAAGACCAAATCTACGTCTGATTGGTGTACCTGAAAGTGATGGGGAGAATGGAACCAAGTTGGAAAACACTCTGCAGGATATTATCCAGGAGAACTTCCCCAATCTAGCAAGGCAGGCCAACGTTCAGATTCAGGAAATACAGAGAACGCCACAAAGATACTCCTCGAGAAGAGCAACTCCAAGACACATAATTGTCAGATTCACCAAAGTTGAAATGAAGGAAAAAATGTTAAGGGCAGCCAGAGAGAAAGGTCGGGTTACCCTCAAAGGAAAGCCCATCAGACTAACAGCGGATCTCTCGGCAGAAACCCTACAAGCCAGAAGAGAGTGGGGGCCAATATTCAACATTCTTAAAGAAAAGAATTTTCAACCCAGAATTTCATATCCAGCCAAACTAAGCTTCATAAGTGAAGGAGAAATAAAATACTTTATAGACAAGCAAATGCTGAGAGATTTTGTCACCACCAGGCCTGCCCTAAAAGAGCTCCTGAAGGAAGCGCTAAACATGGAAAGGAACAACCGGTACCAGCCGCTGCAAAATCATGCCAAAATGTAAAGACCATCGAGACTAGGAAGAAACTGCATCAACTAATGAGCAAAATCACCAGCTAACATCATAATGACAGGATCAAATTCACACATAACAATATTAACTTTAAATATAAATGGACTAAATTCTGCAATTAAAAGACACAGACTGGCAAGTTGGATAAAGAGTCAAGACCCATCAGTGTGCTGTATTCAGGAAACCCATCTCACGTGCAGAGACACACATAGGCTCAAAATAAAAGGATGGAGGAAGATCTACCAAGCAAATGGAAAACAAAAAAAGGCAGGGGTTGAAATCCTAGTCTCTGATAAAACAGACTTTAAACCAACAAAGATCAAAAGAGACAAAGAAGGCCATTACATAATGGTAAAGGGATCAATTCAACAAGAGGAGCTAACTATCCTAAATATATATGCACCCAATACAGGAGCACCCAGATTCATAAAGCAAGTCCTGAGTGACCTACAAAGAGACTTAGACTCCCACACATTAATAATGGGAGACTTTAACACCCCACTGTCAACATTAGACAGATCAACGAGACAGAAAGTCAACAAGGATACCCAGGAATTGAACTCAGCTCTGCACCAAGCAGACCTAATAGACATCTACAGAACTCTCCACCCCAAATCAACAGAATATACATTTTTTTCAGCACCACACCACACCTATTCCAAAATTGACCACATAGTTGGAAGTAAAGCTCTCCTCAGCAAATGTAAAAGAACAGAAATTATAACAAACTATCTCTCAGACCACAGTGCAATCAAACTAGAACTCAGGATTAAGAATCTCACTCAAAGCCGCTCAACTACATGGAAACTGAACAACCTGCTCCTGAATGACTACTAGGTACATAACGAAATGAAGGCAGAAATAAAGATGTTCTTTGAAACCAACGAGAACAAAGACACCACATACCAGAATCTCTGGGATGCATTCAAAGCAGTGTGTAGAGGGAAATTTATAGCACTAAATGCCTACAAGAGAAAGCAGGAAAGATCCAAAATTGTCACCCTAACATCACAATTAAAAGAACTAGAAAAGCAAGAGCAAACACATTCAAAAGCTAGCAGAAGGCAAGAAATAACTAAAATCAGAGCAGAACTGAAGGAAATAGAGACACAAAAAGCCCTTCAAAAAATCAATGAATCCAGGAGCTGGTTTTTTGAAAGGATCAACAAAATTGATAGACCGCTAGCAAGACTAATAAAGAAAAAAAGAGAGAAGAATCAAATAGACACAATAAAAAATGATAAAGGGGATATCACCACCGATCCCACAGAAATACAAACTACCATCAGAGAATACTACAAACACCTCTATGCAAATAAACTAGAAAATCTAGAAGAAATGGATACATTCCTCGACACATACACTCTCCCAAGACTAAACCAGGAAGAAGTTGAATCTCTGAATAGACCAATAACAGGCTCTGAAATTGTGGCAATAATCAATAGTTTACCAACCAAAAAGAGTCCAGGACCAGATGGATTCACAGCCGAATTCTACCAGAGGTACAAGGAGGAACTGGTACCATTCCTTCTGAAACTATTCCAATCAATAGAAAAAGAGGGAATCCTCCCTAACTCATTTTATGAGGTCAGCATCATTCTGATACCAAAGCCGGGCAGAGACACAACCAAAAAAGAGAATTTTAGACCAATATCCTTGATGAACATTGATGCAAAAATCCTCAATAAAATACTGGCAAACCGAATCCAGCAGCACATCAAAAAGCTTATCCACCATGATCAAGTGGGCTTCATCCCTGGGATGCAAGGCTGGTTCAATATACGCAAATCAATAAATGTAATCCAGCATATAAACAGAGCCAAAGACAAAAACCACATGATTATCTCAATAGATGCAGAAAAAGCCTTTGACAAAATTCAACAACCCTTCATGCTAAAAACTCTCAATAAATTAGGTATTGATGGGACGTATCTCAAAATAATAAGAGCTATCTATGACAAACCCACAGCCAATATCATACTGAATGGGCAAAAACTGGAAGCATTCCCTTTGAAAACTGGCACAAGACAGGGATGCCCTCTCTCACCGCTCCTATTCAACATAGTGTTGGAAGTTCTGGCCAGGGCAATCAGGCAGGAGAAGGAAATAAAGGGTATTCAATTAGGAAAAGAGGAAGTCAAATTGTCCCTGTTTGCAGACGACATGATTGTTTATCTAGAAAACCCCATCGTCTCAGCCCAAAATCTCCTTAAGCTGATAAGCAACTTCAGCAAAGTCTCAGGATACAAAATCAATGTACAAAAATCACAAGCATTCTTATACACCAACAACAGACAAACAGAGAGCCAAATCATGAGTGAACTCCCATTCACAATTGCTTCAAAGAGAATAAAATACCTAGGAATCCAACTTACAAGGGATGTGAAGGACCTCTTCAAGGAGAACTACAAACCACTGCTCAAGGAAATAAAAGAGGACACAAACAAATGGAAGAACATTCCATGCTCATGGGTAGGAAGAATCAATATCGTGAAAATGGCCATACTGCCCAAGGTAATTTACAGATTCAATGCCACCCCCATCAAGCTACCAATGACTTTCTTCACAGAATTGGAAAAAACTACTTTAAAGTTCATATGGAACCAAAAAAGAGCCCGCATCACCAAGTCAATCCTAAGCCAAAAGAACAAAGCTGGAGGCATCACACTACCTGACTTCAAACTATACTACAAGGCTACAGTAACCAAAACAGCATGGTACTGGTACCAAAACAGAGATTAGATCAATGGAACAGAACAGAGCCCTCAGAAATAATGCTGCATATCTACAACTATCTGATCTTTGACAAACCTGAGAAAAACAAGCAATGGGGAAAGGATTCCCTATTTAACAAATGGTGCTGGGAAAACTGGCTAGCCATATGTAGAAAGCTGAAACTGGATCCCTTCCTTACACCTTATACAAAAATCAATTCAAGATGGATTAAAGATTTAAACGTTAGACCTAAAACCATAAAAACCCTAGAAGAAAACCTAGGCAATACCATTCAGGACATAGGCGTGGGCAAGGACTTCATGTCCAAAACACCAAAAGCAATGGCAACAAAAGCCAAAATTGACAAATGGGATCTAATTAAACTAAAGAGCTTCTGCCCAGCAAAAGAAACTACCATCAGAGTGAACAGGCAACCTACAACATGGGAGAAAATTTTCGCAACCTACTCATCTGACAAAGGGCTAATATCCAGAATCTACAATGAACTCAAACAAATTTACAAGAAAAAAACAAACAACCCCATCAAAAAGTGGGCGAAGGACATGAACAGACACTTCTCAAAAGAAGACATTTATGCAGCCAAAAAACACATGAAGAAATGCTCATCATCACTGGCCATCAGAGAAATGCAAATCAAAACCACTATGAGATATCATCTCACACCAGTTAGAATGGCAATCATTAAAAAGTCAGGAAACAACAGGTGCTGGAGAGGATGTGGAGAAATAGGAACACTTTTACACTGTTGGTGGGACTGTAAACTAGTTCAACCATTGTGGAAGTCAGTGTGGCGATTCCTCAGAGATCTAGAACTAGAAATACCATTTGACCCAGCCATCCCATTACTGGGTATATACCCAAATGACTATAAATCATGCTGCTATAAAGACACATGGACACGTATGTTTATTGCGGCACTATTCACAATAGCAAAGACTTGGAACCAACCCAAATGTCCAACAATGATAGACTGGATTAAGAAAATGTGGCACATATACACCATGGAATACTATGCAGCCATAAAAAATGATGAGTTCATGTCCTTTGTAGGGACATGGATGAAATTGGAAACCATCATTCTCAGTAAACTATCGCAAGAACAAAAAACCAAACACCGCATATTCTCACTCATAGGTGGGAATTGAACAATGAGATCACATGGACACAAGAAGGGGAATATCACACTCTGGGGACTGTGGTGGGGTCGGGGGAGGGGGGAGGGATAGCATTGGGAGATATACCTAATGCTAGATGACACGTTAGTGGGTGCAGCGCACCAGCATGGCACATGTATACATATGTAACTAACCTGCACAATGTGCACATGTTCCCTAAAACTTAGAGTATAATAAAAAAAAAATTAAAAAAAAAAAAAAAAAAAAAAGAAAATTGTATTCTAGACAATAAGCAAAGTCCAGACTTGGGAAAACAGAACAAACTACCTGGTGTGATGGTTAGCTTTATGTGTCATCTTAACTGGGCTATGGGATGTCAAGACAGTTGGTAAAACATTATTTCTGGTTGTTTCACTGTAGGTGTTTCTGGAAGAGACTAGAATTTCAATCAGTAATCTGAGTTAAAAATATCTACTCTCACCCATGTGGCCAAGTATCCTCCAATCCCTTGAGGGCCCAAATTAAAGAAAAATTGGGTAGAAAGGGCAAATTCTGTCTCTCTATGAGCTGGGACATCTATCTTCTCCTACTCTGGGATATTGAAACTCCTGGTTCTCGGACCTTCTTCTAACTCCAGGATTTATACCATTTCCCTCCACCTGCAACCCCATGCCTCTCAGCATCCTCAGACCTTCAGACCAAGACTAAACAATTGTATCATATGCTTTTCTGGGTCTGCAGCTCACAGACAGCATATCATGGGACTTTTTGGCCTCCATAATTCCACAGACCAATTCCCATAATAAATCACCTCTTATATCTATCTATCTATCTGTCTATCTCCTATTGTTTTAGTTTCTCTGGAAAATTCTAACTAATACACCTGGTTTTCTGAACAACAACAACTACTGAAAAACAGAGAGAGAGAGAGAAAGAGGGGTGTAGAAGGCAGAACTTATAGATTAAAAGATAGGTAAGAGATATAAGCAATCACAATGCATGGACTTTATTTTAATCCCAGTCCAAACAACTAAACGGTTAAAAAATGTATAAGATAACCAAGGAAATGTGAACATTGACTGGATATTAAATGACATTAAGAAATTATCAAGATGTGACATTAAAATGTAATAGTGATACCTTATGGTACCATGTATATTTTGCCTCTATC
Organism: Homo sapiens; assembly: GCF_000001405.40. Classification (NCBI taxonomy): domain Eukaryota; kingdom Metazoa; phylum Chordata; class Mammalia; order Primates; family Hominidae; genus Homo; species Homo sapiens. The sequence goes on along the minus strand of NC_000001.11, from coordinate 193,716,940 downwards.
ATTTAGAGATACATACTGAAATACTTACAAATAAAATTATACCTTTATTGGTATTTTCATAAAAATAATTTGGAGACAGCAATGTGTATGGGTGAATATTGATAAAACAATACTGTCTATGAATTTAAAATGTCTGATGCTGCTGCTGAAAACATGGAGTTTGTTATAATATCTCCCGGACTTTAAAAAATATTTGAAATTGTCTATAAAAAGAGTATTTCAAAAATGTATTCTAGTACCAGTTCTTTGACTAACTAGACATAGAACCATCAGAAAATCAGTCAATGTCGACTGGGTGCAGTGGCTCACGCCTGTAATCCCAGCACTTTGGGAGGCCGAGGCGGGCGGATCACGAGGTCAGGAAATCGAGACCATCCTGGCTAACAAGGTGAAACCCTGTCTCTACTAAAAATACAAAAAAATTAGCCAGGCGTGGTGGCGGATAACTGTAGTCCCAGCTGCTCGGGAGGCTGAGGCAGGAGAGTGGCGTGAACCCAGGAGGCGGAGCTTGCAGTGAGCAGAGATCGCACCACTGCACTCCAGCCTGGGTGACAGCCCGAGACTACGTTTCAAAAAAAAAAAAAATCAGTCAATATCTTTTGTGCTTTGTTTCCTCTTTGGTGAAACAATGGATAGAATCCAATTCATATTCATTCAACAAGTATTTACAATATTCATTCCAGCTCCAAACAATGTAATTTTCTATTTCTCCCAGTCTGCCACAATTGTTATTAAAAAATAGTTCCATCACCCACTAACTCTACAATGTCATTTTAAGAATCATTGAATTCATTGATTTGTTTAACTGTTTATTCATTCACTTAGTGCCAGTCAACATGCTAGAAACAGATTTAAAGAATAAAGGCATTGAATTTTGGCCTTATTGTCTAGTCGTGTATAAAATTAATACAATTAATGCAGTGAAGTGAAACTCAAAGTAATAAATTATTTAAGTTAAACTGGATTTTTTGATGTATAAACACAAGATTTTAGACAACCCCCTTCCCCCTCCCTAAAAAGCCTCATTCATAAGAAGTCTCTCTTCTTTACAAGAAAGAGGAAAATTCTCATTCATGTTGGCCAAGGAAGAAAGGGCATCCTTTCATGAGGCCAGAAAAATACCCCTCATCCTTAGAGCAAGTTTCAGAAAAGAGTTTGAGGACAGAGTTTCAATAATTAGGTTTTTGCTCTTTCACTCTCTTTTCCCCTTTTAGAAAAATGCAAGATATAACACCAAGGAAAATTATAGAATGGGGAAATTGTGCTCAAGATATAAGGCATAATTTTAACTTCGTTCTTTGTAGTCTCACAGCCATAGTCAGTGCTTTAAGTTCTTTTCAGTGATTAGAAATAGGCAAACAGTAGTGACCATGCCTCAACCTGCATAGAACAGACCCGAGTCTGTATCTCCACTAATTGAACAAATGGCTCTCCTAGGTTGTTCACACTGGGCCACGTGCAAAAATGGTTATGATGCCTGTTTAATTAAGATAGACAGCGTATCACCTTCTAAAACTCAGTGAATATGTTCAAAACACTGTGTATATGCCCTTATTTTCTTCCCCCTCGCTCTCTCCCCCACTAACCTGATTCAAACCAAATATAAAAACTTTAAAATATTTGGTTTACATAGTTTATCTGAAATCATTGCTTGTACACAATAATAGTCACTGATTTCTTAGACCTTGTTGAAATGCAAAACATTCTGTTAGGAAAACCAAGAGACGTTACATCATCTTTCATAAAACTGGCTTTCTTTTTTCTATTTTAAGAAATGTTTCTTTAAAATGTCATGCCTTGTGGGTGGAGATAGACAGATATAACTAGATGCCTTATTGAAAGCAGTGTGTGACAAACTCAGATTTCAAGAACTTGAGAGAGATTTTAAAACGCAGATATCACAGACTCAAATTTACAGGTGCATCAGTAGTTGAATCTTCTAGTAACTATACTCATCTACAATCTTTTAAGAACTATTTTTCCCCTGGTGCACTGAAGGATCCTGCATTTATGGATATTTCAGTATGTATTATTCTTGACACTCTAATATTGTTAGAAAATTGTGATTTTTTTAAAGCTTCCTTTTCCAGAGTAACAATAATTGATTTATACTTTATTACTGTGTATATGGCAGAGAACTACAAATATATTGTGCCTGTTAATTTTTAGTTTAAATATTTCAGATGCTTGCCACTGATCTAATTCTCTTCAGATCAGCTTCCCTTGACCCCGTAGATTCTACCAAATTTTCCTATTATTCTTTTCTATTAAACTCTGCCCTGCATCCATCCCAGTCACACCTTTCGCCTCGGCTCCTGATTATTTAACGTCTCGCTATTTCATTAGTAATGCATATTTAATACTTTCTGAGCCGAATCATTTATTGATATGTAGAGCTGGCCCAAGAGAATGGAATCAGGTCACTTTGGGGCACATAGCCAGAACTGTTTTCCTAAATCCACAACCACAGAACCCTCATAGGTTTGCAATTTCTTTCCCTTCATCAGGGTTCTCATATGTTAGTATGTATCAGAATCACTTGGAGGGCTTGTTGAATCAGACTGCTGGGCTGCACCTGATTCAGCATGGCTGCGGAGGGCCTGACTATCTGCATTTCTAACAAGTTCCCAGTTGAAGCTTGTGTTGCTAGTCAAGTCCACATTTTACAACAGCTCTAGATGAAGGTCTGTGATTATTGAGGCTCTCAGTTATTTCCATCCAATTTAATATATAATTCTATTTTTTCCTATATCTGGAAGAATTCAACAGATTCTTGCCAAAAATGGCCACATCCCATCAAAAATAGTAAACAATGATAATGCTCTATATAATTTTATTTAATCTCAAAAAGCATTTACTTTTATAGTTATTGACATGGTTCATAGAGGTAATGCAAAAAATTACCTATATTTTGTTATGTTTCTACTTTTCCTATTAAATAGGTTTTGTGTTCTGTTTTATTGATAAACTACAGATCAGAGAGATTCAGAGAGTTGCCCAAGGCAAATCAGCTAATAAATGGAACTAGGACTTAATCCTAGGATATGCATAGATGAGTTTTCCTACAGTCCCTTCCTACGCAAAGTATAATCCTCAGGCCAGCAGCACTGCCCCTGACTGGAAGTCTGACACACAGACTCAGGTGCCATCTCAGACCTATTGAATCAGAATCTGCATTTTTACCAAGAGCTTAGGTGATTCTAGGCATAGCAAAATTTGAAAAATACTTTTCTACCTCCCTAAAACAAATAACTTCAGTGAACTTCTTTTGCCTACCAATTTGAGTGCCAGTTTTCACTTTTTAGCACAATTCTGAAGTTTACTCAGCTCGGGTATGAATTTTAGTAAGTGTACCTATGTAATATCTTCCAAGTCAAAATGGACAGGCTCTATCTTCTCTGCCATGTTAAGATTCTATGTACATGTAGTTATTTGGAGACTGGAGATAAATGAGAATTACTTAAGATCATTTTAATTAAAAAAAAAATGAGAGACAAGATCTTTTTTTTTTTTTTGAGACGGAGTCTCAATCTGTTGCCCAGGCTGGAGTGCAGTGGCGCCATCTCGGCTCACTGCAAGCTCCGCCTCCCGGGTTCATGCCATTCTCCTGCCTCAGCCTCTCAAGTAGCTGGGACTACAGGTGGCCACCACCACACCCAGCTAATTTTTTTTTGTATTTTTAGTAGAGACGGGGTTTCACCGTGTTAGCCAGGATGGTCTCGATCTCTTAACCTTGTGATCCACCTGCCTCGGCCTCCCAAAGTGCTGGGATTATAGGCGTGAGCCACCGCTCCTGGCCAACATCATTGTTTTAACAGTAAGTTATGGGATTTTGTTTTTGCTTTTTTATTAAAAGTATTTTATTCCCCAAAGCACCTCACAAGGGGTCTTCCGTAAAGTCACAACCCAATAACATCCTTTTGCTTATATTAAATTGAACAGTATCCGTAACTATTGCTTATTTTTTAGCACTTTATGAATTAAGTTTGACTAGATTAATCCCTATTTTCAAATAAAATCTTTCACCAAAGATAGCCCAGTGAAACTGTTATATTTTAATAAATGCTATTTCTCAAGCTAAAATAAAGACTCAGGCTAAGCAAAACTATATCAACACTATGCCAGAAGTCTTGGAACAAGCATGAAGATCTACAAAGTAAATTAAATTTTCTGTTACTATCTCCATCCCATGACCCTCTCTCTCAACCCTTCATCTAAAATTGCCACAAATGTTCTGTAACTGGGTCAAGGCACACTTGCTTGGGGGAACAAAGACATATTAAGGAACATTCAATATGTCTCAGACATAAGGAGCAAGTGAAGCAAATGTAATATCCTGTCATAAGATGCAAGCATAATTTTCTGCTGTGCCCAGCTTTTGTCCTCAATTGTCAACATGTGACTGTCTTCTCTGACACTCATCAGAAATGCTTTGACTAAATCACAGGAACTTATTTTTATTCAGTATTTGTTTTGCTTCTATCTACAGTAGTTCCCCCATTATCTACAGCTTTGCTTTCCACAGTTTCAGTTACCTGCAATCAATTGCAGTCCAAAAATATTAAGTAGAAAGTTCCAGAAATAAACAATTTATAAATTTTAAATTGAACAGTGTTCTGAGTAGCATGATGAAATCTCACATCATTCTTCTCCATCCTGCCCAGACACGAATTCTCCCCTTTGTCCACCATATCCATGCTCTATATGCTCCCCACCCATTAGTTATTTAGTAGCCATCTCAATCATCAAATCAATTATCTTGGTATTAGAATTGCAGTGCTTGTATTCAAGTCATCCTTATTTCATTTAGTTGTGGCCCCAAAGCACAAGAATAGTGATGCTGGCAATTCAGATATGCCAAAGAAAATATGTAAATTGCTTCTGTTATGTGAAAAGGCTAAAAGTTCTTGACTTAATAAGGAATGAAAAAAAAATTGTAGGCTAAATGTTGCTAAGATCTACAGTAAGAACAAATCTTCTATCTGTGAAACTGAGGAGAGAAAAGGAAATTTCTGCTAGTTTTGCTGTTGCACTTCAAACTGCAAAAGTTACAGCTACAGCCTCAGTGCATGATAAGTGCTTAGTTACGATGGAAAAAGGCATTTGAGACCAGCCTAGCCAACATGGTGAAACCCTGTCTCTACTAAAAATACAAAAATTAGCCAGGCGTGGTGGTGTGCACCTGTAATCCAAGCTACTCAGGAAGCTGAGGCAGGAGAATCGCTTGAACCCTGGAGGCAGAGGTTGCAGTGAGCCCAGACCGCGCCATTGCACTCCAGCCTGGGCAACAGAGAGAGATTTCATCTCAAAGAAAAAAAAAAAAGGCATTAAATTTGTGAGTGGAAGGCATGAACAGAAAATGTGTTCTAATTGACAGCAACGTATTGTGTCAGAAAGCATTCAGCCTATAAGAAGACTTCAGCAAGGGATTTCCCAAAGCAAATGACACCAAGATATTTACTCAAGTTAGAGATAGTTATGTAGACTCAGGAATAGGTTTGGACTGAAAAATATTAAAATTACTGGAGAGCCTGTATTTTCCAATCAAGAAGCTGCTGCCATATTTCCAGCAGTGTTGAAGCAGTTGACTAAGGAGAAAGAATACCATCTAAAGCAATTCTTCAGTTGCAAGGAAACTGGGCTTTTCCAGAAGATGATGCCCAGTGGAACCTACATTCATTAAAGTGCAAAGGAAATACCAGAGCACCAGACATGGAAGGACAGATTAACACTGGTACTTTGAGGCAGCGCTGCAAGGTATATGATAAAACCACATGTATTGTACAGGGTGAAGAACTCATGTACTCTAGAAAACAATAACAAAAGTTGTCTGCCCATGTTCTGGCATTATAATCAGAAAGCCTGGATGACAGCCATCTCATTTATCAAACAGTTTGACCAATGCTTCATCTCAGATGTAAAAAAAATACTTGGACAAGGAAGGGTTGGAATTTTAAGTCTTATTAATACTAGACAATGCACCTGGTCATCCTTAACATGTTTGCTATGAAAATGAAAAACTCAAAGTTGTGTTTTTACCTCCAAATATAACTTCATCACTTCAGTCCCTTGATCAGGACATCCTTAAGATTGTCAGGGTCATATGCACCTACCTAGTATGTGATTGCATTTGATCAGCACCTGATACAGACCCTAATCTGGAAGTAATGTAGTGCTGGAAATCATTCACTATTGCTGAGGCAGTAACATTCATCAAAGCTGCAATCTTTGAATTAAAATCAGAAACTGTTAAGTGCCTGCTGGAAGAACTTATGGTGGAGTGAAGTAAGGAATGATTTTAAAGGCTGCCCAGGGATCAGTGGAAGAGTTAGTAAAATCATTCATGCAGCAAGACAAGTTGGTGGAGAAAGATTTGCCAACATGCTTCATGAAGAAATGGAAGAACACACTGAAGGCCATTGAGAAGTGTTAAAAATATGTAAGAAATTGGAAAACCTTGTTGAATCATCTACAGAGGAAGATAAAGATAAAAACAAACTGAAGCAGACCTAGCAATGTGGATATTATGAAAATGTGCCAAAGTGCTTCAAATTGTGCAGACATTAAAGGACAAAATTATGGAATAAGATCCTCCGATGGAATGCAGCATTAGTCACAACCTCTGCAGCAATACATTGATGAATTGAAAGGAGACAACAACTTCTGATTATAATGTTCTTCCAAAAGATTCTGGCCAAAAACCCTTTCAACTATCAAGGATACCCAACCATCAACATCATCTGTCTCATCATGATTGCTTGGGTTCAAATCCCACCTCTGCCCAGCTGTGTGATCTTGAATAAATTATCAAAATATTTCTTAGTTTTTCCATCTGTAAAAATTAAAAAAATAATAGTGTCTTTTTCATACAGTTACTAACTGGATTCAAAATGATAAACCATAACATTCTTTCTATGTATTAAAGTCTAAAATTTGCTTCTCAGTCCTAATATCTTTGCTATTCAACATGATTATAGCTTGATTTTCCTTAAATGCCAAACTACTAGTACAGAGCACTTGCCAAATTTACCGTATCACATGAGGTAAGATGAGCACTTGGAACTCAGCAGGTAAGTGCTAAATTGCCTAATGCTGATTCTGAACTTACTCAAGGTCAACAGGAAAACTAAAGCACAGCAACTGGCAAGCCTGGCTTCATCATTCATGGCATTTCTGCTGAATCATTAGCTCCTTGCTGGCACATTCAGCAGATTCTTATGTCAGGTGTCCCAGTACACTGATCTTTTGATGCACCCTAGGCACTCAGTGAGCTAGAGTCAATAGAAGGAAGAAATGCAAAAGAGTCAGATTAAAAATATAAGCCTTTAGTATAAATTTAGCAAGACTTATTTTCATAAGCCAAAGAAATAGATCTCCTGACACTATGGTTAAGAGGTTAGAAGTATAGATATTGACATAGAAGTATAGATATCAATATAGATGCAGACATAAATATAGATCAAATACGCTACGTTGAATTACATTTGTCAATAGAGCTTGGCTATAACCATTTCCATGAACTTTTTCTTGATAATACTGGTCTTTGGATCAATTACAAAATCTTATGCATTCTTTTGTCAGGACTATGAAGAGAAAGGAATCAGATAATAAATGAGGCTATAAGTAATTTGTAAATATTACCATGTAGAGAAGAGTGAATGTAATATCCCCTTTATGCTACTATAACAGAACACCATAGACTGGGTAACTTACAAAGAATAAAAATTTATTGGCTCACAGTTCCGGAAGCTGGGAAGTGCAATATCAATGCAGGTTTGCCAATTCCAATCCTAGATGGTGCCTTGAATACTATGTTCTCTAGAGGGAAGAAAGGCTTCATGTTTACATGGCAAAAGGGCAAAGAAAGAGTGCCCACTCCCGTAAGCCTTTTCTTATTACAGCATTTATTAATTCATGGCTTAATCGCTTTTAAAGGTCCCAACTCAATACTGTTACCTTGGCAATTAAATTTGAACATGAGTTTTAGAATATACAAAAACATTCAAACCTAGCAACAAAGGAGGAGTCAAGGAAGTTAAAGACATAAGCAGTATCATGTGGGGTAAACATGTTCTTCTGACAGTGTCATCAGAAGACGTTTTGTGATGGAACACGATGGTCATCCACCACGCTGTTGATCTCAAAACATTAGAAACGTGCCCTGAATCCGACTGGCTTCCTCTTAACAACTTATGTATATAATATTCTTAATGTTACTTAAAATTATTTAATCAATTTATATTTTTAGTCAGTTCTAGGTTTAACTACATGATGCAGGACCCTCAAACCTCACTACCATTTTTTAAAAATCCCTAAAGTTACCTCCACAAATAGAATGTCCTTTTTCATTATGGATTTACCTGTTTACATCTGGACTTCAACCACATTCCCCCATTCACCATATCTTTTAACACTTTTATTTTTAAACATTGTCTGATCTTCTTAGTACCTACATATTTGAAAGATTTTTTCTTTCCATTTTCATTTATTTACCCTGGACCTTCTTTAGTGCTATGGTGTCTGTCTTGCAGTGCAGCAACCAAAACTGTATGCAGCATTCTAGGTAGCACTACAAGACGATATCCAGAGTTAAAAGCTCAAAATGACAGTAGTATAGTCTGCAAGTAACATGTGAGTGGTGAGCTGCGAGGGTAACCTGTGTTAACCTGAATGCTAATAGCTCATCAAAATGTTCTGAAAACAATACCCTGACATAAATTAATCATTCATGGTTCAGGTAAAAATTTCTATGGTTAGATCCTTGGAAACAGATTTTAGAATCAATGAAGAGTGCTTGTAGATGAAGAAGGGATTCTTGTCGATTAAAAATGAGGTGTAGGGAGAGCTTTTTATTGGACTATGTAGAAAAGGAAATTTACCACCTTTTTGACATTTCAGGGGTGGTATTCTACAGGCCATTTCCTTACACTGTCATATAACACTGCTTATAATTAATCCTGTATTTATTCTCAGGAAGTTTAAGTCAAGGAAGCAGTGGTTTTCAAATCACCCCGGTGTTAACACTCATTACTCACCAGAGGCTGCAATAATATGTAAGAGGTTAGCTGACAGATTAAACTGAAATTGAGCATAGGCTATTTGTATTTTAATCTTCCATGACCAGTTTGTTTGACATTAGTATAAATTTAAGAAGCCTGAAAAGCATAGCTAAAATAAACAATCAGTCCAACTCTGTGATCTCATTCCTCAGTCCTCATTCTTACCCTCACTCTGAGTGCTAGTGCGTGTTTGTGTGTGTGTACTATAGGGAGTGGCACTGAGGGGCAAGAAAAAGTGAAATAGGCACAAAAGTGAAAAGGCACAATTAACTTTACTTTGTGAAATGAAAGTAATAAATTGTGTCCCATTGTAGCCCTGAAGCTGCTCTTCATTTATAAAATGTGGATAACTATGACCCATAGAGCTTAATGAGTAACAAAAGAAATTGTATATTCCAAATATTTACTGCACTACAGTGACTTCATAGAGATGTTCTTGAGCATTGAATCATTACAATATTGCACAATCTCACCCCTTAAGGCAAGATAGGCAAGGGGTGATCATTGTCATCTTGGAAATATTTGGGGTTTAAATAATCAAAAGGTAAATGGGACTCCTTTATATTTCAGACATACTGAGAAGCAGATAAAATAGTGTTTGTGTGTGTTGCTCTCGGTTTACAAACACAATCTGAATCAAATTGCTTGGGTTCAAATCCCACCTCTGCCCAGCTGTGGGATCTTGAATAAATTATCAAAATATTTCTTAGCTTTTGCATCTATAAAAAGTAAAAAAAAAAAAGTACCTTTTTCATACAGTTATTAACAGGATTCAAAATGATAAATCATTAGAAAAACATGGCACACAGTAAGTACCCAATAAACACTATTATTATTAATCAGTAACCTATGTGTACATGCATCAAAGATATCTCCTAATAGGCTTCTCCACTAACCACAGTATTTGACCCAGTGAATAGATAACAATGGAGTCACAGCAAAGCTGCCAAACTGAATGTACTCAAGCTTGCTTCATGTTTTAAGCACTAAAGTATATTTGACATTGCATTTAAAAATATCAGAGTAACATAATGTAAGCCAAAATTCCACAACCATTTTAGAAATATGTGGTTTGTAAAGAAGATAAAGTCTTACCCATAATTATTTAAGAAATGTTAGATTTAAAATAATTTTTGGCCAATTTTTCTAGTTTAACTCAACATTTTTGCAAATACATATCATTCTGAATTATTTACTGATATCTGAAATGTAATGAATAAAATTCTATATTATAACAGAATTTTTACTGGCACTACAAGAATGGATTTTAGAATACTGATTAAAAGTGCTAGGAATTGGAGTCAGAAAAAACTTGATTCAAATTCCTACTCTAAGGGAGAAAGAGAGATACCAGTCATGGGGTACAAAGTTTTAATAATATAAGATGAATAATTCCCAGAGATCTATTGTACAACATAGTGCCTATAATAACAATACTGTGTTATATGCTTACAAATGTGCTAAGAGTGTATATTAAGTGTTAACTAATCATACCAAAAATTGTTTATTCATAAGGTAGGAGGAAACATTTTGGAGGTGATGGATATGTTTATGGCATACACTGTGGTGACAGTTTCACTTGTGTATACTTATCTCCAAACTCATCAAGTCATATAGAGTGAATATGTACAGCTTTTTGTATGCCAATCATATTTCAATAAAGTGGTTTTTAAAATGCCCTATTCTGCTGTTCAATCCTCTATGATTATGGAAGATTGTATTTCTAAGATCTGACTGCAGTAATATTTCCCATCCCTCATGATCTTCATATAATGCATCTTGAATTTCATCCATTAGAGTGGTGATGTATATATTTCCTCCCCTTGAAACTGGGCAGATCTTTATGATTGCTCAATCAACCGACTATGACAAAAGTAACACGTATAAGTTCTGTGGCTTGATCATAAAAATGGCCCATTCTTCTGCTTTGCTTTCTTCTAGTGCTTATCCTTGGAACCCAGCCACCATGCTGTGAGGAAGCCCAAACTACTCCACGTAAAGGGAGCTCATGGAGAAGCCTCCGGTAGGTGTTCCTGCCAAGAGATGAGCTGAGAGTCCAACCAACAGCAACATCGACTGCCAGACACGTGAGTGAAGATGTCTCCAAAAGATTATAGCCCAGACATCCAGTCACCCTAGCCCCAAATATCAGATCCCTGCTTCATTCCATCCAAAGTCCTGCTCATAGAATCTGTAAGATTAATGAAGTAGTTGTTGTGTATGACTAAGCTCTAGAGTGGTTGTGCAATGATATTAATTGGAACAGTAACCCTGGGCGAGTAATATAGTCTAACCTTCACACTTCTGTCTTCAGCTTGGGGATACTAGCACCTATAACACAGAGATGAGGAAGAATAGATGACACAGATGGTGATATTAAAGTGTAGGTATTCACAGCTTCTCCCTCCCCAACGCTGCTTGGGAGTCTTTGTGTTGACTTGCTCTGGAGATTTTGTGGTGTTGATCAAGGTAATGTGTAAAAAATGCAGTATAGGAAAAAAGAAGAAACAAAGAGAATAAAATCACCAAAGACTCCTAGAGAATGAGAATATTCAGATATTTACAAAGAAATTTTAGAAATGTTTGCTAAGAAACATATTTTAGGATACAAATTTAGAACATTTTGCTATGTATCTTATTGCTATGTATCTTGAAAACATTTCTCGGTATCTTCAAGACAGCTTTTGGAAATTCAGACATTATTTTTCAGTGTTTTGTATAAATTTTGTGTTTATTTTAGACATGATGCTGTGCTAAATGGGCCTTAAAGAAAGAGCCAGATGACCCAGTTTTACTTGGGTTGCACCAAACTAAACAGAGTGCTTGTTAACAATAATCTAATGGATAGAATCTCAAATAATAAGAACACAATGATAGAATAGTATTTGATTATTAATCATGGATCTCACATGTAAATCCTTATTAGCATTTTCTGAGCCACATCTTTTTACTTCACAGTTCACAATACCTTGCTAGAAAAAAAAAAGTGTGCTTGAATTTCATTCAACTTTATTTTCTGCATCAAAAATAGGTTAATTCTATGAAAACAAAACAGTTCTAAGATGTAGATCGCTTCAACAAATATTTACTGAATGGAATTTTTTTTTTTTATAAAAGCACTGCATGAGCCAAGAATAAAACAAAGAAGTACATATATTGTTTCTTTCCTTGAAACACCTGTATTCTAGTTAGGAAGAAAAGGAATGAGCATATGAACAAGTACAGTAGCTCCCCTTTATACCTGAGGGATATGTTCCAAGACCCTCCGGGGAATGCCAGAAACCACAAATAGTACCAAAACCTATGTATGTGATATTTTTTCCTATACATACATAGCCATGTATGACAAAGTTTAAGTTACAAATTAGACATAGTAAGAGATTAACAATAATAAAATTGAACAATTATAACAACATACTATAATAAAATTTTGAGAATGTTTTCTGTGTCTCATAAAACATTTTAGTGTACTATACTGCAAGTAACTGAAATTACAGAAAATGAAATCACTGATAAGAAGGGAGTACTGTAAACCATAAGTATATGAGGGTCAGATTACAATTTAAGCCAAGAACAGAAGAATCTTCATAAGACATGTCAAGAGAACAATACAGATCCCAAGTGTTATGCACTCAAAGAATTACTGGCTAGATTCTGGGAAGATTCGGAAACATTTTCTATATATCAAAGTGCTAAACAAGTGAAGGAGAAATAAGACTGAGTATGCAGAAAGAAGGAGAAAAGTTATACTGATCCAAGGTATAAAGCTGAAAAGCTATTTTTTGTGTTGGTTGTTTGGTTATTTGGTTTTTGGTTTGCTTTGCTTTCCTTTTGGTAAACTGGCTGTAGCAGAGAAGATGTATATAAGGTAACTCAGTAATAAAAGTAAAGTTGGCAGATAGGAGAATGTGGTGAGTTTAAACATTTTCCTAGAGTCATCAAGGATTCAACAACTTCAGAAGGAAAGAGCAAGATAAAATATTTTGCAATGCTTATTCTGAAGGCGCCATGCAGGATGAATTGGACAGAAAATTGGAAGCAGGGCAACATGTTATTAGCTACTGCCAAGTATGTGATAATAGGGGCCTGAATTATTCAAAAACCATTAAAAAGGCTGGAAGAATATTTTGATATCACTGAGTACAGCCTCTTGATTTAGAAATGATGAAACCTTAGACAAATACCATGACTATATAAGTCAATAAGTGACAGATCTAGATTAGAAACAAAATCCTCAGATTTTAATTCTATTCTTCCTTTAATACTATGAAATACCTCCTAAATATATATTATTAAATAACCTGACAATTGACCACATAACCCCAGGTGTCATCTAAATAACTGTCTCTCATTAGAAGCCAGAGCTCATGACACAAGAGGAGAGAATAGATTTCAGCATGTCTTTGAACTCACATGTTCCAGAATTTGTCTTTAAAATAACATCACAGTCATGAGATTACATTAGAATCACAGTAATACATTTATATGAACCTTGTCACAGTGAGGCTTATATAAATTATCACTAGAAGCTTTTGTCAGAATAAACTCAGCATTGAGATTGTGAGTAAAATTACTGGTTTACTTACCAGTCTTGACAGTTTAAGGACATATCTCAGGCAGGTATTCAAAGAATGTCTACACAAGGCTGCTTATAAACATTTTTTCTATGTCTAAGTTACTTTCATGTATTTATTTCTGCTTTGTTTCTTCAATGTATTTGGAAGTCAATATAAAGTAGATGACAACAGAAATGGAAGCTCAGCCTGTACTGTAATTGAAACTATGCAAACTTTATCCAGTTAATGCTGCAGAGCCATAAAATTATTCCTATCTCCTAGAATAGTTGCAATTCCATGATAGCATTTGGAGTGCATTATAGGAAGAGTTCTCTAATAAAGAATGAATAAATGAATGGGTTTAGATTAAGAATGACCTCATAATTTTATAATTCAATGCAGCTAAATGTTGCTTAAAATTTGGCTCCATATGTGTCATCTGTTAAATAATTAATGTAGCATTTAGCTGATTTAGAAAGAATTGAAATATTTTTATGCTGGAACAAGTGATCATCTTCTTATAGCAAACATGAGGCTATTTAATGATTGTGACCAAAACTAAAGCATTACTACCAATTGATTGCCATAGACTTAATTGTTGTCAATTGGTTTGAATAGTAAGGATTCCTTACAAATATGTATCTTAAGCTAAACTCACCAAACCCCTAAATTAACATTATTGATGTCATAATTACCTATGTTGCAAAAAAAGAGAAATTTGTTTAACCAAAATGTTTAAATAGTGGAGTCATAAACACCATCTCAATCTTCTTTGTCCATCTCCCAAATGAAGCTATTTTGAAATGCAAACAATTTGCAAACATTGCATTTACACACACATATACACACATATATATCACATGCAAACATATACACATACATTTACATGTTATGTATATGTTATCTAATAAAATAATTTTGCATACTTGTGGCACTTTTTTCTGTAAGCCAAGTAGGTGCTGAGTATGTATCTTTGATGATATCCTCTTACATTACTTTATAGTAAGCTATTTCATATCTTTACCATTTCGCCAAATAAAAACAATCTTCAGATCAGCCCATTATAAGATATGCTCAGACAGTAACATGTAAATATGCATGAAGATCCAGAGGGAAACCTTTCTGAGACTGCTTTAAACACCTAGAATAAAGGAGAAATGATTTCAGCAGTAAAAGAATCAGCAGGGACAGAAAAGTGCCAACTCTGATTAGAAGCCTTGAAAGCACTAACTGCAGCATCTCAAGGTAAAATAGAATTTTCAATAACTCACCCTGCATCACAGTGCTTGCAAGTGGTGAGAGGTGATTGGAGGGGAAAATAGAATTTGACCTTTTCTTGGTGAAGTAAAAGAAGAAGTTCATCCATTGAACTGGAAGCTTTTAGTGGAGTTACTAGAAGACAAAGCCACATGCTTGAAAGGAACAGAAAGTGCAGAGCTTCACAGTTTTATCACAGAAGGTGCTTCAATCAGTTGACATTTGATTGAAACTCAAAGAATTTCTGCAGAACTACTGAACAGTCACCTTTAAGATTCAAAGTTTCTCATAGATTTCTATTTATTAAATTCAACACACATAGAACACTGCAAAATTCATTAGGTCCTTTAGAAAACCTTATTGCATTGTACAGCATATCAAAGCACATTTAAAAAACTGTCTGTATAAAACTTATGGATAGAGTTCATGAAATGTTAAAATAAATGTTTGTCTTGTATTGAGCTGCACACAAAATACACTCCTTCCTCTTTCCATGTAGCATTGCTTTTTATTTTTTTGAAAATTACTGATATCAGAAGGCCTACCTCATAATGGATTATCTTGTTTGATTTTCCCATGAAATACTTAATTTAAAAAAATGAGTTTTCAATCGATGATGGCTCTGAAAAGGTAACATGCAGATGTTTAATAAGGATTTTTTTTTCAGGTTCGTGGTAAAGTGTTAGTTTATTTTCTTAACCTAACGTTTTAACATCTACTTAGGCTGTCTTCCCTTTATCACTGTAACCTTGGTAACTTCACAAATCAAAGGAACTGGAAGGGAGTAATGGTTTTTTATCCTATGTTGTATCTTAGAACTAATTTGCAGTCATTTAAAAAGAAGGACTAGTCCACCTCTAAAGAATCCTGATGTGACTCATCACTGATTCATTTCTTTTTACCCAGCAGGATGCACCAAATAGAGAGTAAATATCAGCTTCATGAATGAATAATGAAAATGGAGAGATAACTGAATGAATCATACTACTCATCATTAGAAGAGTTATATTCACCAGAAACCCACTAAGACCCCACGTAAGATAAATGTCACATTCTGACAAAAGCACCAAGAAATAGAAGAAGAAAAACAATGTATGTGAATAAAGTGAACAACCAGAAACTAAATAAGTATCGTCTAGGGTGTGGTGGCCAGAATACTACTTTCCCCAAGATGCCCAAGGTCTTCATTCTTGAAACCTGTGGCAAAAAGGACTTAATAGGCTAACTTACTGAGTTAGGGTTCTTGAGATGGGAAGATTATCCTGACTTTACAGGTAGACCCAGCGTTTACCAGGATCCCTGTAAGAGCAAGGCAGGAATGACAGAATCAGAGAAGATGATGTAGTGACAAAAGCAGGGGTCCGAGTGATGCCACTGCTGGCTTTGAAAATGAAGGAAAAGGCCACCGGCCAAGGAAGGCAGGCAGCTTCACGAAGCTGGAAAAGACTCTCCCCTAGAGCCTCCAAAAACATGCAATCCTGCCAATGCCTTGATTTGGCCCAGTGAAACCCATTTCAGATGTCTGACCTCCAAAAACAGAAGATTTAGAAAGATTTTTTTTTTGTTTTTTTTTTTTTTAAAGTTCAAAGGTACATGTGCAGGTTTGTTACAAAAGTAAACGTGTATCATGGGGGTCTGTTGTGCAGATTATTTCATCACCCAGGTATTAAGCATAGTACCCATTTGTTATTCTTCCTCATCCTCTCCCTCCTCCCACCCTCCACCCTCCAATAGGCCACAGTGTGTGTTGTTCCCCTCTGTGTGTCCGTGTGTTCTCATCATTTAGCTCCCACTTATAAGTGAGAACGTGCGGTATTTGGCTTTCTGTTCCTGCATTAGTTTGCTAAGGATAATGTTTTAAGCTACTAAATTTGTGGTAGTTTGTTACAACAGCAATAGGAAACTAATATACTGGGCTATTACTTCTTGATTTCCAAATCTGCTTTTAATAAAGAGGAATCATTTTCATTTGAAAATAAGAAGAGTGTGAGCAAAAGAACACAAAGAAATATGTGAAATCGTCTGCCTGTCCATTTTAAAGAATACTGCTTATTCTAATCATGTATATAATGCAGAGAGAGGTGCAAGTGGTATATCTGGATGATGCTAAGGGGAGAATTTATTTATCTATGACTTTTAAGCCAAAGTTAATTAAGCTGGAAATGCCTTCTCACCATCTGAGTTTTCCATCTTGCTGTTCAAAAATGTAGTTGTTAACAAAGGATACTTCAGGTATTCAATTTAGAAATGATTTCTTTTCTTCTTTGTCAGATCCTAATCACAAGGGAATTCATAATTAAAAATACCTCTAAACCTTGAAAGATAGAAAGCCAACAGTCCCACGTTTCATATAAATACGCAAATTTTCTTTATGACTCTTTTAAATGAACCTGCTTTCTCCATTGTGCAAGGATGATAAGTATCCTATTGCACTAATAACATTTCAATATTATTAACTATGTTTTCCTTTCATGTCTAAAATAAGTACCTGGTTCCTGGTTAAGAAAAATCTCTTGAGAGGAATGGCTGCTTAATGGTGTTTGTTTCTATAAACACGAAATATGTCATTAATCCAGTTTTATCCCAGAGAGGATAGTTGTTTACATGCATTATGGTGATTTTATTGTATCTTATTAAGGAATAATGGCAAACTAAAGCAACTGCGTTAACACAGTCTTGTAATAAAAAGTAACGTTTTTGCTATTCTAATTAGTTACACTCATTTTGAGAGAATGAAGCTAGATGTTTAGTTATATTTGAGTCTCCGAAAAGGAATGCCTTCCATTGGTTTTTAGCACAGGTGCACTAAGCTGCTTGTGCACGACTGTTTCAGAAGCAAGGCCAAACATTTTCAGAAAAAAGCTGGTCACATCTCCAGAGGTTTCTCAATAACTATGTGCAAAAAACGAGGCCTCCCAACAAAAATTGTATATTGAACTAATTGTCCCTTAACGTAATTAATTAGCTATATAGTTGGCTATTTGCCCTACTGTAGGATCAAATATAGGCACACTTATTTGCACTTGAGCAGTTCTGAACCTATGGATTTGTATTCACGTGTGTAAAAACAGTAGGTGCTTTCAAAAATTTACTCTCAGTAGTTTGCCTCTCACTTCAAACACAGCTATATATATATTTTTTAATTTACCTTTCTTTAATAAATACATTGGGAGTGTCAGTAAGTTGCCTTCTCCTCCCTAGCACCTGCTGCTTTTCATAATCGTCACCATTCTCTATGAATGAGTGATGAGATCAACTCTGCTGAGAATCTTTTTGTGAACAAATATGGAAAGGGCATTTGCGTGGAAACAGTTACTCTAATAATTATAAATGTCAGCTTTCTTTTCCACAAACTGTAACTATGAAATTGGTTTCTTATTTTTAGTGAAGTAAAGGATTGAATCCTTTTTGCATTACCTCAACAACAAAAGCATGCCATTGATTTAATGTGAGATTTGTTTTATCTTTATTACATTCACAAGAATGAAGTGTCAATGAACCATGATATACTGGAGCCAAAGCAGAATTTATTTCATCCGGATAAATCTAAGGGCTGTCGTCTGTATCTTAATTGTGAGTCAAGTGAAGGCCACTGGCTCTCTTCAGACTCACAGTTAACAGGTCTGTATATGAGTAAAGTCAAATCCTAGATTCCCTCTCATAAGTGTATGGTAAAATACACCTATGTAATTTAGGTACACCTATGTATTTAGAGGAGAGTGGTGAAAAAAGCTCAAGATCAAGAATGAATAAGAAAAAAATGGCCTAAGAGAACTGAACTCAGAAATGGTTTTAGTACATTCTTAACATATGGCAAGCAGGTGCTATTATGCGTCAGTATATCACTACTTACTTACAAGTTCCTATAGAAAAAAAAAGTTCAAGAGCAACTGTCAACCACCTGTGTCAACTACCTTTGGAGTAGTTGGAAAACCATTTTTTTTCTACCTAGAGTCCTTGTAGTATAAGGAATTTCACAGGATCTAAGTTCTGTTAGGACACAAACGTTAAGTCTAGGTCTCTCTTGTTAATAATGCATGCAGCCCGAGACACCAAGCACAATGCCTGGTAAATATTTGTTGAATAATGATAAATGTGTAACTAATTCAGACAAATAAACTTCCAGTAAATGAAACCATCACCTCTTCAAAACCACCAGAAAAATCAGCTTTGAACAAAGCTATGTTTAGTAGACCTATTGCATTAAGGGAGAATACTATCTTGATAGATTCATGTGTTGTCCAGAGGAGGAACTTTATAGAGGAATATATTTATAGAGTTTATAGCCTCGCCTGAATGATTTTAAGGTGAGTCTTTCAAGGCAGGGAATCTGTTAGAATTGGGCAGTTTATGACATAATATCTTTGAAGTAGTGAGTGCAGTGTGGCAAGTATTGAAACAAGTCTTGATGTGTGTGTGTATAATACATAAATATATATATATTGCATATTATAATAAATTCATTATATAATAAATTCATTATATAATAAATATTATTAGATTAATATATAAATGTATCTAAATATATAAATGTTATTATATAATAAATAAATTTATTATAAGGATTAAATTATGGAGGCTGGCACGTCCTGAGATCCACAAGGTGAGTCAGCAAGCTGGAGACCCAGAAGAGCTAATGGTTTAGTTCCAGTCTGAGTACAGAACAGTTCCAGTTCAAAGGCCAGTAGCCTTGAGACCCAGGAGGAGCTGGCATTTCTGTTGAGTCAGAAGTCTGGCAAAACAATAGATATCCTAATTTGAAAGCCTCCAGGCAGGAAAAGTTCTCCCTTACTCCTGGGCGGGACAGCCTTTTGTTCTCTTCCTGCCTTCAACTGACTGGATTAGGCCCACCTATATGACAGGGCAATCTACTTTACTCAGTCTGTAAATGTTAATCTCATCAAAAAAGTCTCAGAAACACCAAGAATAATGCTTGAAAAAATACCTGGGAACCCTGTGGTTCAGTCAAGTTCATCCATAAAATTAACCATCACTCTTGATAAGTAAGCTACTTTAGTTGATTCACGTTGTGATCGTCCAGGAGTTAGTGGCTAAGTTATGTTTGCTTGTTGTCAGTACAGTTTCACATAGGAACCATGTGTCCTGGTATGGGTTAATTATTTTGGCCTCGGTTTCCAAACTTTTATCTTACTTTCTGTTAGAATTTCATGTTTAAAAAGAAAGGTCCTTAAGCCAATGCAGTCAAATTTCCTAACCAAGAAATCTAATAGTTACCTTATAACTAACAAATTTGACATTACACTGCTAAATACGAAAACTACATGAACAGCTTGAGCATATCCAGATAAACAATATTTTCACATAGTACATGCAGAGAGTTGAGGAAATATTTTGGAGTTTAAAATATCTAGATAGTTATCTCAGTCCCCATCTGATAGTGAAGATGCACCCTTATTTCTTTGCCACAGTTGATCTCCATAGTGCAAACAGAGTAAAGTTTGGGAATTTCCCAAATAATATGATCAAAATAAAACTTCTGGTAAAACAATTCAGGTGCTAAAGGAGAACTTCTGTTTTGAGAAAAGTAACTGGAGTGATCACCAAATCTCTATTGCTACAGATCAAGCATGGCACACTACAATCCTGGTAGTTCATGGGA
Source organism: Homo sapiens (assembly GCF_000001405.40). Classification (NCBI taxonomy): domain Eukaryota; kingdom Metazoa; phylum Chordata; class Mammalia; order Primates; family Hominidae; genus Homo; species Homo sapiens. The sequence continues at coordinate 193,696,448 of NC_000001.11, read as the reverse complement.
ACACAGCCACTCCATTTATATATTGTCTCTGCTTGCTTCTGCCCAACAACAGTGCCAAAGTTGAAACACTGCAACAGAGACTCTATGACCTAGAAGGCCTAAAATATTTACTATCTGGCCCTTAATAGAAATACTGCCAGTCTCTGATGTAGTTAGATAAATTTATACACAGTTTTACGCAGAACCAAGCTAAATATTAATCCTATAAAAAACATTTCTCACCGACTTACAATCTTTTACAAAAATGCTTTTTCTTCTTAAATATCATTTTATCCTTTTTTCACGTTTATTTTATATATAATTTTCCATCAAGATTCTAAGCTCACTTAGTCTTCTAGGTTTCCTCAATGAAAAAAAAAAAAAAATCATTACAGCCCAATAAATGTGAAGTAACAATGACAAAGAGTTTAGTATATGTAACATAAAAATAATACATGACACTTAGCTGTAATATATCTAAAAGCATCTTAACATCACCATACGTTTGCTCTCATGTACTGTACTTTGGAGCCATTATAACATAATTGTTAGAGATAAATATTTGTCCCCCAAGTGCTAATTTATTGATGGACTCCTAACTTGCTCTCATCATGACAAAGCACCAGCTCAATCACTGAATGAATATTTATCTATGATGAATATTCATTTAATCCATGTCTTTACAAGGAGTTTCACCACTGACAAGGCAATAAACAAGCTTTTTTATGTCCGTTTTATTCTGGGTTCACTTGCTCTCTCCATTGCTATGGCTTTAGCAAGGTAAATTCTGTATGTTTGTGGCTTAATCTGGGAAATGTTAGTCTAATCTGTGTCCTACATTAGCTCTCTTAAACACAATATATAACCTCAAGAGCAGTGATTAATTAGTTCACAGATTTGCCATCTGCTTCACTCAAGCCCAACAAGGTGAGAAGAGACAAATTTGGACTAAAGAAAATGAATGTTAATGAGGTTGTGATTCTACCCTTTGAAACAAAAACAGAGGGTAAGCCTTCCATATGAGTAAGTGGTGTGCTGGTAAACATTTAATAACTGCGTTATTTCCCCAGGTTTATTGAGGTATAATTTAAAATTTAAAATTCTACATACTTAAGGTACACGGCTTGATGTTTACATATATACATAGGTGTAAAGTAATCATTGGGATCAAGCTAATTAGCATATCTATCACCTCACAAACATACTATTTTGGGTATATATATGTACGTATAGCAAGAACATTTAAGATTTACTTTCAGCAAATTTTAACTACACAATACAGTAATAACTCCAGTCAGCATGCTGTACATTAGGTCTCAGAACTTATTCATCCTGCATAGCTGAAACTTTGTATCCTTTGACCAACATCTCCCATTCCCAAAAACCTCAGCCCCTGGCAACCACCATTCTACTCTCTGCTTCCATGAGTTCAACTTTTTTAGATTACATGTATAAGTGAGATCATGCAGTATTTGTCTTGCTGTAACTGGCTTATTTCACTTAACATAATGCCATTTGGCTCCACTCATGTTGTTTTAAGTGACTGGATTTCCTTCTTTTTATAGGCTAATGCTCCATTGTGTATATACACCACATTTTCTTTATGTATTCATCCACTGGCAAACACTTAGGTTGTTTCTAGATCTTGGCTACTGTGAATAACGCTACAATGAACATGGGAGTGCAGATCTCTCTTTGGGGTACTGATTTTATTTTCCTTAGTTATGTATACAGAGTGGGATTGTTAGATCATAGGGTAGTTCTATTTTTAATTTTTTATGGAACTTCCATAGTTTTTTCCATAATGGCTATGTCAATTTACATTTCTACCCACTGTGTACAAGGGTTCCCTTTTCTCCAACCCCTCTCCAAGACTTATCTTTTTTATAAATAATAGTCATTCTGATGACTGCCTTTTGAAGTTTCAAAGTGGGTACATAAATGCAGTGCTTGTCTATTTTTGAAGTGTAAATACTCCCAAGGTGGATTTCAAGCTATCAAACTGATGTCACTGAATGCAGTGTTGCAAAGAGATGTGCAGAACACTATGATATAGTTTCTCCTTTATACAGATACATGTAAATAAACTCAAGAGCATAGAGAAGAGCAAACCATAGTAAAATAATTAGGAGGTGATCTATTTTGAATCTATTACTTTTCTTAAATTTATTTAATTGTAAGTTTATTAACTTTTAATAATGACTATATTTAACCAGATCATAAAATTCCTGAAAACAATAATCATCTCCTGCCAGCGGCACAAGCCAACTTTCATGACCTAGTATAAGCCATCTCTAGCATATCATTGCTGTAAGTCCGCATTTTGAAAAAAGAAAATAACTGTGCTGTTTTTATTTTTCATGAAAAGTAAATTTTTTCATTACTAATAAAGTTTAAAACTTCTCCTTCACCTCTTACTCCCTGTCACTCACACAGACACACAGGTACACACGATCTTATTAAATTTAACATCTCTGGAACAAGAACTATATACCCGATGACTGTCACCATGAAGTGACAATTGGCAATTTTCAATGTTTTTATGAGCTGACTACAAGGCATCATTACTTTCTAGTTTTGGTTGAGGAATCTTATATATCAAAATGCAGATTGGCATGTAAACTTCTTGTGAGTCAAGATAAGGATGTCTTATTAACATTTGCATAATCAATGCATAATGCAACAGACATCACAAAATGAATAAATACTAGTTAAGTGAAAGAGTGAATGAATAAATGTTGCTCTAAAAAAAAACTTACCAAATATTTCCCACCCAAATTTGCACAAACACAAAAAACAGAACATAGCTAGGTTTTTGAACATTGTCAATGGAAACATTTTAGCCTGCTCCTTCAGATACAAATAGCATTTTAAGGATTTTTTAAAATTCTATATACTTCAATTTAAACAATAAATGTCCTAGGCATATCAACAAAACCCATCATTGTCAATATATTGAAGATTTTATAGTCATGTAGCACCTAGAAAAGTGCCTAGCATAAAAGAATTTCACTAAATTTTATTGAAAGAAAACCCCTTAATTTGGTTAACAAACCACTATCATTGGGTCATCACATTACTAAATAGAAACTCTAAAGCTTAAAAATATATTCCCTAGGAGAGAAGAAAAAGATGTAACCCAACCAACTTCTATTCTGTCCAAAAATAATGCTCATGAACTTGATCAGCCTACAATGGAAAGCTTTAGGATCTAATTTTTTTTTTCCTTTTTAAGGAGTGTACCTTTCCAAGTATTTTTCAATTCTATAAAGCACAACTTAAATTAGTCCCTGGCTGCAGGATAGAAATGGGGAGTCAGAGGAATGAATTTTTTGTTATTCAGTAAATATTGAACATGAAATCTTGTCACCCAAGGATCAGTTTCTCAAAGGAAAAGCAAGAACAATATTGGTCTTTTTGACCAGTCAGCGGGACTTACTGAAGACATTCATCCCCACTGTCATTGCCGAATTGAACCTTGGATTCCGAGGTCACAAATCTATAGTAGGTCTTCCAAATACCACTGCAATGTTTCTTTCACTTTTGTTTGGGGAGGACTTGATTTCTCCATTTCCCTCTTTCAGAAACCAGATTTCCTCTCCTGATTTTTACCTCTCTGCCTGCCTTGAGCTTTGCCTTTGATTTCAGCTACCCACAATATCAGCAGCTAATAATTGTTTTCCCTACCAATATCCACCTCCATCTCTGACCTGCCATATACTCAGTCCAGTTCCTCAAATAGACTCTCAAAAGTTTAACTGCTGAAAGCTGTAAATGCTTAAGGGAAAGGCGTCTGCGTTATTTACAATTGTACAGTTTCTTAGCACGGATACTGTACCACAAGCCCTTAAAGGTACCATTAAAATTAATTGAACTGGTAGAATGAAAAAGCATTCCAACATTTAAAGAGAAAAACCATCTGTTGTCAAAACAACAGCAATTCAGAGTGAAATAAAGGAAGTTTTTTACAACCAAAATCTATGACCGTTGAAAGCATTTCACAATGCTGTTCCATTAAGATTTCCTAAAGAATATAAGTGAAATCAATCATATTCCAGAAGAATTTAAAATAAAAACAGAATTCCATAAATCTGGAGTCTATTCATTAATAAAATTTAAGTACAGTAATTTAAGAAGCTGCTTTTTTCCCTCTCTGATAAAGTGAAATTTTTTATTACTCAGTTTACAAAGTTATAAACAAAAACTTTTAAGATTTGCAATTAAGCAAAGAACTGCATGTGTTTGAGAAACTTGAGACATAGAATCATATTTTGTACTACTTATTGTTGTCTATAAACAGTTTACTTACAGTAATTCATCTAACAAGTATTGAGTATCAAGTTTATGGTAAAATACGGAGCTTGAGATAATATCTAAGATTGTTTTCATTTCCAAAATATTATAGTCTATGAACTAGAAAGATCATATCAGATACTCATTCCTTCTGTTAAAAAACCACATAACTGACACATTAAAAAATTGATAATAGCATTGATTATCTGGATTTTAATAATTCACTTGATATGTTATCCTTCATATCCTTGATATGGCTGAATTATTTTTTCCAGTCAATTGTCTAATCTTATGTAGGCACAAATGAAAATGTCTATGTTGAATATATATATCAACAGTATTGATAAAAGGTGATATTTTTGATTTGGTACTTCAAACTACTTTTATACACATAAATAAAAAAGTATAAGTATACAAAATTAAGTACATAAAATTGGTATATACCAACTTATGCACATGAAAATTAAGGATCACAGTCATAGTGCTAGAACTCCAATCATTTGACTAAAAATCACTAATTGTTATCACTACACCATACTGAATTACATGTTTCATCATCTTTTATAGTTCTTCTTTCAGAAGCATTATTATCATAAATGATAGGAACCTACTTAAAACTGACACATTGCCTGTCTTGTTAAAAATATTGCTTTTTGTCTTTATAGCAGCATGATTTATAATCCTTTGGGTATATACCCAGTAATGGGATGGCTGGGTCAAATGGTATTTCTAGTTCTAGATCCCTGAGGAATCGCCACACTATCTTCCACAATGGTTGAACTAGTCTACATTCCCACCAACAGTGTAAAAGTGTTCCTATTTCTCCACATCCTCTCCAGCACCTGTTGTTTCCTGACTTTTTAATGATTGCCATTCTAACTGGTGTGAGATGGTATCTCATTGTGGTTTTGATTTGCATTTCTCTGATAGTGAGTGATGATGAGCATTTCTTCATGTATCTTTTGGCTGCATAAATGTCTTCTTTTGAGAAGTGTCTGTTCATATCCTTTGCCCACTTTTTGATGGGGTTGTTTTTTTCTTGTAAGTTTGTTTGAGTTCATTGTAGATTCTGGATATTAGCCCTTTGTCAGATGAGTAGATTGCAACAATTTTCTCCCATTCTGTAGGTTGCCTGTTCACTCTGATGGTAGTTTCTTTTGCTGTGCAGAAGCTCTTTACTTTAATTAGATCCCATTTGTCAATTTTGGCTTTTGTTGCCATTGCTTTTAGTGTTTTACACATGAAGTCCTTGCCCATGCCTATGTCCTGAATGGTATCGCCTAGGTTTTCTTCTAGGGTTTTTATGATTTTAGGTCTAACATTTAAGTCTTTAATCCATCTTGAATTAATTTTTGTATAAGGTGTAAGGAAGGGATCCAGTTTCAGCTTTCTACATATGGCTAGCCTGTTATTTATTGCAGCACTATTCACAATAGCAAAGACTTGGAACCAACCCAACTGTCCATCAATGATAGACTGGATTAAGAAAATGTGGCACATATATACCATGGAATACTATGCAACCATAAAAAAGGATCAGTTCATGTTCTTTGTAGGAACATGGATGAAGCTGGAAATCATCATTCTCAGTAAACTGTCCCTAGGACAGAAAACCAAACACCGCATGTTCTCACTCATAGGTGGGAATTGAACAATGAGAACACTTGGACACAGACACCCCATGTTCTCACTCATAGGTGGGAATTGAACAAGAGAACACTTGGACACAGGAAGGGGAACATCACACACAAGGGCCTGTCATGGGGTGGGGGTAGGGAGGAGGGATAGCATTAGGAGATATACCTAATGTAAATGAAGAGTTAATGGGTGCAGCACACCAACATGGCACATGTACACATATGTAACAAACCTGCACGTTGTGCACATGTACCCTAGAACTTAAAGTATAATAAAAAAAATTGCTTTTTCTTCCAGATTAAGGTGATAGTTTTCAAGTATCTCTTTTAACAAAAACAATTAAATTTATTTACTTACTTCTAGTATAAATTTATGAGGTACAGGCACAATTATGTCACATGCATAGATTGCACAGTGGTGAAGTGAGGGCTTTTAGGGTATCCATCACCCAAATAACGTACATTGTACCCATTAAGTAATTTCTCACCATCCACCCCCTTCCCACCCTGTCACCTAAGTCTCCATTGTCTATCATTCCATACTCTACACTTCCATGTGTACACAGTATTTAGCTCCCACTAATGAGTGAGAACATGCAATGCTTGTCTCTCTGTGTCTGACCGGTTTCACTTAAGAGAATGGCCTCCCGTTCCATCATTGTTACTACTGCAAAAGACATGATTTAATTCCTCTTTATAGCTTAACAGTACTCCATTGTGTATGCATACCACATTTTCTTTATCTAATCATCCATTGATAGACACTTAGATTGATTCCATATCTTTGTTATTGTGAATAATGTTGTAATAAACATACGAGTGCAGGCGTCTTTTTGACGTAACATTTTATTTTCATTTGGGTAGATATCCAGTAGTGGGATTGCTGGATCAAATGGTAATCCTATTTTTAGTTCTTTGAGAACTAAAAAAAGTTCTCTCTGTTCCACAGAGGCTGTGCTAATTTACATTCCCACCAGCAGTATATAAGAATTCCTTTTTCTCCACATCTTTGCCAACATCTGTTATTTGCGACTTTTTAGTAACTGCCATTATAACTGGGGTAACCTAATTTTAAAAACATTATTAAAGCATAATGTGCATACAGAAAACTATATACATCATTCAGAAGTTATCACAAAGTGAATAAGTGTATGTAACAACAACCCAGATGAAGAAAGAATGCCTCCCAGGAACCTCCACTGTGTCTCTTCCAGATCAATACCCCTTTCTTCTTCCCTAAAGCAATCTATGGTAACTTCTGATGCTTAACGTAACGGAAACTTCATACATACGGAAGTATACAACATGTATTACATTGTTAGGCTTCTTTTGCCCAAAAGTACATGTAAGATTCTTCCATGTTGTTGCTTGTAACTTTAGCTTGTTTATTTTCATTGTGTGTGTGAAGTATTCTTCCACATTCTTATATGAACATGCCACAATTTATTGATCCATGTAATTTTTGAGGGACATTTGGGTCATATTCAATTTAGAGTTAATAATGACATTATGTTTATTCTTACACAAATTTCTGATATTCATATGTATGCATTTTTGGGGGGTATATAATATACATAGAGAGAGAGGTGTAAAACTGCTGGATTTGTTAAAATAATTTAAAGTAAGAAAGTTTACTACATGTAAGGGCTTCTGTTCCTTTTGTTAATTTACATCCTAAATAGATTCCTGAATTCATGTGTTTCTAGTAGATGTAAAACTAATAATAACAACACAGTTAACCCAGGCAAACAGAATTCTTAAGCAATACCTGAGATGAAAAAATACAAAAACATGCCTGAATGAAAATCTGGTTCTAAAGTGTTACTGATATAACTTTAAAATATAGTCATCATGAGTCAAAAAATAAAAATGAATCTAAGTTTACTGAATTCTAAAGCAATGATTTCAAATAGTTTCACAATTTTTCAGAACTGCCCCTTTAATTCTTATAATTCAAGTGAACTTTATTTTGGTTGCATCCATCACTTGCTATAAAATTTTTGAAATTTTGGTTTCTATAACTGCTTAGTTTTAAATACAAAAATCTGCTTTTTCCTGTAAGTTTGCTTTACCTAGAGTAATCAGATCTTCTTTAAATCTATGTCTCGAAGATCTCTTTTGAAATATACTGTTAGTACAATCGATGGTTGGCATCACAAATTGAAGATTACGGCAGATGAAATACCCATACGCCTTAAGTGTTATAAATTCCAACCACAAAGAGTTTCTGAAAGGAATTGCTACTACTAACATACTCTGCAAGAAATCCTGACTTCAGGATTATGTAAGTTAATTTCCAGTGAATCTTAAATATTTCATTTACAACCCGTGAGAATAAATTAGTTTTAGTGATCTGTCAACCAAAGCACTTGACTATTATTAGCCTTTTTCTTAGCCTGTGTCCAATGTTTGGGTTCCCACTGTTAAAACAAATGTGTAAATGTATACTTTAGGATGTCAAATAGCTAAAGCTGTTTTAGTAAGTATTTTATAGTCACTCTATTAATTATCAATGGACCAGTTACTATTTTTAGAGATGCTGTAGCTTGCACATGCCATGCACTCCATGATTCTTACTGTATGACCCACTCTGTAGTTACAGCAACTTTGTTCATTTTTAAATTAACACTTATTTTCTAGAATGTATCAGAAGAATACAATTTTAAAAGTCAAATTATGCAGGTGTCAAAACATCTGATATTTTCAAAATCATGATAAAGAGTAAGCAATGGATATACTAAAATGATAAGAACAAGTTTTTCAAGTACTACTTAAGAGAACTACTACCACTTAACTGCAGATACTCTGATTAAATTAAATGAGTCCTTTTTTTTTAAGGCACTGTTTAAATCTGAATCCCCCTATTCACATGATGAGAAAGGGCTTCATGTATCACCAGTTACAGTGACCTTCCTCACCAGTAATGGAGAATTAAATATAATGCAGTCTTAGCAATAGCCTGCATTATAGTATGGACAGCATTAGACATGACAGAAAATTGATAGTTTTCCAGATAGTTTAGGCCAGTCACAGAGTAATCAATCAGATGGTTATACAATTGATGGCATAGAGGTCAGACAGTCCACCTAACCAAGTTCTTTTTCACCGCGGTATTGTTCACCCAGGTAATTCAGTCATTAATGACAGCCAAAAATTTGTGATTGATTAGGTGATTTTCAGTTCAGTTCACAGACAGCCTCCATCAACTCCATTGTTTACAATTCAGTACATCACTTTTCCATTTGAAATGAAACTGTCTCTGAGTAAGTAATAATTTTTGAGGCCAAATAGCTTTAATAGCTACTCAATAGGAAGGCTGGTTGAACAGTCATCAATCCAGCTTAATACTAGGACTGCTTTAATTCACCTCCACATGTGTATTTGTTTCACAGTAATTTTGTAATCATAATAGGACTGAAGAACTATATTAATGCAACTGAGTTTTCCAATCAATTGTGCAATGGTCAGAAAGAGAATGTTTATCTTTATGTTGACTAACAAAACCAAAATTAAGTTCAATTCGAATAATTCAGGTTCTTAGAGAAGTGTTCCATTGGAATATAGTCTAGAGGGTCTCTTTCAGTTATGAATATTTTCTTGAGAAAACACCACTTAAAAAGAATTAAAGTTTCATATATTAGCAGGATGAAATATAGTGGAAGTTTTTTCATAGCAGAGCACATTTCAGAAGCACAGGCATAAGAGCATAAAATAGTATTCTGCATCCAGGGAACAGCACACAGTCATCATGGCTGGAGCAGTGCAAGGGACTTGGCCAGAGCAGTAGGCAAAGGCTTCAAACTATGAGGTTAAAAATGCATCAATAAACTATGTTGATGATGTATTTTAAGCAAGAAAGAGATGTGTTTAGAAACGCAGTTTTTAAATATCACCCTAGACATTGTGCAGAAGATTGATTACAAGTGGGATATGTCTGTGAATAGAAGAACCTCTGTCCAGGAAAGAAGCAGGCTTTAAACTGAGGCAGTAATTGGACATGTTTAGCAGGGTTTAGACAAGAGTTGTTTAAAAAAATTGAATGGATGAAAACTAATAATCAAGTGAATATGGACAAGATAAATAGAATTCTAAAGTGATACCTAAAATTCTGCCTGTGAAGGAAACACATGCTCAGAGGCAGACATGAAAAATGTAAGGTACCTGGGGTACATCCACATGGAAACTTTAAGCACGCAGCTGAGATGTAAGATCTTAGACACATGAATGAGGCAATCATTAGCATACAAGTGATAATTCAAGGCATAGAAGTGGATAATGTCACCTCAGGAAAGTCTACTCAAAAAATGAAAAATTAATACCCTGCAAAACACAGATAAGACCACAAAATACCAAAATGGGGAAGTAAAAGAGTAACATGGGTTTGTCCCATCAGATATGCCTTGACATAACGTAGGGATAGGAGGTAGTCATTTGACAGCCAAAAATGCCTTATCATTTAGATAATTATCAGTTCTACTTCATAGGAACATTGCCAAGCAGCAAAGGGAGGAGAGAATTTCAGGTTGGTAGGTGTACTTAGCAGTACACCATGAATGCCATCAAGAAGTAGGGCATTAAGGAGAATAAAAATGGCCATTGCATTTGTCAATGCAGAGGTCTTTGTTGAATTCAGCAGTGCTGGGCAGACCAGCATCCTGATAATAAAGAAGGGTACTTGTTATGGGTTTTATTGGGTCCCCAAAAAGATAATGTTGATTTTCTAACTCCAGTATCTCATTTTTTGAAACAGTATTGTTGCAGATGTAATTAAAATGAGGTTATAATAAATTAGAGTAAGCCCTTAACTCAAAACAATTGGTGCCATTATAAGAGGATGACCATGTGAAGACACAGACACACAGAAAAAACACCATGTGGTGACTGAAGCAGAGATTGGTGTAATGCAACTACAAGTCAACAAGCAACTATGATTGACGGCCACCACCAAGGCTAGGAAGAGGCAAGGAAAGATTCTACTCAAATACTCAAATTCTTGGAGGAAACCTGGCCCTGCTAATGCCTGTATTCCAGACTTCTAGCCTCCAGAAGTAGAACAATCAATTTCTGTTGTTGTTTTAAGCCACCCAGTTTGTGGTACTTTGTTATAGCTGTCCTAGGGAGCTGATCCAGCACTCAGCTGGGCTCAAAGCTCAATCAGAGGAGAAGGGACAGTTCTGAACCAGAATATACTTGGTCAGCTCTCCCACAGTCTCCTGGTCATTGGACGATGTTAGCCCTTGATTTCAGCCAAGGACCTCCATTAATTCAAGTTAAATTGAGAAATCATTTTTCTTTTATTTTTAACCACATGATGTCAATAAACAGGCGAACTTAATTTACACTTGAAAAAATATATGTTCTTCTGGTCTTGTGCCTTTCTTAAACTCTGTTACACATACAAGGTTAACTGGATAATTAAAGTCATTTCCTAGAAGATTTAGGTCATAGAAATAATTAACCTGAATCATCTAGGTGATGAATTTAAAAAACAAAAAAACAAAAAAGAAACAGGCATGAGGGCAGTATTTTCTCCTGACCTGTATATAAAAATGCTTCCATTTTCATAAGACTTTTGATGCATGGACACAGCCCCATTTTTAAAAACTAGAAATAAAAAGTCTCTATAAAAAATATGCATTTGCAAGAGTTCCATTTTTCTTTTGAATATATCCGTTAAGCCCTCAGATGTCTCACTTTTCACATAGTTTTATTCATTATCACTGTAGGGTCTCCTAGCAGTGAAGAATATTCTCATAATTTTTTATCTAGTATACCATATCTCAAAGTTCTTGGAATAACCTATGTGTTTTATGTTTGCATTCTTTCAGGAGAGAAAAATATATATATCTCAAGAAAGAAAAAATCCAGCACCTACGGCATAATGTAAGGAGAGAATGCTCCAGCAAAATCTAACTTGCACAATAAATCTGTTCTGTCAGATCCTTGACCGGTATGTTTATGTTGACCTCTTTCCGTTTGAAGAGAGAGGAAAGAAACTGGTGTTGATCAAAGGTTACAGCAGAATAAAAAATATACTGGGACACGAAATTGTGACATGTATTTCCCCCACCAGTCAGGACTCTATGTTCAATATTTTTATTTCATTATGCTTACAAAAGCAAATGAATGTCCCTTTGTATTTCCTTAAGAATGAAAAGATGAATGTTTCTTTCTTTGCAAGTTCCATGGAAGCTAAGAACCTTAATACTATAAACATTTTAATGCTTGATAATGGTTCTGTCTTCAAAATGCAAAACGTTTTATTCTGACAAATAAAAACTCTAAAAAAATGAATGCATGCTTCTTTTTTGTTACATACAAATGGGCTTATATTGCGCCAATCTGTTCACTCCATCAAAGTCTTTGAGGGTTCATTTGAAAGATTACATTTTCTAACTAAGCATACCTTATAAATTTGCATTATATGTCCACTAACAGATGTATATATGTCCTCTGTTGTATGTTTAAGATGTTGCATGGACTTAACAATGCAAAACATTATATTACTGCCTTTCTAATGAAACAAATTGAAGCCTCAGATGTCTTTTAATCTTCTGAAGGTGATTTAAAAAAAAGGTAACCATGTATGTAAACAGATGTGGATTTCACAAAACACTCCTATAAAAAAAATACCTAGCACAGTAGCATGCACACAGTGTGCAATTTCGTGGAAAAAGGAAAAAAGAAAATAAATAAGGAAGGGAGATTTAAAGTGAGTATTTTGCATATATGACATTTCTAATATTCTTTCAGTGAAGGACTTATTACTATCTTTTTTTTTTTTTTTACATGGCAAGGTCATTATACAAAATATGAAGTAAAATCAGTAATAGAGATAGGTATCCTAAGCCTAAGATGTGGGTTTCATTACTAGGTGAATGTTACTGCTTGATGGTCTGGGTGTTTGAAGTGTTAGCCACGCCGAAAAGCACCTGAATTGTTAAAATTCTGCTTCTGCAGCCTCCCAGGACTTCCAGGCAGCCATTAACAATATGGCCACTTGAGTGCTCTCTGTGTGACAGGCACTGTGCTGGGTGCTATAGTGATCTAGAGACTTGGAAAGACATATAAAATGGAAATTATACATTCCTAAGAAAGACATGGATAAAAGCATTTAAGAGAGATTACTTCTTTGAGTAAGCTGGCGAGATCAAGAAATACTATGGGGAAGAGGGAACATTTTAACTGATTTTGAACGATATACAAGATTTAAAGATACATCAGTGGGGATAAAAGAGCATCCTGGGCAGAGGGAATCTGTAAAAATGGGGATTATGAGAGCATCCACTTCACAATGATTGAGAGGATCAAGTAGGATGCTTTATATGAAAGTACTCTCTAAAATCTAATTTTAATGTGATGATTAGTATTCAGCAGAAATGGCAGGGTGGGTGCTCTGAGTTCACAGACTTAACAATTCCAGTAATTTTACAGTTTGTTCCCAGTACCAATTAGAGAAAATTACCCTTCAAAACCCTGTTTTGGTGAAGACCTATTTGAATAAGACTAAGGAACTTTATTAAAAGATGTAAATGACTTGTAGGAGCTTGAAAAACACTAGGATGTAGTATTTTTCAAATTAATGTAGATATTAATAAAATTCCAACAGACGTAAGTAATTTTTAGAAATTGACCAAATTATTCTAAAATTAATATGAAAATATAAAAAGACAGGATTTTTTTTTTAATTTGGGGGGTGGGAATATCAATAAGAGAGAAGAATGGCTGCCTTACATATTAAAAACATGTCAGAAGTCCACAATAATTAAACTTGTGAGGCTGGTCAAGAATAGCAAAGGCAATTCTACTGAAGAGAACAGAAAGAACAAACATATAAAAGCATAGAGCTAAACAATCCATACTTGGTAAATCTAACAATTCAAATAATTTAGGAAGGAAGATGTATTTATCAATAAATTTTGTTACATCAATAAAGTTCCTACAAGATATATCAACTTCAGAACAGACAACATTTGTAGTTTGCAGCTGATCTAAAGCAAAATCCATTAAAGGCTTAGCTGAAACATCTGATCCCTGGCTGGAGAGCCAGAAAAGTTACTAACCAGATTTCTGAGCACAGACCACCGCCAAACAGTGTGGAACACCTTGGACGAGAATATAAGCACGTATCCTGCAAACGTAAACCCAATAATAACCCAAGATGCCGGAGAACAAAGGCCCAAATAAAAAGACATGAATAGAAAAATAGATAAACATACATATATAATTATATATTTAACTTTAAAACACAATTTAGAGCTGTATATATCGCTGTAAATAGCTTTGGCAGACAAAATCCCAAAACATTTATTGGTCTAGGGATCATGTGGACAGCCCTCAGATAAACCTAACTGCCCAGGTAACCTGGGCTACTCACCAGGATAATAATAATGGCAATTACTTGAAAATATTTTATGGTATTTCTATGGTTCCAGGTTTTTCCTTCTGCAAGTTCCTTTCGGGACAGGGACCTAATTTACTTAACTCCAGATGTCCACTTTCTAGGAAAGAACCCACTGCATAGTTGAACATAAATATTTAATGAATATTTGAATTAAACTAGCAGCTCTATGAGACTCCTAACTATGGTTTTCTATATTTTCCTCCAAATCTTAATCATTTTGACATCTTTTTAAATATAAAAACTTTTTTTTGGCTTCATGCTTTCTAGAGAGTACATTGATAATGACTCACAAAATTAATTCTTAGAAACCACCATGTTTTGTGATTTAAGCCAGTAAATAAGTAATACCCTGAAAAAAAAAAAAAAAAAACCTGGATCTTCATGCAGCAGGGTTACCTAAGCAAATACTATAAGACTGTAACAATGAGGAAAATATTAAAACCAAGCTTCATTTTCTTTTATGTCAACAAATACTTAAGAAGAATACGACTTGCCCTTGCCCTTTACCCATAGGGAATACACACACATACACACACACACACACACACACACACACACCCCCTTACTTCCTGGGTTTTACAATGGTTAGCAAACCTGAGCCATTTAAAATTATTCATATAAAAATGATACTGCTAATATTTTTAAAGACTCAATAAAAAAAGAAGTACTTAAGAACCAACAGATATAAACTGGCTTTCTCATAGTGTGCTTACATTATTGTACCCAAAAGATAAGATTTTTTAACATAGACTTTTAGTGAAAATAATATATTTCAAAAGCACTAGTTTTCCTCTGAAGAAACACCGAAAGGTAGTAATATTTAATAATTGCCATTGAAAGCTATAGCCTCACAGTGTAACTTCAGCAGCCCCGATCCCTTTCTCTGTGATTCCAGAACTGTCTCCTGTCAATTTATTCACTATCATATCACACTCCTATAGTAATTCTTACTCCTCCAGAGCTCTGAGAGAACAGCAGGAACATTTTACTTCAAAGAGCCACTGTTGCAGAAGCAGAGGGCCATCACAGAAGCAAACAATTAGATCTTTATTTCCTTAAGTGACTGATTAGATAGCAGTTTTATAGTGACCATTATAAAGTGCTTGCATGTGTCAGAAATCACTCTTTGCGTATGTATGTGTCTGTGTGTGTGTGTGTGTGCAAGTGCATACCCTCTTAATCTTCACAACAACCCTATATGACTGTTGTCATCACCACCATCTTATGGATGAGGGAGCTGAGGCTTATGGAGTTAAAATCATAGAGTTAACAATTGGCCATGATCAAAACCTGTTTACTGTGATCCCAGAGCCAATGTTATTTATACCAGGCTCTACTGCCTCCCCAGAGCAGGCATTCATCCAATCTGTCTTTCAAGGCAAAGCAAAAAGATTATTTTCCTCCAGCCTTCTTTAAATGTACATACTTTCAGATCTAGGAATTGAGGTATTTCTATTTTTAGATAGCTAAGTGGCTGAGGATTATCTCTCCCGTCAAAATGATATTCCCCATGTGGCTTGTATTGAATAAACTTATTAACAGTAAATTTTCCTCAGGTAAACTTGAGCTTTCACAAAAATAGCTGGTATCCATGAAAGAGTACCTTTAACTGGTTTAAGTCACAGCAGATACACTTGGATATTCAAAGTGTCTCATTACAACCTAGGAGATGAAGTCTTCTCTTTGACCAGAGCTTTATCTCTTCATCTGCTCTTGTTCAATCACATTAGTAATTAGAAGATTTCCATATCAATTCCAGAGCCTGGGCTGGGCACAACAGGGGCATTCCTATGTTATTTCCTTTCACAAAGTGCAGATTTAGCTTCTAACAGCTAAGCTTATTGTGTCTTCACCATTGCTCATCCAGCCAATATTTCCAAAGATCTTTTTTTAAAAGACAAAAAAATTGACACCCCCAAAACTTACAGGGGAAAATTTTTCTTACTAGGAAAAACTATACATGCATCTAGATAAAACAGAAGACATGGTTTTGAGCATGAAATCAAGGTTGCCAACTTGCATTTTGCTTTGCAATTTATATTTTTTGCACGCCCATTTTCTGCCTCTGTATTTTTGTTGAATGTCTACTACACATCACACCATGTCTTAGTACCATCCTGGGACATACAGGAGGAAAGATAAATTTTATTTACCCCATGAAACTTACATTCTGTAGGAGCAGGCAATAAACAAGAAAAATGTAAGAAAGAAAATTTCAGAAAGTTGTAAGTGCTATGAAGGAAATAAACAGTGATATGGTAGAGAATGAAAGTCATTGATGGGGGTGCGTCATCATGTGGGGTGGTGGAGAACAGAAAAGCAGGTCTTACCCAGGCATTGCCTTTGAGATGAGATCTGAAGGATGAAAAGGAACCAGCCACTGGAGGAGTTAGGGAACAGTACTCCAGGCATTACTTCATTTATTCCCCTATGTGACCCAGTGAAGTGAACATTTTAGAGAAATTAACACAGTTCACAGTTAAGAGCACTGACTTGGAAGTTAAGTCATTAGCTTCCAAGAAGTTCAATATTTACCCATAGGCACCCACCAATATCACTATCAAAGATGACTCGGGAACCATGACTCAGGGCAATGCAGTGCTTTCTCTTATCAATTCCCGATCATAACCATATATACCTAACATGAAATTCATGTTACTTTTCTGTCTGGTTTTCCAAAAGATTAAGAAAAACAGTTAAATGATTCAAAAGTTATTTATCTCATTCCTTGAGTCAGTTGAATCATCCTATGAATGTATTATGGGGACTTAACTATAAATAACCAAGAATATATAAACAAGTAGTATGAGAAACTTACAATTCTTGGTTTTGGCATGTTATATTTATGCAATCATTAACTCTATTTGCTTTTTATTAATTACTATTAAATAAGCTACAGTATAGCAAGAAATATGCATTTGAAATAATTAACACAATTGTTGTTATCCACTATATATAACGTGTGGATAATAGGAAGTAACTACTGAACTGTATAAATGTTGTGTTTATAAACATATTATTTCTCTTTCATAAATGGTTTAGTTTATGTGTGTTAGGCTAGTCTTGCATTGCTGTAAAGAAATGCCTGAGACTCAATAATTCATGAAGAAAAGAGGTTTAATTGGCTCACGGTTCTGCAGGCTGTACAAGCATGGCGCCAACACCTGCTTGGTTTCTGGCAAGGGCCTCGGGAACCTTACAATTGCGGTGGAAGGCAAAGGGGAAGCAGGCATGTCACATGACTAGAGCAAGAATGAGAGGGAGAGTGGGCGGGGGGGGGGAGGTTTCACACACTTTTAAACATATCACAAGTGCTGACACACTATCCTGAGGATAGCACCAAGCCATGAGTGATCCACCCTCATGACCAAACACCTCCGACCAGGCCCCACCTCCAACAATGGAGATTACAATTCAACATGAGATTTGGAAGGGACATATTTTCAAACCAAATCAAATCAATGTGATTTACAAAAAAAAAATAATACAAATAATAAATTTCTAGTATACTAGGTAGGACCACTTCCAACCCACTGGTAAAATAAGTACTTATTTGTGAGTGCCCTCAGATTATATCTTTAAGTACTTTAATAATCAGAATACATATTTTCAAAATTTGTAAATTGCTATTTATCCTCTACTTGCTACTCCCTCACACACAGATATGAACAGACACACACGTCCCCTGAGTACTTTACTTCTTACAGTTTATGTTGCTACATCTCAGAAAAGGTAGGGGAAAGAGTACAGGGTGGCCTATAACTTTTCTGTTGTTGAAAAGATGAGAGCTATAGAAAATATAATAGCTAGCATGTTCAACATATAACAGGAAAGTGATGAAAGTTTGAGGGTTTTTTTGTGCTTGGAAAAGAGAAAAGGGAAAAGAAACACAAAGACATTCTTGTGGATGAAGAGGCCCTTAGCAACCACCCAAGAAAAACACTTGGGCCCTAAGAAAATCTCCTTCAACCTCTGTCTGCTATCAGAATTTACAGTTTGGTCAGAATACATGAGTGGAGCTCTATTAGTCTCTACGTACTAACGAGTCATTCTTTCCTTGATCACAAGGACTTTAGAGTTTCATATCTTTGTAACTGTCATTTTAGTTAGTTCAAGTGAGTCCAAAGATATGTGAACTAACGTGTGTGGGCAGAATCTAGCATTTCTGTAACACTAGACTTACTTTCTGTACACTTCAGTTCCACTAAAGAAGGGTCTCTGGAAAATTTTGGAGCACCTGCTCTCTCAAACCAGAGGATGGTTTCTGCCAGAGCAGTCACTGCTTTTGGAAAACTAAATCACCTCCAGACACAGGTTATAGAAGACCAACTTCCCAATACATGGATAATACATTTGTGGGTAAGTATCTGAGGTTTGAGATACATAAGATACACATAAAATGCATGGACTACGTCTTAAGTGAGATCCGAATTCACGTCTTGATTATAGCGCTTAAATCTATGTAAACTTGGAGAAAATTTGGTCCTCTGAAGTTCATTTTTCTCTTTGCAAACATTGAATAGTATTCCCCAATCTTGCTGAGTTATTTCTATGATGAAACGAGATAATACATACAAAATGTTCAGTAAAGGCTTAACAAAGACATCCAGATTAGTTCTACATACTTGGAGAGAAAAGAGTTAACATATCCGGTTTGAGATAGATTTGCTGTGTATACCATAGGAAGTCCTTGGAGGAAAGAAAAGAAAACAGATGACTGATCTAATCTCCCTACCAAGATGATAACTGGAACTTGGAGCAAATACAGGAATGGTATTTGCTATGATGGGAGATCTTATCTATTGAATGTTATTAACAAGATGTCCATGATTAGGAATTACTTATAGAAAATCAACCCAGCATCAATGGATTCATGAGAAATGACTCCCTGGGATAAGTCACACATACTAGGTCCTGGATTTTTCCTTTCTCTCATGACTCACCGTCCTACCTTCCACCACTCATCCCTGAACCTTTGGAAATATGCAATGCCTTATGGCAGAGCTATGGTTAGGTAAGATAAAAACCATAAGGGATGTTAGTTAACTGGGTTTTATTCTGCTTCTGACTCTATATTATTTAGTATGTGTCCATCCAGTCTAGTTTGCTATTTTTAATAATTACAGATGTTTTTAAACTATTTTATAAAGATATCAAAGACAATATATTCCTATGTGAAAGTGTCCAGTAATATCAGCTTTTCACTTTTAAGATAATTTCCCATGGTTACAATTCAATGTTCTAATTTATGCTAAGGAAATTTTGAAAATAATGTTTCATGGATAGAAACATCTATAGATTTCCATGCATGGATTTTGTCTGCTTCCTAATATACCTGAGTCCTAAAACCTGTGAAACTATAGAAAACCATTTTAATATTTCTTTGTCTTCATTTTCCAATTGAAACATGAAGAGAAAAAATTCTGCCCCTATTTTTTAACTTCACAAGGATGTTTTAGAGTGTCCTGATGACAGATTATTATAATTATTTTTAACATGTCAGTGAGCAATACATTAC
The DNA here is from genome assembly GCF_000001405.40 of Homo sapiens. Lineage (NCBI taxonomy): Eukaryota > Metazoa > Chordata > Mammalia > Primates > Hominidae > Homo > Homo sapiens. The sequence goes on along the minus strand of NC_000001.11, from coordinate 193,676,617 downwards.
AACAGAAAACTTAATGTAAGCTACAGAATGAATCATTAAAATTACTAAAAGTAGTGCAATGCTTTACACAAAATTTTCTTACAAGTATTATTTCATTTAATTCTCCAAATAGTCCATAAGGCGATAATTATCTTCATTTTGCAGATAAGTAAACTGAGGCTCAGTGAGGATAACTGGCTAATCCTGGATTTCAAACTAAGGAATGTGGAAGAGAAAACTAAAATAATAATATTAATTGAATATTATGAGAAGAGCCAAGCAGATGGTTTTTGAATGGTCAAGAATTGTGAAGGGTCTGATATTTTACCCTACTTACAAGCTAACAAGTTAGCCTGCTACAGTTCTATGAATGCTGGTAGAATATGAGTCTCTTGGGTCAGAGACAAAAGATAGTTTATTACAGCAATAGCAGTAGCTAGAATGTCAGCATTTGCACTGGTTCCCCAAGCTCCAATTCCCACAAAGTGACATAAAGAGGCTCAGGTGACATCTGCACATGGAGTAGGCTGTATTACAGAAGAAAAAAAACTGAAGTTAGTGAAACCAAGCCTTTTAAAATGAACACTAATAGAGCCTATTCTTTGCTCCAGAGGGAGATACTGTCTCCATCTTTCAAGGCTGTTTACTATAGGAATACTGAAGAAATAGCCGGGAACAAAAGCGGTCAGTGCTTAACTCTCAAGACATGCAGAAATGCATGAGACCTATGGAGAACTGTCTTCTAATGATATACTACCTGTTTCATACTCCCGTCCTATTTGATGACAGTAATTTAGGTGCAATTATAAGCAAACAATGGCAAAAATGCCATGGACCTTGAACCATTCTGCAACTGATAAACAGGCAACCGTTTACCACACTGAGATTTAGGAAGTGTTTAACATGGGATTAATAATTTTCTGATAAATGAGTAATCTGAAGACTAGTGAGAATTCATGGAAATTGATTAGAAGATACAAATGATATAAGCTAAATTAAAATATAGGCTCTTAGATGCCATAACATTAGCATTTTACTCATGCCCCCATTTCATACATTTTTAAGCCAGTTACCTCAAAAAATAATTAAATGATAGAATTTTCCAACTAAAAACAACTGTGATTTCTCCTTACTAGGTTGACTTTTTTTAAAGCATCACATAGAGAGAGAATGCCTTAACTTGCTGTATCCCTTCCTATCAGAGGAAATTCTCATTGAGAGTAAATGAAACAACCTTGAGTTAGCCATAGTTAATTTCTATATTTGATATGTTCCTTTTACTTTCTATGAGCAAGTAACAAAAGAAACTCTAATTGACTAAAATTCTAAATGAGATGCTGATATAAAATATCCATTAGTGGAAAGGTGGCCTATTTATAATTCCATTAAAGCCGGCAGCGTTACCCTAATTCTCAGTGTTAAATGACAAGATTAGTGGGTGACTTCTTTCAGCTGATGGCACATTAAATCGCTATGATTTTTTTTTAAAAGTCTCTTAATTGAATTGTTTTACAGAAACTGTGCTCTCTGGCACACTGTGGCTCTTCTATTGCTAGTTCAAGCCCTTATAAGTATACTTTTGAAATAATTCCAGAAAACACATAAAGTTCTGCTCATTACCCTAAATGTTCTAAAATGTGTACAAAACCTTAGAGCAAAATAGTCTTCTCACATAAACTGGCGGATTTTTAGTAGAGGTAACCAGGAAAGCTTGATAGCAATGCCTTGCATTTTTTGGCTTCATCCCTATGCCAGGACGTCCAGCATTTAATTAGATGTTTGCTTCATTGAATTATGATATATGGTATCTAAAGGTCTCATTTAAAGGCAACGTCTCTCAGGATAGTTAGTCACCAGTTGGTCTGTAAAAGAATGAGTCATGTATATTTTGATAAGTGATAAATTTTGAGTGAAAAGCACGAGAAAGCAAATACGTGGCAGATATCATTTTCTTTTTTAGCCACCAACCATCTATGTAGACAAATCTTCAGAAGCACACAACCAAGACTTCAGTAATTGAAGACCACATAATAGGCTTCTCTAGTGCAATGAACATCCCTACACCTCTCCCCACAGAATCAGTAAGGCTTAATAGACATATAACCACAGTAAAGGAAAACCAGATAACATAACCAGAGTCAACAAATCATAACATAAATCCTCAACTGGAAACCGCCAAGGCTTCACAATTGAAGCAACCAGGAAACTGAACAGGCAGAGAGAAGATTTCGTGGAACACACCAGATACAAATACTCTGTGGGGTTTCCAACAGTGTGAAAGCTATGAGGCAAAAATCATAAAACTGCATGAAGCTTAAGGATCAATGTGTGTATAAACAAAATGCGTTTAGAGGATAGAGGTAACCTAGGAATTCTTGTCTACATATGATGTACCCAATAGTTTTTATAATAATACAATCTACATAATAGTTTTTATAATAATACAATCTACACAATAGTTTTTAATATAAAGTTATTTATATACATTATGGACTTTTCTTACACAATATTTTAGATTATTTCAGAATAAAAGAAAAAAATTTTTTAGCATCATCTATGTGCCAGGCCCTGTTCTAAGCACTTTAAATGTATTACCTCATTTATGCCTCACACCATACTATGAAAGTAAGTACTGGCCAGGCATGGTGGCTCACGCCTGTAACCCCAGCACTTTGGGAGGCCAAGGCAGGCAGAGTACGAGGTCAAGAGATCGAGATCATCCTGGCCAACATGGTGAAACCCCGCCTCTACTAAAAATACAAAAATTAGCTGGGTGTGGTGGTGCATGCCTGTAGTCCCAGCTACTCAGGAGGCTGAGGCAGAAGAATCACTTGAACCTGGGAGGCAGAGGTTGCAGTGAGCAAGTGAGCAGAGATCACACCACTGCACTCCAGCCTGGTGATAGAGCAAGACTCCGTCTCAAGAAAAAAAAAAAAGGAAAGAAAAAGAAAAAGGAAAAGAAAGTAAGTACTATGACTATCATTCCCCACTTTAAGGATAAAGAAATTGAGACACAGGGATGTTGAGGAAATTTCACAAAGTCATACAACTAGTAAGTGGTATAGCTGGGATTCAGATTCAACTAGTCTAGCTGCAAGGTTCATGGTTTACTCACTGACAATATGCTGTGTTTAAGGAATGTTAGGAATAAGAACATAATGCATGTCAGTAGTTCGTGAAGCTGATTACTTGAGAACATGTATTGTCATGTGCACAGTCTGAGATGCTATCTACATAGATATAAATACATATTTATATAAATACTGTATTAGTCCTTTCTCAGGCTGCTATTTAGAAATACTCAAGACTGGGTAATTTATAAAGAAAAGAGGTTTAATTGACTCACAGTTCTGCACGGCTGGGGAAGCCTCATGAAACTTACAATTATGGCAGAAGGCACCTCTTCACAGGGCAGCAAGAGAGAGAATGCTGGAGCATGGGAAATGACAAACACATATAAAACCATCAGATCTCATGAGAACTCACAGTCACAAGGACAGCATGGAGCAACCCACCCCCATGATCCAATCACTTCCCTCCCACAACATGTGGGGATTGTGGGAACTACAATTCAAGATGAGATTTGGGTAGGGACACAGAGCCAAACCATATCAAACACCTATATGTAAACTTATTTCACCCATGTCTTTCCAAATAATAAAGTGCAAGTCAATATTTCTTTAAGAGCAACAGATGGAATTTACTTGTGCCAACAAATTCAGGCTTTGCAAAGACTTCATAAAGATGCAAAAGCTTCAAAAAAAATTTCCCACTGTGTAAATATCAAGTATTTTTCTTTACCAATTCTTTAATACACCAAGGATGTATTGTTGTTCCCAAGACACACACATTTGTACATACACATATCCTGCACCTGGCACACTGGAATAATGTCAAATGTGTTTACTTCAATAATTACCTTCAAACAAACACATGTAGTGATTTTATCTGAATGTCAGCTCCCACATGGCACTTTCCTTGTCTAGCTAAGGCCTTGAGGAAGTAAATTAATGGATCAAAACCTGGGAAAACTCTAATCTAGCCCTTGAAACATAGAAATCGGGAATTTTAAGATTTCCCCAGAGGTATTACTATTCTTTTCAAATAACACTCCTAAGGAAAAGGCAGTTAAATCATTCAAGGAAACTTGGTCATTAGAAATGACAACATACCACATACCCATAAACCAGTAGAAAGTTATTACTAAGGTGGAAATAATGGCTTTTGTAATTTTTTATACATATCAAAGATGAAGAAGCATATATGATATAATAGCATATTTCTCCTTTCTAGAACAGTGGTTCTCAACTTTGGCTGTATCTTGTATCTCAGGATCTCTGCAAAATACAGATGACTAGGACCTCTCCCAGATATTCTGATTTAATCAGTCTTTAGTGTGGCTTTGGCATCCTGCATTTTTTATAGACTCCCAGGGATTTCTTATGTCTAGGAAAGATTGACAATTATTGGTCTAGAAGAAATAGTTATGTGGACATTGTGACCTTATGCACTACAGGGTCATTAACTATTATACTTGGAGGTCAGAAGTAATGTGGAAAGCTGGTTGATAAGTTCTTATAAGTAATCATCGCAACCAATGAGTGATTACTATTTTGAAGTTCTCATTCAGGTTTTCTTTAAGAGTTTGAATGATATGGGCTCTCTTAATTTTGTTACAAATGTAAACATATACAGCATAGCCAGGCAAACCTATGAGTTAGTTAACACCTTGCCATGACTCCCCAAGAATTACATGCTCTACTCAGTACAGTCCAGCAGCAGTTCCCCTAGCAATCAAGTCACTTCATGACTCCATGCCTTTACACAAACTGTTCTCTATAGACTAGCAATCTAAGTTTTTGAAGTAATTGTGAATGTATGTGTTTCTTACTAGTTAACATTTACTAGCATTTGTTTTTGTTGTTATTGTAAATTGTACTTGCGTTAGCCAGGATACATCCTTAAATTCAATTGCAGGGGTGGGAGGAGTTGCACGGGATAGAACATAGGCTGACACAGACTCCAGCAAACTGTAACTGCACCACCTGGATGATGGAACCTCCTCCGACCTTCCAGGAGGTAGACAGCTGACAATTCAGGTACTATTCTCTGCTTTAGTGTCTAGGTAGTAGATATCACTTCTTTTCACAGCTTATTGGCCAAAACAAGCCAAATAGCCCAAACTATCTGCAGTGGGCTGGAAGTATGTGAAAGTAGATTCGGTACTTTAACCAACTGAGCATCAGCACATTGATTAGTTTGTGATGCCTTCACAAGACCAGAAGGAAGGATTCTGCATGTGTTACATGGCTCATAATTATTAAGAAAAAGCTGGAAGAGATTTGTTTTTTAATTAGATCAACCAGTACTATAATTCATCTGTAGCTCTCTATGTGCCATAATTCCAACCACTGAAAGAGATATTGTTTGAGGCAACAATATAATAAAATTAACAGACATTTGGATGATTACAAAATTATCTATCATTACAATATTATGTTAAGAGGGCTCAGTTAGCCAGTAGCTTCATATACTGCACCTCTAAACCCATTTCATCTAGCTCATGCCTAGCATCTGATAACAATAGCAGACTTTGGCTGTACCATTATAAATCCCTCAGTATCATTATCTGACAACTTAAAGTACATGCTCTACTATAAGTCATTTTTGCTTACGAGGACACTCACACTCACTGATCTAGTTACTTTATTGTCAATCTTCATTTTAAAAATTACCAAAAAAAGTTCATTCCACATGGAACACTATGCAGCCATAAAAAAGGATGAGGTCATGTCCTTTGCAGGGACATGGATGAAGCTGGAAGCCATCATTCTCAGCAAACTATCACAAAGACAGAAAACAAAACATTGCATGTTCTCACTCATAGGTGGGAATTGCACAATGAGAACTCAAGGACACAGGGCAGGGAACATCACACACCAGGGTCTGTCGTAGGGTGAGGGGCTGGGGGAGGGACAGCATTAGGAGAAATACCTAATGTAAATGACCAGTTAATGGGTACAGTAAGCCAACATGGCATATGTATACCTATGTAACAAACCTGCATATTGTAAATAAATAAAATAAATAAATAAATAAATAAATGGAAAAAAGTTAATTCCAGAGGCTTTCATTATTCATTCATTACTTTGCTTACCTTTTGGGGCTACTTTTGACAGCAGAAAAAGTACTTCAAAAATAAAAATAGTATTTCCCTTTCTGCAATATGTCCATAAAATAGAAAAATCTATGTTTATTGCATGCCTACAGTATACAATTTGCTTCTAAATCATTAAATCCAATAAAACATTTCTTCAAAGTAAATAGTTTTGAGATTAACATATTTCAGTATTTTAAAACCACCTCAGTTCTTCACTGCAAACAGAATTAAACAGTTATATGAAACAAGATACCATAAGTTTTCCTGTGTAGGTATTTAGATTAGCCATTGAGACTACTGTGATAGCAAATCTTTCTCTCTTTTTGACATATATATTTTTAAAGATATTTTGTTGTGATATCACTTAGTTGATGTACATCTAGATAATTTCATTGTGTTTTCACAATGTAGAAGTATTTTTAAATAATCAAGGATGCTACTTATAAGAAAAATAATTTCTAATTCTCACTTATTTGTAGAATCTAAAAATCAAAACAATTGAATTTGTGGAGATAGACAGTAGAAGGATGGTTACAAGAGACTGGGAAGGGTAGTGGGGAGGTGGGATGGGGAGATGGGAATAGTTAATGCGTACAAAAAAATATAAAGAATGAATAAGACCTGGTATTTGACAACACAAAAGAGTGAATATATTCAATAACATATAAAATATATTCAATAATAATTTATTTGTATAATTTAAAACAGCAGTCCCTAACCTTTTTGGCACCAAGGACTAGTTTCATGGGGGATGGTTTTAGGATGAAACTGTTCTACCTCAGACCATCAGACATTAGTTAGATTATCACAAGGAACAAACAACCTAGATCCCTAGCAAGAACAGTTCTCAAGAGGATTTTCATTCCCATGAGAATCTAATGCCACTGCTGATCTGACAGGAGGTGGAGCTCAGGCAGTAATGCTAGCTGGCCCTCCACTGACCTCCTGCTGTGCCACCTGGTTCCTAACAGACCATGGACAGTACTCATCTGTGGCCTGGGGGATTGGGGACCCCTGGTTTAAAATAACTAAAATAATACAATTGGATTGTAACACAAAGGATAAATGCTTGAAGGGATAGATACCCCACTTTACATTATGAATTACATATTGCATGCCAGTATCAAAACATCTCCTGAACCCCATAAATATATATACCTACTATTTACCCACAGAAATGGAAATTTAAAATAATAATAATTTATGCATATGGGAGAATTTCAAAGTATTTTGGGGGAGTTTATTGCACTTCTCTCTATTGGGTATATAGGACCTTAATAGAAAAAATATACCTTGCATCTTATAAAAGGGGAAGCTGGTATAAATACAATGAAATGAAGGGAAGAATAAAGAAAATACATTTGACATTACAGTAAAATAAACCTCAGCTTTCCTGAACTTTTCATTTATCTCTTTTCTTAACTATTTTAGGTGTAAAGTGTCATTCTCATTTTATTGAGCATTTTCTTTTCAAATAAAACACACATTGTATCAAAGATTGCACTATAATCTTAATAATTAAAGTAAAAAGTTCTGGCGTGTGTTTGCATTTTTTTCTGTTATGGTTCTTTCCCTAATGAACCAAATAGTCATGTTCCACAGAGTGGAAAGTTGACAATTCAGGAACAGCTCAATGGAAGAGATGTATAGGCCAAGGGAGGGGGATTACTGACCTTCTGTGCTCTCTGAGGGGGGCACCATCATCCCAGCATCTCATTCACCAATCTGGAAGCTCCTCAAATCATTTTTAATATATTGGCATACATGAAATCCCAATGAGTAATTTGTCAAGTAGAACAGATCACTATTAACTGAAACATTAAACTAATTTTAATGTAAAATTACCTATGATTAGTACACACCATAAGCAATAAATTTTAAATAACCTGGTTCCATATTTTATGGAATATTCATGGGTTGATTAGTTTCCATACAAAACAGATGTTCTGATGAGAGAATGAAAATGAGGAAGTTTTTCTTTAATGTACAAAAGCATCAGAGCATGGAAAGAAATAAAAAGAGTATTTTTCCCAAGTACTGATCTGCTAATAAATGTTTGATGTAGTCTAGTTAGCCTACTTCTTATAATGAGAGTATGATTTTATTTTTAAAAGTTTTGGATGTCTTTTCCTTCAAGTCTTCATACAAAAATATCCCTTTGAACTTAATTATAGCTACAAATAAAGTGGCATTTTCCAAAGTGCGGTAGAGCGATTTGGTACAATGCAGACATGTGTCCTTTACCAGGTTCCAGTTGAATATATAGATAATAAAAGGGACAGAAATTAAATAGGCTTCATGAAGCTCCAAAAAATATCCTGTGAGACCTGAAGACTGTTATTCAGTCAAATGTCATATTCTGTTTGGACTCGAAGTGTAAAGAATGATCACCTCTAAAGAATTGTAATCTCTCTGCCTTACAGTATGATCTACACCCAACATCCTGGCATAAACCATGACTTCTTCCCTGATGAATCTCAAACTCAGTTGGCCTTTCTCATTTGAATAGAAGAAACAATATCTTCTTTCAATTTACGCTTGTTTCGCAAACTCCCCCACTTTGGTATTAGTCACTATACCATGGCAGGAGATGTGTGTCCAATCTCAAAAACATCTTGTCCTAGCCAAAGCCTGGCTCTAACTTGCATGTCTCTAATGGTAACTTTATTATATCTCATGTTTCTCAAGACTTGCTCTTAAGGATGGTGTTCTTCTTGCTCCCTCTGGGCATCTTTCTAATTTTGAAAAACCTCTTCTCTTTGAGTTTATTCAGCTATAACATACATGTAATATCCCTCTTCCCATTGATTTAATCATGAGAATATCAAGTATTTTGTCTTATGGAAAATGGCATCTTAGTCATGGTCTTCCATCCTACTATTGTCTTGAAGATGCCAATATCCATGCAAGGGACCAGTCTAACAGACCAACCAGAAAAGTATCCAGGTATTCATTTCTTGGCTGGGTTAAGATGACGGGGTGGCGTGCTGGGGCAACCCTTTTAACTAAACCTTATTCTCCAATATCCAAGGAAAAGCAAAACCAAAGCTAAAATATAAGAATATGATAAAATAATTAATCTTGACCCTTGACTTTTCAATAATTCCATTCTGATTAATCTTAATTACTTAATTATTTATGGATACATGCTTTTAAGACCTTATTATGTGCTTGGAAGTAAACAAAGCAAAAATCCCCACATTTATGGAGCTTATATTCTAACATGGAAAGACAGACAACATAATAAATAAGTAAATTATATAGTAGGTTAAAAAGCTCTAGGTGCTAAGAAAAAAAGAGTAAAACAGAGTAAAGGTAGTCAACTGAGCCAGGGCAGAGGGCCAGGCAAATGGGTAGATTGCAATTTCAAATAGGGTAAGGTAAGACTCATTGGAAGGTTTTTGAGCAAAGATTTGAATGAGGTAAAAAAGTTACCCATGCACCTATACAGAGGAAGAACTTTGCAGATACTGGAAACTTTCAATGCAAAAGTTCTAAGAAAACAGGACTCCTGGGTTGCTTAAGGGACACCTTGACACCCTGTGTGGTTAGACGGGAATGAGTGAGGGAGAGCGAGAGAAGTCAGAGGGTTAATAGATTTAATGGGAATGTATAGGGGGCAAGTCACGTAGAGTCTTGAAGATCAGAGTAAAGGTGTTTTTACTAGGAGTGAATCAGAGAGACATCACAGATTTTTGGAAAAAAGAATGACTACTCTTTTCATATTTTAAAAGGATCATTTCAACTGCAATGTTGACAATACACTGAAGGAGCAGAAGCAAAACGCCAACGAGGAGACTATTGCAATAACCCCGAATGAAAGATGCTGCTGCAGAGTGGTAACCAGTGTAGCTGGTGAAAATAGGTCAAATTCTAAATATATTTTGAAGGTCAAGCCACAGAAATTTTTTGACTAATTGTGTATGAAGTTTGAGAGAAAGATAAGAGTTCAGGAAGACTCAAGCTTTCGATCTGAACAACTGGAAACAATGGATTTCCCATGATGAGTTTGGAAAGGCAGAGCAGATTTGAGAAGGTAGATTGAGGGATTTCATTTGGGAAATAGTAAGATTCAGTTGTTTATTAGATTTGTAAGTGGAGATGCAGGCAGTTGACTATATGAGACTGGAATATAGGAAAGATGTCTGGACTGAGAAATCTGAGATGTAAAAGGTTTTCAGGGATAATTTTGAGTTTATCTAATTTTCACTTTTAGCTGACAGTGTACGATCACATAAGATGCTTCTCCCTTACACTTTGTATAATTTGTAAAACACTTCCTGCTCAATGCAATCATTAAATATAAATATTGGAATTAGCATTTAACATTTTAAAATAGAAAATCAACTAGTTTTCTACCAACTGTAACAAAAAAATTAAAAACATATATTTCTAAGTTTGTCTCAGTTGATTTGAGTGATGAATCTCTTTCATCAGGGGCCAAAATTGGGTAAAATCTAACAGTGTAAGTAATTTTGATTTCACTACCATTGTTCTTCTCAGTCATTTACATGAAATAAAAATCTGGTTCAATCTTTAAGAGCCCACATGCCCAATCTGGCAGTGCATCTGTACAACAACTATTTGGAAATTATCCTGTTAACATGATCAATGGAGACTCTCACGGCAAATAACCCAGGCTTAAAAGTAGCATTATCTAAAGGATATTTATCAGCTTTTGAACTTAAAGTGTCTTTATTGTTTATTAATGGTGTATTACAATGTATTGTCCTCATTGCTGGTTGGAAGAAATTGTAATAAAATGAAATATAGAACAAATGCTCTAGTGTTTAATAAAACTACTTTATGCCACTCCCTTCCCCTATTAAAAAGGAGAACAGAAGAAGAGAGAGTCCTAAGTTACTCTCAAATGAAAAATGAGATGGATTCTTAATGGGGAAGGAAGAAAAAAGGCAAAAATTATTTTCCTTTAATATTATGTGCTCTTTATACAAAGTTCGTAAGTAATTAAATGAAACAGAATCAAGGAATTATTGTCTGACATAAAAATAATGTACCTATTTTGCCAAACAACCTCAACAAGCATCTTATTCCTTGAAGAAGCTGAGATATGTTCAAGGAACATTCAACAAAATATCAGAAATCCAGACTCTGCTCTCAAAAGGTCATTTATGTTTTGAGGAAACAAAAGTGAACAACAAAATGGACAACATCCCAAATGGTAAAACTGGATCTAGAAGTCTTGTACTTTTCCCTAGTTATAGTTCAGAACAGAATGTGAAATGAAAACATTATATATTAGAAAATTTTTGTATTTGCCAGTGATTCAAAGTAATGAAAAGGCTAAATCTGGCCACCTGACAGATCTTGCTTTTATTAGAGTATTCTGGTTTGGTAAATTGGAATTTGAGGCAGTTTATCTTCAATGCAATAATACCAGATTATATGGAAAAATAATAAAAAATGGTATTTCTCCTTTTCTGTGAGCAATTTACATTTGAGGGCTGAATAACTTGCTTCATATGAATTATGCAGTGGCTATTGTCTTATTGATATAATGGAAGAAGGCAACCACCACCACAGGATTTACTGATTCTGGGAACTGAAGGCAAAGTGTATTTCCTTTGGGAATTAGAGAAGGGCAGTGTATGTTTTAGCCACATTGATTTCATACAACCTAAAATCCATGGCCATTTAATTATTGTAAAATATGTTTGAAAAAGAAAAGTATAATAGAGTTGCAGGAGATACCATTTCTCAAGAATCACAAATTCAGGTATGTAAAATTATATATACATATTTTTCCCTATAATTAAACATAATTTCTACCTCCATACTTCATTTCCCCTGAGAGAAAGAAACGTTCTCTAGCCGCTTCCAGATAAACCTATTTTATTATCTAGAATTAAACTCAGCCAAGCTTCAGATAATCTTTCTCCTGCTTTTCCTGGAATAGGGTGGGTTAGATGGGGTATATTTCTTAGTTTTGATCTGTCCTGGCCTGCTGTCACTGAGAGGCCCGATCATTCCTTCACAGGCTGTTCAATCATTCCATCATGGCTATACTCATCTCCACCACTGTCATTCATCTGTTTGCACTCTCCTCTGCTGGAATCCACAGAGACTGTTATGTCCCCCATCTGGCCTCCAGCTTAAACAACCCATGCTTCCATCTGTGCCTGCATCCCTGTGCCATGTCTGTGAGACTTCTTCAGACCACCAATTCTCAGTATCATCCCTGCTTTTCTGGGGTCCATAGAAACATATTTAAGTGTTCATCCCCCACTGGGGCACTCTCTCTAAGACTGCATTCAGACCCATCTGCCTAGACACCCATCCAGTCATCTCTACTCTCTCTGCCTGGAGTGACACAAGTCTTCTTGTGCCATACTTACAGTTTCCTAGGCAACTGTGACAGTCTGTAAACTAATAATCCTCTCCTCTTTTCTCAATCCTCATGACCTAAAATGTTTAATCATCTTCTCCCAAGTGTTTGGAGGTGAATGCAGAGCAATCCATACTGGTATCTAACTTTCTTAGTGGTCAAACTCTCCCAACTTTACCATTAACTTAGAGGCCCTTCTCTAATCTCACTAAGCCAAGGTATTCTTCTTTCTGTGTCTTTCCTTTCTTACACCTGGTTGTAGCTTTTAGAATTGAATAACCAATGTTGTAACATTAAGTCCTATAGTTTCTTCAAGGAACCATTTTTTCTTCCTAACTAGGACATGGATGACCTAAATTCCATATTGCTCAAATGGAGTAGGATGACTGGATTTAAGAAAAAGAAAATAAAATGTTGAATGCTTCATATACCACCCTGGTGCATAGATGTTTTCTCTATCAATTTATCTTATTGATAAGAGCTTTGTAGTCAAATAAAAATTACTTTCAGTTCTAGTCATTTATTTATTTAACAAACATTATGTATCCTCTAAGTGTGAAGAAGTGTGCTTGGCACTAGGAATAATGATAAAAACAAAGATAGCCCCTGTCTTCATGGATCTTACAGTAATAAAAATAATGACAGTTCTATACTGTGAGTAATGCTATAAAATAAAAGTAGAAGGTCTTGGTCCTGTGTTGGCCTGGACAATTTCTGTAACAATGTTATGAGAATTAAAGAATGAGTTAGCCCAGTGAATACAGTGGACAGAGTGGTGGGGAGGAGAATGTTCTTGCAAGAGGGAACCCCACTATAAGACAAGGGAGGCTGCAGCGCAAAGAGCTGTGGGGAGAAGTGAAGCAAGAAGGGATTGGAGAGCCAGCTGGGGTCGAACAACACAATACCTGTGAGAAGGGAAAACCCCTGAAACATTTCACCCAAGAGAATGACATAATCAGATTTTCATCTTTTAAAAAATATCTGGCTACAGTGTAGAGAAGAGAATAGAAACTGTGCTCCTTACTAGCTCTATTTCTTCATCTCCAAAATAAAGATAATGCGAAGGGTTTGTCACCCATGTTCTCACTCATAGGTGGGAATTGAACAATGAGAACACATGGACACAGGAAGGGGAACATCACACACCGGGGCCTGTTGTGGGGTGGGGGGAGGTGGGAGGGATAGCATTAGGAAATATACCTAACGTTAAGTGACGAGTTAATGGTTGCAGCACACCAACATGGCACATGTATATATATGTAATAAACCTGCATGTTGTGCACATGAACCCTAAAACTTAAAGTATAATAAAAAAAAAAAGTGAAGGGTTTGTTATGAGAATTGAATGAAATAATGCATGTAAAGTACTTGGCATAATGCCTGACCCAGAGTAAATATTCAATGTGTTGTTATTACAATGATCAATGCACAATTTTGTAAAATGAAAATTCAGATTATCACAGTGCATTAAGAAGAGCATAAAAAGCTTTGTAGCCAAATTTGCATGCTTATGATTATGATTTTTTATTTATTGGCCCTGGGTTTCATATTCCATCTGAAATTCCACTTTCTCAGACAGAAATAGAGATAATCCTGCTTATTTTCTAATACTGTTATGGAATAAATACATTAATATATGTGAAAATGCCTGGCAAAGACTTGATATAGTTATCGTGAATATTTTTCTTCCCCTCTCCTTTTCCAGAAGAATTAACTCTTCAGGAGCTATTCAGTACACTTACAAAGTTGTGTTATGTACAATCCTTGGTGAATAGCTGCTTGATTACACTTACTGAGAGATTATTGGCCTAAAAGTATTAATTCCACTTCCCAAAGGGCCTAACTTGCTCTTACATGGCTCTTACATGGCTAGAAAACAGGGCTCATTATCAACAAGGAGATGGAGAAATAAGATGAGTCATCTCATTTTTAGCAGGAAGGTGGTCATACATCTAAAACGAATGGGATGAGGAAAGGATTAGAAAAAAATGGACAGTTTTCCCTCTTACCATTGAACTTTTGGTCATAAATAGAAAAGCAGAATCTTTAGAGCAGTGCGGTCTTTGACATGCAGACTTTTGACTTATACTTCTTTAGAAAAATTGTTTAGGGGAAAATTTGCAGATGTTGTCAAAGTGTTAACTACTTTCATGTTGCTAGTCTTATGGACAGCATATGCCTCTTCCAGGAACAAGGGTGAATACTCAAATCTTGAACAACAAAACTACTTTTCTAAAAGGGACACTGTAATTGAACAAATGGGAATAAATTTAGTCATTTCCATGGTCTTTCCAGACAGCCTTATCCTCTAAAGTATAAATTAGAGTGGCAGATGCACTGGAAGTTTTCCACATTGGTTTGTTAAAAGGTGAGTTGCTTGGTGCCAGCAATATTGCAAACCAGACAGAGGTGATTTGGCTTTCATGGGTCTGTGGGCCAACACTGAGCATAATTTAGAAGGAAAAGGCCATTCAGCCATTTGCCCTCTAAATCTCAGAGGCTGCTTAAATTTCAGGTTAGTTGTAGGAATGTGGATTAGTGCCAGCATTCACAGCTACAAAACTGGAAGAACTTAGAGATCATCCAATCCAAACCACTCATTTCATACGTGAAAGCACAGAAATGCTTGCCCAAATACTCATGTCCAGTTTGAGAAAAATTTAATACTGAAACCAAGGTGATAAACCCCCATCAAAATAACTAACCAGGCCCAAGTAAGATGGATAATAATGCAATATTTTCTTGCCTACCACATGCCATGTTAGCAAATCTTTAAAACAAACCTCAATGTCAAGCCATACCACTACCAAATCTTCAGATCCAAGATTCACTGTTGTTAAAAATATTTTACATTTGCTGAAATTGAGATGCATCTTACATTTTACATTATTGCTATTCATTAGCTAATGGCAAATCTGGAAAGCACTGATGTCTAGAGGTCAAGAAAATATTGATAATTTCTTTTTCACAGATAAGAACATTGATGTTTATAAGAGTTGTAAAGGTTATGCACTAGTATGTGACATAAATGAGGCCAGAATGCAGATGGGCTTGTCTCTGAAGCCCTGAATTGTTCCACTTCCCTCAACAAGCCTGGAAGTAAGAGTTGGTAACAGAATCCATGTCATCTGCACAGGACATTCATCAGTTGCTTACCCAAGAACTATCCCCACTCTGCCTACTACCTAAGAATCTTTCTTTAAGGAACTACCCTTTCCCCATTGCGTATCAGCCATGTAGTTTGAGTAGCGTAAGTCAAGGAATCCAATTTCCTTCATTTTATCACAGTGGTTGCTTCAGAAGTGAGCAAAACCTGACTGGCACCTGAGCTTACCCTGGACACAATGACAGGTTCAGGTTGGAAGAATCAGAGTAAAGTTGAAGAATTTTGTTAGTTTAGTGTGAAAAGCAATCACTCTCCTACTCCTGAATGCAAAGGAAGAAGCATGCAGCCCAGATTATTGCTGGCAGTCATACTTAGGATGCCAGCCTAAGATGACAGCAGACACATGACACAAGGCAGAGCTGAGACAATATCACAAAGAAACCGAGTCAAAGCCAGTTTATTATTAAACCAAGCCTGAAACCTGACATGGCTCTAGTGTTTTCAGTGATGTGAACAACAAATTTTCTTTATCATGAAAGCTACTTCAAGTTGGATTTTCTGTTATTTGCAACCAGTAAAAGAAACCTACCACTAACATCACCCAGGGTCAAACCTAAAGTTTGCCCAACATCAGAATATCATTCAATTCAAACCAAATGTGATATCATTAAGATGACCTAGTGCTCATCTAAACCTTATACCCTATCCGAGCTTATGCCCAAACATGTAACTACACTATACAACATAATTTTAATAAACAAATATGCCAGAAAAACATCAATTTACATTATAGCGTATAGCCTAATATTTTAAAGAAAAAAAAAACTAATGGCAAATCTCAAATCTACTTATATAACCATTGTAATGATTCCATTTATATAACCAATAGCCAATGAATTTATGATATTTTCATCCAAGTTTTATCACTATATAGTTCAAACTATTTGTAAAATCTGTCAACAATGGTAAATAGGGCCAACTATGGATAAAGTACTCCTCTTATACCCCAATAGCTTCCTAATTACCCACCGTCCCAATCCAGAGACCCCCCAGTCCTTGTGCCATTTCCTCCCCAGCAGTCCTCAGAGCTCTACTCAGGCCTGCTAGTCCTCAATATGCCCCTGACACGTCCTATTCTCCTTCTTTTATTAAAACATAACTATTTTTGTTCTACTTGCTCAAAACTTTGCTTTTAATATCCCAAGGTATTAAAAATATTACAGCAATTTTTACTATGTGTGGGGTTTGTTTATTTTTGAGACATAAATAGATCTGTTGCCCAGGCTAGAGTACAATGGTGCAGTCTTGGCTCACTGCAGCTTCTGCCTCCTGGATTCAAGTGATTCTCCTGTCTCAGTCTCCCAAGTAGCTGGGACTACAGGCATGCACCACGTTTAGCTAATTTTCGTATTTTTAGTAGAGACCAGGTTTCTCCATGTTGGGCATGCTGGTCTTAAACTCCTGACCTCAAGTGATCCACGTGCTTCAGTCTCCCAAAGTGCTGGGCTTACAGGTGTGAGCCACTGCACCTGGCCATATTTGTTCTTAAATTACTGGAAGACTGTCTGTAATTAATCCCTGCTCCCAGGCCTTCTCACTCTCCCTTAATAATATTTACCTATTCTTAGAATGATAATTTGTACATAATTATCATTATTAACAACATGTTTAGTTTCTGACTACTTAGTGACCTTATTGCTAGAAATTTCATTTCAGTTAGAAATAAAGCAGTTGGAGGAGAATGACATGGCTAGTTGATTGACTATTTGCAGAATAAGTAGAGGGCCTTTACATACCTCAAATATAAACTAACATCAATTGTGAGAGTCAGCTCTGAAAAATAAAGATTGGTTTGTATCTCTTACTCATCAGCACTGCTCCAACTTTAATGTTCTTACCTGCAATGGAATTACTCATATGCCAAATGAAGACTTTTTAGTTCAATTTGTTGATATGAGAAATAACTCTAAATTGTCAGTGGCTTTTCAGAGCAAGCATTGATTTCCTAACTCCTGCTTTATACTGGAAGCTGTTGGTTAGCTGCAGCTGCTGCAGCTCCAATCTACTCTATTCAGCTCTATTTGGCTCTGCTCTACAGGTCTTCTCATTCCAGAGTACAGGTTGAAGGACCAGCTCTTTCGGGGACATGCTGTTCTTATGGCACAGAAAAAGGAGCAGTAGCCAAAAATTCAATGGCTCTTAAAGTTTCTGCCAGAAAGTGGTATAATTTGCATCTTATTGGCTAAAGCAAGTAGCATAGCAAGTTTAATTTCAATGGAGAGAGCAAGTATATTCCTTCCACAGTTGGGGACTCTGCAAGTTACATGAAATTGGGGAGAATGTCTAATCTCTCAGAGGGAATCAAAGAATAAATAATTAGGGCCAAAAATATGATCTACCAGAGAAACTAAGCTATCTTTTGTTCTTTGATTATTGAGCTTAGTTTCCTGTGGCAGACTAATAAGTAGTCCCCTGAACTGTATCTTTTTTTCTCCTTGGCAGAGGTGGGTTACATTTCCCAGTCTCCCTTATGCTTAGGTTGAGGCATGTGTCTGAGATCTGATAAACAAAATGTGAGCAGAACAGTGTAAGCCACTGATAAGTTTGGCTTATAAAATGTTCCCACTCTCTTTCTCTTCTAAGGACCTAGGGGAGTGCAGAGCCACAGATAGAAGGAGCCAGAATTCCAAAGTCACTGCTTGGAGAAGAGATGCCCCCAAAGGTCCCATACCAGACCATGGTGCAAAATAAGCTTTTATTGTGTTGAGTCACCGAGGTTTCTATTTTTTTTCCAGGGATTAGACTGTTCTGGATAATTCAGTGCATAAATCAGATTCAGTCCATAAATCAAATTCCTCACTTTTTTTTTCTCTTTCACATCCATTTTAAGGAATTGACATTTTTCTTTCTATGAGCTATCCTAAATTACAACTTTTTTTCTTTTTCATTCTATTTAAAATAGTAGACCATCCAAGGAAATAATTACCTGATTGAGAAAAAAAGTGTTGGCCATATATTCAGGCAAATCCTAAGACATAACACATTCATGTTCAACCATGATACCATCCCAGAACGATATCAATTCCTCTTCCCAGGACCCTATGTAGAAACCAATTCCTACCTACCTTAAAATCTCATTCATTAAAGAACTATGCTGGATTCCCAGGCCAGGGTCTATTCTAGAAATTTATTTCTCATCTCATAAGGAAGAAGCAATAGGCCAGGACACACATGAACAAACTATTCGGCTATCTCAGGAAGTAATGGCTCACGCTCCTGATAAGACCTCACGTATCAACCATGTGCACTTTTGTTAAGCAATAAATGAAGAGTGCAAATATTTTTATCTTCCTCTATCCTCATAAAACCCTCTAAGGTGGCATAATTAACATTAGAGTAGTTAAAAACATACATAGATGTGAGCCAGACTGCCTGCTCTCCCATTTACCCCTTACTTCTTGTGACACTGAGGAAGTGATTTACCTTGTGATACCTCAGTCTCTGCATCAATAAAATAAAAATAATAATATTATCTCACAATTTTCTTATAATTAAATGTGTTGATATTTGTAAAGCACTTAGAATACAAGCAGACCCATGGTGAATGCGAGATAAACAGCAATTGCTTTTTTAAAATTATTTTTACTTTAGTGATAAGAAATCTAAAGCTCAGATAAACTATTTTTCCAAGATCATGTGGCTCATAACTGACACAAGTAGAACTGAAATTGGGTTATTAACTTTTTCAACTTTACAGTCTGTATCTTGTCTTTTTAAGCACATTTATAAGGACCTAAAACTAGACTTGTAAACTAAGGCATTATTGATTCATAAAAAATACTATTATCTTCCTGGCTACCAAGGTCCATCTACTGTGAGCTACATCCAAAACTCAAACCACAATCACAGGACTGAAAATGTTTCCAACACTAGTGTCTGTCAGTTTTTGCTATGTTTATAGGGAGATGGTTACTGACTCATTTTGACTTCATAAAACGTAGTGCCCATGGGTGGAGCTAGGAAATGTAATGAAATTAAACCCATCAGAAGAAAAATATTTAAAACAAAATGTCAACCTGGCTCCATATTACAGCCAATACATCAATGGTGGTTACCCGCAGAAAGAGCTCAGTCCTCATTCTTCTTCATTTCTGTAGCTCTCTTCTAGGGAACCTCTACTTTGCCCTTGAGGCTCATAAGTATGTTTCAAGATGAGAAAGTATATCCATTATTTTTAATATAATGCTTCTCTCCCCAAAGTGTGTTCCCTTGAGAATAATAAACTTCCTGTTAGAAATTGAGTCTTGGCATAAGCCTTCTCAATTTGCTAGGAAGGGAAATACACCATGAAAGTAGGTAGCAGAGCAAGGTGAACACTCCATCTAATAAGCCAAGGATTAACAGAAATCAAGACTTTCCTAAAGAAAATCAGGTAGTTAGTCTAATGAAGAAACAACAACAAAAAAGAAATTTACTCAGACTCTTATTTTCTTGCCCCTCTTGTTAAATATCCTTTAGGACCTATGTTGGTGAAGGATTTGTTTACCAGAATGATACAACGATACCAATTCCTTTTCCTAGGACCCTGTGTAGAAACCAATTCCTACCTACCTTCAAATCTTATTCATTAAAGAACTAAGCTAGATTCCAGGCCAGGGTCTATTCTAGAAATTTATTTCTCATCTCATAAGGAAGAAGCAGCATGCCAGGACACACATGAACAAACTGTCCAGCTATCTCAGGAAGTTAATTTTCTATCAAATTAAACAACAGTTCTTACTTATCCAGCCTCATCTCTGCCCACAGACATCCTCCCAAATTAGGTTTCTCTTTCCCTGTCTTGTCATCTGACAATTTCTACTCATCATTTGGGTTTTCATTTAAACATTGTGTCCCACACCACCCACAACAGCAACACCCAACCAATGTCTTTGGAGCTTGGTCAAAAGTCTCTCAAGAGAGGGAGGTGGCCGGGCGCAGTGGCTCACGCCTGTAATCCCAGCACTTTGGGAGGCTGAGGTGGGTGGATCACTAGGTCACGAGATCGAGACCATCCTGGCTAACATGGTGAAACTCCCTCTCTACTAAGAATACAAAAATTAGCTGGGCGTGGTGGCGGGCGCCTGTAGTCCCACCTACTCGGGAGGCTGAGGCAGGAGAATGGCATGAACCCAGGAGGCAGAGCTTGCAGTGAGCCGAGATCATGTCACTGCACTCTAGCCTGGGCCACAGAGCAAGACTCCGTCTCAAAAAAAAAAAAAAAGAAAAGGAGGTGATGTTGGAATAGACAGTCCCCAACTCATGCCCCACCCCCCTATAGCAGTGTTAACTTGGCAGTCATCTATGGACAAAATTGCCTTTGTGAGAGCTTTGGGAGCCTGGCAGGAGGTTGCAAATCCCTAGTGGAATGCAATACTGAAGAGGACTGTTTTGATAGGATAGGCCCACACCCAGGTGTCAGGCTTGCCAACGGCAGTCTCAGCCACAGACAAGGAACTGACCTCACTCCCCTGTGTACTTGGCTATAGTCACACTTGCCTTTGGTCTTGTCACTAGAAACATCTGCCAAGATATCTGGTATGAATCACACACACCCATGCCTCAGATGACAAGCCAGCCAAATTCTGTACCAGCTGTAGATCCTGAAACAACCCTATTACTTGGCCCCAGCCCTTCTTAGCTGGGGTCTGAGAGAATTCCTGACAATCCAGGGTTTCACCACAGGACCCACACCCTTCTGTGCCCCCCAAAAGGCAAGGCTACAGACTTCAGTCTTACAGCAGGTCTTAAAATAACCCTATAACTTAGCTTCACACCTTCTTAGCTGTGTTTTGGAAATGGTACTGCCTGCCCATGTACCCACCAGATGAGATACTTATTTGCACTCCCAGAGTCAGGCTGGCCCAACATTGGCCCAACTGCAGATTTTGAAGCTGCCCTATGTCCTGGCTCCACCCCTGCTAAGCCAGGATTGGAACATTAATGCCTGCCCAGGAACGTCACAGGAGGCATGCTCCTCCATGACCCAGAGGCAGGCCTGCAGACCTAGATCTTCACTGTAGACTTAGAAATACCCCTGTGACATGGTCCAAGGCCCTCTCAGGTACACTCCCAATCCAGTCTTGCCTGCCCAAGAACCCATCCACTAACCCAGTGGAAGCTCTCCTCAGGACCCAGAAGGAATCACATCTATCCATGTACCTCATAGCAGTCCTACCAACCACAGACCACACTGCAGCCTCAGTAGCAGCCACATGTCCTTGTTCCAACTGCACTTGACTATAATTCCAGAGACAATCCCATCATCACAAGGACCCAGCAAGAGGTCTTTACCTGCAATACAGCTTGTAGATACTGGACAATGTGTTTTCTCTTTCACATGCACAGACACTACCACAAGACTACGCAGATAACAATGAATCAGGTAAACATAACACCACCAAATGAAACCTAATAAACTCTAGTAACCACAAAGAAATTGAGAGCTAGGCATTGCCTGACAAAGAATTTGAAATAATCATTTTAAAGAATTCCCGTGTTACACAAGAGAACACATATAGACAACTAAATAGAATAAGGAAAATCACTCATGAAGAAAATTAGAAGTTTCTTTAAGAAAGGAAACCCATGAAAAATGACCAAATAGGAATTTTAAGGCTGAAAAATACAATGACAGAACTAAAAAGTTAAAATAGAAAGCTTCAAAATCAGAATTGAACATATAGAAGAAAGACTCAGTAAACTTGGAGAAAGGTGGTTTAAAATTAGCCAATTAGAGGAACACACAAAGAAAAATGAATAAGAGCAAAGCAAGCATAAATGACCTCTGGGACATCATCAAGTGAACAAATACACAATTTTTAGAACAATTAGAAGAAGAGAAAAGAAAAAGGAGGAACGTTTATTTAAAGAAATAATGGTTGAAAACTTCCCAAATCTTAGGAGATACATGCACATCCATATTGATAAAGCTCAAAGAACTCCAAGCATGTTCAAACTGAAGAATATCCTGAGGCATGTTATAATCAAATTGTCCAGAGTCAAAGACAAACAGGGAATCTTGAAAGAAGCAGGAGAAAGAGACACTCATCACATAAAAGGCAATCTCCATAAGGCTACTACTGAACTTCTCAGCAGTAAACATACAGTATAATAAAAAGTAGTATATAGTCGAAGTGCTGAAAGGAAAAAAAAAAATCTGTCCACCAGGAATACTACACCCAGCAAAATTATTCTTTAAAAATGAAGGAGAGATAAAGACATTTCCAGACAAACAAGCTGAGGGAGATTATCACCACTAGATCTGCCTTAGAAGAAATACTAAAGGCAGTTCTTCAAGTTGAAACAAAAAAATGGTAAGCAACAATATGAAATATATAAAAGTATAAAACTCAATGGTATAGGTAAATATATAGCCAAATTCAGAATACTCTAATACTGTAATTATGTTGTATTGTATATATGACCTTCAATCCTTCAATAAAAGTAAAAAGACAAAGGTATTCAAAATAACTACAGCTACAATAATTTGTTAATGGATACTCAATATAAAAAGATGTAAAGACCTCAGTATCATAAAAATACCTCAGAAGTAAAAGTGTAGACTTTTCATATGCAATTATAATTAAGTTATCATCTTAAAATAGAATAACTATAAGATGTTTTATGAAAGCTCCATGGTAACCAGAAAGAAAATAACTTTTAGTATATTCACAAAAGAGAAAGAGAAAGGAATGAAAATATGTCACTACAAGGCCAGGCACAGTGGCTCATTCCTGTAAGCCCAGCACTTTGGATGGCCAAGGTGAGTGGATTGCTTGAGTCCGGAAGTTCAAGACAATCCTGGGCAACATGATGAAACCCCATCTATTATTTTATAAAAAATTAACTTTTAAAAATGTTAAATGTATTTTTAAAAAGTATATCACTACAGAAAATCATCAAATCACAAAAGAAAAACAAAAAGACAGGAAGAAAGGAACAAAAGATTTACAGAATGATCAGAAAACAATTAACAACATAGCAGTAGTCTTTACCTATCAAAAATTACCTTGAAGGTAAATGAGTTAAATTGTCCAATCAAAAGGCAGGGTTGCTGAATAAATAAATAAATAAAGCTTTAATTATATGCTGCCTATAAGAGACACAGCTTAGCCTCAAGGGAACACATCATTGACAGTGAAGGGATGAAAAAAAAATTCTGTTCAAATTATGACCAAAGGAGAGTGGGAGCAGGATATACTTATAAAGAAATAGACATTCAGTCAAAACCTGTCACAAGAGGCAAAGAAAGTCACTGTTTGATAAGTCAATTCATCCAGAGACTATCATAATTACAAATATATATGCACCCAACATGGAAGCACCTAAATATATAAAGCAAATATTAATGGAAATAAAAGGAGAAACAGACAGCAATACAGTAATTGTAGGAAATTTCAATATTGCACTTTCAGCAATGGATAGATTACCCAGAGATAAAATCAGTAAGGAAATAGATTTGAACAACTTGAACACTATAGACCAAATGAACCTAACGGATATATACAGAATATTCCACACAAGAGCAGCAGAATGTACATTTTTCTCAAATGCACACAGAATATTCTCCAAGATAGATTATACGTTGGGATACAAAAAAAGCCTTAAAAATTTTTATAAGACTGAAATAATATCAAATATCTTTTCCAACCACAATGATATGAAACTAGAAATTAGTAACAGGATATATTCTGGAAAATTCACAAATATGTGAAAATTAAACAACAGACTCTGAACAACAAATCTAAGAAGTCAAACAAGAAGTCAAAGAGGCAGAGCAAGATGACTGAATAGAAGCCTCCACAACACCACAGGAACACCAAATTAAACAAATATCCACACACAAAAAAGCACCCTCATAGGAACCAAAAATCAGGTGAATGAGCACATTACTTGGGTTTAACTTCGTATCACTGAAAGAGGTATTGAAGACAGTAGGAAAGACAGTCTTGAAATATCAATGACACCCCTTCCCCATCACTCAGCAGCAGCCATGTGGTGCAGAGAAAGAATCTGTGCATTTGGAGAAGGGAGAGCACAGTAACTGTGGGACTTTGCATTGGAACTCAGTGTTTCCCCATTACAGCAGAAAGCAACATAAGGCAGAATTCAGCTGGCATCCACCAAGGGAACATTTGGACCAGCCCTACCCAGCGGGGAATCGTGCATCCCAGCAGTTGGAACCTGAGTTCTCACAAGCCCCACCACTGCAGACTGAAGTGTTCTGGGGTCCTAAATAAAGTTGAAAAGTAGTCTGGGCAACAAGGACTGCAATTCTTAGGCAAGTGGTAGTGCTGTGGTGGAATCAGACCCAGTAGACTTGGGGAGCACATGACCAAATTAGACATCAGCTGGGGCAGCCAAAGGATTGTTTGTGCCACCCCTTTACCAACCCAAGCAGGGCAGCTCACAGTTAAAAGAGAGACTCCTTCCCTCTGCTTGAGAAGAGAAGAGAAGGAAGAGTAAAGAGGACTTTGTCTTGCAATTTGGATACCAGCTCAGCCACAGTAGGAAAGGTCACCAGAAAGGGTCCTGAGGTCCCTATTCCAGGTGCTAGTTTCCAGATATTTCTAGACACATTTTGGGCCAGAAAAGAACCTGCTGCTTGAGAAGAAGGCCCCAGTCCTGGAAGGATTCATCCCTTGCTGACTAAAGAGTCCTTGAGCCCATAATAATCAGTAGTGGTACCTTGCAGTACTAGCCACGGGCATTTGGTAAGACTCAGAAAGGTGCTGGCTTCAGAGTGACCCAGCACATTCCCAGCTGTGGTGGCCATGGTGAGGAACTCCTTCTGCCTAAGAAAAGGAAATGGAAGAGTAAAAAGGACTTTGTCTTGCAGTTTAGGTACAGCTTGGCCACAGTGGGATAGAGTACCAACTGGCCTTTTGAGGTCCCTAATTCCAGGCCTTGGCTCTTGGACGGTGTTTCTTAAACTGCCCTGGGCCAAAGAGAAGCCCACTGCCATGAAGGGAGAGTCGTAGGCCTGGTAATGTTCACCACAAGTTGACTGAAAAGCTGCAGGACCTTGAATTAACATTGGCAGTAACCATGAAGTACTTGCCATGGGCCTAGAGCAGTGGTGGCCATGGGGAGAGACTCCTCTGCTGGAGAAAACAGGAGGGAAGAGTGGGAAGGACTCTGTCTTGTGGCTGGGGTGCCAGCTAAGCTGCAGCCAAATAGAGTACCAGGTAGAAAACTATGCTTTCTGACTCTAGACACTGGCTCCCAGATAGCAACTCTGGACACACCTAGGACCAGGGAGGGCCGGGGATGAACTTGTCATCTTGAAGAGAAGAACACAAGCCTGGATGGCTTTGCCACCTGCTAATTATGTCATGTGACTCTCTCCATTTTTCACTAGATATACTATTCTAGGATAAAAGCTTTTTTTCTTTCAAGTGATGAAAGATGAGGGATTTTATCAACACCAGACCTGTCCTACAATAAATGCATTTACATTGAATGTAAATGGACTAAATTATCCAATTGAAAGTAAATTGACTAAATTATCCAATCAAGGGACACAGAATGGCTGAATAGATTTAAAAAAAAAAAGACCTAACAATCTGTTGCCTACAAGAAACACCTTTTTCCCAAAAACACACTAACAGACTGAAAATAAAAGGAATGGAAGAAGATATTCCATGCAAATAGAAGCCAGGAAACAGCATGAGTTGCCATACTTAAATTAGAAAAAATTGATTTCAAAATAAAAACTACAAAAAAGAGGCAAAGAAGGTAATTATATAATGATAATGGGGTCAATTTAGCAAGAGTATATAACACTTGTAAATATATATGTACCTAACCCTGGAGTGCTTATATCTATAAAACAAGTATTATTCAAGCAAAAGAGAGAGATAAACCTCAATACAATAATGGTTGGAGGGTCAATACCCCACTTTCAGCATTGGACAGATCATCCAGATAGAAAATCATCAAATAAATGTCAGACTTAATCTGCTCTATAGCCCCAATGGACCTGATGGATATTTAGACAACATTTCATCCAATGGCTGCAGAATATACATACTTCTCCTCATCGCATAATTTATTCTCAATGAAAGACCATGTTAGCCCACAAAACAAGTCTTTAAAATGTTTTTCAAATAGAAAGCATATCAACTGTATTCTCTGACCACAGTGGAATAAAATTAGAAATCAGTAATAAGAATTTTGGAAGCTATACAAAGACATGGAAATTACGCAATATACTACTGAAAACCAGAAATCAATTTTAAAAAAATTAAGAAGGACATTAAGAAATTTCTTGAAACAAATGATAATGAAAACACAACATACCAAAACCTGTGAGATACAACTAAAGCAGTACTAACAGGAAAGTCTACAGCTATAAATGCCCACATCGAAAAAGAAAAAAAAAAACTTTGAATAAACAAACAATGCATATAAGAGAACTATAAAGGCAAGAGAAAACCAAACCCAAAATTAGTAGAAGAAAAGAACTTCGAAAAAGTTCAGAACGTAAATGAAATTTAAACAAAGAAAACACAAAAGATCGAAAAAATGAAAAGTTAGTTTTTCAAAGAGATCAACAAAATTGACAAACCTTTAACCAGACTAATTCAAAAAAGAGAAAAGACCCAAATAAATAAAATCAGAGATAAAAAAGGAGATATCACTGATACTACAAAAATTCAAAGGATCATTAGAGGCTACTATGAGACTATATGCTAATGAACTGAAAAATCTAGAAGAAATGGATAAATGTCTATACACTTATCACCTACCAAGACTGAACCATGAAGAAATCCAAAGCCTGAACAGACAAATAACAAATAATGAGATGGAAGCCATAATAAAAATTCTCACTGTAAAGCCCAGGACCTAATGGCCTCATTGCTGAATTTCATCAAACATTTAAAGAACTAATACCAACCCTACTCAAACTATTCTGAAACACAGAGGAAGAGGTAATACTTTCAAACTCATTCTAAAAAGCCAGTATTACCCTAATACCAAAACCAGATGAAGACACATCAAAAAAAAAAAAACAAAAAACTACAGTCCGATACCCCTGATGAACATAGATGTAAAATCCATAACAAAAATACTACCAAACTGAATTCAATAACACATTAAAAAGATTATTAATCATGACCAAGTGGGATTTATCCCAGGGATGCAAGGATGGTTCAACATATGCAAATTAATTAATGTGATACATCATAACAGAATGAAGGACAAAAGCCATGTGATCATTTCAATTAATGCTGAAAGAACATTTGATAAAATTAAACATCCCTTCATAATAAAAACCCTCAGAAAACTGGGAGTAGAAAAAATATACCTCACACAATAAAAGTCATATGTGAGAGACACACAGCTAATATCATACTCAATGGGGAAGAACTGAAAGCCTTTCCACTAATATTTGGAACATGGCAAGCATGCCCACTGTCAGCACTGTTATCCAATATAGTAATGGAAGTCTAGCAAGAGTAACAAGACAAGAGAAAAACATAAAAGGCATCCAAATTAGATAGGAAGAAGTCATATTATCCTTGTTTGTAGAAGATATAATCTTGTATTTAGAATAACCTAAAGATTCAGTAAAGTTGCAGGATACAAAATCAACACAAAAAAACCAGTAACATCTCTATATACCAACAGTAAACAATATGAAAATGAAATCAAGAAAGTAATCCCATTTACAATATCTACACATAAAATACCTAGTAATTAACTAAAGAAGTGAATTATCTCTATAATAAAAACTATAAAACATTAATAAAGGAAATTGAAAAGGATGCATAAAAATGGAAAGATATTCCGTGTTCATGGATTGGAAGAATCAATACTGTTAAAATGTTCATATTACCCTCAAAGCAATCTACAGATTCAATGTAGTCCCCATAAAATACCAATGATATTCTTCACAGAAACAGAAAAAAAAAATCCTAAAATTTATATGGAACCACGAAGACCAAGAATAGCCAAAACTATCCTGAGTAAAAAGAACAAAATTAGAGGAATCACATTATCTGACTTCAAATTATTCTGCAAAGCTATAGGGACCAAAACAGCATGACACTGTCATAAATACAGATACATCAATCAATGTAACAGAATAGAGAACCCAGAAATAAATTCGCATGCCTAGAGTGAACTCATTTTGACAAAGGTGACAAGAATATACATTCAAGAAAGGACAGTTTCTTCAGTAAATGGTGCTGGGAAAACTGGATATCCATTTGCAGAAGAATGATATTAGACCCCTATCTCTCACAATACACAACAATTAAATCAAGTGGATGAAATATTTAAATCTAAAACCTCAAGCTATAAAACTATTAAAAGAAAACACTGGGTAAGCCCTCCAGAACACTGGACTGGACAAGGATCTCTTGAGTAATACCCTACAAGCACAGATGCTTGTAGATACCCTAAAACATCAAAGCAAAAATGAACAAATAGGATCATATTATGTTAAGAACCTTCTGCACAGCAAAGGAAACAATGAAAGTGAAGAGATAACCCACAGAATATGAGAAAATATTTGTAAATTATCCATCTGACAAGAGATAAATAACCAGAATAAAGAGTTCAAACAACTCTATAGGGAAAACAATCTAATAATATGATTTTAAGATGGGTAAAAATCCGAATATACATTTCTAAAAAGAAGGCATACACGTGGCAAACAGGTATATAAAAAGATGTTCAGTATCACTTATTATCAGAAAAATACAAACTAAAACTGTAATGAGATTTCATCTCATCCCAGTTAAAATGGCTTGTACCTAAAAAACAGGCAGTAACAAACGCTAGCAAGGATGTGGAGAAAAGGGAACCCTCAGGCACTGTTGGTGGGAATGTACATTAGTACAACCGCTATAGAAAAGAGTTTGGAGGTTCCTCAAAAAACTACAAATAAAACTTCCATATATTCCAGAAATCTCACTACTAAGTATAAGCCCAAAAGAACGAAAATCAGTATATTGAAGAGATAACTGGACTCCCATGTTTATTTCCATGCTATTCACAATAGTCAAGATTTGGAAGCAACCTAAGTGTCCATTGACTCATGAATGAATAAAGAAAATGTGGTACATACACACAATAGAGTACTATTCAGCCATAAAAAAAGACTGAGATCCTGTCATTACCAACAACATGGATGGAACTGGAGATCATTCTCTTAGGTGAAATAAGGCAGGCAAACATCATATGTTTTCTTTATTTATTTTTATTATACTTTAAGTTCTAGGGTACAAAAAAATCACTTATTTTTCACTTACTTACGTTTTCACTTATTTATGTTTATTTTTCACTTATTTATGTTTTCACTTATTTATAGGAGATAAAAATTAAAACAATTGAACTCCTGGAGATAGAGAGTAGAATGATAGTTACCAGAGTGTGGGATGGGTAGTTGGGGGGTGGAGTTGTGATGGGTAATGGGTATAAAAATATAATTAAATAAAATAAATAAGACCTAGTATTTTATAGCACAACAGGGTGACTACAGTCAACAATAATTTAGTGTACATTTAAAAATAACTAAAAGGGTATTATTGAATTGTTTGTAACACAAAGAAATGATGACTGCTTGAGGTGGAGGATCCCCCATTTACCCTGATGGGATTATTATGCATTCTACACCTGTATCAAAATATCTCATGTACTCAGTAAATATATATACCTACTGTATACCCAGAAAATTTTTTTTTAAATTTAAATGAAGTCAAAAATTATCTTGAGACACATGAAAAGAGAACCACAACATAACAATACTTATGGGATGCAACAATATCAATTTTAAGATGGAAGCTTAGAGTAATAAATGCCTACATTAAAAAAGAAAAATCTGAAATAAACAACCTTTCTTTTTATCTTGAAGAGAGAGCTAGAGAAAAAAAACTGAACCCAAAGTGAACAGACAAAAAGAAATAATAAATATCAGAGCAGAAATAAATGACATAAAAACTAGAAAAATGATCAAAAAGATCAATGGAACTAAGAGTTAGTTTTTTGAAAAGATAAACACAATTAACAAAGCTTTACCTAGATTATCCAAAAACCAAGAGAGATTATTCAAATAAATAAAACCGTAAATGAAAAAGGAGTTTCTACATCAGTACCACAGATTTACAAAGGATCCTAAGAAACTGCTATGAACAATTATACACCAACAAATTGGATAACCTAGAAGAAGAGTAAATCTTAGAAACATACAATCCACCAAGACAAAAACATAAAGAAGTAAAAATTCTGAACAGACCACTAATGAGTAAGGCAATTAAATCAGTAGTTAAAAATCTCCCAACAAAGAAAAGCTCAGACCAGATGGCTTGAGTAAACTCTACCAAGCATTTAAAGAAACACTAATATAAATTTTTCTCAAACTCTTTCAAAAAATTGACTAGGAAGGAGTACTTTCAAACTCACGAGCATTACCCTCATAGCAAAGCCAGATAAGAACAAAATAATGAAATTATAGGCCAATATTCCTTATGAACATTGATGCAAAGATGAACAAAATTCTAGTAAAGCAAATCCAACAGCACATTAAAAGGATCATACTGGGTGCCTGGAATCCCAGAGAGACAGAACTGTTCACTCCCCTGGAAAAGGGGCTGAAGCCAGGGAGCCAAGTGGTCTTGCTCAGCGGATCCCACCACCATGGAGACCAGCAAACTAATATCCACTGGCTTTTCTGAAATTCTCCCTGCCAGCACAACAGTCTGAAGTTGACCTGGGATGCTCAAGCATGGCTGGGGGAGGGAGTCTGCCATTACTGAGACTTGAGTAGGTGGTTTTCCCCTCACAGTGTAAACAAAGCCTCCAGGAAGCTTGGACTGGGTGGAGCCCACCACAGTGCTGCAAAGCCACTGTAGCCAGACTGCCTCTCCAGATTCCTCCTCTCTGCGCAGGGCATCTCTGAAAGAAAGGCAGCAGCCCCAGTCAGGGGCTTACAGATAAAACTCCCATCTCCCTGGGACAGAGCACCTGCGGGAAGGGGTGGCTGTAGGCGCAACTTGAGCAGACTTAACCGTTCCTGCCTGCTGGCTCTGAAGAGAGCAGTGAATCTCACAACACAGCGTTTGAGCCCTGCTAAGGGACAGACTGCCTCCTCAAGTGGGTCCCTGACCCCTGTGTCTCCTGATGAGGAGACACCTCCTAGCAGAGGTCAACAGACACCTCATCCAGGAGAGCCCCAGTTGGCATCTGGCAGGTGTGCCTATGGGACGAAGCTTCCAGAGGAAAGAGCAGGCAGCAATCTTTGCTATTCTGCAGCCTCCCCTGGTGATACCCAGGCAAACAGGGTCTGGAGTGGACCTCCAGCAAACTCCAGTAGACCTTCAGAAGAGGGGCCTGATTGTTAGAAGGTAAACTAACAAAGAGAAAGCAATAGCATCAACATCGACAAAAAAGATGACCATGCAAAAACCCCATCCAAAGGACACCAACATCAAAGATCAAAGGTAGATAAATCCATGAAGATGAGGAAAAACCAGCACAAAAAGGCTGAAAATTCCAAAAACCAGGATGCCTCTTCTCCTCCAAAGGATCACAACTCCTCACCAGCAAAGCAACAAAACTGGACAAAGAACGAGTTTGGTGAATTGACAGAAGTAGGCTTCAGAAGGTGGGTAATAACAAACTACTCCGAGCTAAAGGAGCATACTCTAACTCAATGCAAGCAAGCTAAGAACCTCAATAAAAGGTTACAGGAACTGCTAACTAGAATAACCAGTTTAGAAAAGAACATAAATGACCTGATGGAGCTGAAAAACACAGCACAAGAACTTTGTGAAGCATACAAAACTATCAATAGCCAATTGATCAAGCAGAAGAAAGGATATCAGACATTGAAGACCAACTTAATGAAACAAAGCATGAAGACAAGATTAGAGAAAAAAGAATGAAAAGAAATAAACAAAGCCTTGAAGAAATATGGGACTATGTAAAAAGACCAAACCTACATTTGATTGGTATACATGAAAGTGACAGTGAGAATAGAACCAAGTTGGAAAACACACTTCAGGATATTATCCAGGAGAACTTCCCCAACCTAGCAAGGCAGGCCAACATTCAAATTTAGGAAATACAGAGAACACCACTAAGAAACTCCCTGAGAAGAGCAACCCAAAAGACACATAATCATCAGATTCACCAAGGTTGAAAAAAAGGAAAAAATGTTAAAGGCAGCCAGAGAGAAAGGACGGGTCACCCACAAAGGGAAGCCCATCAGACTAACCGCAGATCTCTCTGCAGACACCCTACAAGCCAGAAGAGGGTGGGGGCCAATATACAACATTCTTAAAGAATTTTCAACCCAGAATTTCATATCCAGCCAATCTAAGCTTCATAAGTGAAGGAGAAAAGAAATACTTTACAGACAAGCAAATGCTGAGGGATTTTTTTCACCACCAGCCTGCCTTCCAAGAGCTCCTGAAGGAAGCACTAAATATGGAAAGGAAAAACTGGTACCAGCCACTGCAAAAAACATACGAAACTGTAAAGACCATCGAAACTATGAAGAAACTGCATCAACTAATGGGCAAAATAACCAGTTAGCATCATAATGACAGTAACAAATTCACACATAACAATATTAACCTTAAATGTGAATGGGCTAAATGCCCCAATTAAAAGACACAGACTGGCAAACAGGATGAAGAGTCAAGACCCATTGGTGTGTTGTATTCAGGAGACCCATGTCATGTGCAAAGATACACACAGGCTCAAAATAAAGGCATGGAGGAAGATATACCAAACGAATGGAAAGCAAAATAAAAGCAGGGATTGCAATCCTAGTCACTGATAAAATGGACTTTAAACCAACAAAGATCAAAAAAGACAAAGAAGGGCATTACATAATGGTGAAGGGATCAATGCAACAAGAAGAGCTAACTATCCTAAATATACATGCACTGAATACAGGAGCACCCAGATACATAAAGCAAGTTCTTAGAGACCTAAAAAGAGACTTAGACTCCCACACAATAATAGTGGGAGACGTTAACACCCCACTGTCAATATTAGACAGATCAATGAGGCACAAAATTAACAAGGATATTCAGGACTTGATTTCAGCTCTGGACCAAGCAGACCTAATAGACATCTACAGAACTCTCCACTCCAAATCAACAGAATATACGTTCTTCTCAGCACCACACAGCACTTACTCTAAAACTGAGCACATAATTGGAAGTAAAACACTCCGCAGCAAATGCAAAAGTACAGAAATCATAACAAACAGTCTCTCAAACGACAGTGCAATCAAGTTAGAACTCAGGATTAAGAAACACTCAAAACTGTACAATTACATGGAAAATGAACAACCTGCTCCTGAATGACTACTGGGTAAATGGCAAAATTAAGGCATGAATTAAGAAGTTCTTTGAAACCAATGAGAACAAAGACACAATGTACCAGGCTAAAGCAGTGTTTAGAGAGAAATTTATAGCACCAAATGCTCACATCAGAAAACAGGAAAAATCTAAACATCACAATTCAAAGAACTAGAGAAGCAAGAGCAAACAAATTCAAAAGCTAGTAGAAGACAAGAGATAACTAAGATCAGAGCAGAAATGAAGGATATAGAGAAATGAAAATCTCTTCAAAAAAAAAATCAATGAATCCAAGAGCTGGTGTTTTGAAAAAATTAACAGAATAGATTGCTAGCAAAACTAATAAAGAAGAAAAGAGAGAAGAATCAAATAGACACAATAAAAAATGATGAAGGAGATATATCACCACTGATCCCACAGAAATATGAACTACCATCAGAGAATACTATAAGCACCTCTATGCAAATAAACCAGAAAATCTAGCAGAAATGCATAAATTCCTGGACACATACACCCTCCTAAGACTAAATCAGGAAGAAGTCAGATCCCTGAATAGACAAATAACAAGTTTTGAAATTGAGGCAGTAATTAATAGCCTACCAACCAAAAAAAGCCCAGGACCAGATGGATTCACAGCCGAATTCTACCAGAAGTACAAAGAGGAGCTGGTACCATTCTTTCTGAAACTATTCCAACAATCCAAAAAGAGGGACTCCTCTCTAACTCATTTTATGAGGCTAACATCACCCTGATACCAAAACCTGGCAGAAACACAACAACAACAACAACAACAACAACATTTCATGCCAATATCCCTCATGAACATCCGTGCAAAAATCCTCAATAAAATACTGACAAACCGAATCCGGCAGCACATTAAAAAGCTTATCCACCACGATAAAATTGGCTTCATCCCTGGGATGCAAGGCTGGTTCAACATACACAAATCAATAAAAGTAATCCATTATATAAACAGAACCAATGACAAAAAACACATGATTATCTCAATAGATGCAAAAAGGACTTGATAAAATTCAACACCCCTTTATGCTAAGAACACTCAAAAAACTAGGTATTGATTGAACATATCTCAAAATAATAAGAGCTATTTATGACAAACCAAGAGCCAATATCATACTGAATAGGCAAAAGCTGAAAGCCTTCCCTATGAAAACTGGCACAAGACAAGGATGTCCTCTCTCACCACTCCTATTCAACATAGCATTGGAAGTTCTGGCCAGGGCAATCAGGCAAGAGAAAGAAATAAAGGGAATTCAAAAAGGAAGAGAGGAGCTCAAATTTTCTCTGCAGACGACATGATTGTATATTTAGAAAACCCCATCTTCTCAGCCCAAAATCTCCTTAAGCTGATAAGCAACTTCAGCAAAGTCTCAGGATACCAAATCAGTGTGCAAAAATGACAAGCATTTCTATACACTAATAGTAGACAAACAGAGACCCAAATCATGAGTGAAGTCCCATTCACAATTGCTACAAAAAGAATAACATACCTAGGAATACAAGTTACAAAGGATGTGAAGAACTTCTTCAAGGAGAAGTACAAATAACTGCTCAAGGAAATAAGAAAGGATGCAAACAAATGGAAAAGCATTCCATGCTCATGGATAGAAAGAATCAATATCGTGAAAATAATCATACTGCCCAAAGTAATTTACAGATTCAATACTATTCCCATCAAGCTACCATTGACTTTCTTCACAGAATTAGAAAAAACTACTTTAAAGTTTAAAAGGAACCAAAAAAGGCCCATATAGCCAAGACAATCCTAAGCAAAAAGAACAAAGCTGGAGGCATCATGCTACCTGACATCAAACTATACTACAAAGCTACAGTAATCAAAACAGCATGCACTGTTACCAAAACAGATATATAGACCAATGGAACAGAACAGAGGCCTCAGAAATAAAACCATTTACAACCATCTGATCTTTGATAAACCTGACAAGAACAAGCAATGGGGAAAGGATTCCCTATTTAATAAATGGTGTTAGGAAAACGTGCCAGCAATACGCAGAAAACTGAAACTGGACCCCTTCTTTACACTTCATACAAAAATTAACTCAAGATGGATTAGATATTTAAATGTAAGACCTAAAAAACATAAAAACCCTAGAAGAAAACCTAGGCAATGCCATTCAGGACATAGGCATGGGCGAAGACTTCATGACTAAAACACCAAAAGCAATTGCAACGAAAGCCAGAATTGACATATGGGATCTAATTAAACTAAAGAGCTTCTGCACAGCAAAGAAACTATCATCAGAGTGAACAGGCAACCTACAGAGTGGGAGAAAAATTTTGCAATCTACCTATCTGACAAAGGTCTATTATCCAGAATCTAAAAGGAACTTAAACAAATTTACAAGAAAAAAACAAACAACCCCATTAAAAAGTGGGTGAGGAATATTAATAGACACTTTTCAAAAGAAGACATTTATGTGGCCAACAAACATGAAAAAAAAAAGCTCATCATCATTGGTCATCAGAGAAATGCACATCAAAACCACAATGAGATTTTGTCTCATGCCAGTTAGAATGGCAATCATTAGGAAGTCAGGAAACAACAGATGCTGGAGAGGATGTGAAGAAATAGGAATGCTTTTACAGTGTTGCTGGGAGTGTAAGTTAGTTCAACCATTGTGGAAGACAGTGTGGCGATTCCTCAAGGATCTAGAACTAGAAATACCATTTGACCCTGCAATTCCATTACTGGGTATATACCCAAAGGATTATAAATCATTCTACTATAAAGACACATGAACACACGTTTATTGCAGCACTATTCATAATAGCAAAAACTTGTATCCAGCCAAAATGCCAATCAATGATAGACTGGATAAAGAAAATGTGGCACATATACACCATGGAATACTATGCAGCCATAAAAAAAAGAATGAGCTCATGTCCTTTGCAGGGACATGGATGAAGCTGGAAACCATCATTCTCAGCAAGCTGACACAGGAACAGAAAACCAAACACTGCATGTTCTTACTCGTAAGTGGGAGTTGAACAATGAGAACATATGGACACAGGGAGGGGGAACATCACACACCAGGGCCTGCTGGGGGGTGAGGAGCAAGGGGAGAGATAGCATTAGGAGAAATACCTAATGTAGATGATGGGTTGGTGGGTGCAGTAAACCACCATGACACATGTATACCTATGTAACAAAGCTGCACGTTCTGCACAAATATCCCAGAACTTCAAGTATAATAAAAAAAATGAAAAATGAAAAATAAATGAAAGGCATCAAAATCAGAAAGGAAGAAGTAAAGTTGTCTCTGCAGATAACATGATTTTATAGAGAGAAAATTCTGAAGACTCCACCAATAAAAACATCAGGACTTACAAATAACTTCAGTAAAGTTACAGGATACAATATCAATCAACATACAAAAGCCAGTATTGTTTCTATACATTAACAAAAAACACTCTGAAAATTAAGAAAACAATCCTATTTATAGCAGTATCCAAAATAACAGCATACTTAGAAATAAATTTAACCAAAGAGGTAAAAAATCTGTGCACTGAAAACTAAAAGACAAAAAAAGAAATTGAGGAAGACACAAATAAATGGAAAGATATCCTCTGTTCATAAATGGGAAAAAATAATATTGTTAAAATACCCATACTACCCAAAGCGATTTACAGATTTGATATAACTCCTATCAAAATTCTAGTGGCATTTTTTCACAGAAATAAAAGAAAATAACTCTAAAATATGCATGGAATCACAAAAGACCTCAAATAACCAAAATAATCTTGAGAAAGAACAAAGCTAGAGGCAATACACTTCCTAATTTCAAACTACATTACAAAGGTATAGTATCAAAACAATATGGTAATGGCATAAAAATAAACACAGACTAACAGAACAGAGTAGAGATCCCAAAAATATACCCAGGCATATAAGGTGTACTAATTTTTGACAAGGGCACCATGAATACACAATGGAGAAAGATAATCTTTTTATTAAATGGTGGTGGGAAGATTAGATATACACACACATACGAATAAAACTGGACCCTTTTCTTATATCATACACAAAAATTAATCAGAAATGGATTAAAGCCTTAAATGTAAGACCTGAAACCACAAAATTCTTGGAAGGAACCAAGGAAAGAGCTCACACAACTCAACAGAAAAATATACAAAATAACATAATTTTGTTCTGAATGTTGTCCAAAATTCATGTGTTGAAATTTAATCACAAATATAATAATATAAACAGGTTGGACCTTTAGGAGGTAGAGCTCTCATGAATAGGAGAGTAAGGCTTTTTAAAAAGGACTTCACACAGCATTTGGCGTTTTTTGCTTTTCTATTCTTCTGCAATGTGAGGACACAGCAAGAAAGCCCTCATCAGATACCAAATGCTGGTGCCTTTAACTTGGACTTCCCAATTTTCAGAACTGTAAAAAGTCAATTTATTTTCTTTCTAAATTAGGCAGTCTGTAGTTCTGTCATTGTAGCACAGAAAGACTAAGACTTTAGCAGACATTTTTCCAAAGCAGACATAAAATTGGCCAAGAGATACATGCAAAGGTGCTCAACATTAGTAATCATCATGAGAATGCACATCAAAACCACCATGAAATATTCTGTCACATTTATTAAGATGGCTAATAGCAAAAAGACAGGAGATAACAAGTGTTAGCAAGGATGTGGAGAAAGGGAACCCTGTGTACTGTTGGTGGGAATGTAAATTGTTACAGCCATCATGGAAAATAGTATGGAGGTTCCTCGATAAAGTAAAAATAGAATGACCACATGATCCAATAATCTCACTTCTGGGTATATGTATCCCCCACAGAAAATAAAATCTGAATCTTGAGGAGGTATCGGCACCCCTATGTCCATTGCAGCATTAATCATAATAGTCAAGATATGGAAACAACCTAAGTGTCTGTTGACAGAAGAATGGATAAGCAAATGTGTATATAAACACACACAATAGAATATTATTTAGCCTTACAAAAGAAGAAAATCCTGCCATTTTCAACATGAATGAACCTGGAGGAAATTACGCTAAGTGAAATAAGCCAGACACAGAAAAATAAATACTTATGATCTCACTTACAAGTGAAATCTAAAAACCTCAAACTCACAGAAGCAAAGAGTAGAATGGTGGTTGCCAGGGGCTTGAATAATGAAGAAGATGAATGGTTTGGGGTTGGTCAAAAGTACAAACTTTCAATTATAAGATGAGAAAGTTCTAATGCACAGCATAGTAGCTCTAGTTAATAACACTGTATTATTTACTTGAAATTTGCTTACAGAGCAGATCTTAAGTGTTCTCCACACACACACACACACAATGTTTACTAGTGTGGTGAAGGATGTATTAATTTCATTGTGTTAATCAATATATAATATATTTGTATATAAAGTCATGTTGTGTGCCTTAAATATATTCAATTATTATTTGTTAATTATACCTTAATAAAGCTGAGGGATTTAAAACAAAATCAGAGAAAGGAATATGGGCTTTAGAACCAGAAAAAAAAAATGAAAGAAGAAAACTATCTTTGCTATAAATTCTAAAAGAATAGGGCAGTATTTATCTTGCTTGTCACATGCAAGGGGATCTTAATATTGATATAATGGGTTAAAATTTGGTTGATCAATAGCATATTATTCAAAAACTTCTAAAAATATGAATGCCATGCCATTTAAACTTAGGGTTAATGAATTAGAAAACAGTGTTCCAAAATAACAAAGTCTTTCAGTCTTTTATTGACCTCAGCATGCATCTTGACAATTTAAATATCTCACTCCCAAAATCTGGGAATCAAAAAGGCCTGGATATCATTTAACATTTGCTTATAAAAGACATAAGAAAGGAAGATAGAATAAAGAGAGAATGTGTTCGTTTTTCTATTAATGTGTGTTTTTTTCTAAATTCTGCATAACCTTTAAAACTCCAGTTACAATGGTCTGTGTTGGGGTATAAAAAGCTCTATAGGATTCAAAATGCTGGAGTCTAAATCCTATTATATTTAAATACATAGCCAGTAATTTTGCCTGGTTTTCTATTGTTGTTTTATACATCCAAGACAATCAATCAAAAAATACAATAAAAAATCTGATGAGAAGCCCAGAAATAACCTTTCATGACAACGTCTAGGCCACATATGATTTGTTTCCTGAAATTGAGGTCCTAAGTGACAATTCTGTTTTTGACCTTGTATCCAATGGAGGTTTTATGTCTGTACTTGTAATGAGTTGCCCAGCCTTGGTCTTGGTGTCCTCTGTTCTGTGGCATGTCATTATCTCTTTCTTGTTTCTTTTTTTGTTCTTTCAGTCTATGATTTGCTGGGGCTTGTTCTTTTAAACCACTCTGTTGTTATCTGACACAGATAGCTTTTTTCTAGGTATTTTCTATCCACAATTCTACTTTCCACTAACCAGAGAAAATGTCACCTGAAATATGTGGGCCTGTTTTCTCCTCTGATATGGCAAGGAATATTTACCACTAGATCAAATAAATAGACACAGAAGAAAAATCTTTTCTTAAAAAAGTATGAAAATGCTTTGTAAATTACCTGTAAGTTTTCTAAATCAGCAGATACAGAGACCGTTTAATTTGTAAATATAATGAAATTACTCCCCATTTGTCCAGTGAAAGGAAATGGGGTGTTCCTATTTCAATAATCTACCTGATAATTGTTATAAATACTAAGTAGGTTAAAATTTGTATGATATAGGATTATTTCTTAAAATATACAAGACTTCAAAGAGGACTGAACATAAATTGTTCTATCCCTATGATAGAAGTCACTTAAGCATCCTGAATTCTTTTAGTAATTATTGGGAACATCAATAGTCCTTGCACTAAAATGTACAAAGTGTTTTTTACTGGGGCTTTCTGCTTTTTGAATTTTGAGCAAATGAGAGTTGATTAGAAATTTAATCTAGACTTTATCATCTTCTATCCAGATTATATTGATACAGCTTCCTAATCAATTCATGCAACTTAAGTTTTTATCTACCCTCTGACGTTAAGCACCACTTTTATCATGTTATTTCCTGAAATGAAAACCTCCAGTGGTCCCTTAGTTTATATTGTATCAGGTCCTGTCTACTTTGCCTAGTTTTCAAGATATTCCAAAATTGATCCCCTACTTCCCAACATTATTTTCTGATTTTTTTCTCAAGTCATAGTTTAGTTTATTACCCAATTTAGAAGTTATATATTTTCTAATATTATTCACTGTGATATATAATATAAATAGACTAAAACAGCTCTTTTCTACCTATAATATTAATTATTAAAAAAAAGAACATGTCCCACATTTATTCTCTCCATGAAACCAAATACATTAATGAATGGGGAAGAAAGAGGAAAAACTACTTTCCCTCATCAACAAGCACGGGCACAGTTCTGAGCCTTTGCATGCTCATTAATTAGTTGAAATATACAAAGCATTTAGCACAGTGCTGAATATAGTAAGGACCAATAAATGTTTCTTTTTATTATTATGTTATTTAATCCTCTCAACAAACTTGTCAGAAGACACAGAGGAGGGGAGTGGAGCTCTGAAAGAGCATGTGATCATCCAAGCTGACACACTAGCAAGGAGCACTGGGATGGAACCAAGCTTTCCCAGCAATTGGCAGAAACACAGTGAAAAGTAGTTTAAATAAAAACAAGTTTTGTTACATCAAATTAAAAAGAGTCCAGAAGTGTGGTGACTATAGGACCAGTTAATTCAATGGCTCAATAATGTTATCAAGGACCAGATCCTCATCAACTTGCCACTCTGACTTCTGAATTGGTTAACTTGATCCTCAGCCTGGTTCCTCTCACAAAGAAAATACTGTACATCCACAGCAATCCCTGCCCAAACATTCAGACACAATAACATGCAAAAGAAAAAGACACTTCTTAGCAATGAAAAAGCAACCCCAGAAACTTCCCAGCAGGCCTCACCTCTGATTTCATTGGTCAATGTCTAAAATCATCACCAGCAAGGGAAATGGGGCCAGTAACAACTGGTTTGAGCACAAGCGTACCCACCTCTCCGTGGGTGGAGATTAAGCAACTTCCTCTGAAGCTTGTGTGGAGAAGAAAATACATGAAAAAAATCTGGGCTCTGTTTTGAAAGAGGTAGAGGGGATGTATAAATGAATATTGGGAAGAAAAATCATTAGGGCTTTCTGTTGCTTTATTGCTTCAAAATAGCAAATGTTAACTTAACTGACTAATTTGAACATATAAAGATCTATGGTTATTACAGAGAAATAAACAGGGAAGAGGAGAAGAAGGAAGGGAGGGAAGGAAAGTCATGTTCATGATTGTGCGTGCCACTCCTACAGGCTATGAAAGTAGTTACTGAAAATCATAGATGTCTGCAGGAGGATCTGTGTATGCTAGACAGATTTTCAGAGATAAAAATTACTTTAATCCCAATAGGGAGCTGATGGTAACCACGTTCAAGAAAGCAGACCATCAAGAACTAATGAGGCTGTCAGGTCTGTGAGCTAACCAAGGAACAGACACATCAGAAATGATTCAGCAGGAGGCATAACTAACAAAACAATCATTTCTAAATAGCAAAGCTATAAAAGAGGACAAAATTCAACTCTTTTATTTCTTAAAATGTTATTTTTTCAACTAGAAAATAATACTGCATCCTTTAAAAAGGATGGCAACTAAGAAGTGGGCATTACTTAAATTTTATTAATGCCTATTTTTTCTCATGTCTTTAAAATTCAACAGACAACATAAGCAAAAAGGTTAAATAGTAATTCTCACTGAAGGGGAAATAACTTAAAAATTTTGAGCTTACAGGTTTGTGCAAGCCTGTGAATCAGAGAATATATAAAGATGATCACATATATATACACATACATATATACACATATATATATACACACACACATATATATATGTATGTATGTATGTATGTATGTATGTATGTAAACAACCTGGTTCTTTTTCATGGAAAGAAATGGATATTCTTCTTTCTAAATATGATTCTGGATTATTAAAACATGTATAACCTGGGAACTTACATCATAAAAGAACTATAGTAACTAATTAATCTGTCCTAGTCCATTTTCTGCTGCTACAATAGAGTACTTGAGACTGGGTAATTTTTTAAAAAAAGAAGTTTATTTGGCTCACAGTTCTGAAG
Organism: Homo sapiens; assembly: GCF_000001405.40. NCBI lineage: Eukaryota > Metazoa > Chordata > Mammalia > Primates > Hominidae > Homo > Homo sapiens. Next base: position 193,633,503 of record NC_000001.11, on the reverse strand, counting down.
TCTGGGAATTCCAAGATCAGGCAGCCTATCTGGTGAGTGCCTCATGCTGCTTCAACTCATGGCAGAGAGTGGAAGGGGACGTAGGAGTGTGCAAAATGGAACAGAAAAACATAAAGGCAACCTTGCTTTATAGCACCCTGCTCTTGTAGGAACTAATCCATTCCCTGAAGAATTAGCCCAGTCTCATGAGAACTGCGTTAATCCATTCATGAGGGCAAACTCCCATGACGCAACCACCTCTTGCATTGGCAATCCCAACTTCATTACATTGACAATTAAACTGCAACATGAATTTTGGCAGGGACACTCAAACCATAACAGCATCTATCAAGGAATAGTTCTTTTAAGAACTTGTTCACCACTTCCAGGGTTTTATTAAAGAAGTAAGCTGTGCAATGCTTTTCATTACTTGCCAAGCCTTCTTTTGTCTGATCTGAGAAGGGAACCTGGTACAGTGAGTTTCCTTTAGCTCTGGAAACACAGATTGTCTTAAGGAGACTCAATGATGTAGATGATTGTACACCGCAATTCTCCTCATGAGATGTAAATTCAGGTACTTAGAGCACCTATCCTCCAAATGGATTTCTGTAAGTATTTTCCTGGCCAAGCTAGGGACAACCCAGGATTATGATCTGTGCATATAGAGTTTTTAGGAACAAACCTGGGAATCTCATAGGTTCTGAAGTTGAATATGTGAATTATACACCAAAAATAACCAAGAATTACTTTAAGGCATGTTAGTAGTGGAAACCTGGCAGCATCAAGTGACATGACCATGTCTACACAGGGCTAGTAAATTCAGAAACAATTTTCAATTAAATTTTACTGCCCGCAGAAAATTCTACAGTAGTCCCCCCTTTATCTGAAGTTTTGTTTTCTGTGGTTTCAGTTACCCATGGTACAGCACAAGATATTTTGAGAGAGAGAAAGACCACATTCACACAACCTTTATTACAGTATAGTGTTATAATGGATCAGTTATTATTGTTACTTTCTTACGGTACCTAATTTGTAAATTAAACTGTATCATAGGCATGTGTGTATGTATGTAAGGAAAAAGACATAGTATGTATAGGGCTTGGTACCAATTCGTTGTTGTAGATAGCCACTAGTCTTGGAATCTATTCCCTGTGGTAAGGAGGGATTACTGTAATTCACATTTTAATCTTCTGTCTCTAACCAGTTCATTACCTAATGTTTCCATTAAATTCCTTAATAAAATGTATGTGTCAACTATAGCCTAAAAATATACACAGTGAATTTTGAGTCACACTATGGAATACCCTGCTTTTGTATTCAGGTATAGTTGTCCTTCGGTACCCACGTGGGATTGGTTGCAGGACCTCCCACAGATACCTGACTCTGTGGATGTTTAAGTCCCTGTTATAAAATGGCATGGTATTTGCATATAACCTATGCATATCCTCTCATATTCTTTAAATATGTGCCTATTATGTATAATACCTAATACAATGTAAATGCTATATAGTTATACTGTATTATTTAGAAAATAATAAGAAAAGTCTGCACATGTTCAGTATATACACAATATTTTTTTCAAATATTTTCAATCTGTGGTTGGTTGAAACTGTGAACGCAGAACTCACACATAGAGAAGGCTGACTCTATTTTCACATAATGTCACCAAACTTTCCCAGAGTTTGGAGGGGAAAATCATATCACATTTATTCAATTTGTTTTTATTATGTAACGAATGAGTGAATGAGAATTCATGTTTTCTACTATCATTTTTAAAAGAAATGTTTTCTACTATCAGTTTTTAAAAGGAAACTAGGATTTTTTTTCTACGTGCTGTTTCCTAATTCTTATGTTTATGTTGCTGGGAATCACACAATAACTTTTTGTTAAAGTAAAACATACATCAGAAAATTACACAAATCATAAGAGTAGAGCTCAATGGATTTTCCCAAACCAAACCCACCTGAATAACCAGAACACACTCAACAAAATAAAAGAGCAGCATAACACAAACATCTGCCTCTTTCTGCTCCCATATTTCTTCTTAGTCACTCTTCCTCTCAAGGGCAACTAGCTTCACCACCAGTCACCGTAGATTTATTTTCCCTGTTTTTGTGTTTAATTTTAAAAATATATACAAGATATACTTTTTTCTACCTACTTCTTTCCCTCGATCTTACATTTCTGAGACACATTAGTAGGAGAAGGTATTGCAATAGTTGTTCATTATCAGTGCTGTAAAATATTTTTTTGTATGAATAGATCAAAACTTATTTGCCCATTTTACTGTTTATGGGAAGTTGGATAATTTTCAACTTGAATGGTGCCACTAAAAACATAACATGATTTTTGGTGAACATGAACATATTTATCTTGTATATATACAAATAAGGAGCTGCCAGGTCATAGGATGTGCATATATTCAGCTGTAGGAAAGGGAGCAAAACAGTTTTCCAACATGACTATGACAATTTACAACACTGTATGAGAGTTCTATTTTTTCACATCTTTTCTAACATTTGGTATATTCTTTTTTCCATTCTGTTTTAGCTCATTGCAGTTTTAATCTTTATTTTCCTAATGGCTGATGAAGTCACATATCTTTTCATATATTAATTGGCCATGTGGATCCAATTAATGGATACAAATCCATTATACAAACATACCATTTGTAATGTGCTGAAGACTTTTGCCCCTTTTTCTATCGGGTTTACTGTAGTTTTCTTATTGATTCCTAGGAGTATTTTATATATTTTGGATAAGAATCTGTTGTCAGTTACACATGTTATAATTATCTTCTCCTGCTCTGTAGCTTTTCTTTTCACTCCCTTAGTGGTATCCTGAAGGCAGCTCTTCCCAAAGTTCTTATGTTCAGTCTCTTCCACCTTTGTCCCTCAGTCCCTCTCTGGTGATCTTATACCTAGCTCCAAGAATCTCATTTATGAGAGTTCTAGCTTTAATTTTTTTTCATCAATTTCCAAATTTGACTTGCCTGAGAGCTCCCCCTTGAAGGCCAACCAGAATTTCAAAAGCAATCTATCCAACATCAAAATCACCCTTCTTCAACAAAGTGTTTTCTTGTCTTCTGTGTGTTATAACTGGCGATACTATTATCCTCATTTGCAATGCTCAAAACTATGAGTGACCTTTGAGTTCTCTCTTTCTCTCTGTCTCTCATTTCCTATACCTAATCAATAGCCACTGTTGCAACCCAAACCCAAAGCTGGCTCCTGTAAGTCCTGAAGTAGGAGAGGAGAAATTTGCCTATCTCTGTCCTCCATTAATGCGCCTGTCCCACTGATAAAACTTTTGCATTCTTAATTCTACCCTCATTCGTCACCAAATTCTCAATAACTCTCTATGTTGCTCTGTAAGAATTCTTGGACCATCAGGCATTCTGGCACATAATGAAAGCTCTCTGTGTCTTTGAGGTCACAAAAATCCCCAGTGAGGGACACCGGGAGACTCTTACTAAATTCCTGGCATTTTTTCAACTCTCAGACTTCCTTCCTCTATTACATTCCAGTGAGGGTATTCTAACTAAAATTCATTTTTTCCTCCTGTTCTGCTGATATTATACTCTCCACAAGATTGTCCCATTTCCTGAGAATGAGACCTCCATTAGGTGTTCTGATACTGACTTAATTGGCATGCTCACAACTGCAGCTCTCTCCCCAGAGGAACGTGCAAAGAAAAAAAAAAAATCCAAAATCCTCAAGTGTCATTCTCTACTTCCCATTTCAGAAGTCATTCGATTTCTTACAATTTAAGAAGGCTTTGGAGGTTGGAGGAAAATCTAATCTCCAGGCTGAAATTTCATGCATGAGTTTCTTTGGCTCTCTGAACTTACAAATTCAAAATGCTCACGACTGGACTAATTCAAGGCTCGCCTCAGCATGGATGTGTCATAAGAAAAAAACATAAATCAAACCCCTTCCCACCCAACAACAACAAAAGGCGAGGGCACGGATCTTTCTTTGTCTTTTCTTGAAGTGGGAGTGATGAGAAAATTATATAACACAATACAAATCAGAAAATTCTGAAATCCTAACAGTTGCACTAATCTCTCCTTTCCCTTCTCCTCCCTCTCCCTCATTACTGGCTCCCTTTTGCTCTCCTTTTAACTCTTGTTCTTTGGAACCACCTCTGCCATATTCCCTGTTTCTCTTTTCTCACACTGGGCTGCTCACACTCAACTAACTGCAAAGATCACCACGTCCAACATCTGACCTTTCCCACCTTGTCCAAACTCCAAGAAATATGTTTCATCTCTTACTCTGATTCCCTGCTGAATACATGTTTCTACCTCACTGCAAACCATCTTCTGCCTGTGTTTTACTTGTCCCATCTTTTCCACCTTGCTGTCAACCACCTCTGCCCTCTGCCTTCTCACTGTCAAATATTAGTAAGCATAAACTAACTGACAGGTTTATAGTTTTATCAACAAGATGGGCTCCATAAAATTTAATAAAATTTAAATTTTTGAACTCAAGACATTATAAAAGTGCTTTATGCAAAAAGTAGGTTAGGCTTGGAATTCAGTGTATTAAATAAATACAACTTTATTCTATGTATATGTGAAAATATTTACAGGGAGAGAAGCTATGTACTCAATCTTTTTCCTTTCAAATGTTTATTCAATTTTATTCTCCATAATATGGGTGTTATGACATGCTTACTGTGACTACTCACAGAGCTGGTAGGAGGTACAGTTAATGAACATTTGCCAAAAGCTTAAAAATTCTTAAAGATAATTTATGGCTCCAAAAGCCCTTTTATTTTATTCTATGATAGTAAACTGATCTAGTTTGTCTGTTTGCACTGAGAAATGAAAGGACATAAAGAATGGAAGCATATAAAAGACATCATGAATGCTGCAAATTTTGGAAGCATTTAGTGTTCAGATTTTAGAGATATTCATTGTAACACAAATTTTGGAAGCATGTTTAAAGCAAGGATGATTTCTGAATTATGGAACAATTTCCTCGAATTACACCTCAGATGCTAGCACAAAAGTTACCTATTTTCTTACATGAAGATTTTTGAAACCATATTGAATAAAGAAGCTGCTTCTCCCTGGGCTCATTTAATAGTTAATTTAATTCTAAACATGCACATCAGTGCAGTGCTTTTATTAAAAAATAATAACCTTCAGTGAGGGAATCAGATGGTTCTTTTCTAATTTAACACTATAAAATCTGTAAATTACCTGATAAAGTTTAAGTGCATATACATATATCTTAATATATATATCCTATATATCTGATATATAAGGCCCACATATATATACTTAAAATGCCTTTATTAAAATTGGGCCTAGATTATAAATAATAGAGAATTTATAATAGTAATATTAATGACTATTTAGATTAATATCTCTAATAGAACAAAATCATTTTTGTTGAATACAAAACAAGTGGGGAGCTTTTCCCAGTCAAATTATAACATTTTGTAAATACAGAGAAAGAGAGATGCTGTTGCAAATATAAATATCTAATTGATATATAGATATGTGGACAAACTCATGATACCTACACTCCTACAGTGGCTTGATTAAATATAAAATTTTAGAGATTGATATTTTCATAATTCTTGATGCAAGTCAGATAAATCGAAGCATAATGAATCCTCAAAATAATGCAAATTATATTTAAAAAAGAAAAATTCAGTCAAAACAAAAACAGCTTATATCTTACGTGGTACACCAATGATCCCGTAAGTCAGTAACAATTCTTCTAGTATGTCTCTAGGAAACATTGATTTTCAAAAATTTTAATAAGAACAGCCTATAAACTTAATATTAGGTTAATGCTAGAGAAATATTAGTTGAATATGTGCTATCCCGTTTTAATGGCTTAATTGTGTATTATAAATGCCACTAACAGAGAGTGCTCTCTGATCAAGGTCTCCAGATATCCCTATTCACACCCCCAACACAGGCTCAACGTTAGTTATTGTCTTCTTCCAGTGTTCAGCTCAGTTGACTTAAGACTGGTTCTTATAAAGAATAGAGATAACATGCTGAAATAGGAAGCACCTGAAACATCCGCCTCTTTCCATTTCTGTTCATCTCCTAGTTAAAGCCACACCAATGCAATCTAGCTGGTATCTTTTGTTTCCTGATTTCTATTAGCAAAGAATAAAACCAGGATGCCCCATTCCTTTTACCTCTGACGACCTTTATCTTAATGACAACCCAAAAGTGTTTTTGAATCAGGCTCTGTTTTCCTCTCTTAATAGACTTACCAAATCTCAATTTCTTCAAGATGTAATTGATAGAGTGTTTCTAGCCTTTACCCATTTAAGTCTTTACAAAGCTTTACAAAGCTACTTTCAGCCTCTAAAGACTGCCACTGCAAAAAGGGTCCTGTAATCCAGCCACTCTCAATGTGTATTACGCAGAAATCTGGTTCCGTAGGATGGCAATATCCCAGGTACCAGATGGAAAAATCTTTCTTTACTGCAGGAATTCTCAGAACTTTTAACATGGAAATGTGCAGTGTGCTTCTTCAAAAAGGGGATAAGATAAGTAGCATTTCCCAGTCTGATTGTAGGAATAAAGCTCTTCTTTCACAGAGCATCTCACAAGAACAGTGACCCATGAAACATCCTTAGGGAAATGCTGTTTGAGGCAAGTATTCTAAAACCAAATGTACCGGCATGTGTGCCTCCCTGCTGCTATATTCTCTTTTACACTCAGCTGGAACATTTAATCCATAAAGCCAGACTTAGCTCTAGATACTGACAGAGTTAAGATTCAACATCAACTCGTCTTGCTCTTCCTGACATTCCCCCAGTGCTCCAATCCTGGTCCTTGGGCTTCTGCCAAACTACCGAGCTCAAATCCAGCTCCAGGAATGATTTCCAATCATGCTATCTTGTACCTAGGTCGAAAGAAAAGAACTGGAGCTGTGAGTTGTACTCATGATTTCTTCCAAACTCTCTTCCTTGGCCAAGAGACCAACTCTGTATTCTAGCTCTGAGGCTAGAGTCCATCCTGCCAATCACCGTAATTCTGGATCTCCATATATAATAAATATTCTCTCTACCTTGGCTGCATATACCTGGTGCTGACTTATCTGTACAATTACATAGTCCTGTTAGCTTCTACATATCCTTTGAATAAATGTTAGATTCTATTTGCATGTCTGAATTCTCAGTTTTAGCAATGAGATCTGTACCTAATTCATATTCTCACTGTATTGGGCTTCCCTAGGTCCCTTGTCCCCAGCTCTTCCTGATCAAATATGTCCTATACCCTTCTAAGTCCCACACCACTGGTCTGGCACTAAAGAAATTGGTTTGAAAAGGAAAACTGCAAACAAACAAAAAAAAGAATATAATTCCTAAATTCACTTATTACACTCAATATAACTATTTTCCTTTAAAAATTACACTGGAAAAAACAGTCTCAAATACTGTGGTAACATTAAATAACACCATACTGGAGATGGCCATAAAAAATATTTCATTTGAAATCTTTTTCTACAGTAAAAACAATGTCCAAATTCTCACTGGAGTTTAAGAGTAGTCTCAGAATTAAGCAAATTATCAGTTTAGAAATGTAATAGAGAAGCCTCCCAACAGGCCTCCCACATAGTCCCCTCAATATGTGGGTGTTTTGAAACAGTTGTCATATTTCCTTCTAGTCCAATCCCCTGCTTTTCTTCTACATTAAAAAAACTCTTTTAAAACTCTAAAGAATCACCTAAGAAAACTGCCTCATATTCAGTTATATAATTATGAAATTTGAATTTAAAACTTCTTTGAAATATTTTTAAATGTTTACCAGTCTATTTTAAACTCTCCTAAAACGAGGACCAATTTCTAGGACAAGACGAGGTAACAAGCAAAGATTGTGTCATCCCAGGAATACTGATCAATCAAAAATGATTAGCAAACATCATTTTACCTAGGATAGTTTATCTTTCTCAAGCTACAACTAGCCTTCATGGCCACTTTGTTTTGGGCTGTGACCACAGAAATAGAAATACATAGCTGGTGTTCTGGGGGACACACTCATACCTCTGTCACAGACTTCCAGCTGCCAGCGTCTGCAGTTCTGGGCCTGAGGGCTTTTTTCTCAAAACCTCAGAAAGCTTCCAACAAACAAAGATGAATTCTCCTTCAGGAGCAACCCTCAATGACTCTTAAGAGTTGGAGTCTTAATACCACAATTCCCTCACTTCATTGGTAGGGTAATTCTAGAGCGTAAGTTTTGGCTCCCTCGTTTTTCAGTTTGTCCAGGGGATTGAACTTCCGTCACCTACTGAGCGGGCTTAATAATGCACCTTGCTTAGAACTGGCTGCCCTTGTTCCCGTTTCTCTTCCCTACTTTGCTCTGAAAAATTTCCCATGACCTTTGCTTTTAGGTTAAATAAATTCTATCTACCTGTTCAGATCTACTTGCTGTCACCTAATTCTTTCATCATCTGCTTAATTTATGGTGACCATATGTTCATCTGGGGCTAGTTGGCCACAGAAAGTCCTGATTTATGCCTGTAATCCTGCAGGGCACCTGTTAATAGCACAACCTTTCACTCTCAAAAGAGTCCTGCTTTTGGCAATAAATTATATAGTCACCCTATATATAGTCCTATTACTCTGCCAAGATTCTCAGTTGCTAATCTTATGGATACATATAAAAACTTACACCTTGCTCTGTTCATTATTATAGTTTGTTCTATTTATTATTTCTTACCTAAGTTTCTATGTTTCCTCAATCCTGGCTCTTCCTTATACCTGAGAATTTAGGACACCCATGTATGTCCTGGTATAGCAGACTATATAATTACTAACATTGCCTTAATTGAGAATCACTGTTTTCTGGTTTTATGTAACATGTATAGAGTTGGTTTGCTTATTAATATTTCCAAGATAAAAGAAAACTTTTTATCAAGTAGCATACTTTTAGCATAAACCAAGTGATCTGGGCATTAAGGCAACCTGGAAGGCCAGTGGCAGACCAGGACGGAAAAGAGAAGAATCCAACTCTGTGGGGTCAGGCTGATCCCAGGAGGGCTGATGAACATCAAGTCAAAAGATCCAAGGAAAGGTGACAAATGGAGATTTTATTTGAGCAGGAGAAAAATGTTATTTATTTTGAAATTTTGTAAGATGCTGTCATTATTAAAAGCTACTTGTATTTTTTAATTGTCAAAAATAATCTGTATGAAGGAACAGTAATAATTCCACAGAGGAAAAAACAGTTGATCTGGCCATTGACTCATGAGTAGGAGTTCTGTTTTTCTGGTACGAAATATGAGGTGGTATATTCACATTTAGAGCCACAAATGAGAGTGTGTGGCAGTATGGAAGTAAGTTTTAAAAAATCTGTTTAACTGGAACACAGGTATTATTAAAGGGAGTGTCAAGAAATATTTTACACCGGTTCACCTAATTATGTTTGATTAAGGATGCTTTAGATCTACTTTTTCTGCTTGCTTTCTTTAATATAGTTGGGAAGATTAAATTTTTAAAACCTGTAATGTTACCAACTTTTTATTCAAATAAATACAAATACTCAATGTATACCATTGTGTTTCTTATTAAAACAATTCTTAAGAGACAGATGTCAAAATGTGTTTTAATAATGGTCAAAAATATAATTATGAAAATAAATGAAATCTCAATGTACCTTTTCCAAGTGTATTATTTCTTGAGAAACATGAAGGGCAAGAAAAACACAAGTAGTTTTTATTCTATGAAAAATCTTGGTCTGAAATATTAATACATATCTTATTTGTGATTTATTTCTTCTAACACAAATGAGAGTCATATCTTACTGTGCTTTTTTATTTAAAAATGCAAAGCCTCCAAATTGCAGAAATAGTTAAAGCAGAAGACTTCTGAGACTAAGGACATCCATGTACAAGTTGCCTAGATAATGCAAAATAAATCCAAAGAGAAGATATGACAGGGTGGTTTGAAAGGAATAAAAAAGCTTTCTGAATAATATTGAAACTCTAAAATAAATGAAGTTCCCCAGTTTGCTTTAATTGATCATTTTCAGTGAATCTTTCTATACCCCCACATAACCACCAGCATCTCACCAGCACTATTTAACCAATGTAGCACACAGGCACACACATTCACACACACACACACACACACACACACACACTTGTCACTTCTAGGCCTGGCCATAAACTCTGTGGACAGTCTTACACATTCTCTCTCTTCATCTAGCAGCTAAATTCAGGCAATGCAGTAGGACTCTGAAATCTTACAGTACTACAAAGAATCTACATAAAAGCAGCCTAGATCCTTGAATGACTAAATGGTACAGACTCTCTAACCTAATCCTAATGCATAAAGTGTTACAACTTACATAAAAAAAACCTTTATTTCATGAAGCCACTATTATTTATCTAACACAAGGTATCTCTGCATTTCAGGCCAAGGCAGCGGATCACTTGAGGTCAGGAGTTTGAAACTGGCCTGGCCAACATGGTGAAACCCCTTCTCTACTAAAAATACAAAAAAATTAGCTGGGCATGGTGGCAGGTGCCTGTAATCCCAGCTATTTAGGAGGCTAAGGTAGGAGAATCACTTGAACTTGGGAGGCGGAGGTTGCAGTGAGCAGAGATCGCACCACGGCACTCCGGCCTGAGTGACAGAGTGGGACTCCCTCTCAAAAAAAAAAAAAAAAAAAAAAGTGACCTCCAAAAAGATTGAACCAATTTACACACTCACCAGGAATATATTGGAAAATACGTTTAAAAACTTTTTAGACAACACTGAGAATTTGGATAATCTTTTTATCTTCACCAATATCGTGGGTAAAATGGTGTAATATTGCAGCATTAGTTTGCATTACAAATAAGTATAACAATCTGTGCATATGTATAAAAGCCGTATTGATTTATCTTTTCACTTATGTTCTACGCCTATTTTCTACACTTGCTAGATTGTCTCATTGATTTCTAAATGCTCATGATATAGTAAAACAACTAAATTCCATGTTGCATATGAAGAAACATTTTTCCCAGATTGAGAAACAAAAAAAGACCTGATATTTTTTATAACAGAAAAATTTATAATTTTTAAATTTTTAAAACTTGATAAGTGATTATATATGTAATTATGGGGTACGATGTAGAGTTTTGATATATGTTTTCAATATGGAATGATTAAATCAGGCTAATTAATAAATCCACACATCACATATATTTTTTGTGGTAAAAACATTTAAAATCTACTCTTTTAGCAATTTGAAAACATACAATGCATGATTATTTCATATAGTCACCATTCTGTGCAATAGGTCACTAAAGTTTATTCCTCCTGTAATTTTTATTAATATATTTATCAATATTTATTTCCCTGGCTTATACATTTTATGTCACGGACAGAAAAGCTTCTCCCATTCAGAAGTTATTTAAATATCCCACATTTTCTGCCAAATCTTTTGTACCAGTTATCTGACACTGCATAACAAATCACTCCAAAACGTGGCTTAAAATAACCATCATTTATTACTGTCTTTCACGGTTCTGGAAACAGACTGGCCTCAGCTGTAGTTCTCACTTAGGGTCTCTCACACGGTTACAATCAGACAGTGCCTGGAACTGGAGTCATCTCAAAAGCTTCTTCACTCATGCATCTGACAGTTGATTCTACCTGTTGGCTGAGATCCTTCCATGTGGCTCAGCTTAGTGTCTGGGTTCCAAAAAGGAACTGTCTCAAAAGAGGGAAAGTGGAAGCTGCCAGTTTCTTAAGGTCATATTATCTTGGCCAGGCAACCAGAGACCAGATTCAAGGAAAAGAACAGAGCTCCATCATTTCAAGGGAGGAGTATAGAAGAATATCAGAGACATGCTTTAAAAGTGCCATAGCTTTTATGCCTTAATTTTAAAAAATATAATCATCTTTATAAATATATAATTTGCACACAATAAAGTTCACTCCCACTTTTTTTTTGAGATGGAGTTTCGCTCCATCGCCCAGGCTGGAGTACCGTGGCACAATCTCAGCTCACTGCAACCTCTGCCTCCCGGGTTCAAGCAATTCTCTGCCTCAGTCTCCCAAGTAGCTGGGATTACAGGTGCCCACCACCACACCTGGCTAATTTTTTTGTATTTTTAGTAGAGACGGGGTTTCACCATCTTGGCCAGGCTGGTCTTGAACTCCTGACCTTGTGATTCACCCACCTCAGCCTCCCAAAGTGCTGGGATTACAGGCATGAGCCACCATGCCCAGCCCAAAATTCACCCATTTTAAGTATACAATTGGATGTACAGTTTGGAGTTTTGACAAAGGCATACAGTTGTATAATCACCACTACCAAAATATAAAACATTTCTATTACTCCCTAAATAACCACATGCTCTTTTGCATTCAATTTCCTTCTCCCATCCCTGGCTCACCACTGACCTGCTTTCAATCCCTGTACTTTGCTTTTTCTAGATTTTCACATAATAGTACAGTATGTTGTCCTTCATGTCTGGCTTATTTCACAGAGCATCGCACTTTTGAGATTCCTCCACGTTGTTGTATGTTCAGTAGTTCATTCCTGTTAGTGTTGAGTAGTATTTCATTCACTATATGAATATATCATGACTAGTTTATCCAGCCACCTGTTCATGGACACTTGTGTTGTATCCTGTTTGGGCTATCATGAATAAAGCTCCTGAGACTATTTGTGTACAAGTCTTTGTAAGGACATGTGCTTTTATCTATCTTTGGTAACTACCTAGGATTTGGATTGCTTAGTCATAGGTAAGTACATGTGTAATTTAAGAAAATGTACATCTTAAGTTTTTAGACCTTTAAGTAATGGGTCCGTCCGGAATTGTTTAGTTTAAGGAAGGAGTAGCTACCATGTTTTTCCAGACGGCTAGTCAGGTTTCTGAGCACCCATTTGGTGAGTAATGCTTGCTTTAGTTTTTTACAATACACCTGGATTATATACTAAACTCCCACATGCATTTGGGCCTAATTCTGGACATTCCGTTTTGTTCATTGTTGGGGTGCTGATGGAGATGGAAGTAGTAATGCTGTTGCTAATTCACACTGCTTTAAGCACTCTGTGTGTGTTAATTCACTGAATCTCCATGCCAATTCTATAAGATAAATACTATTTTAAAATTCAGATTAAAATTTAGGACAAAACCCAGAAATATTACATAATTTTCCCATGATCCCAAGGACAAAACCCAGAAATATTACATAATTTTCCCATGATCCCAAAGTCAGTAAGTAGCAAAGGTAAGATGTATATCTAGGCCCTCTACCTCCAGAGCCCACATGTCCAACCACTGGGCTGCTTTTACACCTCAACACATGCACGACTATTTCACTCTGCATCATCCTAATGAATGTTGCATTAAACCCTGTGTGAAGAACTGTCCTGTCGCTTACTTTTTTTTTTTTAAATATGAACTATGTAATTAGCTTAACTAGTTCCCACCCCAAAAAATCCCTTTGGTATTTTGATTTACATAAACATGTAAATTTGTTCAGGGAGAATGGACTACTTCATAGTATTGAATATGTTAATATTTCTATTTCTAAATTTATTTTAAAATCAGGATTTTTTTTCCTCAGTGTCAAGTTTCATTTGATATACTTTCTTTATGTGAGACAAATTTGGATCCAAAAAGTGTTTACTAATTTACATTCCCAGCAACTGTGTATGAGTTCCCTCTTCTCCTCATCCTCACCAGCATTTTTAAATTTTTGCCTTTTTGATAATAGCCATTCTAACTGAAGGGAAGCGATATCTCACTGTGGTTTTGACTTGCATTTCCCTGATGATTAGTGATATTGAGCACTTTGTCATATACCTGCTGGACATTTGTGTGTCTTCTTTTGAGATATGGTTATTCAGGTCTTTTGATCATTTTTTAATCAGAGTATTTGGGTTTGCTATTGTGTTCCTTATATATTCTAGACATTAACTCTTTGTCAAGTACATAGTTTACAAACATTTTTCGCATTCTGTAAGTTGTCTCTTCACTCTATGTATTGTTTCCTTTGCTGAGCAGCTTTTTTAGTTTGGTATAATTCCACTTGTTCATTTTGGCTTTTGTTGCCCATGCTTTTGAGATCATATTCAGAACATCTTTGCCTAGACCAATGTCATGAAGTGTTTCCCTTATGTTTTCTTCTAGTAGTTTTTATAGTTTCAGGTCTTTAAGTCTCTAATTCATTTTGAGTTAATTTTTGTATATGGTGAACGTTCAAGGTCTAGTTTGTCTGCATGTGGATATCAAGCTTTCCCAGCACAATTTATTGATGAGACTGTCCTTTCTCCAGTGTGTATTCTTGGCACCTTTATGGAAAATCAGTGGACTCTAAATGTGTAGATTTACTTCTGGACTCTTCATTCTGTTCTATTGGTCTATGTGTCTATTTTTATGCCATTGCCATGCTATGGTGGTTACTGTAGCTTTGTAGTATATTTTGAGGTCAGATAGTATGATGCTTCCAGTTTTGTTCTTTTTGCTCAGGATGGCTTTGGCTATTCAAGATCTTTGCGGTTTCATACAAGTTTTAGGATTTTTTTTCTATTTTTGTGAAGAATGTCATTGATATTTTGACAGGGATTGCATTGAATCTGTAGATTGCCTTGGGTTGTACAGATATTTTAGCAATATTAATTTTTCCAATCCATGAGATATATTTCCATTTATGTCTTCTTCACTTTATTTCATTAATTTTTTATAGTTCTTATTGTAGGTATCTTTCACCTCCTTGGTTAAATTTCTTCCTAATATTTTGTAGCTATTATAAATGGGATAGCCTTCCTGATTTCTCTTCCAGATATTTCACTATTGGTGTATAGAAATGCTATCAATTTTTGTATGTTGATTTTGTATCCTGCAACTTTACTAAATTCACATGAGAAAACAGTATTAAAGTTCCTGCAAAAAATAAAAACAGAACTACCTTATGACCCCCAAAATTTACTACTGGGTATACAGCAAAAGGAATTGAAATTACTGTGTCAAAGAGCTATGCTTATGCGTATGTTTATTGCAGCACTATTCTCAATAGCTAAGAGACAAAATCAACATAAATGTCCATTGACAGATGAATGCATAAAGAAAACATGGTATACACACAATAGAATACAATTATAAATAAGAATGAAGTCCTGTCATTTGTGGCAACATAGATGAACCTGGAGGACATAACGTTAAGTGAAATAGGCCAGGCACAAAAAGACAAATACCACATGATCTCGCTTATATGTGAAATCTAAAAAGTTGAACTCGTAGAAGTAGACAGTATAATAGTGGTTACTAGAGGCTGTGAAAGGTATGAAGGTGGGAAGAATGGAAAGAGGTTGGTCAAGGGGCACAAAGATAGTCAGATAAGAAGAGTAAGTTCTGATGTTCTATTACATAGTAGAGTGACTATAGCCAAGAACAATGTATTGTATATGTCAAAATAGCTAGAAAAGAAAACCTTGAAAGTTATCACCACAAATGATAACCTTTTTGAGGAAACGGATATACTAACTACTTTGATTTGATCATTATACTATGTATATATGCATTGAAACATCACACTGTACCCCTTAAACATGTACAAAAATTTTTAAAGTGTTTACCTTCATTTTCCTCAAGGAGGATGAATTTATAATAGCCTTAGGGTAATTCAAACTCAAAGACCTTTGTCAGGAATATGGGAAACGAAACTGTGAAGTAGGCAAAGTACTCAACATGCACACATTTACATATATATATATATATATATATATATTTTTTTTTTTTTTTTTTTGAGATGCAGTCTCACTCTGTCCCCCAGGCTGGAGTGCAGTGGTGTGATCTCAGCTCACTGCAAGCTCTGCCTCCCGGCTTCATGCCATTCTCCTGCCTCAGCCTCCCAAGTAGCTGGGACTACAGGTGCCCGCCACCACGCCTGGCTAATTTTTTTATTTTTTATTTTTAGTAGAGACTGGGGTTTACACCATGTTAGCCAGGATGGTCTCGATCTCCTGACCTTGTGATCCGCCCACCTCGGCCTCCCAAAGTGCTGGGATTACAGGCGTGAGCCACCGCACTCGGCCTTACATATTTTTCTTAATCTTTCTCCATTTTTTAATACACCATATCTAAGTATCCCACCATTGGTTCCTGACCTTGTAATGCAGTATTACATTCTTCTTATACTATCCCAAGCTATGACCATTCCACTGATACTCCAAATCTCATCCCTTTTCCTTTACAAAGAATGCAAAGAGAGCTAGCTTATTTCTCAACCACACCCATGTTAATATGCAGGTGGGAGTAATCTAAAACAGAAGCCAACCTCCAAAATAACCTAGCCCTTCAACTCAGTAAACACAAATATGTTTGAATGGAACCTTTCTCATAGCAACGCTGCTCCTCTTATAATCTCACTCGAATATATGAGAGAGTTTCTAATCATCTAAGTGGGGAGGCAGGGAGAAAGTATTTGTAGGCAGACATAACCATGCTATGCCTCATATTCATCCACACTGGCTGCATCTATAGACAGGCTTAGTCCAAACTTCTTTTATACCTTTTTTACAGTCATAAATTACTTAAAAAGTGGGCACATTTTGAAAATTGTGTTATTAGAGGATGGCATCATTGTAGAAACATCAGAGTGCATTTACACAGACCTGGATGGTATGGCCTACTACACACCGTATATAGTCAGTAGCTATATATGCTATAGCCTGTTACTCCTAGACTACAAACCTGTACAACATGTTACTATACTGAATACCATAGGCAGTTGTAACATGGTAAGCATTTATGTATCTAAATGTAGAAACTGAGTAGTAAAAATACAGTAATAACAGATTTTAGAAAATCATACACCTGTATAAGGCATTTACCATGAATGGAAGTTGGTCTGGGTGAGTCAGTGAGTGAGTGGTGAGTGAATGTGAAGACCTAGGACATTCTTGTGCACCACTGTATACTTTATAAACACTGTACACTTTTGCTACACTAAATTTATTTTTAAAACATTTTTCTTTCTTCAATAGTAAATTAACCTTATCTTACTATAACTATTATAAACTTTAAAATTCTAACATTTTGACTTTTTTGTTATAACACTTAGCTTAAAATACAAACGGTTGTATAACTGTACAAAAAAATTTCTTTCTTTATATCCTTATTCTCTAAGTTTTTCTCTATTTTTAATTTTTGTTTTGTTAAAAACTAAGACACACACACAATAGTGTAGGCCTGCAAGGATGAGAATTAATATCACTGTCTTCCACCTCCACATCTTGTTCCACTGGAAGGTCTTCAGGGACAATAACACTCTTGGAGCTGTCATTTCGTATGATAACAATGCCTTCTTCTGGATTACCTCCTGAAGGAGCTGCCTAAGGCTCTTTACAGTTAACTCTTTTGTTTTATATGTAGAAGGAGTACAGTCTATATTCACAATAAAAAGCAAAGTAGGATTGTTTACACTGGCATTGCTGCAAATACAACAGCTACTACGCCATTAGGCAATATGAATTTCTCAGCTCCATAATCTTATGGAACCACTGTCATAATATGCCATCTATCCTCAACTGAAACATCATTATTCGGGGCATGACTGTATTCTCATTTCTAAATTTAGGCAAGAAACATGGCCTTATTCTGTTTTTTTAAAAAAGCAATCATTAAATTCCTCCAAACTAATATTTACTATCTCTTCCATACAAAAACATTACAAATTTCAGAGTAAAATATCCAGTAAGAGAGTCATAAAACAAAGTGGATTTATAATGATCTATGACTTAAAGTAAACAAACAAAAGAAGTCTTCCTAAAAAGTCATTACCCATACATCTCACCCGATGAATATGTATGTGGCATTTCTAACCCACCATCCCTGAAAGGTGGCTATTTCATTTTTGAATTTGGTTTGTCCTTGTTGAAAACCATTTCTCACGGGGAACTCTTCAACATTATCTATCTACATTGGGACTTAGGCATGCATGCTGTTCATCAGAACAGTTTTGTTTTTTTTTTTTATGCCAAAGCCTTATTGTGAGATAATAACACGTGCTGTAGTCTAAATATTTGTGTCTCCCAAAATTCATATGTTGGAATCCTAACCCTTAAGATGCTGGCATTAGAAGGTAAGGGCCTTTGGAGGGTGATTAGATCATAAAGGCAGCGCCTTCATAAAGGGATTTGTGCCCCGATCATCAGGACCCCAGGAAGCTCTCTTGCCCTTTTTCTATCATATAAAGACACAGGGAGACAGCACCATCCACCAACCAGGAAACAAGCCTTCACAGACACCAAATCTGCTAGGTTCTTGATCTTGGTCTTAAACTTTGGAACTGGGAAAACACTGAGAAATAAATTTCTATTGTTTATAAGCCATTCAGTTTGTAATTTTTTATAGCAGCTAGAATAAAGAGAGCATGTTACAAATGAAGGCCATATTAAGAGTCAAAAAATATGACTTCTTATGAAAACCCAATCATTCTCTGAGCTAATGAGGAGGAAACTGAGATTCAAAGAGGGGAAGTGACTTACCGAACATGACACAGCAAGATTACAGCAGAGGTGACATCAACCTGGATGCTTGATTTTTAGTCATCGCTTCTGCTGCTGCTCATGCAGCTACTGAGGTCATGCTTGACTGATTCAAAGATAATAAGTACAACAACATGGCATGTCTCTCCTAACAACAATTCTTTATTTTCCAAACTGAACTGAACATATACTACTGTTTCACTAGAACACATTGAGTGGTGGCTTTTTATATCAAAGCCTTTAGTCTTATTATGTCTATTTATATTGAGTTGTGTCCAGGGATTTCAAAGCCAAATAATTTTAATCATGAAATATCATCAGTCTTGATTATATCTATAAACAATATTTGGTAATGGGGACATAGAACATCAACTTGTATGTACTTTATTTGGATTCTTTTAAGTAAGGTGTCCTAGAAGAGATGATTCCTAGTTTGACTGAAGGGATAAGAAAGAGGAACTCACCAAAAGTCAAACCACCATGTCTCCATTACTATTTCCTTCTCAACTGCAGATTCCAGAAGGAATGAGACTGAAATCTCTTTTCTCCTGGGATCAGATATGCCAACATGCCAATTATCTGTTCAAAAGGGGCTTATGAGTTCACCAGAAACGGAATCTATTACCCTCGATTGTGACAGGTTCTACATAAAATGTTCACACACAAAAATAAACCATTTTGAATAAAGACAAATATTTCAATAATGCAGTCCTACGAAAAAGCTCCATTTTGACAGATTATAAATGTTTGCTTATCTTCATGTTAAAAATATAGTCTGATCTTTGCATGTTAGAAAAAAAAATTGATAATCCTCATGAGTCATGATATCCTGACTGTATGATTTAATTGACAACATGTTGAATCCCAGGTAAAATCTATGTCTGAAGTGTCCTACTCACCAAGACAACGTCTTTGCATTTCATCTCTATTACAATTACATGCCAGAATTTAAAAAGTAAACTTTTGATTTTGTTGCTAAGCCTGTTCTTCTGATAGTATTTTACACTTCAGTAAATGGCAACTCCTGCATCCCAGTGCTCAGGCCAAAAGTCTTGGAGACATCCTTGAGTCTTCTTTCTGACACGCCCCATATATAATCTATCAGAAACTCTAGATATTTTTTCTTGAGATTAAAAAATATTCAGAATCCTCATGACCCACCACTATCTCTGCCACCTTCCACCAAGTCACCATTTGGTGGTAGGAAAGGGGAGGGGATTGGACAACTGTAATTACCTCCTAACCAGCTTCCCTACTTCCACAAGCCTCCTGTGGTCATTCTCCACACAGCATCCAGAGTCCTTTGTTAAAATTCAAATCATATCAGGTCATCCCTCAACTGCAAACTCTCCCATGGTTTCTTTCTCACTCAGACAATTCTAGAATCTTTACACAGGCCCACAAGGACGGCATCACTGACCGGCAGTGTCCTTAATCATCCCTTGAAACCCACTGGCTTCCTACTGTTCCTCAGAGGTGGCTAAACCACTACTGCTTCAGAACACGTGCAATTGCTGTTCTCTCAAGCTTAAACGTTTTTCTGAAGCATATCTGCTTGACTTCCTCCCTCCTTCTCTCAATGTCTCTGCCCTTTCTCACCAATTTACATAAATATTACATGCCCACTGTCATTCCTCCACCAGCCTATCATGATTCATACTTCTTTATAACATCCCAATATATTACATATTTATATGTTTACTTTGTGGGTCTGTCTCCCTCCCGCAATAAGAGAAATGCTCCATAAGAGCAGAAACTTTATCTTCAGACAGAAAAAAGAGTGGCTCACACCTAATAGACACTCAATAAGTATTCATCAAATGACTGAATATGAGTTTCTGTATCTGTCCTACATATTTACTTAGATGTCAGTGCACATCTAATACTTCTTTTGCATATTTATGACACACATCCTAACATGTATCACTTCATCTGATAGTAATGACATTGTATTTATACTGTTTTATACAAATTCGACTTTTCATATGCATGCCAGAATTAGACAATGCTAGTAAATATCAGCCCATTTCCTATCACAGATGCACGAGTTCAGTACAATTGTAGGGCCTTGGGAACATTACTTTACAAAAGAATGCATTCCACAGCAGTCAATGCAGTGTTTTCTCTAATCATGTGTCCCAGATATCCCGTTGTCCACAGTTGTCTCTTATTTGTATCAATTTATAATAAATATTAATAATAGTCAATGTTAATCTAAACCAGAGATCTAAAATTTTTTTCTGTAAGAAGCCAAATAGTAATATTTTAGGCTTTGAGATCTCTAGGGTATCTGGTAGCACTACTCAACTCGGCTGTCATAGGAAGAAAGCTGCCACACACAATATGAACATGAATCAGTATGAGTAGATCTGGTCTGTGAGCTGTAGTTTGCTAAACCCTGATCTAAATTGTTTATTTTAAAAATTGGTTAAAGTGTTGGCTTATATTGTTGATAACTGAATGGTCTAAGATTTTATTAGCTTTGACAGTAAATTTGTAAAACATACAATCTGATTTGTGGCAAAAGAAATCCTTTGGTTTAGCAATCTAAGAATAGCATGTTCACTGGGTGGTTGTTACAAAAATACAACTATTGGCCAGGCGCGTTGGCTCACGCCTGTAATCCCAGCACTTTGGAAGGCCAAGGCAGGTGGATCACCTGAGGTCAGGAGTTCGAGACCAGCTTGACCAATATGGTGAAACCCTGTCTTTACTAAAAATACAAAAATTAGCTGGACGTGGTGGCATGTGCCTGTAGTCCCAGCTACTTGGGAGGCTGAGACAGGAGAATTGCTTGAACCTGGGAGGTGGAGGTTGCAGTGAGCCCAGATCGCACCACTGCACTCCAGCCTGGGCAACAGAGTGAGACTCCATCTCAAAAAAAAAAAAAAAACAAAAAAATACAATTATTGCAGTGATATTTGTATAGTAGAAATTAGGAATCAAATAATTAAAATATACAGATTTACAAACTCGATAGCTATGGCACATAAAGTTCTAAATGAATATTTAAATTCATCAGTTTCAAAATTCATCATTTTCCAAAATTATATTTCATTTTAATACCTACTTAAAATGAAGACAAAGGCCTAATTAAGAAAAACATATAACTAAAGGAATAAAACACCTAGGGTCTTGAAAGCCCACTTGGCAGTTAAAAAACACTCTCATTCATTTATAATAACTTTTTTCTTATAACTAATTACCTGGAAGTTTCCACATTAACCATCTTTGTTACACTATGGAGTCATTTGTAATAAACCTGACACTAAAATAATATTCTTGAGTATCGCTTCCTATGAATAGTTAGAAAATCAGGATCAATGTTAGTCATTCTAGACATATGTGATTGGTTAACCTTTTTTTAAATTATGAATATGGTTTACAGAATCAATATCACGGGCATTAGATTTCAGCAAAGCATTTGATACAGCCCCTTACAAAAACTTAATTTAAAAATGTATTTGGGCCCAGAGCAGTGGCTCATGTCTGTAATCCCATAACTTTGGGAGGCCGAGGTAGGTGAACCACGAGGTCAGGAGATCAAGACCATCCTGGCTTACGCAGTGAAACCCAATCTCTACTAAAAATACAAAACATTAACTGGCTGTGGTGGTGGGTGCCTGTAGTCCCAGCTACTCAGGAGGCTGAGGCAGGAGAATGGCATGAACCTGGGAGGCAGAGCTTGCAGTGAGCCGAGACCGCACCACTGCACTCCAGCCTGGGAGACAGAACGAGACTACATCTCAAAAAAAAAGACTGTGTGTGTGTGTGTGTGTGTGTGTGTGTATATATATATATTTTCACACTGACCTTGATTGGATTGGATGACTCCTGGAAGGACTGCAAACTTTCAAGAGGAACACAAAGAATGAGACATGAGTAACTGTCCATCGCATGAGGAAGGAATCTAGCATAGTGCCCAGGGATTGGTGTTCAGGCAGTCTTTAAAGTTTTTTAATGGTCTCGAAAAGAGAGTAAGCAGAGCCTTTTTATTACATTTCCATGTGAAAACTTGAAAAGAATAGTGTAAAAACCAATGAATAGCCAAAAAAATATGAAGAGATTACATTAAGATAGTGTTGGAGACGCAACTGTGAAATAATACAAGTTAATCTTTTCTGAGATTATGTTATTCAATGAAATGAGTATAAAAATAGGGAAAAGAAATTTAAATGGAGTTCATTAAAAGATAATTTCTATTTCAAGACAGGAATAATTGTGCCCTGAATAGGAAAACATCTGAAAAAGAGACATCTCACATCAGCATCTGCGTCACTGACTCTGGGAGATGTGAGGAAGTCTAAGTACAAAACCTTACGATTTCCTTGTTAGAGACAAAATAATTTGCTACAATTATATAATAGACAAGTAAAATTTTATCATTATATTTTTAAATTATAGCAAAGTGCTCACTTGGTTGAACTCTCAGATGGCAAATATACTGTAGTAAAACTCTTAGCCCTTTGTCTAGTTTCTTTTCATTTTATTAATGTCCATTTTTGTCTACTACAAAGAAATTCCAAAGGATGTTGTTCCTGTTGTTTCCTAAGCTTAGTCAATCAAATGTCAATAGCTGGACAAAAATTGCCTGCATTCCTGGATGTAAATTAAAATTACCTCTATAAATTCACTGCTCAAATTATCTGACAATTGCTGTTGCATTGATTTTGTTGCTGAATATATTAAACAAATGTAAATTTATTTTCTTGATAACATGATAGTTACTTTAGATGTTGTTCAGATATTGCCAAGACACATATAGGGATTCATTTAATATTAAAACTGACTTAAAAGCCAAAGACATATCTCTCGTGAAAGACCTTTGTTACATGGGGTTATTTCACCGAACACCGAATTGGGCAAAGACCACAAGCTACTACTGCTGTTATAAAAACAGATGCATCCATTAGATTTAAAAACTCAGTGAACCTGAAACAAAATTTAAATGTTCAAAGATTTTTTTACATGTTAAATTTTAGCACTAAGACCTTTTAGTTTTGCCTGAAGCGAAAACTTAAACGAAACTTAAAGCGAAAACAAAAAAGCCTCTAAACATATATATATATAAAACAAATTAGAATTCCAGTTTCTGGTCTGACATGTAGATAGCTTGGAAGTTATCGCTCATATTTTCATGACAACAACAACAAAAAAACCCTGAAAAAAAAAAACAAACCACACACTGATAATCAACAGCTCTCCTTAGATTTGTCAGAGATTCGAGGTCACAGGGCAAACTGTTGCTCTGAAAACAGGAAAGACAGGCAGATAGAGAGAATCACAATTTACTGGCAACAGAAGCCCAAGCTGGAGTCAATAGGAACACCATAAGCCATCACTGACAGACTGCAAGAGGCTTTGTGCAGACTAGCTTGAGAGTTAAAAATTCTGAGGAAGCCTAGTTAGGAGGCTCCCCACCCTTTCCTAAGGTCCTCACTGTGACACTGTGAAAATTATAGAAAAATCCCCTCCTGGTTCCAGCAGGAAGAAGGGAAAGGTAACAATTCTGAAATACAACCAGACTCTCTGTTCTTCACAAGGCCTACCCTCAAAGAAAATTATTTTCCCAGAGCCTAACCAACCAGGGCAAGGGGGAAAACCAATTCCAGATCCCTCTCACTTTCCAAATTGGAAAAGGAAAGTATTCAACTCAAGCCCTCACCTCCACACCCACCCCATGGCCTTCAATGTGGGAAAAGGGAAATACCCAACTCAACTAAAATACCGAGAACAAATCACATAAAACACTTTCCGATCCCCTCATCTTACCACCACGTCAGTAGGGTTCCTATATAATAATGGAACCACAGCTTGAAGAACAAGCCACAGACCTTGTTTATGGCATCTCTAGAAAAACCCAAAGACATCAGGAAAGACAAAAACAAGGATACTGAAGGAAATTTTAGCCTCTGACACCACAGCTGCAGCAAACAGTAAATAAAGCCTAACTATTTGCAAGAAAACATAAAACCTCACACAAAAGTCCTATCTACAATGAGTTGCTTTTACCTGATACTTTATGTCTGCCTTTCAACAGAAAATTACAAGAAAAAAAAAAAGGTCTGAAAAGACAAGCATCAGAACCAGACTCAGATACGACAGAGATCTTGGAGTTAGCAAACTGGGAACTTAAAATAACTGCAATTAATATGTTAAAGGCACTAAAGGAAAAAGTGAATGACATGTAAGAACAGATGAGTTATGTAAGCAGAGAAGTGGAAACTAAGAAAGAATCAAAAGGAAAAGGTAGAACCCAAAAACACTAACAGAGATGAAGAATGCTTTTAATGGGCCTTTAACAGACTGAATGCTGCCTGGGGAAAGAATCTGTGAACTTAAGGATAGGTCAACAGAAACTTTCAAAATTGAAATGCAAAGAGAAAAACTGAAAAAAACAGAATACCCCAAAACTTTGGGACAATTACAAAAGGAGTAACATAACTATAATGGGAACATCAGAAAGAGAAAGGAACAAATATTTGAAGTAACAAATAAATGAATGAAAATCTGTTCTGGGTGAAGGCCCAGGAAGCTCCATCAGAACCACTGATAGGGGGAATCTGGTTAGAATGGCATTCAGAAGAGTCATTCCCTGAAAACCTGAATCTTCTTTGCTTCACGTGTGCCTGTCATACACTAGAGCTCCTGCAGTATTAACTGGTGACAACTAGGCAATAGACATTTATATACTCTATTGTATGCATCTATATTCTCTATTATCCTTAAAGAAGATCAACTGCAAAAGCACTTAATTGTAATACAATGTGTTCATAATAAATTTATATGCTCTCTCCACATGGATTAGGAAAGAAACAGATTGTTTTGCTAAGGTAGCAACCTTCCTTTATTTAACTGACTTCAGATATTTGATTAATGTCATAATTGTGATGATTGGGATGGCAAATGACTTATGAATAAAGCTTGTATTTTCACAAACCTAAAAAAAATTTTCAGGTGTCTTTTTTTAACTTTCGAATACACTTCTTATTCTAGAATAGTTTAGATTTCCAAAAAACCTGTGCAGATAGTATACATACCTTACATATACCACCCCCTACTGCATTTCTACTGTTATTAGCATCTTACATTAGGGCACATTTGTCAAAATTAATGAGCCAATACTGACACAACATTATTAACTAAAGTCCACACTTCCTTCATATTTTCTTCGTTTTATCCTAATTTCGTTTTTCTGCTCCAATATCCCATCCAGGATATCACAATTACATTTAGCTGTCACATCTCCATAGCTTCCTTGTTCTGGATAACTTTGAAAGTTCAGAGCACTAGTGGTCAGGTGTTTTGTAGAATGTTCAGCTACTGAGACTTATCTCAAGTTTTTTGCAGGATTAGACTGAAGTTATAGGTTTTTGGGAGAAATATCAACACGGGTAAAGTGCCATTCTCATCACCTCTTATCAAGGGTAAATACTATCAAGGTGACTTACCATTACTGATGTTAATTTGATCATCTGCATGAGGCAATGTTTGTCAGGTTTCTCCACTGTAAAATTACTTTTTTCCTCACCTTCCATGCTTATTATTTAGAAGTTAGTATGTGCAGCCCACATTTAAGAAGGGTTTATGTTCTACCTCCTTCAGCATGAAATAGCTACATACATTATTTGAAATTCTTCTGCATTATCCTTTCTCCCAGATTTATTTGGGCAATCCTTTATATGGATTCATGGATATTTCACTTTGGGTGTAACTCCAATACTATTTTATTTGTTTTATAGGTCAAATTGTTCCATCTTTGGCAATTGGGAACACTTTCATTATCTCCTGTGTTCCTTTGACATGTCTCCATCATTGTAGGTTTTCTTTGAGAACTTCCTTACTTTCTGGCACTACAAGAGGCTCTAGGTTCATCTTGTAAATTTCTTGCCCCAGGGTTAAAATTAGACATTTTTCTAGGGATCCCTGGTTTCTTTTAATGAAAAATGGTATTAGTAACCAAGATCTAAACACTAGTGTGGTGGTTGCTACTGGGATGTCATTGTTTCTAGGCCCGTTTGGCTGGCAAAATGAAATATATATTTACTAACTCATGTATGTACAGATATCTGTAAATATATCTGTAATGTAACCATCTGTGTGTGTGTTAGGCTAACCACAGGTGCATACTGCCTTCAAATCTAATCCATTACCACATAACTCATTCTGTCCTCCTCCCCTTATCTGCAACTTCTGTCATCTGCCATATACTTAGTTATTCAACACACGTATGTGTGTGTAGTATCAGAATAGTTCATTCATACACCCATTGGAAACAACTTTAGCAGCTAGAGTGCTTATGTACAGTTTCTTTTGCCTGTGTTTTATAGACTAAACTTACTTGGATCATTTCCAAGGTTATTTAGGTCAGCATCTTTCTCCCCCCCACCCCACCCGCTACCTTCAGTGAAATGGGTTTATATAACACATTTGTAATACAGTTAGATTGTTTTTGCTACATTCTGCATTCTACACAGGAATTCCTCAGCATTATAAATAACTTTTTAAATGGGTATACATTAAGATTCACTCTATATGCTATTAAATTCTACAGGTTTTGACAAGTGCATAATGTCATGTATTCACCATTGCAGTATCATACAGAACGATTTTACTGCCCCATCGCCCTAAAAAAATTCACTGCGATTTACCTATTTGACCCTCTTGTCCCACCTCCACAGCCTGGAAACCACTGATCTGTTTCTCATCTCTGTAGTTTTTGTTTTCAGAATGTCATATAAATGGAATAAGGTAGCCTGTAGTCCTTTCACACCAGCTACTTTCACTTATCAGTTAAGATTCATACGTGTCTTTGCATGGCTTTATAGCTCATTTATCTTTATTGCTGAATTGTATTCTGTTCTTTGAACGTACCACAGTGTATTTGTCCATTCACCTATTGAAAAGACACATTGGTTGCTTCCACATTTTGGCGATTAAGAATAAAGCTGCATAAACATTTGCATACAGATTTTTGTATGGACATAAATTTTCATATCAGTTGGATAAATACTTAGGAGCAAAATTGCTTGATCATATGGGCAGACTATGTTTAGCTCTGAAAGAAACTACAAAAACTGTCTTCCAAAATGGCTATACCATTTTGCATTCCCACCTACTATGAATGGCAGTTCCTGTTGCTCTACATCTTCACCGGTAATTGCTGCTGGTAGTCCTTTCAGTTTTCTTTTCTTGGAATATCTTTATCTGATTTTTATACTAGGGTAATGCTGGCCTTATGGAATGAGTCAAAAAATATTCCTCTGCTTCTACTTTCTAAAAAAGATTGTGAAAAATTAGTATTCTTTCCTTTTTAAATATTTGGTAGAATTTACCACGGTACCTATCTGGTTCTGGGGCTTCCTGTTTGGGAAAGGTTAAGTACTGACTCAATTTCCTTAATCTATATAATCATATTCAGTTTGACTATTTCTTCTTGTCTGAACTTTGACATATTATGTCTTTTATGAAAGTGGTCCATTTAATCTAAGTTATCGAATTTGTGGGTATAGAGTTGAGTGTTCCTTTATTATTCTTTTAACGTCCATGGAATAAGTATTGATGATTCCTCTCTTATTTCTGATATTGATCATTTGTGTTATCTCTATTTTTTATTTGGTTAGCCTGGCTGGAGGCTTATAAATCTTATTGAACTTTTCACAGAACTAGCTCTTGGTCTTTTTTTTTTTTCTGTTTTCCTTTTGCAATTTCATTGATTTCTGGTGTAATTATTATCCTTATTTTGCTTGCCATACGCCCAATTTTCTCTCCTTTCTCTAGCTCCCTAATATGAGTGCTGAGATTAATTTCATGTTTTTAGATCTTCCTTTTTAATATATGTATATAATGCTATATATTTTCCTCTAAGCAGTGTTTTTGCTAATTCCCACACACTTTTGATAAGCTGTATTTTCATTTTCATTTAGTTCAAAATATTTTTAATCTTCCTTGTAGCTTCTCCTTTACTCATGGTTTATTTAGAAGTGTACTTTTTAATTTCCAAATATTTGGAGGTTTTCAACTATCTTTCATTATTGATTTCTAGTTTAATTTCATTGTAGTCTGAGAACACATACAAGTAATTTTTACTGTTTTAAATGTGTGAAGGTGTGTTTTATTGCCCAGAATAGGGTCTTCTTTGGTGAAAACAGAAGTTCCATATGAGCTCGAGGAGTATATTCTGTAGTAGGTTGGAGTCTTCCATATATATCAATTGGATCAATTTCATTCATAGTGCTGTTCAGGTCATGTGTAACTTTACTAATCTTCTGTTTCCTTATCCATTACTGACAGAGGGGCATTGTAGTCTCCCATAAAAATAGTAGACTTGTCTATTATTTCAATTCTATTAGTTTTTGCCTCATATATTTTGGTATATTTAAGATTACGTGCTCTTGGAGAATTGACTCCTGCCTTAAATAAATTTTAGGTCAATTAAAAATACAGTAATTAAAATATTTTAACTTTACTACTTAGGCCTTCAATACTCTTATTTTATGTGTATTCAAGTTTCTGACGTGTAAGATTTTGCTTCTGCCTGAAGAACTTTTTAACACATCTTATAGGACTGATTTGCTGGCAAAGAATTCCCTCAGCTTTTGTTTCTCAGAAGAAGTATTTCTCCTGAACTTTTGAAGAATAATTTTGCTGAATACAGAATCCTAGATTGGTGGGCTTTTTTCTTTCAACACTTAAAACATTTTACCAAACTCACTTCTTGCTTGCATGGTTTCTGATAAGCAGTCCCTTGTAATTCTCATTCTTGTTCCTCTTAGACAAAGTATTTACCCCACCCTCCTCTGGCTTTTTTCAAGATTTTCTCTTTGCCTTTGCTTTTCTGCAATTTGAATACGATATGCCTACTATATGTATACTCTTGGTATTTTTCTGGCTCAATGTTACTGAGTTTCCTAGGTCTATGTTTTGGTATCTGTTATTAATTGTGGAAAGTTCTCAGCTATTATACTTCAAATAGTCCATTTGCTCCATTCTTTTTCACTTATTTCTGGTATCCTAATTGCACATATTATTACACCTCTTGAGGTAGTCCCACAGTTCTTAGATGTTTTGCCTATTTTTTGTTTTTGTTTTCATTTTTTCAGTTTTTGAAGTTCTACTGACCTTTCAAGCTGATTTTTTCCCTTCAGCCATGTTACGTCTATTGGTAAACCCATCAAAACAATTGCCTGTATGACTGCTTTTATTTCTAGCATTTCCTTCTGGTTTTTTTACTTTAAATTTCTCTGCTTACATTACTCATCTCTTCTTATGTGATGACTATTTTTACCATTAGAATCCTTAACATATTATAGTTATTTTAAATTACTTGTTTTATAGTTTCACTAACTCTGTCATATCTGACATTGGTTCTGATGCTTGCTTTGTCTCTTCAGGCTGTCTCTTGCCTTCTGCCATGCATTGCAATTTTTCATTGAAAGCCAGCACATACCAGGTAATAAAAACTAAAATAAACACACCTTGAATGTAAGGATTTATGTTAATCTGCTAAGATTTGGGCTGTGAGATCTTTATCTGCAGCTGTAGGTGCCAGAGCATCTTAGTTTTTGTCTTCTCTTGACTTTGGCCTTTCCTAAGTATTCCTCCTTAGAGCGAGTCTATCTCACAGCTCTTTCCACTAAGATTCACTCTTACCACACTAGAGCACTGATGGTAAGGTGTGGGGAAAAGGGAGCATTCTGCAATCAACTGACTGTCACTCTTTTAGTGGGCCTGTGATTCTCGGCTGTGAATGTCACAGTTCAAAGTGGTGCAGCAGACCTCTATATCCTTTTCTAACTACACTACTTCCAATCTATTTCCTTCAAGGCCTGACTTTTATTGACCTCACATCTCCATCTTCCCTGCCAACATCACCAGCACTTTAAGTGAAATTGAAAGGCTGAAAGAGACTTCAGTGGTGAAATTTCATTTAGACTTTGTTATGGAGAAGCCTCTTTGTGTATTTTACAAAGATTATTCTTTCTTTTCTCCTGTGAGAGAATATTTCACTGGGAGAACCCGGTGGGGTTCCTGAAGGCAAAGCCCTTGACGCTGTGGGGGACTCCTCTAAGACAGTGGCCCCCAGGATTTCATCACTGTCATGTTAGTCCATGCTCAGCCTCCACCAGTTTGCCAAAGTTTCCATTTAAAAGTTTCTGCCAGTTTATTGCTCAAGCATCTTCTGCTCCAGATAAGCAGACCTCAGCTGAGACTCTCTAGTTTCACCTGTCTCTCCAGATTTCATGGTGGTACTTTGCTTTGCTTCACAATCTGATTGCTCTGAAATGTCTACAAAAACCTGTTAAATTATCAACTTGTCCAGCTTTTTTGTTTTTATTGCAAGGGCAGGAATGATGACTTCCAAGCTCTTTAAATGTCATAGCTGAAACCAGCAAAGTTTTCAGTTTTTACCTACACTCAGTATAGCTTCCAAAATAGGACAGCTAAAATAAAATATATAATTAGCTCCCTTTTTCTAGCTAGAAAGCAAAGCAAGCAGTATAGTACACTACAAACTAGAGTATGAGCCTTAGAAACAGATTGCCTAGTTTCAAAACTTCACTGCTCCAAGCTTCAGGCGTCTAGGGAATCTGTAAAATAAGGATAATAAAGTGCCTAACTTATGAGCTAGCTATAAAGAAGCACAGTGCCTGGCACATAGCTTGATAAATTTTGTTATTGTATTAAAAATGTTCCATATATTTGTTCAATTACTAATTCAACTCATCAATTTAGTTTAAGAGTGAATAATCCTAGACAGGGGCAAGCAAAGGTGTTAACACAGGTAAGAAATAAGTCTTTGTTGTACATGGATTTATATTCTACATCTAAATTATGGCCCAAAGCAAACTTAAAGTAAATGGAGGAAGAGGGAATAGAATGTTTTCCCCCAACATATTGCACTCCAGCCTTAATTAATGGCGTGATAAACTAATTTTACAATTTCTCCAAGACTGAATTATTAGGGCCTATTGCAATGAAGGTAAAGGTAAGTGGACAGCAGAGATTAGTCTGTTTTCACTGATGAAACTTCTTTAGTTAGGATCTTGAGCTCAAATAAAGTACATTAACACCTCCCAGAAAAGCAGATGCTGGGAACAGAAGACTCTACCTTTAAATATTAAGAAAAAGAGAAACTTAATGAGACTGTGTGAGAATACATCTCAAGTAGGTTTGACATTGCCACCTGCTAAGGAATGTCACACCAGGAAATTGACATTAGAGTCCCTCAGGAGTCACTGAGAAAAGAGCCCAGATTATTACAAATATCTTTTGTTGTTGCTGTTTTTTGAGATAGAGTCTTGCTCTGTCACCCAGACTGGAATGCAGTGGCGTGATCTTGGCTCACTGCAACCTCCACCTCCTGTTTTCAAGCAATTCTCTGCCTCAGCTTCCTGAGTAGCTGTGATTACAGGCATCCACCACCATGCCTGGCTATTTTTATTTTTTTATTTTTTATTTTTATTCTTTGTATTTTTAGTAGAGATGGGGTTTCACCATGTTGGCCAGGCTGGTCTTGAACTCCTGACCTCGTGATCCACCTGCCTCGGCCTCCCAAAGTGCTGGGATTACAGGCGTGAGCCACCGCATCAAGCCGGCCCACAAATTTCTTATAGCTTGTAGGCAAACAGCCAAAGTCTCCAAAAATAATTCGGAGGGGCCAAGAGGACTTCATATCCCTAATGAAAGGGCAAGGTTAGCTTCTCAAAGTCTCTGACAGCACTACACCCTACACAGGAAGTATCTGGGCTTGGAAGGCGACAACTTGCCAATTAGCTGGGAGTGAGTGGTACTAACACTGTGCATTAAGTTGTATCCTTTACTTACATTAAGAGAGCTTTTAACCTTTGTCTGTGCCTTTATAGCTCTTTGTCAATCGCCACACAACTGTACTCTAGGCAACAATTTTATAGCAGTCTGAGCTATATCATGGTGATGGTAATCATTGATTTAGGAAAACATCAATTAAAAAAGTACCACTCTGGCTTGACAGTCTTGGAAGATGCAGTCCTTCAACTGTCTCCACACACAATTCTAGGAGTGTCCAAGATATATCTCAGGTGTGTCTGAGTTTGACTAATCCCTGGTAGCTGTCTTTTTTTTTTTCCTTATTCTCTGTGTTGCTGAGGCTATGTCAATGATGATTGATGATCATTCCCACCCTAAGAGCTGATTAGAGCACTCATCACCATAATGAATCATGAAGGTGCTGATTTCACCATAATGCAGACAGATCATCAAGAAGATCATCATGCAACAAAAACTACAGATAACTTCTCTAGTTTCCAATATCAATGCTTTCCCCAAATGAAGGAAGGTGCAAACAAAGCAGTCCATTTAGATTTTACTCACTCTTTTATTCCAAGGCCCTCTCCAGTAGACTGCCATGAGTGCTATAGAAGCGTGCTGGCAAACCATCTTCAAAATATACCTCTTGTGTTGAAAACACCCCTTCCCTTGAAAGTAGGGCCTTGTCATCTGGAGATCATATAATATGTCAATCTATTCCCTTAGAATGAAAAAGCCACTCAAAGTCTTAAGGAGAGACCCCCTTTGGAACATGTCTTGGAGACATGTCCAGACTGAGGAGGAAGGGAGGGTCTGGACACATAGGCAATATTCTTACATCTGAGGTATAAACACACACATCCTATCCGCATCTGAACTAAATTTAAGTCAATTTACTCCTACATCATATGAAATCCTGACATTATATATTTTTTCTTTGTATTGAAGACAGTAATTATAAAATCTTTGATTGTATTTATAAACTAAAGCAGCTGTAAACAGATGAGAAGCTAGCTATAATCAAATATTTAATAAAGCCAAGAAAACAGAGATTTGGTCTCACTTTTTTTATAGTGACCTAGAGTAAAGGGTTTCAGTTTCAAATGATATTAAAATCTAGGGATATGATAAATCAGCCACAACTTACTTTAATTATTGTTTGAAATATAAATTTCCATAACATCATACACCAGTAAGACAATTCAAGCTAGAAGGGAAGTTAAAAACCATCTGTCTCATTTGACAGATAAAGCAAATGAGCTCCTAAGAGGTAAAGTGAATACGTGCATATTCAATAGTGAGGAGAAAAATTGTGTCAGGACCAAATATAAATTATTAGGGATGAAATTCTTTACTTTATAAAAGAACACTAGACCATTAATATAAATACAGGTATAGATTAATTAGATTTAATCACTCTTTATCCCTTCAATATGAAATGATTTCGACATGTGAAGATGTTTCCTTTTCTCTGTAAGATGCTACAATATCTGCGAGAACTCTCTAGAGGTAAAAGCATATTCCATTTTACTCCGGCTTTTATACCAGAACTCATAGAATCTCATAATTCTTTTCCTATAGGAAATACATTTTTATAGCAGTCTTCATCTTATAAATGGAGCTGTTTAATTTAGAGCCACAGAATGATCCCAGTGTGTTCATAGCACATTTAGTGAATTTATAACTATAATGCCTTTGGATATGTATTATATTTGCTGTGTATTCTATTGATCCATTGAAAATATTTTGCTTCTTGTAAGAGGCACAAGAGGACCTTCATAAAGAAAGTAAAATGTACCTTATACTTCAAGTTCTAACATTAAAAATAATGGATTGGTGATATCAATAAAAGACCAAACCAGTAACTGTATTTTATTACTAGGTGTCGATAGTTGAATTCAGTTGTCCTTTTTTCTTGATAACATAATGAAGCTGCCTTTAACTGGGGTACAAATGCCCATGAGGCATATAAGCACTTTCCAAATAGTATGTAGAAATGGTCAGTTAAGGGAAATCAGTTTCAAAGCTGCCTAACCATATGTACTCTTCCCAGAAATTGGTTTGCCTGAACACTCCCTGAGGTGAAAACTTCATTCAGAATCAGCTTTCTTACCTCCTCATTCATAATTATTCTTTTCCTATTTTATAAGAGAAAGACATATGATCATCGTGGTGTGTGAAAACGGAGACACCAAACTTTAGGAGGAAATATTGGAATTTTGGTGTTGGATGTTAAGAAAATGAGTTGCTTCGATGACAGGTAATATCCTATAAGGCAGGGGTGTCCAAATCTTTTAACAAAATTGAGGGAGGATCCAATCAGCACTGTCAGTGACAAATCATTAAGTACACATTTTGCTGAGAAGTAGCTATGTGATTTTTGGCATATAACCTGAAAAGACTCAAAGCAGTGAGTGACGTGTTTAAAAATTCCTTCTATTCCC
Organism: Homo sapiens; assembly: GCF_000001405.40. Taxonomy (NCBI): domain Eukaryota; kingdom Metazoa; phylum Chordata; class Mammalia; order Primates; family Hominidae; genus Homo; species Homo sapiens. The sequence continues at coordinate 193,598,820 of NC_000001.11, read as the reverse complement.
ACCATTCCTTAGCACTTACATCCATAAAAATAAAAAACAGGACCATAGCTGATTATGAGCCCTCCTTCAATGTAGCAATATGTCATGTTCTGCTAAAGATTTATAAACTAATTGAAAAAATCATATCCATTCAAGATATGCATTTAAATATTTTTAATTTTAATATTTAATAGCCCATCCACACTTATATTTATGTTCTTTTAACCAATTGTGTACTAAAGACAATTGAAATCATAACTTAAAACACTTTAATTTTTTAGTAGTTAAGTCAAAGGAACATTTTAATTAAATTTGGAATGATGAGTAAAAGACTTAATAATACATAACATTAGGATAAATATGAAGGAAGTTTATGAGCTCAAAGGAGAAAATGAAAAGTATAGGATTTCTTAATTTCAGAGAATAGTTTGTTCCCTTTTATTTTAACGGCTAAGGGTGGCAATCAAATCATTAGATACAGTTTCAAATAGCTAGAAGGAAGATATGGAATGTCCCAACACAAAGAAATGATAAATGTTTGAGATGATGAATATTCTAATTAGCTTGACCTAATTACTACGTAAGTGTCAAAACTTCACTGTGTACCCCGTAAATATGTACAATTGTATGTCGATTAGAAAAAATAAAAGAAAAAAGAACAAAAAAAATCAGAGTATTTTTAGGTAATGCCAGACATGTAAAGAAGTGATGTAACATATTTATTTTTAAATGCAAATGTTAGCAGAACATTGAAAATTACATGTTTACAACTATTTAAATTTACAATAGGAAAGTTGAAATGTCAACTTGGAATGAGGGGCACAGATTTTTTCAAAATGCTTTTTAAGAAACATGTGGTTTCAAAAAAGTTGGAAAACTACTCCCTTAAAGGTAACATTAATATTTAAAGGAGGACCAATCAACCAATAGATTTCTGAGAAACACATTCAAGTATCCCAATCATTGACTGGCAAACCACTTTCTTATAACATTTATTTTACTTGTAATTGTTCATTCATTGTTCATATACCTAGGGCTCCAAGAAGTTGGGAACCCTGGGTTACCTGTTCCCCACTCAAGAGCCCCTGTATTTAGCACAGTGTCTCCATTAAAAGCACTCAATTGTGAAGTGCTTTTATTTTCTATTGTATTTCAGCAAATAAAATAGTAAGTGTTCTACTTTCTGCTTTGTTATTTTCACTTAGGAAAAGCCATAAAATGCTCTGAAATAGACAATCTAAGAGCGTGCAATTTGACAAATATTCCAAATCACTTTGGAATTCTCACACGTAACACATGCACATCCACAATTTTAAAAGAAAGCAAGAGAGAGAATGAGACAGAAAACCTAGATGTGACTTTCATTTACTCAACAGATATTTATTGAATACTTTCTAAGTGCTAGACATTATTCTAGGAACCAGATGCTAGCAGCTATGGTACACATCTCTCCTTATTTATAATGGAGTTTGAGTACTTTTTTGCAAAAATTGAATCAACTGGAAAAACATCAGATTACACAAGCATTTGCTATATAATTTTATTCTAATATTTTGATTGCATCTGCTGTTCATTATGTATGCAAAACACATGTAAGAGAAAAATACAATGAAAAACAATGTAAAAACCTCAAAGGCAATTATAGTAAAACGACCAAAATCCAAGTTTTTTTTAACTCATATGTGGTACTTTTTTAACTCAAAATAAGCAACTGTAAAATAGGCATTTTGACTCCTTGAAGCCTATCAATAAAAAATGTAATTGAATAAAACAGAATATCAAAACCAAATTACATGTGCTTTCCCTATACCATTCTGGATGCCTCACTAATTGGGGAGAACACTAATCCTAAACATGGGAAACTTTCACATGCATTTTGGGATAGAAAGATAACAGGACTGGGGAAGAGAAGTGAAACTTGTTATTAGAAGTCATAATTTCCTACGTGTTTTGTTTTTATCTGATGTAACTAAAGTATTGTCAATATTTGTGAATATGAAATACTCAATTCGAATTTAAGGATACTTTACATATTAAAAAGTCAGCACATATTTAAAACTAAATCTCCAATAACTAACTAAAAGGGATATTGGCCTTTTTCTTTATTGTTAATTGTTTTTAACTTTCTGGTAATAGCTTCAGATTTAGGATTATTACAAACAATTCAGTCATGAATTTATGTACATCTACCTTTGTGTGCATTCTCCTACCCATTCTATGTATACCAAACTTACAAAGAGGTAATTTTTTTTTAGAACAGCAAATTTGTCTGCTCTAGTGTATGTTGTTTTTGTTATCAAAATCTTTTTTTTGTGGGAGTAAATATTATCCTGGTGTACTACTTTGTAGTTTTCTAAGAAAAGTGTTCTCATGTTTCTTTCCCTCCCTCTTTTTTTTTGGTCTCACTCTGTTGCCCAGGCTGGAGTGCAGTGGTGCTATCTCCACTCACTGCAATCTCCACCTCCCAGGTTCAAGCTATCCTCCTGCCTCAGCTTCCTGAGTAGCTTGGATTACAGGCACAGGCCACCATGTCCAGCTAATTTTTGTATTTTTAGTAGAGATGGGGTTTCACCATGTTATCCAGGCTAGTCTCGAACTCCTGACCTCAGGTGGTCTGCCCTCTTTGGCCTCCCCAAGTGTTGGGATTAAAGGCATGAGCTACCATGCCCGGCCTCCCTCTCTTAAATGCTGCTGCAGTCACACCAGTTTCCAATTTTCCCATGATTTCGTCACTTCTCAGGTAAGTCTTCCCTGAAAAGTTTTTGAAAACAAATTCACAATACTTAAAATTTGTTTGTAATTGCATATCCATTATTATGGTTTTTCTGATGACCTAAAGGCACCCACCAGACAGCTCTGTCTTCCCCCATTCCCAGCTCCAGAGGGAAGGTTGTCTTTTTGAATAAAAATGCATTGAAGACAAGTTGTAAGAAATCATCCATATTGAAAAGTGTTGAATGGTCTCACAGAAATCTTGCATGCAGAAAAAAATAGAAAACCCAAAACAAAATGATGCTTTATCTTACAAATTTGAGGAACAAGGACAGGAAAGAGGATTTCAGACTTAGTTGAAATAAAACTACACTTTTTGTTTAAACAGGTTGAAGCCTAGAAATTAAGGAACAAAGGAAGAGAGGATTAAGGAAGGCTACCATATAAACAGAATACCATCAGGCAAAGCCAAGAATCTGGAAATGTTTTCACCATTCTCTGGACTCTGAGGACATTTCGGTTCATGAGCATGAAGGTATGTTTTGTTTTAAAAAATTATTTGTTGCATGTGTTTGGTTTGGTGGTTGCTGGTGATGGACTAAATTGAGAAGATTTATGACTTAAGCTTTATGGTTTAATGATAGAATTACACTTTAATACCTGTCTCTTTGCTAGACTATAAGTGCCATGAAGGCAGGTTCATAGTCAGCACTGCTCAGCATTGTAGCCTTCATATAGAACACCATATTTGGCATATAATAGGCACTCAGTAAGTATTCATGTATTATTACATTTTGGATCAAGGAGATAATCACATTTAATTCTCAAAAAATCGAATAGAATTAGATTGAGATTAATCCAAACCCCTCCTACCACCAAAACACGTTTTGCAGATGCCATCTATTTTGGAAATTAATATAAAGCTCTTCATACGAGAAATTACTGGGCAATTAGTTACTGGACACTGACATATGCTTGAGTATGTATATGTTGGTGTTTTTACAACAGAATGACAAAATTGTTCTAAGCTGAAAAAGAGCCTGTAAATCTTCGAGTTCTCTTAATTAACCATAGAAGCCCAGAGGGGTTCAGTTATTTCTCCAAGTTGCACAGCCGGTTAGTTATAAAACTAGAGCAAGAACACTGATCCTCCTCCTCATTACCCAATCAGAGATTTAGGGATTGAAGACATCCCATTTCTGTGTAAATAGAGATACTGAATGTTCACATTTGTAAGTCATTTGAGTATTCTTGAGTTTGTTTTTAACATTAAGAAACTGATGTTGAATGCATTGGAAAAATAAATTATTTCACACATTGAATTTGTGGGATAAAATTGGGAATTATTTTTTGAAGTCTCAATTGTTAAAAAAAAAAAAAAAAAAAAAAAGACAAAGAAAGGGGAAACAGATGTTCCTCTACTGACCCTACTTAAATAGGTCATGTTTACTTCCTTCCTTAAAAGTACTGTTTACCTTCTAATGGTGTTTTTCATACATATATGATTTTGGGGGGAAAGAATAAACTGGTAATTATCTTCACTAATGAAATGTGCAATCATTTCAGTTAGATTTTAAATGGGGCACGACTCACATTCATAATGCCCATTGAATAAATGCCTATTAGGTACAGTTTAATGGCTTAATGCTTGATTCATGTTTTTTTTTTCCTCTCTGTAATTTCTATTGCACATTTAGGGCAATTAGAAAATTTGGTTTTCTTTCTTGTATATACATATAATCTCTGTATTCAGAAAACTCAGCACAGAAAAATAACAATATAAAGGTAAAAATTATGCCTGTCACGTAACAAACCTGCACATGTATCCCCTGCATCTAAAAGTTAAAACTGTTTTTTTAATTAAAAAGGTTAAAAAATAACCCCCCCAAAAAAGAGGGCCGCATCTCTGATAGTAACGGTACTCAAAATTTTGGTTAAAATCATTTGGTTAACAACGTAAACTCTTGTGTAGCATTAGTGAGTAACAAATCATAATTATTATCATGTGCCTCAGAAGATTATTCCTCCAACACTTTAGAAAGGTCACAGCATTTCTTGTCTAAAAAAGTCCAAACTCAAATTGGCAAACTGCGTTGATAAATTAGTGGAGAAAAGTTTCCACTGAGAATAAATTAAAAGCAGCCTTGAAAATATTCAATTATATATTCCTCTTATAGCAAGCAACAGTACCTATCATTGTATTAGAATATGCTTCTCATTTTTCTTCAAATTTACACACACTGTTTGAAGCTGTGAATGCTAATGATAATAAAACAAGTTCCTACTTTTGTAGCATTTTAATTTTTTAAAATATCAGTTAATAACGTCAAAGAGTAAGAAAAACCTAGTGTAGGTATGCATGCATAAAAATATTTTCTTATACTTACAAAGTTGGGTTAACACCATTTGTACATATTCAGACTAAGTTTTGCTGCTTCCTTTATGATTCAGAAGTTAAGTTGTACAGTAAAATCTGAATATATGGCAGGTGTAGATTTTGCATGCTACTATATTTACTTACATATTTTTTTTTTCTTCTCTGATATTCTCTCTCTAAAAGAGAAGGAATTATGAGGAAATCATATGAGCATCTAACTCTACTTCACACTTGAGATTCTCACTTCCACTTTCAAAATAAGAGCAACTCATATAATTCACAACGTTAATCGGAATATAGGTTTACTAATGTTTTTCTCTTCCTTCAGCAATTTTCCATATTCCTAAAAAGTACCTCCTAGAGTGAAATAACACTTTAAATGAGCATGCCTGTTTATGTGTTAAAGACAGATGGAGAAGGAGAAAGAAAAGGGATAATTAAAAGGAGATGGAAAATATATTGACATTTAAATGTGCTTTCCTTTCAAATGTTCATCCTACATTCCTTTCATTTGTACTGAGATGAAGGAAGCAGTGGAGACATTCCTATTTCATATCTAGTATTTCCTATGGGTTCACTAAAGGGTTGATAGTTGGCTTCCCCAACACAGGGTAAGAAAAAAATGATGTCCAGGGAAGGAAGGGTGAAAACTAACCAGACAAGGTAAAGAAGTTCGTGGTGATCTTTTCCTTTCAAAGTTAAGGGCCAAAGAGTACTAATCTAATTTAACTATTTATTGTCCTATGTGGATGGACACTGCATATTCTGTTACCAGAGCCTCTATTAGCAGTGAGGCTGCTGTTTATAAGTACGTGTGTGTGTGTGTGTGTGTGTGTGTACAAATATCACCTTATGAATATATGACAGGACAGAGAGAGACATAAGGGAAGATGATATATAAACTGATGGATAAAATAGAAAAAGAGGTGAGAGGGTGAGAGAGAGAGAGAGACTTAAGGAAAGAGAATCTAAGTATTTGAGTAATTAAGAGAAACATCTGTAAAGGACAGATCCTGTGTTAAGGTTTGGAAATGAAGATTAACATCTGAATGTAATAGCAAGATAAATTTTTAATCTTATACCTCAGTATATTTTTAAAGAGTTTGTAACTAAAGAAAGAACAGTGTGTAAAGATGTATTGGGAGTATTATAAGCCAGAAATGTATGAATGTTGGTTTTCAGAATGTGCTCATATGCAGTTTAAGCTGAGGTCACAGTCTGTTCTTTCAAGTCATGTTGTGGTCAAAACCTGTTAGCCAGTTTTGTCTATTACATAAATTGCTTTTTGTAATTCTAGAAACAAACTGAAAGTTAGGCAAGAATTGACTACTTCGCGCCTGTTCCATTTCTTCCTGTGTCCTACTTTTCAGCTAATTGCAACCCATTGTCTTTCTTGCAAACTGTTTTAGAATATGCAGGTAAGAAATCCTGCAGTTTGGATACCAGGAGCTCAAAAATACAAAACAAAAAACCAGAACAAAAACAAAACATCAAGCAAACAGCAAAAAAATTTTAACAAGATACAATCATCAGATTATATTATTGCAAGGACATTTTGTCAAAGAGTAATAAGTCATTTCCCCATTAATGTCTACAATACATAAAGATGGTATGTATCATACCCTAATGTTGCTAGAAACAAAATGCAGGCAGCAGAGAAAAAAATTCTCCTTACCCTCCCAAATCACTCCCAAAAAACTAACCACCCCCTTCAAGACACTCTCTTATTCTGTTGGGTCAGGGGCACAGTTTTTAGTCCTTTCAGATTGGTCTCTGCTGTAAGAAAGTTCATCCATAAGCTAGTTCTACTGTACCATTTGTTTTGTGATTGCAGTGATCTGTATCAATATCCCACTTAATTGGCAGCCACAATATTATACGACTATATTCACCAGCCATAAAGCTGAAACAAAGGGTAAAGAAGAGGAACAGCTGAAAATCTCTGCTTCTGATCCCTCTTGCCATAAACTAGGTATTTTAGAAGGTGAGACACTGAAGTGCCATTTAGCAAACTACTCTTACAGCTCATCAGAACGGGCGAATGCACCTTGCAAAGTTATTCCTTGGGAATTATTGAATGTCTCTTTGCCAGAACCGTAGGCTAAAGCAACCATTCCATAACAATCAACGAGGGGGCAGCTAGGTAAAGGGGGAGTAGGTAAGTGAACGAGAGACAGGGAATAGACTGCAGGTAGAAACTGTATTCTACATAAATTCATTTCCTTTCCAAACTTTCTCCCATTCTGGGAGCCAGATTTTGAGAAAGGATCTAGTAGGAGAATAATAAACAGAGTTGGAGCCCATGCTCTCCTGTCTAACCACAGTTCTGGAGATGCACTAGGCATGAAGCTTGAGGAAGCACATAAAGGCTCTTACCAGTTATTAAATTGGCAATTTATTCTCAAACAATGATGACCTTACTGGACTCATGCAAGTCATACTCATAGTATAATTCCAAATTTATTTTTATGAAATGCTTTCTCTTTAAGATAAATATATTGAAGTTTCCTTTTTCTCAAGTTATCTCAGTTTTGATCTTATCAGTACATATATTCCTTCTCAACACTCATGGCATCCAATGTCATCAGTATATAGGGTTATCAAGAGATTCTGCTGACCATATGTAAAATAAGCCAAATAAGACTTCCCTCCGAAAAGTTAAACTTTCAAATTATATTTAGCTGTCTCTCAAATGAACACTCTTACACACTCGCACACACACATATATAACTTTTATATCACCCTGTGGACAAAACGACACCTGCATTTTTCACCTAAACTCTTTGCAGTGCACTCTACTAGATCATATGGGTATTGAAATGATCAGTGGAGAATCACAGCTCTGTCTATAAAACATGACAACTGTATTCAACATGTTACTGTTGGCAGTTTAGGTAATTTTAAGAGACTGAATTCTGGAGGCTGGGAACCACAACTCCAGAGTCTCCTCACATTACAGAAATTGGAGCAAGATTTTTATATTCTTTGTGCCAATTTTCCCGTATCTGTAAATTGAGGAACACAGCAATATCTATCTCATAGGTTGATTGTAAGGATAAATGAGATGATGAATATAAATGGGTTATGTGGACTCTGTTATTTAATACATCCTTCCAAACATGAACTGGCTGTGAATATATTTCTTGTGGTGGAAAAAACAAAATCTTTGCAATTAAGGAGACCTGACCTTCAGTACCAGCTGACCAGTTAAATGAGCAAGTTACTTAAGACTTCTCTAAACCTGCTTCCTTATCTCTAAAATATGGCTACCAACAAGTATGTTGTAAAGATTAAATATGAAGATATGCAAAGTACCATATAGCATCAGATTATTATTATATTCATTATAATTCTACAATAAAAAATAAAGAAATGAGCTGACTACAGTGGCTGGCACTTGCAGTCCTAGCTACTCTGGAGGCTGTAGTGGGAGAATTGCCTGAGCCCAGGAGTTTGACACTGCAGTGAGCTATGATCACATCACTGCACTCCAACCTGGGCAACAGAGCAAGGCTTTATCTCTTAAAAAACAAAACAAAACAAAACAAAACACAAGAAAGAAAGGAGGAAATGGATACAGTGATCTGAACATGATCCCAGTACAGGCAAAACAATGAATAAGACTGTAAACCATCTAATTTGCTGTCTGCAGGGTTTGGAGTCAACCAGAAAATTTGGAAGTCATCTCCATTCCCACCTCCTACGGCACCAATGCTTGTCAATTCTACCTATAAATATCTGCTTAATCTGTCTGCCTCTTTGTTTGTACCACAGCCACCTGGCACAGACCCCTGTCATTTGGTTTTTCGGCCACTGTAACAGCCTCTCAGACTCAGTCTGGACCGTTCTCCATACAGTAGCTAGAATGACACTCTAAATAAAAACCCAGCCATGTCACACCCTTTTAAATCCCTTTAGCAACTTCCCATTGTCCTTGGGATAAAATCCAAATCTCTTATATGGGACCTCAGCCAGCATCTATTGCCTCTCCCATGATTTCCGAAGTAGGCTCAATGCCAGAGATTCTGAATGCATCATCCTCTTGGCTCACAAATTTCATACATGCTCCCTCTGACAGGAACACTGTCCTCCTTCCTCTTTAACTCCCTAACAGTGTCCCTCTGCTCTCAGCTGAAACACCAGTTCCTCAAGGAGGCTTTTCCTGACTCCACTGGAGGTTCAGAACTCCCAACCCCCATCCCAAACGCCACAGTTGCACCCCGTACCTCTCCCAACACAACCTCCAACAACCTTTATTTATGTTGCCTGGGTAATTTTGTACATGGAAAAGGTATCTACAGAAAATATAGATAGGTTCCTTGACCATGTGTGTCTTATGTATTCACCACTCACCTAGGGCCTGGCCCTTAGTGGATGATCAGAAACATTTGTTAAATCAATCCATTCAAGTGCAACTGCACAATTCATTTCTGTGTTCTGTGTATCATGTATGTAACTTGAAATGAAGAGAAATAAAAAATTACATCCTAGTCTTTGACACATTTCTAATTTTTTTCTCTATTTCTGAGAGTAGAAAAAAACAAACAGCTTCTAATTTGTTCCCTTTTCTGAAAAAGCATAAGAAAAGAACAAATTTAATTATAAGATTCTTCCTCTTTCCTCTCCACTAACATTCAAAATCCCGCTTCCATTGTTTCCTCATAGAGCAGCAACTCTGAGCTTTAAACAAATATTTTTAGATATAGAATCTATGACTTCTTCAAAGTTAGTAATGAGAAACGAATTTGAAAAGAAATGTCTCTTGGGCTCAAACTCTTACCGCTCGCATCAGCAGCTATTGGATATGAAAGACTCCATACCCCTCTCCCCATGGTCCCCTGAGCCAAAATGAAAAGGCTTTCTACCAGCACCTGGAGCACAGCATTCCCCAGTCAGTGGCAGGAGGAGAGTGCCAAGGACTCCAGGCAGCCGTCTGTGTCACCCAAGCTAAAATCCACCTCTGGAAAATACATAATAACATCCCCTTAGAGAAATATTAGATCTGCTTCACTGCTCTTTCTGGCATATTTTATCCCACTTTGTCGTCCTCTCTCCCTACGTGCCAGGATCGCAAACCCTTTCTCTCAGCAGGAAAGCATGCAAGTCAAATGCCATCATAATCACTTTGTGTTTCCCTGCAGAGGGAAAGGAGGGCTCCTTGCATGTGAAAAACTTATCAGTTCCTAATGGAATGGAGTGACTTTTCAAAGGTCACAGGCAGCATGCAGTTAGGGGCCATAATACGCACCTAACAAACTGTGGAAGAGAATAAGCCTGGGCTAGTCCCTTGCATTGCTTCAAGTCCACTTTCCTATTTCTGCCATCATCCAGGAGATACACTGACACTCTGCAGCTGAGCCTGGCCCCTGGTGCACCAGCAGATGGCTTGGCTGCCTCTACAGCTTTCCTTATGCAGAAACAGCACTATTTCAAACAGTGTGTGTGTGTGTGTGTGTGTGTGTGTGTGTGTGTATGTGTATATATATATATGTGTGTGTGTATATATATATATGTGTGTGTGTATACACACATATATATATATGTGTGTGTGTATACACACATATATATGTGTGTGTGTGTATACACACATATATATATGTGTGTGTGTGTATACACACATATATGTGTGTGTGTGTATACACACATATATATATATAAATTTCCCCCCTTATTTTAAAATCCAAAGGATTGAAAAGACCTTTTGTCTGCAGTAAAGCACTGATGAGACTAGCATAAATATAACTTGAAAGAAACCCGCTTATTGGAATTTTTGCCTCCCATCCCCATCTCCTCTGGCCAACCCTCGGAAATGCGTTCTTCTGAAAGGGTCCATGCTGTGGTCCTTTTCCTGAATTGCCCCACTAGGAGAAGAAAATGACATTTTCACAATGTCAATGATAAAAGTCAAGGTGAGAAAACTTAGAAAATTTTGGAAGTTTTTCACATTTACTTCAATAGAGAAATAAGTCCAAATAGATCTCTATCAGCAAGAAAGAAGTATTATTTGGCAAAGTATTTGTTAGTACTAGGAACATGAAATGTCTATTTCTGAACTAATAATGTTTATTAGATAGTTTCCCACTGCTCTATATTATTCATTTATACTTTATTTCTTGGGTTACTATGTTTATTACTTTTTAGCCTTATGGATTTTTAAAGAGCTGATTATATAGTTTTTCAGTTAATTAGGTCACTTGGTAATACTAGACTATAAAAGGCATTTCAAAACAATAAATGAAAACATTTCTTAAGTACAATGACAATTGAGTAAATCATTTAATAATTTGATTTGTTGGAAAGAATACAAAGTGTGACCATCAGTTATTTTTCATAGTTGCACAGGTTGCTAAACATAGGAAGAGAGAAGTGTAACATATTAACCCATGAACATGCTCTGAGAAGAAATTAGAATTCTAAGCCTAGAACTCAATTTATTTTTTTCTGCTTCTCTCCCTCCTCGCACCTTTCACCCTCCATCCTCAAGTAGGCCCCCACGTCTGTTGTTTCCTTCTTTGTGTTCGTAAGTTCTCATCATTTAGCTCCCACTCTTAAGTGGGAACATGCAGTGTTTGGTTTTCTGTTTCTGCATTAGTTTGCTAAGGATAATGGCCTCCAGCTCAACTCTGTTCCTGCAAGACATGCATATCACGCTTTTTTTATATACTCCACTTTTTCAGAAACTATTCTCACATTTCTCCTAATTTTTAAAAACTCAATCTTTAAATCCCAGAAAAATGTCGCTGCATCCATGAATCTTGCTCAAACTCCTCAGACCAAGTCTATTATATATTCCTGGTTTAAAGAGCCTTTTTACAGATATATTACAGCTGTTACCACAGGCTGTGGTCATTTTATGTTTACACATCTGACTTTACAATTAAACCTTAAATCTCAGTGTCTAACACAGTACCTGAGAGAGAATGGGTGTTCTACAAATGTTTATTGAATAAAAGAATGAACCTATTGATTGAAAAATATCTGATGTTCTATAAGGAAAAAAAGCAAATATTTTTCAAGCATAAATGAATAGTATTGGGATAAATCATGGTAAATCAAAAACAAAAATGACTGATTCTTTTTCCAATTAAGTAAACTTAGAAAACAAGGTGGAAGAACCTTCAGTACAAGTACTATATTTATTCCCGGAATCATCAGTGCCTCTGATAGCTACCCCTCTGACAGTATACCACAGAGTTTGTATTTATAATGCTGCTGCATAAGTCACAGTTACCACCAAAGGTTTTGTTTTTGTTTTTTTGTTTTTTGGTTTTTTTTTTTTTTTTTTTTTTTTTTTTTTGAGACAGAGTCTCTCTCAGTCACCCAGGCTGGAGTGCAGTGGCGCGATGTCAGCTCACCGCAACCTCCGCCTCCCAGGTTCAAGCGATTCTCCTGCCTCAGACTCCCAAGGAGCGGGGACTACAAGCCTGTGCCACCACACCCGGATAATTTTTTGTATTTTTAGTAGAGACAGGGTTTCACCGTGTTAGCCAGGATGGTCTCAATCTCCTGACCTCGCGATCTGCCCGCCTTGGCCTCCCGAAGTGCTGGGAAAGGGGCTTTTCTAATGGGGGAAAAAAACGTTATCTGGTAGCCTTGACGCTAAGGAAAAATTAAATTCACTCAAAGCTTTAAAACGATAAAGACATCACCTTGTAATAGTGACAGCCACTATTCTACAATTTTACAAACTAGTTTTCCTAATAACATCCTATAAAGGTTTGTGTTCATACAGGAGGGGAGTAAACAAAAATCTCAACATAGTTAAAAATGACAAAAATCTTAACACAGTTACTACTTGCTACCCTGTATTACAGACAAAAAATAACTGAGCCTCAGAGAAACTAACTTGCTCTAGGAGACCTTGAGCCTGGGCCTTCTTACAATTCTGGAGCCCTTTAACATCTTTACATGTTGTCCACCTTACTGCTTGCTATTCCTTTTTCTTTCACTACTATCCTTAGAAAAAATGCAAAAGTTAGCAGGAAGCACCAGAGGGTGTGATGACGGACATGCTGCCATCCCAAAAGGAACTGCTTATTCTAGCTGCTCAAATTTACTTGTGACTTGAGAAAGTCAATTTACTCTGGGCATCAAGTAACCAAAATTAAAACAGGACTTATTACTGTAACACCTTTGTTAATGAGTTTGATTAAAATAAATGAGCACCCTGTGTAAAAAAAATGTATTTTGTATTTGCAGCCCAAAATTGCTGCTAGGAAGTGCTTCTGATTTAAAGTGGTCAGAGTTTTGAATTAGCCTATGATCTTATTGGCAGAATATTATAATCAGGGATCGATAACTGCCATAGATACAAATAAATACATCTTTGTAATTGCCTATTTATAGCTTTATATATATATATATCACAACAAACTAAACTGATGTATTTCTGCTGTCTTTCATTTGTTAGATGTGGAGCTCCCCTAGTTCATATTTCCCTGATCTCAGGAAAAAAAAAAAAAAGCCATGTCTCAGAAGTGAGAAACTTGTTCTGTAAAAAAGCAGATATAAAATGTTTTCATTTTTATAAATGACTTGCCTATACTGTTCTTTATTATATATTAAGTGGCTCCTCTGATTTGAAGAACTTTCAAGCTGAACCTACAAGCCTGAAGTATTGCCCAATATAAACAGTCATTCGACAGAATGAAAAAAAGTCATTCCATCTTTTCTTTAATCTTTATGTTTCCTTGTCTACCTCCTTTCCATTTACAATACAGAATGGACTTTGGACTATCAGTCTTAGCTCTTCCATAATGCAGTACTTCTTCCAAGGCAATTCTGTGCATTTAAACTGAGAGGAAATGAAAAAGTGCACCACCAGCTGAATAACTGCCTATCAATATATTTAGATCAGCTTAATTTTTCTCAAATAATTCAGAAATATTGAAAAGGCCCTTGTGTGAAGCTTCTAACCTGAATCCCTTAGGAAGAGCAGGAGAAACATCTTTCTATCAGCTCTTCCGGATGCATAAGGCAAAGCCAGCCCTAATTCAAGCTAATAAAAGTGTTGCAAGCATGTGAAAAGCTAGAAGGCTAGAAAACTTGGTCAGGCAAGTTTGATTTTTAAAGCTATAGAAAATTTAAAGAACTTAGTGGCCTAATAAAATGCCTGCCATCAGGACTGTGTTTATGTCCTTGAAAATGCATTTTGTGATGACACAGATAGTTTCTGTACGTGAGTAACTGTATCTATGCTTCCACCTAGCTTTGTCAAGACATTTTTTTTTAATTCCCAAACACTGCTTGGATCAATTGCAGCTCAATATCATTCATGATTAGTGTGGAAGTGTTCCTTCACTTTCATGGACTCTAAGACTGACATAGATTAGAAGCTTGGCTTTAACCCTATTAACACGTAACAGGAATTAAAACAAAATTTTACACTGCAAATTCAGGCTGAACCATTGCCGCTGCACTCCTGACACTCTTCACTCATCGTTTTCCTCCCTGTGTCACTATTACATTTTTGTGATTGTTCAAAAATTTCTCCATTTTTCTCAGCTCCCCATGCATATCCTCTTACCTTTAGTTCAGACTTCACCTTGACCTTTTCTTTAAAAGGTGTAGTAGTCCATCTGACCTGAGCTATCTGAATTTTTCATCTATATATGTACACATTTTTCTATACATTTAGCCATCCTATCTTCTTCCTCCTTCCACTTCAGAATTTGCCTTCTATGGAATAAAGCCTAGTATGATCTTAACATTTTGCAAGATTTTCTGAAATCTTGCTCATTCAGTTTATTCCTCTCATTGGATCTTTAAGTTTTTCCCTTGTTCTCCTTTCCTTTTCTTCTTTATTAGACCCACGCCCTATTCTTTAGCCTCAAATCCTTTCCTTGACCTTGAAGTCATGTCAAGTCACCATTTTCTCTATCCTTTCTTGCATTTGTTCCCATTTTAATTACAAAAGTGGTAGCCACTTTTCACTTAGATTCAAAAATACAAAAATTTAAAGAGAAAAAAAATCAGATCAATTGATATCCTCCCATCCAATAATAAACAGTGTCATTATTTTATGGTGTCCAAAAATATATATGCAAATATATTTAATGAAATTGGTCATTTATATGGTTTGGCTGTGTCCCCACCCAAATCTCAGCTTGAATTGTAGCTCCCACAATTCCGTGTCGTGGGAGGGACCTGATGGGAGGCAATTGAATCATGGGGACGGGTCTTTCCTGTGCTGTTCTCTTGATGGTGAAAAAGTCTCTGAGATCTGATGGTTTTATAAAGGGGAGTTCCCCTGCACAAACTCTCTCTTGCCTGCCACCATGTAAGACGTGACTTTGCTCCTCCTTTGCCTTTTGCCATGATTGTGAGGCCTCCCCAGTCACATGGAACTGTGAGTCCATTAAACCTCTTTTTTTAGTAAATTATGCGGTCTCAGGTTTGTCTTTATTAGCAGCATGAGAACAGACTAATACAGTCATATACTATAAATGTATGTTTCATTTACCAATATTGATCACAAATGCCTTTCCACATCAACTGAAGTAAATCTTTTTCATTAAAATGGTTGCATTTTGTTTGACTGATGAGGATTTAACCAAATCTCTGTATTGGCTATTTCCATTACGTATTTGATTTTCCTCTATTACAAACAATGCTGCAATAAAAATTTCTGGCTCTCATCTTTGCACATTCATATGATTATAACCTTACAGCATGTCCTTGAAGAAGCACCCTGAGAAACCTTTTGTAAGAGTAATATATGATACAAGTGGATAAGATCTGTCAACTCAACTCTTCAACTATTTGTAACAGGAATTTGGTCAACACTGCTTTAGTAAAACGGCAGTCTCAGAATGAATTGTGACATTTTAATGATCAAATACAGTTCTCTCTCTCGATGCCTACACATGATTTGATAATGGCCATTCCATTCTTCTTGAAACTCTCTCCTCCCCTAATAATTTCCAAGATGTTACAATCTCAACTTTACCTCTATTATTCTTACTCTTCTCTTCTGCCCACTTGTGTCCTTCCTTCTTCCACATAAATACAGAAGTCCTCATTTGTCTGCTCAGATTTTCCCTTTTTATCTTCCCTAGTTTTGCCCACTCTTAGTTATAGCCATCACCTGTTTAAATTTTTCCCAAATTTGTATCTTCAGCCTAGCCTCTCCATGCATTTCCTGTTTCCTCTTAGATATATTTACACTTAAGTTCCACTGATAACAAAAAACTAACAGGTTTAAACTCTGGCTCTACTTATGTCTTAACTTGCTCCTCTTTCTGGATTTCCTACTGCTGTTAATATCTCTGTCAACTTTACAACTTGAAAATTTCAGTTTGAGTTTAAATTTCACAGTCTTCTCCCAAAAATCAATCCCCAATAATGATTGGTTTTACCTGAGCATAGTATTTTCCCTGAACCCCTCCTGGTCATAGTTGTGTTATCTACCACCTCCTGTTCTTTTTTTCCTGCACCTCTATCAGTGGGGGGAATATCAAATGCCCTGTTTCCTGGATAAACATGTATCTCAAGCTTATGTGGGATTAATTGAACTCATTCAATGGTAAGGTTATTCCTCTGAGTCTCTCTTCTGTACTTACCCTCCTCAATTTCCCACAGGCTGGTGTGAAAGCATGGCCAAAGTCTAGTAAAAGGATTATAGAAATTCTGAGATTAGGCCAGGTGAGGTGGTTCACACCTGAATTCCCAGCTCTTTGGGAAGCTGAGGTGGGTGGATCACTTGACATCAGAATTTCGAGACCAGCCTGGCCAACATGGTGAAACCCTGTTTCTACTAAAAATACAAAAATTAGCCAGGCATGGTGGTGTGTGCCTGTAGTCCCACCTACTTGGGAGGTTGAGGCAGGAGAATCACTTGAACCTGGGAGGCAGAGGATGCAGCAAGCCGAGATCATACCACTGCACTCCAGCCTGTGTTACAGAATGAGATGCTGTCTCAAACAAAAACAAATGAAAAAAAACCTAAAAAATCCTGAGATTCCCTGAATTCTCAGTTTCTAGCTCAGAGAAATAGTAGAAACAATAGTAATGAGGCTATGTGAACCCCAGGGAGCAATTTTGTTCTAGTTTGTTTTTCAGTTTGATGCTGATTTTTGCTTTTCTGTCAAAGTCAGAAAAAGACGAGAGGTCCCTCAGTATGAGAAGAGAACAGCAGCAGGGTTGATACTAATGACAGTGTTGGCAACAGCACTAGTGAAGGCAGCTGCTGGGGTGGCAGGGAATGTGACAGCGTTGGAAACTGCAGCAACGGTCCTAGTAGGAGAGTCAGCACTGGCACAGGTGGTGGTGGTGTTGGCAAAGCAGCAGTGTAAAATGTGCAGGAGGCAATGAAGATACTGACAATGGCCTTGGCAAAGGTAGTGATGGTGGTAGAGAAAGCAGTACAGTAATACCCTATGCAATAATCAGGTCTGTAATAAGGCATGCAGTCCCACCATGACAGAAATACAGGTTCTTTTGTGTAGCAATTCACCACTTCTGGGTGTTCTCTAAAACACAGGCAGCACACTTTCCTAGCCCCAGATAGCACACAGGGACACCAACAAGCAAACAAAAGGGATGCTGAGCTTTCAGAACATTAGAGCTGGCACAGGATTTGCAGAGCATAAAGTGAAATTTCTTCAAAAGTAGAAGCCAATTAAGATGTTGAAATGAAAGGCAACATTTAACGTGAGATCAATATGGCACACTTTCATTACAATGCGGACACTGAGTTTTATTATTTGAATCTACAGTAAGGTAGGTTTGAGATGAACCAACATACACCACCCTTCCTATTGAACTGACGTGATGCAAGAATATTCCATAGGCTCCAGTTTTCAGAAAATAGCTTTTTCTTTAAAAATCCATAAATAAATATTCAGGAGATAGAGTTCATTGACAATCCCCCCAGATGTGAAGCTAATTAGCTGCTGATACCTAAGCTTAGCATTTAGCACTACCAGACCAAAAAGGATTCTTTTAAAGGTGTTTGTTTTGAATGTAAAAGATAAACTGGAAAGAAGTATGGATTAAGACCTCAAAATTGTCCTCTCAAAGGGTTCTTTTCTTTTTATCAAAAGACAAAGGAGATAAATAGGAAAAATCAAACTATTTGGGGGGTGAAGGAAGGACTCCTTGAAGAATCGAGTATTTCTCACTGTTTTTTCATGCTGTCAGCATTTTAAGCTGCTAATTTTCCCCCCGTAGATTTTAAATAAGCTCATCGAAAACCAAGGAGGCTGCAAACTTTAATAACTCAGAGAAGAGATTATTTTTCTTAAAGAAGGATTTTATTTTACCCATTCAGCTTTCTCTATTGTGTATTATTTCAACACAAAATGTGGTCTCTTTGGGCACTAGACTATGGTTACAGGTTTGCATTGCTATTTGTACTTAATCCCCAAAATAAACTCCTCAAGATATTGCTGTAATATGTCAAGATTGTATTGCAGGGAAAAAGAAAACCATTCATGTGGGATATCAATTTGTTTCCATTTAAAATTACAGATGATTTTGTTCATTGATTGCCATAGTGGCCTCTTCCACGCCTCTCCTTAAGGCAACTTCAGTGAGGACCAAGGAAAGATATGCTTTGCAGTAACGTGCATCTGCTTTCATTTCAGGATATAATTTGGAGATTAATTAGCTTGTTTTCACTTTAGTTTCCTCATGTGAGAAGAGTTCTTATTAAAGACCCTGAACTGAACCCGGCAGACAATGTAAGTCCTATGAAAATTTAAGCAATGAGGTTTGAGTTTAAGGAAACCAGCTTAAAGTCAATGAGAGGTTATTTCTTACTAAAACCCAGAGTCTTTTCTCTTTATACAAAGACATTAAACCAAGAAAACCTACTACTTACCACACTCTTATGATTCTATACATCCCACAATATACAATAGATGTCTTATATGAGAACTTCAGTAATCAATCCCAATCAATACAACTAGATAAAAGATTTAAAGATCAGAAAAGCCACCACAACTGCTTGATCTATAGAAATTAACCAGTTAGCTGATTTTTCCCAACTACCAATCATGTAGGGTCATATAGCAGTAGCCTCAGAAAACTCAGTCCCTTTAAAGATGGACAATTACACACACACACACCAAAATTCCTGTGTCTTTGCAACACAGAATGTGTGTGTTATTCTATCTCAAGGGAGCTGTGCTTTGATCCAGCAGATCTCCCACTAAACACTCAGCTGCAAAACAGCACCAGAAATCTACAGATGTGGCAGTGAGCACAATTGTTTCACATCAGTGAGGGATTTCTAGGTGTCAGCAAAAATAGGTTCATATGAACTTTTCTAGTTTTGTCAAATATTTTATCCTATTTTCATTTTTTAGATAATTGAGAACCATGCCTCTTACCAGCAAATGTATGTACTCCGGTAAAATGTAAAAGAAAACTAAGAATGTCCCCTGCTGTCATTAAGTTCATCCTCTGTAATGCTTTTAATTTTTAAGAGTTTGGGGTCCTGTGTGTTTTACAGCAACACAGATCTATCAAAATAAATTTGAAAAATTTTACAGCACACTTGGTAGGAGGTACAGATTTTCGTTCTCCTACATCGAGCTGGCATCGAGAATTAATGATGCACAATTTGTTGGATGATTTACATTCTCACTAGTTTTTCAGTCTTCATTTAATAACATGCTGCAGGTGTACCTGTCCTCTTAAACAAATCTTTTTCTAAATGCTGTAGGGGATGTCACACCTGCTCAAGTAGGAGTTATAGTACCGCTAAGGTAGATAGATAGATATCCAGGAGGGGATATAAAAGGACAAAAGACAGAACAAAAGACAAAAGGCAGATGAAAAGGAAAAGCCTTCAAAAATAGATGTTAGACTGATTACAACCTCAGGGACGCTCATGGTTTTTATTATGATCATAATTCATGGATTCTTAAATAATTAAATTTGCCCTTTTCTCCATTTGGTCTTGCTCTATTGGAGCCCTACTTTGTCACAGACTCCAAGTCACACTTCTTTAGACTTGAAAGTCGGTACGATTACTTTTGGAAGACGAATACTAAAACATAAGATTTTTATGTTTTTTAGCAAACATATATCCAAATGGTTGTTTACTTCTTCAAATTGTTCATCTGAGGGAGATGTTCTGTTTACTGTACCAATGCAAGCAATATTCAAAACTTCTTTTAAATTGCCCTTTGGCATTGCCTTTGAGGTACGCACCATATTCTATTTAATATTCTCAGTGGGAGCATATTTTCATCTTTTGAAGTTATCCTGTGAATAAATTTGGAAATCCTGTTGGATGGTAATATTTGGAGTCTTTTAAAATATTCAATTTAGATCTGTGTAAGAAATTACAGACTTAGCTTTTATGAAGCATAAACTATGTGAAAGCCTGGATACAAAAATGAATAGAGATTCCTTGTTCCAGAAGAGCTTATTGTCTGGAGAAAGAGAAAGAACTACAAATAGATCATTTTCACATTATGCATACAGGGCTGGGACTCCTGGAACTCAGAGGGCTGCTTAGTTCAATGTGAAGGTTTCCTAGGGGTGAAGATACTTAAACTGAGACTTAAGGGATGAATAGAAAGTAGACAGATGAAAAAGGGCAGAAAGAACATTCTAAGCATAAAAAAATCATATAATTAAAGGCAGTTTGATAGGTGGTTAAAAAAATAATATTTTAGAAGCATGACAGCATAAAATGCAAAGGTTGGTGAGGATAGAAAGAGTAGAATACACCAGAGAAGCAAGCGGGGGCTGACTTCTGGTGTTTAGGTTTTTTTTTTTTTTTTTTAATATCTCTTCACCAGGTGTTCTAAGGGTAAGCCAGGGAATAAGATCAGGATTGCATTTTGAATAGCTCACTCTGAAATAACCATTTCCCTTTATCTAGGTTATAGGAAGACTATCACCAAAAACATAATGAGAGCATGATATCAATTAAAAGGCACTTAGAATATAAAATTAGCAGGACATAATCACTGATATTATTTGAGAAGAATTACAGATCTATGTCATAAGAACTGAGACAGGGACTAGGAGTGAAGAACATTTGGTAGAGTGATAGAGACTGGGAAAAGAGTTCCATCAGGCAGATTTGAATGCTAAAAGCTAAAAGAAACCAACACCACCCAGAAAGAGGTGAGCCATGCAGGAAACACACACAGCCGTCACTCTGCAGAGTATCTGCTTAGAAAGAGAAATAAAGTAAATTACAGCCTATCATTTGGTTTCAGCAAACATGGCAGAGAACTAAGAAATGTCTGCTAATAATATTAATCATCCACACTCAAAATTGGAACAGAGGCTAATATAAAATGAGGTTGAAATAAAAAATAATAGGAACTGCACCAGAATAAAAGATATTTCTCTGAGATATATCTGCCAAAGTGTGTCAACAACTCCGTAGTGAAGAAATATTAGATGCTAATACTAGTAACATTTTGCACATCATTTCAAGTTTGCTGAATTTCCTATTTGTGCATGCACGTGTGTATCCATGCTCTAGTTACCTACAGAATGTATGATTGAAAATTCAAGTAATATTTTGTTATCTATCAGTTTTTACACAGTTGCAAAGTAACTTCTTTTAATACTAGTGTACCTGGATGTATCAACACAATGAACTCCAAACAAAATTGTGAGATTCCGGTGGCCAAAGAGGCATACTAGGCAAGTACCCTCACTCGGAATATCTGCCCAGGTTGCAACTCGCTACAGAGCACAGGCTGCACTAGCATCCCATCTGCCTCTGTCTCCTACAGTTTGTGGTAGCATTCTATCAAATGCCTGGAGAACAGATAACAGAGTATAAAAATAAAGACGCAGCCAAAATATCTCAATTATAAGCAGTTTTCCTATTTGTTGTAAAATTTTAGTGATTGCTTTTGGTGTAACCATTAATACTTTTTTAACAGTATTTTTGCACAAAAACACACCAAAAGAACTTTATTTTAGAAGCTTATATCATGTAGGTATTAAGGAGTCAAATAGTTTCTATCTATTAATACATATAAAATTAGAAAAATCTATGTTTTGAAGTTAATCATTATTTTCATACATGTTATCATAGTCGGGATATCAGTTCACTTCAGATATTACTTAGTTGTGTATTTTATAATGATATCATGAGCAAAATGTCTTTAGGAAATCAAATTAAGAATAAAAAGTGCAGTGATGTCACACTTTGGATTGAGATATATTTAACATAAAAGATTTTCAAAACACAAAACATCTATGTCAATTCATCTCTATTACTCATTTAAGGAAGCTGCATTATAAAAATCTGGGAAGCTAACTGCTCAGCAAGAAGAAAATACCTGCACGCATGCACACACGCGCACACACACACACACACACACACACACACACACACAGTCTAGAACCAAATTCACATTTTAACTAACCAAGAAAAAAGTCTTATCAGAAACAAGGAGGCCATATAAGAACAGAAGTATAACCAGCATGTTTCAGCACACTGCCCTAAAATGGTTTAATACCAATAGGTTCTTCCTAAAGGATGTTTCACAGGCAGAAGAAAAATATAAACCTTATACATAGGATCTGAGATGTAATAAGAAACTGAAAAACATTGAATAAGTCAACACAACAAAATTGTCTGAATAATAGTAACAATCTCTGGTGAGTAGGGTTAAAAGAAAAACAAAATAGAAATAAAATATAGACCAAAATATGACATATATCACGATCAGGGAAATCTCAGTTAAAGTGCCAAACATAGTCTTGGCCAGGTGTGGTGGCTCATGTCTGTAATCTCAACACTACGGGAGGCCAAGATGGGAAGATAACTTGAGCCCAGGAGTTCAAGACCAGCCTGGACAACATAGTGAGACCCTGTCTGTAAAAAAAATACATAAATAAATCAGGGCCATAGTCTTTTATCTGGATGGATAAGATTAAACATATTGATTAAAGTTTGGCTTCCATAAGTTAAGTGTACTTGTACTTGTATCTCAAGTAAATATTGTAAGAAAGGGAAAAGAGTAGATAAATTACATGTTACTAAAGGGGGAGAAATAGAATGAGAAAAAAATGTATACCTAAACATGGTTTTAAAAGACCAAAAAATTGTAGAGTATGAAGGACACACAGAATAAAATGTTAGAATGGAAAAATATTAACAATATAAATATTAACAAAAAGCTGGTTTGCCTGTGTATATAGCTAACAAAATATACTTAAAATTAATAACCATTAATAGATGCAAAGATGCATAATTGTTCAAATAATCTGGGAAATATAACAATTTTAAGCATATGTACACCTACTAACATAAAATATAGAAAATGGAAACTGACAGAACCACAACAAAAATCATAGACAAGTTTTCCTTTGTAGTGGGAAATCTAAACACATATCATTCAGTAATGACAAATCAAACCCAAAAAAAGCAGAAAAGATATAAAACAATCAGCTTAACATATGCTTTATAAAATTTATAAATGCATATATACAGCTATATATGTATATATCAATATAACCAAAAACAAATGATTACATATTGTTTTGAAACTTCTAATGGTTCATGACTCAAATAAAAATTTATAAGAATAGTACTGTGGACTGAATTGTATCCTCATAAAATTCCTATGTTGGAGCCCTAACACCCAATGTGATAGTATTCAGAGATGGGACCTTTGGAGGGTAATTAGGTTTTGATGGGGGTCATGAGGGAGGGACTCTCATGGTAGGATTACTGCCCTTCAAAGTACAAACTCCATAGCACTTGATCCCTCCTGTCTGTCATGTGAGAATGCAGCAAGATAGTGACTTTGCTGCCACCCTACTTGGTTAATCCACCCAGCTATGGTATTTTCTTATGATAGTCAAGCAAACTAAGAAAGATAAAAAATATTTAGAACAGAATAATAAAACTCTATATATGAAAACATTTGGGATGTAACTAAGGCAGTATCCAAGGAATATTTACATTTAAGGTTAATACTGTTATATGTGAATTTGATCCTGTCACCATGATGCTAGCTGGTTATTTTGCACATTAGTTGATGCAGTTTCTTCATGGTGTCAATGGTCTTTACAATTTGGCATGTTTTTTGCAGTGGCTGGTACCAGTTTCTCCTTTCCATGTTTAGTGCTTCCTTCAGGAGCTCTTGTAAGGCAGGCCTGGTGGTGAAAAAATGCCTCAGCATTTGCTTATCTGTAAAGGATTTTCTCTCTCCTTCACTTATGAAACTTAGTTTGGCTGGATATGAAATTCTGGGTTGAAAATTCTTGTCTTTAAGAATGTTGAATATTGGCCCCCACTCTCTTCTAGCTTGTAGGGTTTCTGCAGAGAGATCTACTGTTACTCTGATGGGCTTCCCTTCGTAGGTAATCTGACCTTTCTCTCTGGCTGCCCTTAACATTTTTTTCTTCGGTCCAACCTTGGAGAATCTGACGATTATGTGTCTTCAGGTTGCTCTTCTCAAGGAGTATCTTAGTGAGGTTCTCTGTATTTCCTGAATTTGAATATTGGCCTGTCTTACTAGGTTGGGGAAGTTCTCCTGGATAATATCCTGAAGTGTGTTTTCCAACTTGGTTCCATTCTACCTGTCACTTTCAGGGACCTCAATCAATCATAGGTTTGGTCATTTCCCATAGTCCCATATTTCTTGGAGGCTAATATTTTTTCTCTAATATTGTCTTCATGCCTCACTCAGAACCACACAACTTCATGGAAACTGAACAGCTTGTTCCTGAATAACCACTGGGTACATAACGAAATTAAGGCAGAAATAACGAAGTTCTTTGAAACCGGTTAGAACAAAGAGACAAAGTACCCGAATTTATGAGACACAGCTAAAGCAGTGTTTAAAGAAAAATTTATAGCACTAAATGCCCACATCAGAAAGTGACAAAGATCTAAAATTGACACCCTACTATCACAGTTAAAAGAACTAGAAAAGCAAGAGCAAACAAATTCAAAAGCTAGCAGAAAACAAGAAATAACTAAGATCAGAACAGAACTGAAAGACACAGACACAAAAAAATCTTCAAAAAAATCAATGAATGCAGGAGCTGGTTTTTTGAAAAGATTAATAAAATAGATCACTAGCAAGGCTAATACAGAAGAAAAGAGAGAAGAATCAAATACACGCAATAAAAAATGATAAAGGGGATATCACCACCGATCCCACAGAAATACAAACTACCATCAAAGAATACTATAAACACCTCTATGCAAATAAACTAGAAAATCTAGAAGAAATGGATAAATTCCTGGACACATACTAAACCAGGAAGAAGTCAAATCCGTGAATAGACCAATAACAAGTTCTGAAATTGAGGGAGTAATTAATAGTTTACCAACCAATAAAAGCCCAGGACCAAATGCATTCATAGCCAAATTCTACCAGAGGTTGAAAGAGAAGCTGGTGCCATTCCTTCTGAAACTATTCCAATCAATAGAAAAAGAGGGACTCCTCCCTAACTCATTTTATGAGGCCAGCGTCATCCTGATTCCGAAACCTGGCAGTGACACAACAAAAGAAGAAAATTTCATGCCAGTATCCCTGATGAACATTGTTGCAAAAATCCTCAATAAAATACTGGCAAACCAAATCCAGCAACACATCCACCATGATCAAGACGGCCTTATCCATGGGATGCAAGGCTGGTTCAACGTAAGTAAATCAATAAACGTAATCCATCACATAAACCGAACCGGTGACAAAAACCACATGATTATCTCAATAGATGTAGAAAAGGCCTTCGATAAAATTCAACACTCCTTCATGCTAAAAATTCTCAATAAACTAAGTATTGATGAAATATATCTCAAAATAATAAGAGCTATTTATGACAAACCCATAGCCAATATTATACTGAATGGGCAAAAACTGGAAGTATTCCCTTTGAAAACCGGCACAACACAAGGATGCCCTTACCACTCCTATTCAACATAGTAATGGTTAGAACAAAGAGACAAAGTACCCGAATTTATGAGACACAGCTAAAGCAGTGTTTAAAGAAAAATTTATAGCACTAAATGCCCACATCAGAAAGCGACAAAGATCTAAAATTGACACCCTACTATCAGGTGTCAGGCAAGAGAAACAAATAAGGGGTATTCAATTAGGAAGAGAGGAAGTCAAATTGTCTCTGTTTGCAGATGACATGATTGTATATTTAGAAAACCCCATTCTCTCAGCCCAAAAACTCCTTGAGCTGATAAGCAACTTCAACAAAGTATCAGGATACAAAATCAATCTGCAAAAATCATAAGCGTTTCTATACACCAATAATAGACAAGCAGAGAACAAAATCATGAGTAAACTCCCATTCACAATTGCGACAAAGAAAAAAATACCTAGTAATAAAACTTGCAAGGGACATGAAGGACCTCTTCAAGGAGAACTACAAACCACTGCTCAAGGAAATAAGAGGACACAAACAAATGAAAAGCATTCCATCCTCAGGGATAAGAGGAATCAATATTGTGAAAATGGCCATAATGTCCAGAGTAATTTATAAATTCAATGCTATTCCCATCAAGCTACCATTGACTTTCTTCACAGAACTAGAAAAAAAAAAACTACCTTAAATTTCACTTAAAACTAAAAAAGAGTCCATATAGCCAAGACAATCCTAAGCAAAAAGAGCAAAGCTGGAGGCATCATGCTACCTGACTTCAAACTATAATACAAGGCTACAGTAATCAAAACAGCATGGTACTGGTACAAAAACAAGTATACAAACCAGTGGAACAGAATAGAGGCCTTGGAAATAATACCACACGTCTACAACCATCTGATCTTTGACGAACCTGACAAAAACAAGCAATGAAGAAAGGATTTCCTATTTAATAAATGGTGTTGGGAAAACTGGCTAGCCATATGCAGAAAACTGAAACTGGACCCCCTTCCTTACACCTTATATAAAAATTAACCAAGATGGATTAAGGCTTAAATGTAAAACCTAAAACTATGAAAACCCTGGAAGAAAACCTAGGCAATGCTATTCAGGACACAGGCATGGGCAAAGACTTCATGACTAAAACACCAAAAGCAATTGCAACAAAATCCGAAATTGACAAAAGGGATCTAATTAAACTAGAGAGCTTCTGCTCAGCAAAAGAAAATATCATCAGAGGCAACAGGCGACCTACAGAATGGGAGAAAAGTTTTTCAATTTATCCATCTGACAAAGGGCTAACTAATATCCAGAATCTACAGGGAAGTTAAATTTACAAGAAAAAAAAAACAACCCCATCAAAAAATGGGCTAAAGATATGAACAGACACCTCTCAAAAGAAGACATTTATGTGGCCTAAAAACATATGAAAAAAAGATCATCAGTGGTCATCAGAGAAATGCAAATCAAAACCACAATGAGATACCCTCTCACACCTGTTAGAATGGTGATCATTAAAAAGTCTGGAAACAACAGATGTTGGTGAGGATGTGGAGAAATAGGAAAGCTTTTACACATTGGTGGGAATGTAAATTAGTTCAACCATTGTGGGAGACAGTGTGGTGATTCCTAAAGGATCTAGAACCAGAAATATCATTTGACCCAGCAATCCCATTACTCGGTATACACCCAAAGAATTATAAATCATTCTACTATGAAGACACATGAACACGTATGTTTATTGCAGCACTACTTACAATAGCAAAGACTTGGAACCAAACCAAATGCCCATTAATGATAGACTGGATAAAGAAAATGTGGCACATATACACCATGGAATACAACGCAGCCGTAAAACAGAATGAGTTCATGTTGTTTTGCAGGGACATGGATGAACCTGGAAGCCATCATCCTCAGCAAACTAACACTGGGACAGAAAACCAAATGCCGCATGTTCTCACTCATAAGTGGGAGTTGAACAATGAGAACACATGTACACAGGGAGGGGAACATCATACACCAGGGCCTGTCGGGGGGTGGGGGGCAAAGAGAGGGAGACCGTTAGGACAAATACCTAATGCACGAGGAGCTTAAAACCTAGATGACAGGCTGATAGGTGCAGCAAACCACCATGGCACATGTATACCTATGTAACAAACCTGCACCTTCAGCACATGTATCCCAGAACTTAAAGTAAAATAATTAAAAAAATAAAACTCCTAGAAAGAACCTTTCTGAATTGAGATCAGAGTGAAAACTTAGGGATTCTCTTCCATCTCAGACTGCTAATCTTTAAATTGTTATGATGAAACAAAGATGACTTGCTGAAGATGCTACAATGAAGAGAGTTGCATAAACTGATTGTCTACTCTCATCATGTTAGTTGATATCATCTGGTTCATCAGAATTCTTAGGTTTCTGTAATCAATAGTCTCCTTTTTTTTTTTCCTGTTCTTCTCTAAGATTGAGGGCTTAAAATGAGACGAAAATGATGCTGAGCATCAAACATGTATCATCTCATTTAATTCTTAGAGAATCTGTGGTTACCCCCATTTTAGACATGTATACAGATATGAACAAAACGATTCAGCAACTAGACCAAATAAGTGATGGAGCCGGGTCTAAAAATTAACTCTAACTTCAAGTTCTTTATTCTATGCAGTGTCCCAAAGCAATGGCAGACAAGGAAAGAGCCAGAGACCTACATATCCTTGCTCTTAGGATTGTCATCCCACAGCCCATGACCCTGGGGCTTGCCATTCCCTTTGACAGAATATCTAGCATATATAAGTCATTCAATTGATACTCTTAATAGTTCTTGCCTCCCTTTCAAGTGAACAAGGACATACAGAAACTAATTTTTCCATCCACAGAAACTGTTTGAATATGTAGTCCTACCACAATTTCCAGACACATCTAGACTGAATTCCTCCTGTGCCCTTAGTCATAGGGGAAAATAGAACATGGAAATTTCCTTTTTAAAATGAAACTAAACCTGTGGTGTTTCTGGTTTTACAATCTGCTTACTTATTTTAAGTCAGATTCCTGATCACTACCCCAAGAGACTGTGGTTTAGTGTATCTCAGCAACCACCCAAGAATACAACAAATGCCACAGATGATTCTAAAGTGAGTTGTCTCCATACACTGAGAAACATTAAAACAAAGGATTGAGTCTCAAGGCAGACAGGTTTTTGGTCTTAGTTTCTCAATTCTCACATCTTCACATAAGCAGAAAGGGCAAACAACTATTAGAACAAAGAAGAGTTATTCTGTACATAAAGTGAGTGAAGGTTCACTTCCCTAATCTCAAATTATTATGTAATATTGATGAACAAAGTGAAATAGCTAATTTGGAAAAATTTTTGAAAGTGTTTCTGAAAGAAATGTGTCTTGTCTTTCTATATAAGTATAGAAACCAGAATAAGAAAAATAATTTTATTTGATGCAATTACAGACTCACTATAGTTTTACCTTTTTATATTTGTATAAAACTCAGCTAGAAGTATATTTTTATAAAACTCAGCTAGAAGTACACTTCAGCTAGAAGTAGTTATAAAAAGAATTTTCCAACTCCTTTCTTTCCATCTTCTTATCTTAAAAACGCCATATGGCACCAACTAAGATAACACATAGGAAGCACTTAAAACAAATCTTACCTGTCACAACAAACATTGCTGTCCTTTCTCAATTTTCACTTCCCTTCACAGGGAATACATTCATTGAAGAGAGGACATTTAATCAGAAACAATTTATCAAGTCTTCTAAAGTAATACACATTGAAATCAAATCCTCCTTCATCAATAACCATACAAGGAAAATAACTGTTAACATTAGCATTTGTGGTTACTATCAAGTCACCATTTATAAGCTAAACAGATACCAGTTTGAATTTTGATAAAATACCCACATAGCCAACACCCAAACCTTAAGATGACAGGAAGCGCTGAAACCTGCAGGAAGGTTGGAATGTTACCAAAGGAAAAACAATAGGGTTTATATGTCAGAACATTTGCTGCATCATTTTTTAATTGGAAAATAGGATTGAGAACTAAAAATGCTGTAAAGAGTCTTTGGCTGCACCTAGAGAGGAAAAGGGAAGTAACTTACACACTAAGGGAAGGTAAAAAGCATACAGAAGTTTCCAAAGAGGAAAAAAAAAAATTGTGAAAAAATGTGTCTCC
The DNA here is from genome assembly GCF_000001405.40 of Homo sapiens. NCBI lineage: Eukaryota > Metazoa > Chordata > Mammalia > Primates > Hominidae > Homo > Homo sapiens. The sequence goes on along the minus strand of NC_000001.11, from coordinate 193,568,752 downwards.
TTGGAGCCTGAGTGGAGGAAGTATAAAAGAGAAAGTATCAAGTCATTCAAACACTATCAAACATGGAGACGCCCTTTATCATGGGCTACAGGAGTGGAAGTAGGTGACCCATGAGTATGGGGTCATCTTCCTGGAACTGGAGATAACCTTTTGTAACATCTCTACTCCAGTGTTTCCACTTACATGAAGTCAGGAAAAGATTAGTTCTAATGCTATTACTTATGCAAATTATTTGACTTTTCACATGAAAGTCAAGTTTCAAATTTAATGACTAGACTATTCATTTCTTCGATGTTTATGATAAGATCTTTGAGAACCTGTGAGCTTTACTGGATCACAGTCCTAAAAAAGAGGTTTACAAACGTTCTTATGTTGCAGTGACGCTACTATTTCTAAAGAGGACAGAAAGGAAAAATGAAATGATGGAAAATGGAAAAATTCTGGAAAATCCACTCTAGGAAGAAGCAGAAACGTTACCAGACAGTAGCTAATAAAGTAGAAGAGGGAAAATGTATTTTGACATTTTGATGAAAGTCTGTCAAAGAGCAAAAATCACACCCTTTGGAAGTAGATTGACGAGCTCCATCTCAGTTTCCATTTTACATGGCATTGTGCAGAAGCACAGAGTTACTAAATGACTATCCAAATCACACAGCAACCCATGTTCATAGTTGGGCAAACTTTTCAAATGTCCCAATTTCTACTAAACGGTAACTTACTTGTAAAATGGTACCAGGAGCTAGGGCAGAAAATAGAGACCCTAGGTGGGAAAAGATTAGTAACCAAGTGATGCTAATGTTAGGTGGAGAAAGACAGGAATCACACAAGAACAGAGGGCTGCCGAACAGCAAAGGAGAGCAGGGTCACGTGCAGAAAAGTCAGGAACGTTTCCTGAAGTAGTAGGCTCTGCAGAGACCAGCCTCGAAGTCTAGAAAGGCTTGTTAATAGTCGGCAAAGGCAAAGGAGAAAGAAGGAACTTATACTCGAGGTAAAGAGGACAATAACTGTGCCAGTCGCGGTGGCTCACACCTGTAGTCCCAGCACTTTGGGAGGCCAAGGCGGGTGGATCACTGGAGGTCAGGAGTTCAAGACCAGCCTAATGACAACAAGGAGAAACCCCGTCTCTACTAAAAATACAAAATTAGCCAGGCGTGGTGGCACATGTCTGTAATCCCAGCTACTCGGGAGGCTGAGGCAAGAGACTCGCTTGCACCCAGGAGGCAGAGGTTGCAGTGAGCGGAGATCATGCCATCACACTCCGGCCTGGGCAACAAGAGCAAAACTCTGTCTCAAAAAAAAAAAAAAAAAAAGACAACAACTGAAATCATAGAGGTAGAAAAACAGGAATATTTAGAACACAGCAAGAAGGTCAGTCTGGTTACAGTAGAGAAGGATCAAGTAAAAAGGTTGAAACCAAATGGTGGCAGACTTCTGTGCTAAGCTGGAGTGGATACACTGAATAAAAACCATTAGAAATTTCAGGAACATTATCTTGACAGCTGTGTGTAAGGCAGACTGGGCTGGGAGGAGAAGAAAATACGGAGAGACAGTTCTTCCAGTCATCCAGAAATAACGACAAAGTGAGAAAGCCAAGACCCAGACTAAAATGAACCTTGGTTAGGAATTATTCAGTAAAATACCTTTAAAGATTCAGAAAAAGATTTTCTTAAGTGCACTAAATAATGGGGCAAGGGGGGAATAGAATGAGAGCACACCCGTTGCTGGAATCTTCTAAGATTGTCTACTAATTATGAGATTTTGGAAGCTGTAATGAGAATCACAGCTAGCAGCTACACACACACACACACACACAGACACACACACACACACACACACACACATACACTCTCTCTCTCTCCTTCCAACCTCAGAGTTGAGTTTAACACTGAGTCTGTATACTGAGGTATATTCATATGACACGAGACATATGTCAGCCAGAGAAAGGGTGGAGCCAGTACTTTTCTTAAAATTCATAGGTATACCTTCGAGAAATCGAAGTATTAGGAAGTATCTGGACACATTAGGCATGAACAGTGGTCTGATGCACCCTGGGATAAAGTGTTTCTAAAGTAGCAAGACTCCACCTAGGAAGAACACTGGCAAAAACGCACCTTGTAAATTCCAGTTTCATGTGTGCTGAATTGGTAAATACCAGAAAAAGAGCAGGGAGGCAAGGAAAGATTACACCTCAATCCAGTAGAGATGCACTAGATGGATACCTACGATACTGGAATAGAATAAAAGATATGAAAAATAATTCACATTAACACCTAGGTGTTCAGTTTGTCAAAGGTCCAGCTTTTTAACAAATAGGCTCATAAATGAGGTTTCAGCCCAGAACATATTATGACCTAACTCGTGGGAGCTCCTGTTTATTTGCTATTTGTGTTGTAATATGCTACTGTGCTCTCTTGTAATCTTTCTGACTGATAAGAAAATGCAGTCTATTTGACAAAAGACCAAAAAAAGTGCTACTAATTATTTTAAGAGTATAAAGTGAAGTAGAAAAGACAAATATATTACTTTGAATTATACATGCACAAGAATTAGATTCTCTTTTTAGAAGACAAATTTGATGACTGGGTAAAAAATAAACTGTACCACTTACAAGAAACAATTTAGACAAAATACAAAGAAGATGAAAAGTGAGAGGAAAGTCAAAGATATATCAGAATGATAAAGAGTATGACAATATCTATATCAGAAGAAGTTGAATTAAAGGCACAGATATTATATGTCATAAAAAGGATTATTTTATATTAACAAAAGTACAATCTACAAAAATGATATGTCCTGAATGTCTATATATCAGATAACATGGCATTAATGTATAAAAAGCAAATGCATTTAAAAAGCTGATAGAAACACAGGAATACGAGACACATCATCCTCAGGCAAACACCAAGTGGCGAAAAAGAAGACAAAGAGGATTAGAAAACTACAACTAATAAGGATGATTTAATATACACTAAACTTTAATATTTCTAATTTTAAGTCCTACAAGCACTGAATATAGTTCTTTTTAAGGACCTATCAACATTTTCAAAATATTATTTATGGGTAAAATAAAATACTAGCTCAAGGAAAGAGCTAAGCCAACAAAACAGAATAAAGAGCCCTTCAGACCCTAGTATTTATGAGAAATTATTATGTGACACTATAGTATAAAGTGACATTACAAATCTGAGCAGATAAATTAATAAGTGGGCAATTAGTTAATCATGTGGGGAAAATAAGCTAGATCTTCAACAAGTCTATATACAACAAAAACATTGGGTGAATGAGTTGAATTAAACAAAAACACTAGCAATAAAAACTGGTGAATAGGCCAGGCACAGTGGCTCACACCTATAATCCTAGCACTTTGGGAGGCTAAGGCAGGCGGATCATGAGGTCAGGAGATCGAGACCACCCTGGCTAACACAGTGAAACCCCGTCTCTACTAAAAATACAAAAAAAATTAGCTAGGCGTGGTGGCAGGCACCTGTAGTCCCAGCTACTCGGGAGGCTGAGGCAGGAGAATGGCGTGAACCAGAGAGGCAGAGCTTGCAGTGAGCCGAGATTGTGCCACTGCACTCCAGCTTGGGTGACACAGCCAGACTCCATCTCAAAAAAAAAAAAAAAAACTGGTGAATATTTACATTGTATTGAACAAAAACTTTCGTTCTGCATAAGTTAATCAAGGAAGAATCTTTAAAAATGAGTTTTATAGATTTGGCTACGTAAGATTTAAAAGGTTCACTTTCCAATAAAAATTATAAAATTGAGAGGTGAAATGTAAAAATTTATGAAAAAAATCAATCTAGTCTGTAAACAGCTGCCATCAATTACTAAACTGCCGCCTATCCCAGCATAAAATGGACAAAGCATATAGGAAGTCAGTTTGTTTAAAAAAAAAAAAAAAGAAAGAAAGAAAAACCAAACCTTAATAATATATTTATGGAGAAGCAAATCAAAACAATTAGATTTGAATTTCTTCTACAGGTGGTAATTAATCTATATGTTTATTCCTAATCAGAACGCAATTCTATTCAGGTTACTGAGGATCACTTCCTAAATACAAATCCAAGGCCTTGAAATGTAAATATCCTCTTTACATGTAAATATCAGTTTTCTAAAGTTATCACAAGACAGCAATTTAAATGTGAATAAGATTTGTTTGTAAAATAAGTATTGTTTCTAAAAAGAAAAAAACTGCCAACAAACTAAACAGCTAACAGTATTTTGGATTAAGTTACAATAAATTAATAAGACAAAATATAAGTCATTAAAAGTGCCAGGAAATATAAATATATATGTATATATATAAAGATACATATATATGTGTATATAAATGTGTATATAAAGATACATATACACATATATGTGTATATAAAGATACATATACACATATATGTGTATATAAAGATACATATACACATATATGTGTATATAAAGATACATATACACATATATATGTGTATATAAAGATACATATACACATATATATGTGTATATAAAGATACATATACACATATATATGTGTATATAAAGATATATACACATATATATGTGTATATATAGATATATATACGCAAATATGTGTAGATATAGATATATATACGCAAATATATGTGTAGATATAGATATACGCAAATATATGTGTAGATATAGATATATATACGCAAATATATGTGTAGATATAGATATATATACGCAAATCTACGCGTATATATATAGATATATATACGCAAATCTACGCGTATATAGACATATATACGCAAATCTACGCGTATATAGACATATATACGCAAATCTATGCGTATATAGACATATATACGCATATATATGTATATATATACGCAAATATATATATATATATATATATGTGTGTTTTTTTTTTTTTTTTTTGAGACAGTCTTGCTCTGTCACCCAGGCTGGAGTGCAGAGTTGCCATCTCTGCTCACTGCAACCTCCGCCTCCCGGGTTCAAGCGATTCTCCTGCCTCAGCCTCCTGAATAGCTGGGATTACAGGAGGGCACCACCATGCCCGGCTAATTTTTGTATTTTTAGTAGAGACAGAGTTGCACTATATTGGCCAGGCTGGTCTCAAACTCCTGACCTTGTGATCCGCTTGCCTCAGCCTCCTAAAGTGCTGGGATTACAGGCATGAGCCACCATGCCTGGCCGCCAGGAACTATATATTCTGAGACAACAGATATGTAGATATTCACACACTTAATTTTTGTGAATATAAAAGGAGTGATAACAGTAGTTATTTCTGGTTAGATAAGAATTCATTTTCTTTTTATTTATCTGAATGCTTATACAATAAGCACATAGAAGCTAAAAATTTTCACAAAACCACCTAAATATTACAGATGTAGATCATGTAACTTTTGTGTAATGAAATACCATCCAAGTGTTAAAACTGTATCATAAAAAAATTTAGTAATATAGAAAAGTATGAAATGTTAAGAAAAATTGACTAAAGTCATATGTAAGATAGCAATTTTGCAAAAAAAATGTACAGATATAAACATTTCAAAACAGCTAGATGGATATGCACAAAAATATTAACAGTGGTTATATCTGGATGGGAGAGGTACTAGAGTTACAGAGGGTCTTTTTTTTGCTTCACCAAATATTCGACAGTGAACATTACTTTGGTAATTACTTTTGTAATTAAAAAAATATATTAAGCTGGGCGCAGTGGCTCCTGCCTGTAGTCCTAGGAGGCTGAGGATTGCCTGAGCTCAGGAGTTTACGACCAACCTGGGCAACATGGCAAAACCCCATCTCTACTAAAAAAAGAAAAAAGAAAAAAAAATATTGCTGGGTGTTGTGGCACGTGCCTGTAGTCCCTGCTGCTCGGGAGGCTGAGGCAGGAGAATCATGTGAACCTGGGAGGCAGAGGTTTCAGCGAGCCGAGATTGCGCCACTGCACTCTAGCCTGGGTATCAGAGAGAGTCTCTGTCTTTAACAAAAAAAAAAAAAAATTATAAAAGTTATTTTTAAGATACTCAAGATGTTTAGTAAACCTAAGTAAGAGAAAACGTATTTTAAAACTTTAACAGCTAGTTCTATTGTGCCTTTTTTATATAAAAATTATCATTTTTAGCGCAAAAAGTAGAACCCTTTTATTACAATCTAGTGAGGGACACAAAATAAAACCTGAGTGGTATTGTGCAAGTAGTGTATAAGTTCTAACTTAAAATATTTACTTATTAAAAAAATGAGAACAATGATATATTACTCTTTTGATAATATATCCCTGTGCCATTGCTGCTGTAACAAATTACTGCAAACTTCGTGTCTGTAAACAACACAGATTTATTATATTACAGTTCTGGAGGACCTAAGTCCAAAGCATGCCTTACCCGGCTAAAATCAAAGTGCCACAGGGCTGCTTTCCTTCTGGAGACTCTATGCAAGAATTCCTTTCTTGCCTTTTCCATCAACCTGCATTCCTTGGGTTGTGCCCTGCCCCTCCCTTTTCAAAGCCAGCTATGCTAGTCAAATCTTTCTCACATCCTATCATTCTATCACTGATTCTTCTGCCTTCCTTTTCCACATTTAGGGACATTTCTGATTACATTGGGCCACTTGGATAATCTAGAAAAAATTCCTTAAGGTCATCTGATTAGCAACCTTATTTCCATCTGCAATCTTACTCCCCCTGCCATGTAAGACAACTGTCACAGCTTCCAGGACTTAGGAAATGTAAATCTATGGGTCCCGTTACTCATCACAGATGACTACAAATATTTGCAATCAGTGGACACCAGTTTCACTAGTTCAAAAAATATTTATTGAACCTTTGCTAAGTGATGGAAACTATTCCTGTGTTGAGAAAACAAAAGTTAACAAAATAGAAATAATTCTTCAAAGAGCCATTACAAACATTACAGTATGAATATCATCCTTGTTTTCCATTTGCTTCAGTTTTTGGCTTTGCATGCGTACTACATAGAAAAATTTTGATTTTTGCAGGTAAATAGCTACAAATGACAAAACATTGCAACCTCAGAACTTAGTCACTCATTCAGAAAGTGTTTACTAAATATTCCCGTGGACCTGGAGTCATGCTAGGTGTGAGAGATAAAACAATAAACAGAAAAAAATGGTCTCTATTCACTTGTGGTAATTTAAAATGTGAAGAGTTATGAGTGAGATGACAGGAAATTTGTTGCAAGTTCTGGCAAGAGAAATTAATATGCATAAAATACTAATCCAAAAAAATGTATTATTCTGGAAAGGATACTTTGTCTCATTTGGCAGTATTTTAAGGAATATATTATTTTAAAAGTGTGTGTTGACATTTTTTTTTTTTGTTTGAGCTGGAGTCTCACTCTGTCACCCAGGCTAGAGTGCAGTGGTGCGATCTTGGCTCACAGCAACCTCCGCCTCTCAGGTTCAAGCGATTCTCCTGCCTCAGTCTCCCGAGTAGCTGGGACTACAGGTGCCCGCCACCATGCCCGGCTTTTTTTTTTATTTTTGTATTTTAGTAGAGACAGGGTTTCACCCTGTTGCCCAGGCTGGTCTTGAACTCCTGAGCTCAGGCAATCCACCCTCCTCGGCCTCCCAAAGTGCTAGGATTACATGCATGAGCAATCATGCCCAGCCATGTGTTGACTTTCAATAATGGTTTTTATTCATATACACATATACATGTAGATATCTATACATCTATATGAATATATATAAGAAATATGCACATATTGCTTAGTGAAAGCTGAATCAAAACCCTGAAACAGCTCACTAAAATTTAGCTGTCATAGAAATTCACTGTGAAAATCACTGCTTCAGTTAAATGGGATAAGCTTATTCTATTCTTAAAAGGAGAGTTTTTTATATAATAATGATAGTTTTCACATTTTCTCTTTATTTTTCCTAAATGTATAATATATTCTAGAGCTGGCTCAAGATTTTCTTTTTCTGGTATGGGGACACAGTTCTAGAAGAGTGAGATTCTATGTTTATAAATAGCATTTTGAAGCAAATCTTGCAAAAAGATTTGCTCCCTCATCAGAATATCTTTAACGAGATCAAAAGAATTTAGACCATAGAGTTCTGTGTGTAGAGAAAATATCCCAATTTACTACTGAGAATCACTCAATAGGCTGGAATTGAGAAAAAAGGTGACCGACTATTTTCAATTTGCCTAGACTTTCTAGATTTTGAAAATCAAAGTCCTACATCCAGCAAAACTACCTTAGTCCTGGGAAAACCAGCATGGCTGGTCATTCTAATCCAGACCCTAGGTATTTTGAGTTGGAGAAGAGAGAAAGAGGAGGGAGGAAAGTAAAGTCAGTGGTCACAGCTCTCAGTAACAAAAGGAGGGTACGATGCAGGGCAGGGCTTCCCTTTCCTTCCTCGAGCAAGACACGTCATGGTAAATCTGGTAGGGCTATGGGGTCAGACAACTGGAAACACTGAGAATCACTTTCTTCAGCTGTCCTTTCTTTATGTTGTGGATTCTGAGCTGAAGAAGAGTAGCACATCAAAAAGGCCCACTGCAGGAGGGATGGATAAGGGAAGAAGGACCAGTGGGCTACAGGATGCATCAGACATTCAGGACCTGCAGTCAGCAGAAGCAAATTTGAAAGAGACCAGATCAGTGGTTACATCAGCCACAGGTCTCATCTACAAATGCCCGGGTGGAAAAGTGGGTAGAGGTATTGCCTCAATACCACAGGACACTCTAAGGGCATTTTATCCATGGACTTCAGTTCTTCTGCCTCATCATGAGATTGCATAGGCCATATTCCTCCCTTCCTAGGTCTTCATTGAAACTCTAATAGAATGAGCATTCTTCTCTAAGAAAGACTGGACATTATCCAAACCAACCGCTGAAATTCTTCTTTAAAATCAGATGGTTTATAGATAGAACCCATCATATTTCTTCTGCTCATCTGAGTTACAGCATGAGTTTCATGTGTGATCTTGCTAGAAGTATACAGCTGCACAAGGCTAAACAGCTAACATTGTAAGGATCCCCAGTCAAAAGATGCCACCCAAAGTGAGTGAATATGGTTTTCTAGCAAGTCAGTCATCAAGAATTTAAGTGCCTTAAGGACACTTACTTAGTACTGTACTTGGTTATGCGCTTTATGTGGCAAAGAAATAAGCTAACAGCTCTTGTTCGTAGTTTTTTCACTAAAATACGGTTCATCTCCAATCTCCTACTCCCGTTGGATTTATTTGTCAGGCTTTACCCACTGCACTGAAACTAAAAGGAAAAAAATATCTTGCTGATTCACATACCTACTCAGAGGCTTCAGCATGCTGGCTGCCCAAGAGAACTTTAACAGCTCAGACCCCTTTCAAACAGCAGTGAATCTCTTTAAATCTAGAGGATTATGCTTTTGAAAGATTGGAATGAGGAAAATCCTCTTTTTAAAAAAAATCCTCCTAAGACATCATAAATCCAAGAGTCAGTATTTTCACCTGGTTTACTAGAGCCAAGGCATTTATATTACTCAAGATATATATTTACTTATTTTTATAAAATATATTCTCCTAGAGGCCTAGGTGTCAAGTGCATTTTCTTCTTCCCCAAATTGTAAATTAATTTTTAAAAACCTTTTGAAAATACACTGTTTGCAGACCAAGAACTGTCCCCCTAACACAACCATGCTTTTGTATCATGTTCATCCACTCTGCACAGCTTAAGTAAAATGACATTGCAGGTAGCCAGATCACTTATGTCACCAAGAAGACAAATAGTTACCTTTGTAACAGAAAGTAAAATAAAAATCAGTATCCAGCTATTTCATCCAGAGAAGTCAAATTGGTACTAACACTCACCAAAAAGTCAACAATTGCTGACACAGTCAGGAGGTTGAGAAAAATCAAGTAGAAATGAGGAAATAGGGTTGCCTGCCAAGCATACCCACAAAAAGCAAAGACGTTTTGACACTCTTAGTGAATTCTCACTACAAGAGGAAACTTTTGTTGGACAACACCCAACAGATCTTAGTGCCAAGGTCAGGATAAGATTGCCCAAGGAAGTGACCCGGACAACTCTGTGTGACTTCTGGCTACACCGTTACCACTGGTCCAGATGCCTGGTGATGCTGGCAGATGCTAAGGCAGTCGGGTGTTTATGGTTTGGATCTGGGAGAAGGAAATACAGCTAATAGCTCCAGTGGTTGAACAGAATTAGAAAAGCTATGACTAAACCACCTCTATAAGATTATGAGTCATCTCTAGATGGTCTTCCCTTTTGTACTGAATGGAACACATTGTTATAAACAACAAAATCTAAATGTAAGTGGAAATTACACAGGGAGTCATTCCAACAATGAGCAAACTTGAGAAGAAATACTCTCTAAGATAAAGGATTTATAAGTACCTACAAAGTGCATCATGTGTGGAATGCATTTGAGAAATATGTCTACCTTGCTTTTTTAATATGTGGGAAATTCAACATGGATCTATTTTTTAACAAAATCAGATTATTATTAGACAAATTATTATTTAAAAACTATATTGCACTAAGTCCTTTTATCAAAATGAAGATCCTACATTAAAGAAAGCAACATGCATTCTTCTCTCTCTGTAAATTTGTACCACCAAATATTAGGCTGTTTTGTTGTGGGGTATACAAGTATCCAAGCAGGTGTTTGAAGGAAGTCCCCAAATCTTATCTTCTTTGAAACAGGGTAATACTCAAATCATTTCAGAGATACCGCTCTCTGTACTATTCTATAGCCTGCAAAATGATTAGGAAATTTATTTTGCCCAGTTCTCTATCTACCTATAAAAATTAGGGCTTTGAATAGAAAGTATATAGATTGGCAAAGATGAGGCTATTCATACCCCAAAACTATGTTGAATTTTACACAAAAAATTTCAACTATTCACTTAGAGAAGTTTATCTGTGGTAAGGGTTTAAATTTTAAAGTAAAAATTCTAAGGATTTCTAATCTTGTGTACTTTACTTATTCATTTGCTTATTTTAGAGAAGTGGATTCTCTTACAGATTGGCATAGACAGGATGCCTAGGACAGCTCTTTATAGCTTGCATTAATACAAGGAAATTTTGTCTTTTTCATTAGAACTCTGAGTTTCCCATCTACCTTATCATGGGTCTAGTTTGAGGCACTATGGTTGAGGTAGGACTGAGTGTGACCAACCACTATAGAACAGATTAAGTCAGGACTAAACACACAATTCCAAGTGAAGGCAAAAAATGAAAATATCAAATATATTTAAAAAAAATTTTTTTTGAGACAGAGTCTTGCTCTGTCACTAGGCTGGAGTGCAGTGGCACGATCTCGGCTCACTGCAACCTCCCCCTCCCAGGTTCAAGCGATTCTCCTGCTTCAGCCTCCCAAGTAGCTGGGAGTACAGGCGTGTGCCACCACACCCAGCTGATTTTGTATTTTTAGTAGAGATGGGGTTTCACCATGTTGGCCAGGATCGTCTTGATCTCCTGACCTCTTGATCTGCCTGCCTCAGCCTCCCAAAGTGCTGAGATTACAGGCATGAGCCACCGCGCCCGGCCGGAAATGTCAAATCTAAAGGTGCCATGAGCAGACAGACAAAAACAGGTCCTGAAACAAAGGGTCTTAGACCCAGGTCAGCAAAATGGAGATGGTGTTAAGGGTGGGGTTTGGGCCCATGAACCAGACAGAGTGGAGCCAGGGAGGATGTCATATGGCATCAATTCATACAGCAAAGATCCTGGAAAAGGAATGCGGGCCTAGCTCTTCAGCAGGGAAGGAGCTTCTGGGGAGCTTGGCTGCTCACTGCTCACGGAAGGTTGAAGTAGCCTTCTTTTGGTGGCACTTCCTTAGAAGATTTGCCTCTTCTTCCATTTCCTATTCCTTTTCTCTCCATTACAGGGTTGAGTGTTTCATTCTCCTGAGTCCCTAACACCCTGTCATCATGGGTCTCCCAAAGTCCTATTTCACATTTTGTTTCTTGTAATCGCCATTTCCCGATTTCTTCCATGGACACCTTCTAATGTGTTTACATGTATACGTTTGTTTGCATGTGTTCCTGAAAGACTGTAGTTTTGCGCGGTGTACATACATTTTTATAAATGGGTGTTTATTTTCTATTTTCTTCTGTTTTTCACCATTTAATCAGAACTGTTGTTAAGCTCCATCCATATAACTGTCTGTTCATCTAGCCCGTTGCACAGAAGTTCTGCTTGATTCTCCATTTAGTAAATCCACCACATCTTAGCATCCACTCCCCTGGTAACGGATTGCCTTCAGTTCTCCCCACCACAAACAATGCAGCAATGAACAGCCTCAGACATGTGTCCCATGAATCTGTTAAAGAATGTCTGTGGGACATATGTTCAGAAGTAGAAGTTTGGGTTGAAGGATACTTAATATGACATAATGCTAAATATAACAAGGTAGTATGTGGCTGCCACAATCAACTCCTACCAGCGCCATGTTAATTTCAATATTCTTACATGCCTGAAAAAGTTGCCATCGTCCATCTTTCTAATTGTTGGCAGCAAAAAGGATGTGCAAACCATGGCCTATTGGTCAGCTGCATGTTTATATAAATAAAGTTTTATTGGAACACAGCCATGCCCATTTGTTTATGTATTGCCTAGGCTGCTTGCATGCTACTGTGACAGGGTTGAGTAATTGCAAAGGGACAATAGGGCCTGCCAAGCCTAAGGTATTTACTATCTGGCCCTTTAAAAACAGTTTGATGACTTCTCAGAAGTGTTAATTGTTTTCATATTCATTTCTCTGATTATTTGAATTGGACATCCCTTTGATACAGGACAGGCAAGCCCCCAAATCGGGGTTTAGCCCAGCAGGATTCTTGGCTTCCTCCAGGAAAGAATTCAATGGTGGGTCAGTGGTGTTAAATAGCAACTTTTATTGAATCAGCAGTGTACAGCAGCAGCAGTGGTGCTGCTCCTTGCAGAACAGGGCTAACCATAGGCAGTGTGCCCAGAATAGCAGCCTAGAGGCATTCCAGCACTCATTCATATTTATACCCACTTTTAATAATATGCAAAGTAAGGGGCAGTTTATGCAGAAATTTCTAGAATGAGAGTGGTAACTTCCAGGCTATCTCCTTGTTGCCGTGGAAAGAAGTGGTAATTTCTGGGTATTGCCACAGCACATTGGTGGGCCTGTGTTATGGGGAGGTGCTTCTGCCCCTGACTTGTTTTAGCGAATCCTCAATTTGGTCCGATGACCAAGCCCCACCTCCAGAGTAGAGTTCTGCCTCCTACCTCACCTTTATATACTTGTTGGCCTTTCGATTTTCCTCTTTAGTAACTTACCTATCTGCACCGTTTTGGATTTTTCTTGTTGATATGCAGGAGTAAGTTATACTCAGAAAGTAGCTCATCAATATTAGAATTGCAAATATCTTCTTCATCCTGTTGGCTGCCCATGAATTGTATATGTGGTGACCTTCATAAAAGTGAAAACCTTAAATTTTGGTATCAAATTAATCAAAGTGCGAACTTACGGTTGATGACTTTGAGGTTAAAAAGCCCTTCACCACAGAGTACTTACTGATTTTTCTGAAGGGATTTTTTTTTGTTGTTTGGTTTTTTGCATTGATCAAAATAATATTTCCTTTGCTCTATTAATGCAATGAATCATGTAAATAAATTTCCTGAATTTCTAAGTTTCTGTAGTTCTTTGATACCTGAACTAATTAATATGGTTTATATTAGTCTTTATTGTATATGTATATTCTCACACTTGGTTGTAAACTACTAACAGAGAAAAATACACACTCCATATTGTAGAAGTCCAATAACACCTATTAAAATTATAAAACTGGAAGAAAGATTGTCATGGCCACTATGAAATGGCTTCCAATTATTGTATTAGACCAACTCTATAAATCTTTCATTAGTATCCTGAGAATCAACTTTACGCCAAACTCAGAATTGTAAAGAATATCTAAACGCTGCTTGCTAGTGCTGGAAAACACGGAGTTGTGTTAGTCATCAAAATTTAAAAACTAAATAGCCAAAAATGAAATTATTCTTGTAATATATAATTAGCATTTCAAAATTTAAAACATACTTTGTTTTCCTCATTAGTTTTGTCATTTCTGTTCAACAACATGGAAAATTATAACCCATAAAAGTGCTTTTGTCCAAAAGAACTCTTGTCCTATCATAACTCTTACATGAAAATTTCCAAATCTTTTAAAAATCTTAATTCATACTCAGGGTTGTTTTACTACCTTTTTTAAATAAAAAGAGTATGAACAAAATGTTTTGATTTGCCCTTTTTCATGATTTTATGCCCACATTATAACGCCTAAGGCAGAGTCAAAAACACAAATAGCTTTCCCTCATTTTTAGTCTAGTAATTCAAGCTGAGTTTCAGATTGGGCAATGGAAATGGATCTATGATAGTACTAGTAATACCAAGAAAATCCACGGTTTATTAGTGTCACACCAATGTCTGTACTCCTTAGATTTAAATGTATTACATATTAGCTCTGTAATAATTTACGCATGTCACAGACCCCTCCTTCTAATTTGGTGCCAAAGTTGTATGTGAATTTCATATTGACAAGAATCCAACAAAAAGAAAGAAGTGTTTTTAATCAGAAACTTTTATAAACAAGTTTCAGCATGGAGAGATTAAATATCTGTGGACTTAAGAATTATAGAGCATCCGAACTATGAAAGTTCAAGTTAAGTTCTAGTTAAATTTTATTTAATCAAAATTATCTTTAATTAGGTATGTGTATTTTAAACTTGGTATCTAACTGACAAGAAATATTCAGATGACATAAGTAAATATTCATTGGCTGACAGAAATAGTCTCTAGGATATAACCATTTGAGGTTTAGTGGAGCCCCATAAGATATTGCATAGCTTAACAGACCTCCTGTCTTTACATTGATTTCTTCTCTAGGAGATCACTAGGGCCAACCCGTGCTACTCCCAATTAGTCTCATGTAACTTCTTGCTTCCAGTCATTCTACCTATTGGCAGGAGAGACAGTCCTCCTCAGGCCTAGTGCTTTCTTTTATGTCATACTGGGTGTGTCAAGAATGCAAGACCTTGACCACTCTTTATTCAGTCCATTTCTCAGGGCTGTGTTTGCAGTGAGCAACCCTGACAGAGGAGTTAGCCTCTGCCTCTAGACAAAGACCAAGTTGTATTTACTATGCATAAAAGCAGTAGACTCTCCAAACTCAGTACTCCTCAGCCACAGCGCAAACCCACTGTGTGCTTAGCATATATTTGGGCTGTACTGTGTCAGTTCTGTAGGAATTGGGAGCAAGGGGTGCCAACACGAATATGCTGATACCCTTGCTGCTTGTTATGTCATAATCCATAAAGTCCTTTGTCTCTAATCTAGGAGTATTCTATTTTCTGCCAGCATCCATGAAATAGTAACAGGTGAACTTATTAGCTTGGTAAGCAGAAGAAAATCAAATCATAGACACGGCATCTATGGCATTTAAATTTTATTTTCTACTCTGGCCAAATAAAAATCTCTTTTAAAAAAAACTGAAAATCTGGACTAAAAAGCATTATAGAAAATCCTCAGATTTCTAGATTCTCTTATTCTCTGCTCAATTTATTAAATTTAAAAAAAGTCTAAAGGTTCCTAAAGGAGTTATCAACTTTAAACTATATCCTTAATTTCTTTTTTCTTCCTACTTCCTAAACAGACATTCGTAATTTTAACAAGACTTTTAAAAGTAAAATAAAGCCTAAATCAAAATCTTGAAGGGTTTCTTCCTCTGAATTTATTTTAATCACAGGGTTATATATGATAGTTCCAAAGCTCAAAATTCTATGCTAAAGAAATCATTTAAGCCAAGAACATGATTCTTGGGGTGACAGTACAAGCTTAGAAAGTAGAAATGTCAGAGGAAAAAAAATCAATAAAGACTGTTGATAAAAAGATAGGTTTTAAGATAGGACAAGGAAACAAGAGAAAGAAAAACAAGAGAAAGGACACTTGTTGAAGGCAAATAGGAAGTTGATCCAAACTTAGGAAGCTGGTGCCACATGGCCAAATGTTAGATAAATGAAATCTTACAGAAAAGAATGGATCAGAGAGTAATATGTCTTCCAAGCAGGGACTTTCGTCCAGAGTGGGCTAACGATGCACGGATAAGCAATAAAATGTCTTAAACATTTCTTACATGAATAATAATTACTGTTTTCGCTCATTAACTTAATAAACAGCTATTGAGTTTCTACTATAGGAGAGGACCTGCTCCAGGATCAGGGGTTAGCAAACTATGACCTGCAGGCCAAATCCAGACCAACATCTGCCTTCGTAAATAAAACCTTCTGGGGACACAGCCACAACTAAGTGCTTGGGTTTTCTGTGTCTACACTCATGCTACAACAGAGTTGAGTCGCTGCAGCAAAGACAGTATGACCTGCCAAGCCTACAATAGTATCTGGCCCTTTACACAAAAAGTTTCCTGACCTGTGCTCTTGATGATAGACATACAGTAGGATCAAAACAAGTCACACCTTCTGGGAACTTACACTAGTAGGGAGCAGACGGTAAACAGTACATACCTAAATATGCTACACTTTTTCAGGTACTGGGAGGTGCTTTGAAGAAAGAAGAATAAAGAGAGTGTTTTTATATTAACCTATGGGTATTTGCTATATTATACAAATACTAAGGTAACATACAAAAATCTCACTTTTAAAGTTTTAAAAATAAATTAATGCTATTTTGTTCTATTGAGGATTTATAATTTGCCTTTGTTAAATCAAACTTTGATGTAGTATATTAACTGAGAAAAAATCTTTGATGGTCCAAATTTCTACCTACCACTGAACTACTCTTTATTTCTTAGATAAAATTTCCCACCAATAGAAAAGTTAAGTTTCTCTTTTACATAAATGACTGACTCATGACAGGTAAAACCTTAAGGGAGGTAGTTCCAAAATAAACACACACACACACACACACACACACACACACACACACACACACATATATACACACACAGAGATATACAAATTGAGAATCCGTTATTCAAAATGCTTGGGACCAGAAGTGTTTCAGATTTGGGAATATTTGCCTATACATAATTAGGTACCTTGTGGATGTGACCCAAGTCCAAACACAAAGTTCATTTGACTCATATACACCTCATACACATGGCCTGAAGGTGATTTTATAGAATATTTATAATTTTGTGCATGAAACAAAGTTTTTACAGCATTTTGACTGCAACCCGTCACATGAGGTCAGCTGCGAAATTTTCTACTTGTGGCGTCATGTCAGTACTCCAAAAGTTTTGGATTTGGGAGGATTTCAGTTCGTCAGATTAGGGATACTAAACCTGTGTGTGTGTGTTGGTGGGGAGGGCAGGGACTAAATTTGTATCACTGAATTTTAGAAGGAAAAAGCCTTAGAGATCATTTTGTTTGACCTTTTTGTTCTAGGACAAGTTCATCAAATCCCAGGGAGCCTAAGCTATCCTGGTTCACCAAGCTAGAAAGTGGCAGAGGGAGGGAATGGTTCTAAGGTCTTTCAGACCTTCAACAAGGCTTCATACCAACACAGCCACACACTAGAGCCACATTCCCAGCCTCTGTCCCCAGTCTCACATTGACACGTTAGGAGACCTGAATTCTAGTCTCTATTTTGCCACAAACTAGTTACGTGAGCTTGTAATTATTTCAAATTATCTAAATATCATTTTAATTCATATAAGATATTCAAATATCATTTTCTCATTCATACTATATTTCTTATGTCTCTCCCAAACCTAGGTAGCCCTGTAGAGGATAGGTTTAAGGGTGAGGGCCCTGGGCCAGGTACGGTGGCTCATACCTACAAGTCCAGCACTTTGGGAGGCCAAGGCAGGTGAATCACTTGAGGTCAGGAGTTCAAGACCAGCCTGGCCAACATGGTGAAAAGTCGTCTTTACTAAAAATATAAAAATTAGCTGGGCATGGTGGCACATGCCTGTAATACCAGATACTCCAGAGGCTGAGGCACAAGAATTACGTGAACCTGGGAGGCAGAGGCTACAGTGAGCTGAGACTGCACCACTGCACTGTAGCCTGGGTGACAGAGTGTGACCATGTCTTAAAAAAAAAAAAAAGAAAGAAAGAAAAAAGAGTGAGGGCTCTGGAGCCCAATTGCTTGACTTCAAGTCCTGACAAGTTCCTTATTCTCATTATGTCCCAATCCCCTTCTTTAAAAGAATGCAGTAATTGTACCCACCTCATAAGATTCTTCAAAGGACTAAATTAGTTAATACATATAAAGTATTTAAAAAGAACCTGGCATGTATGAATGTTAAAAACAATGTCAGTTTCTATTCTAATTCTACTTTTAAAGTAGTATGAGACCGAAAACATCTAAATCATCTGAATCATAGAAAGGCTCATATATTCAACAAATTGCCACTATGCTACCAACTTCTCATTTTACCATACCTGTAGCTTTCTAATTTATGTCTAGACATGATGCAGAATCTCAATATATCCTTCCATTAGATTCCTCCAAGCAAACATTGAGCTTGCTAAAATCCTAATGAGTTCCAACAAATGAATTTCAAATTAACTCAAAGGAACTTTAGTAATTAATAAACTTTTTTGTTGAAAGGTCCTTTCTCTGAATATATACCTAAAAGAATATAAATCACTCTGTTATAAAAGACACATGCACATGTATATTCACTGAAGCATTCACAATAGCAAAGACATGAAACAACCTAAATGTCCATCAGTGATTGACTGGATAAAGAAAATGTGATACATATACACCATGGAATACTATGCAGCCATAAAAAAGAAAGAGATCATGTCCTCTATAGGGACATGGATGGAGCTGGACACCATTATCCTCAGCAAACTAACACAGGAACAGAAAACCAAATGCTACCTGTTCTCACTTATAAGTGGGAGCTAAATGATGAGAACATATGGACACACAGAGGGGAACAACACACTCTGGGGCCTCTCAAAGGGTGGAAGGTGGAGGATGGAGGAGGGAGAGGATCATGAAAAATAACTAATGGGTACTGGGTTTAATACCTGGGTGATGAAATAATCCGTACAGCAAACCCCTATGACACAAGTTTACCTATGTAACAAAACAGTACTTGTGTCCCTGAACCTAAAATTTTTAAATTAAAAAAAGCAACTTATAAATAAAGAAAAATCTAG
Organism: Homo sapiens; assembly: GCF_000001405.40. Lineage (NCBI taxonomy): Eukaryota > Metazoa > Chordata > Mammalia > Primates > Hominidae > Homo > Homo sapiens. The sequence continues at coordinate 193,549,647 of NC_000001.11, read as the reverse complement.
TTTGTGCTCACTGCTCCCAAGTCAGCTAACTGACAATCATTTTCAGGCTAGGTGTGGTTAGGAATGGTAAAAGCCATTTTAACTATAAATATCAGTGCAGAATGTAGCTAAGTAATTGAATAAAATCCTTCACTCTCACAGTAAAATTCAATATAAAAATAAATTTCTAAAATCTATGATAATGAAAATGGTGATTATATTGCCAAATCAGAATCTTTGAAAAGATCAGGTCAAATGTGCAAAATCCAGAGACAATATAAGGAGTAGAGTAATTGCAGGTCTTGGACAACAGAACATAACATTTGAAGTTCTTTGTGCTTTTTTATGGCTATGCTGCCTTTCCTTATTGGTACTCATAAAATCAACAGACTTCAAACTCAGCAAGTGAAGGGCTCTATTTATCTGTTCACCTTTGGACCTACTACTCTTCAATAAACACTGGAGAACAGCTCATCTAAGCGAAAAGGCTTTAACACTACAAATTTTTGTGTGTGTGAAGGAAATTCAACATTACAATATTTTTTCCTGGGGATTCTGTCATTGCTGGTTGAACTCCTATATGTTTCTAGCTAATGGACAAAAAAAAAAGCAGCTATCACTCAAAGCTCATACCTACCACAAGTAGTCACATATTCCACTCCAGGCTCTCAAAACTGCTTGAAGCTTTAGATCCATGGCCTTTCACCATGCAATTTTGCAGGAAAACATTAGCAACATTTGTTATCAATAGCAATTCCAAACCCTCTGTGTCTGAAAAACTCTTTAATAATGCATTGCTTCCTAATGATTTCACCAACAAGACAGGCATTGATGAATTTCAATTCAGGTCTGAAACAGCACGGTCCACAGTCAGTATTGAACACTGCACTGGAGAATGGCTGTATTCATTAAGAGTCCAGGAAAGTCTCTCATTAGGTGAAGAGTAATGGCTTTGGCAGCAATTTTGAAGGCAGGTTGAAAATATCACTTACAAAAGCAAACTTTTCCACCCAAATAGTAACCAGTTTGCTGTATTATTGATTCCACTCAAAATTAGCTATCCAATGCAGTGGATCATCATCATAGAAATTGCCGATTGTTATTTTAAAAGTAAATATTAGGTATGTCATGTGATAACCACTTATGGAAAGCATGCTATTCCAGTGTTATAGTTTGATGATTGTGAAATGCATCAGGAGCAAATGATATTATAAAATAGATCAATACTTTCATTATTAAACATTTAAAATGAAAAGTCAAACTAATACCTTCACGCATATCAGTTTACAGTTGAAGACCCCCATTAGAAACAAGGCTGAAAGTTTTTCAAGGATCTTGGTATTTTGCAGAGCAATTTACTAGTTTCCTACTTTCACTTTCTTTATAAAGTCAGGTCTACATGGTCACTCAGATGGAAAAGTTCATAATCAGACTATTTAATCATTAAAATTGCTTTTTTAAAATAGTTCATGGCAGTAATGAAGAAAATTATTACAGGTATAAGTCATATTCTTGGCCTCTACATAATAGTCATACTGAGTCTGGTTGCTTTTCCGTAAGCGCTAATATGGTTTCTAGAGATAAATAAAAGAACTTCCTATGATTTTAAAATACTGTATTTCTATGTATCTATACTTTTGAATAAAAACAATTACACCACACAAAATCTATTATTGTATACTATTTATTTATATACCACTTAAGAAGGACTGTTGGACTAAACATGCATTTTATTCACATTATTCATTCTGCCAGGAACCTGGGACTTTAGCAATCATCTTTTTTTTCTTCCAACCCTCTCCTTGTCCTAGGGGATGGTGAAAGATAGAAGAGCACAATAGAGTATAACAGGAATACAAATGTATATTCTTTGCAGTCCAAAGGAAGTGTTGGCAATTGAATAGATTGTAAATAATTTATCCTGTTCCATATTCCATGGAGTTCAATTTGAACTTGCTAAGAGTAAACCTGAACAGCTGCCTTTTCTGAAACAATACTACATTTTGTAATTTAGCTTACAATATCTTCGGGCACAGATTAAATATGAAAGGGGGGGTATATATCATTCAAGTTTGTTTATAATCTTCCTTACTCCTTACGCTTTGCCTTATTGCAGATAAGGAATGCAAAGAGTGTCTTGTGGCACCTATGAAAGACCTTGAGGAAACCACAGTAATGTCAAGCTTCTGTATCCCAATAAAATGTTAAACGGAGTGAGAAGGGAAGTGAAGGAAAGAGAGGGAAGGCGACTAGGGGTGTGAGGAAAAGGAAATATAAAAGCCTGACTCCAAATAAGAAACACAAATGAGAAGGACTGAAACTTTAATCTGTTTTCATAATTAACACAGCTGTGCTATAATTTGATTTTTATTCTAAATGATGCCATTTAGCTATTCCTCGAATATTAAAAAATGAGCAAAGTATAAAATTATTGATCACTTAATCATTTTTATTTGGGGTTTCTTGATTCATTTTTAAAAATAGGTTTTGATTAATTAATACCAAGTTCTAAGAATGGAAGAGCAGTAAAGAAAGCTATGGGGGGAGGAAAATAAAATCATTTTACCCTCTAATCCAGTAGTGTTAACATATGTATATTCCCTGCAGTGTTTGTAGAAATGTCTGATGTGAGGGCTCTAACCCAGGTCAATTAAATCAGAAACTCTCTGAATGGGCCCAGGGAACAGTATCATTTTTAATTCTTCAGGTGACTAAATTATGTAGCAAGGACTGAGAAACACTGCTATCAACCAAGTGCATCCTACCAATTTCTTTCTTAGGAAGAATATGAAGTCAAAGACCATCCACAGAAACTCTTTCAAACACATCTACATGTGTTTCTGAAAAATGTTTGCTGGAAGAAGAAAGGTTCAATAGTGGAATAAACTTGAGTGTATTTGAACCTTGATCTCATGGATATTGATCTGTTTGCAGCAATTTTAGTAATTATTTGCTTCATGAAAATCTGAGAAATATTGATTGCAGAAGTTTTACTGCAAATTCAAAATTAAGTATTTTTAAGTATTTATATGAAATAACTGAAAACTGAACTTTGCATCTGGCACATGGGTCACCAATAATTATTTCTGGAAAAGCTGGAGAAGCAGATAGGAAAGCTAGGATTATGTAAAATACTTTAGTTCTACATAAAGTGCCCTCCAAAACAAAGCTTCCCCTACCTTTATAATTAAGATGTCATTGGAGATTTTTCTAATCTTCTCCTGATTCCTTCCCCTTTACCCCAAAAATGACTTTCAAATGATGTGTCAGAATTAAGACACAGATTCATAAAGGTGAACTCAATTATGGCTTTACAGGGCAGTGTCTCACTCATCTTTGTATCCTCAGTAACTCTCATGCCGCCTGATACAGGAAGCAGTAAGTGGGCAGCCCTGGAACTTCCTATGTTTTTAAGATACTGTATTTCTATGTATCTACATTTCTGAATAAAAACAATTGCACCATACAAAATCTATTATTGTATACTATTTATTTATATACCACTTAAGAAGGACTGTTGGACTAAACATGCATTTTATTCACATTATTCATTCTGCCAGGAACCTGGGAGTTTGGCAAGCATCTTTTCTGTGGATGGTCTTCCTTGACTTCATATTCTTCCTAAGAAAGAAATTGGTAGGATGCAATTAGTTGATAGCAGCGTTTCTCAGTCCTGGCTACATAATTTAGTCCACCTGAAGAATTAAAAATGATACTGCTCCCTGGGCCCATTCAGCCTGTCTGGTTCATTGTTGATCACCTGACTAACTATCTGCAGAACTTTGGGGAAGTCATGTAACATTTATTCCTGTTAATTCACCTAGAAAATGATGACAATAGCTCCTGCCTTATACAGTCGTTGTGAAAGTAAAATTAGTTTATAATACAGATGCAATGCTTACAACAGTTCCTGGGATGTGCTAACTGTTCAAGAAGCATTAACTCATTACCACTTGGTCATTATACAGGTATTGGATGGACGGACGGATGGATTGATGGATGGATGGATGGATGGATGAATGAATGAAAGAGTAAATGAAGTTTCTTAGTAAAAACTTTTTAGTCTTTTAAGGGTCTCCTATTTAAAAAATTATTCCTACAGGGTCATATTCACTTACCCCTGATAGGAACTAAAGACAAATTCACTTACCCCTGATAGGAACTAAGGACAACTTACAAATGGCAGAATAATCCTTGATGGTTGAGGCACAGCAAGAAACTAGGGATGCTGAAAAGGAAACTGCCAGAGATAAATTGCCCGTATTTCTCTGTTTTGCATGAGCCAGCCCTGCAGGTGCCTGGACTGAAGCCCAGACCTTCCCAAAGACTTGCTCAAGTAGCATAATTTTTAGTGCCTAAGAAATACAGAATCCAAAGGCCTTAAGAAAACTGAAAAATACCTTAACAGAATAATAGTCATGTTCTCAACTTTTACTCCTTCCACGCCTCTTAAACACCCAAATTGGGCTATATAATTTGTTGTAGACATGTACATAAAACACAGAAAAAAATACAAACACAATTCTTTCCTACCCTTTACTCATTGTTCAACATACAATTACAAAAGCCTATTCATTTCACTGCATTTGCATTTAACGATGTTCATGGCCAGGAGGACAGTGAGGAAAAAAACAATCATTTTCAAATTATTACTGGACACTCAGTATTTAAGTAATTCATGACAAATTTTTACAAAACTTATGATACTGCTATCAACGATCTTCATTACTAGTGTCCATCATGGGAACTGTTACATAAATATACATAAACATAGGAGAGGCTTCCACATGGCCATGTTTATTCTGCTGCATTTAAAGAATAACCAAGAGTATGTAGAAAATATATGACAACATTTATTATACAACTCAAAGTACCTGAAAGAGGACCTAATTTTAAACTCATGGCAACACTTCTGAGATTCTTTCCTGTCTGCTTTTCTCTTATTCTAAGACTATTCCATTTCTTCAGACCTCTTTCTCCTACTCTGGTCCTACAGAATTCTGGTGCCCCTTTCTCATATCACTGATATAAATGGATCCAGCCTCCCTGTTTCCTTCAGTTTTCCCTTTATTTTACATAGCATCATCCTAGTTCTTCAACCCGGCAACTGGCCAGCCAGCAGGAATTCTTTGCCCTAAATAACTGTGGATTTGGAAAGCTGGGAAATAGCTATCATTTTTAAGACAAGATTTAGATAAATGGCTGCCATCAGTACAATATTATATCTGCCACCCAAATATTGATAGTCCATTTTAAGATTTCACTTTAAATGTATCAATTGAATTGTTAAATAAGTTTGGAAGAGTATAAATCAAGTTTCACACTGATTATCACCAAATAGATACTTTTTTTTTCTTTTTGGGGCTTGATAATATTTTAGAAGTTCTTCGATAGTAACAAGAGATTTTCCCTTTAAAACTTTCAAAATGGCACTTTAAACAGTTTCAAGTTTCAAATTATTGGAAAGTTTATATACTTTCTTTCTTGTCTTCTTGGACCTCTTCTATATTTTGCCATATTTTTATTGAATAAACAGCCACCCTTCATTAAAACAATTAATTCATTCATGCTTTAACTTCTTAACTTTTCAAGTACTCTCACTTTTCTCTCAACATTTTTGATCTGAAAAGAATGCGGAAGTGTGAATCTCTTATTTCTTCTCTCCTCCTCCTCCAGAGTTTATTTTAGATGTTTTTCTTCATTGCATCTTCAAGAATAGATGGTCTATTTGTGCTCATTAGCAAACTTCTGATTGCTTAGCAATTCCCTTAGGCTGAGGAAAGATTAGCCTTTTTTTTTCCCCCTTCGGCAAACTTAAAGTTATGCATCTTGCCTATCTGCCGTCTTTATAGTATTCTGGGTAGAAGAAAGGAAAAAAGATGGCAGGAGAAAGGTGGATCCCAAAATAAAAGCAATTAACCACCGAGACAAGTTATTTTCCTTCAGATATCATCCTGGAACACAAAAGCTCCTGGTGGCATTCCTGGTATCAAAATTCTCAGCATGCCTCTGACCTTACAGAAGCCCAGTGGAGCCAAAGTTTACAAACCAATCCAAGAGAATCTTAAACACAAGGTGAAGAACGCAACACAATACAGTTTTTGAATCCCCAGATAATCTGGTTTCTATTTTCCTAAGTTAATGAGTTCCACGTGGGGCCCAATTTTCATCTTATCCAAAGCAGTTCTGCTGTTTCTTCAAGGCCACACTTCCAGGCAAGTGGACAGAGGGGCTGATTCATCTGCTCCACATGCCCGTATGCCTCATGCTAGTTTTATTATAGAAAGACAATACACCTACGTAAAGGGAAAACTATGAATTGATATAAGGTATTTTTTTCTAATACCATTCTCCTCATTTATTTTGTTCTCAGTGCTATACATTCATTTGGGACATTTTGGTTTAAAGAAAATTATTCTGAAAAAATATTTTATATGACTATCATAAAATATAGTAAAGCACTGAAAAAAGCTCTAGTTTCTCCTGCCTGGGTAAGAGCTGAGACACAGATATCAGCACATAAAACTAGGTAACATCTCTTCCCATAAGAAATTGAGTGTTTTGTTCTGTTTTTATATATGCTGCTTTACATAGAGTAGAAAGTGAGGTGCCATGAAAAGGCAAGATGTGTTGGAGCAAGATTGAGAGTTCTGCAAGAGATGAGCCAAAAAAGGAGAAGGGATCTGGGGAAATGAATGACTCTGACATCACAAACCAGAGTTAGCAACGTGGCCAGAGGCACACAGTGGCAGCTGGAACTGGAGCCTGTCCTTACCCAACTCTACTCACAGCTGGTGTGCACTCAGGTACATAAGAAAGATTTGAAACAGGAAGAGTTATCCTACCAAGTGCAAACACTTCAGGAATGCAAGCAACCCTGTGGAGGGACCCCATGACACAGAAGACATCAGTGTTTATCTCACTTCAAAAAAACTGCTGAGTATTCCTGGCACCAAAACAGTTGAGAGCAAAAGTGACTGGGGTAAAACACAGGGTTTTTTTGTTTTTGTTGGTTTTTTGTTGTTGTTTTGTAAAGAAAGAAGAGGTTACAGAGAAATATTAGATATGGATGGGGCCAGATAATACGTGATAAAATTGGCAGACTAATTCATGAGGTTCATGTAAGACTTCTTACATCTAAAGAAACATCCTAGAGACACCTAACTTATCTTTTACTACGTGAGTTGCCAGGCCACAAGAAGCCACATATGGACCTGAAGGAAAAAACTGCACATCACAGAGGGATTCTAAACTTAACACTGGATGTGTAATTGGGATGGATTTCAGGTTTTCTCTTTGGGGAAAGGGGTAAATGTGTTCTGTGTATACAAAGAAGGGCACATGATAGATACTTGGTGGCCAAAGAATAGGACTGTAGTAGGGACAGACTAGCTGTCTACCAAAGATTCAGGCTCCCCTTCCAAGGTCCAGAGCCATCGCTGTGAAGTGACTTCCACACCAAGGACTACATTTCCCAACTCTCCAATATTGGTCCTGTAAGTGAATAGGAGGCAATGTGTTCTAGGCAGGAGCTAGGTACAGCACTTCTACACCTGGTTCAAAAAAACTTCTAGTATAATTCTTCCCCATCTGCCATCTGGAAGTCATGTATGGAAGAAGTGATTTTATCAGCCCATGTCTGTGAATACTCCATGAAAGAAAATTGCCACCCTCTCTCCACCACCACCAAGAGAATTTTTGTAAGAAATAAATTTCACCTACATTAAGACACTGAGATTTCAGAGTTCATCCATCTATTAAGCAGCTAATATGAGCATAAAAACATTTCATAAAACTGAATTTTGGAATTACCCAGTAATCCAAAAAGTGAACAGAGGATACAGTTTATTCAATTTCAATAAATACGATAGCACATTAAATTATAAGTGATTATAGTTTTAATACACAGAAATATCGAATATAAAAGTCACATAGGAATTCTATGCCCAGCATTATAGCAAGATATTCTCTAACCTAATCATATCTTTTAAGATGCAGGATTTAAAAATATCTTTTAAAATTCATCTAACCTAGCAAGAAAGTGGGGAAACTCTGAAAGGCAAAAAGTGACAAGAAAAGAGCGAATCCAGAGAGAGACCAAGTATTGAAATCACCAGTGGATTTCCAAAAAGCATTTGCAGATCACTTGGTTTTTACTGATAAACATGAGATTGAGAAAACAAAGCTTAAGGATCCCAGAAGATGAGATGTCAAATTACAATCCTCCAAAAAGTTGGCACTCAAAAGAGATGACAAGTCAGACAAAGAGTGAACTACATAAATAAAAGCACCTATGAAGGAAGACAGTGAGGAAAACTGCCTGACTAGGCCTAGGCCATGGGTGGAGAGAAAAAAATGTCTTGCCTGAGAATTGCTAACAATAAAGCAAACTTCATAACAGATGCGAGATCAGACTTTACATTATTTTTACAGCCTGAAAAACCTCGAGTAGAAAATAATTTAAGGTAGTCCAAATTGTAGTGCTCTCAGATGCTAGACAGAGGCAAACAAATGCTCTCTGTAGAAATGACCTCAACCTCAGACCCCAAAGAATTCCCACAGATAAAAGTCTCAACAAGCATAAGCTCACAATTGAAACACAAATCACAACTGGAAACAAGCCTGTGTGACTGAGACTTAAACAAATCAGTTCCACAAAAACTGCAGGTGTTTAAATTATCAATGTAAAATATGAATAATTAATGTTAAAAAAGAACAGATATCATATCTTATTTCAGGCTACTATAATAAATTACCATAGACTTAGAGGCTTAAACAAATATTTTTCACAGTTCTAGAGTTCAAGAATAGGGTACCAACATGGTCAAGGTTTTGGTGAAAGCTGTCTTCCTGGTTACAAAATCTCATGGCCTTCCTTGGTGTATGCATGCAGAGAGATCTTCTGTCTCCTCCTCTTTTCCTAAGAGCCCTGTGAGAGCTCTACCCTCATGACCTCATCTAATCCTAATCACCTCCCACAGGCCCCACCTTCAAATACCATCACATTCTTGATTAGGGTTTCAACACATGAATTTGGGGGGACAGACACTCAGTCTACAGCAGTTAGTAAAAGAATATAATGGCAGAATAAGCAAGTACCAAAACTATGAACCAGCAGATATGCAAAACAGTTAAGTAGAAAGGAAGAGTATAATATTAAAGTGAGAAATTCAAAGGAAGAGTTAAATAAGTTATTTGATATGGCAGAAAAGAAAGTAAGTTCAAAGATAGAGAGCTAAAGATTGAATGCAGAATGAAACACAAAGAGACAGATGGAAAATATGACATCTGAGATGTTGTGAAACATGAAGTTCGGAGTGAGAAGGTATAATAAAGATCTACTAACGATGTGGTGGTGCCTCCTGTAGTCCCAGCTACTTGAGAAGCTGAGGCAGGAGAATTGCTTGAGCCTGGGAAGTCAAGGCTGCAGTGAGCTGTGACCATGCCACTGCACTCTAGCTTGGGTGACAGAGCGAAACCCTGTCTCACGCACAACAAAAAAACTACTAAGATTTTCAAAAGATCCTACAAAGAATGGAACAGAAGCTCTAACAGACGAAATATTGATGGGGAGCTGACAAAAGACACCCATCCAAAGACTTAGGTATCCCAGAACATCTTAAGCCAGGTTAATAGAAAGAAATCCACACCTAGACTCATAGTAAACCAAAAACAATTTTAAAAGATCTTTAAAGCAACTAGAAAAGTAGAACAATGAAACTGAAAGCTGACTCTTCAAAAACTGAAAGCTGGAAACAGCTGAACGAAGTCTTCAAGGTGCTAAACATATATACATAATTCTTAATCTCCGAAAGATTTTCAACAAGGATGCCAGGACCATTCAATGGAGAAAGGACAGTTTCTTCAACAAATGGTGTTGAGAAAACTGAATATCCACAGGCAAAAGAATGTAGTTGGACCCTTACCTTACATCACATTCAAAATTTAACTCAAAGTAGATCAAAGACCTAAAAGATCTGAACTGTAAAGCATACAAGGAAAAATAGGGGAAAATCTTCATGACATTGGATTTGGCAAGGATTTCTTGGATATAACAACAAAAGCATAGGCAACAAAAGTAAAAGCTTCTGTGCAAAGGGCACAATCCACAGAGTGAAAATGCAGCCTACAGAATGGGAGAAAATATTTGCAAATCATGTATCTGATAAGAGGTTAATATCCAGAATATAAAAAAAAATGCCTTTAACAAGAAAACAGCCCAAGCTTTTAAAACAGACAAATCCTTTGAATAAACATTTCTCCAAAGATGATATATAAATGACCACGTATATGCAAAGGGACCCAACATTACTAATCATTAGGAAAACGCAAATCAAAACCCCAATGGATATCACCTCACGCCCATTAGGAATTCTACTATCAGAAAAAAAAAAAAAAATGGAAGTTAAATGTTGGTAAGGACAGGAAAAAATTACCAAGGATGGGAAAAATAGTGTTGGTGGGAATGTAAAATTGTACCGCCACTATAAAAGATAACCCTCAAAAAAAATAAAATAAAATAGAATTGCCGTATGATCCAGGAATTCTACATCTGGGTCTCTATTCAAAAGAAAGCAAGATCTCAAAGACTTACTTGCCCACCTATGTTTGTAGCAGCACTATTCACAATAGCCAAGTGGTGGAAATAACGTAGGTGTTGACCAGCAGATAATGGATAAACATAATGTGGTATATACATACTGATATGGTTTGACTGTGTCCCCACTGAAATCTCTTCTTGAATTCCCCACGTGTTGTGGGAGGGACCCAGTGGGAGGTAACTGAATCATGGGAACAGATCTTTCCTATGCTGTTCTCATGATAATGAATAAGTCTTATGAGATCTGATGGTTTTATAAGGGGGAGTTTCCCCACACAAGCTCGCTCTCTCTCTGCCTGCTGCCATCCACGTAAAATGTAACTTGCTCCTCCTTGCCTTCCACCATGATTGTGAGGCCCCCCGAGCCACGAGGAACTGTAAGTCCATTAAAACTCATTCTCTTGTAAATTAGCCGATCTCAGGTATGTGCTTATCAGCAGTGTGAAAACAGACTAATACACATACAATGGAATATTATTTAGACTTAAGAAGGAAAGAAATTCTGACCACATCCTACAATACAGATAAATCTTGGACACACTATGCTAAGTGAAATAATCCAGTCACAAAAGACAAGTGTAAGAGTCTTCCCTTATCGTCAGGGGATACATTCCAAGATCCCTGTGGATGCCTGAAACCAAGGGTATTAATGATGCCTATATATATGATGTTTCTTCCTGTACATACATACCTACAATAAAGTTTAATTTATAAATTAGGCACAGTAAGAGATTAATAACTAATAATAAAATAGTACAATTATAACAATATGCCAGCATCACTGCTCTTGTACTTTGGGGCCATTATTAAGTAAAATAAGGGTTACTTGAAAACAAACGCTGCAATACCTGGACAGGTGATCTGATCACTGAGATGGCTACTAGGTGCCTACCAGTCAGGTAGCATATGCGGAAGGGCTATGCTGGACAAAGGAATGATTCACATCCTGGGCTGAATGGGACAAGATTTCATCACACTACAAAGAATGTCACCCAATTTAAAACTTACAAATTGTTTATTTCTGGAAATTTTTATTTAATATTTTCAAACCACAGTTGACAGCAGGTAACAAACTGCAAAAAGTGGAACCACAAGTAAGGGGAGTCTACTGTACTGTATTATTCCTCTTACATGAGGTATCTAGAGTAGTCAGATTCATGGAACCTATTCACAGAAACAGAAAGTAGAACGGTGGTTGTCAGAGCCTTGGGGGAGGGGGAAAGGGGGAGTTGTTTAATGAATCAAAAGTTTCACTTCTGCAAGATGAAAACATTCTGGAGATCAGTCACACAACAATTTGAATATACTTAAAACTGCTAAAAACGACTGGGAGGTAAAAATGATAACAATTGAACTTAGAAAAAGTTAAGACGACAAACTTCATTTTTTCCATTTTTTTCTACAACAAACATTTTTAATACAATTAAATACAGTCAATCACGTGTTGCTGAGGTGATTTTGTCATTGTGCAAACAACATAGAGTGTACTTCCACAAACCTAGATGGTATAGCCTACTACACACCTAGGCTATATGGTTTAGCCTATTGCTCCTAGGCTACAAACATATACAGCACGTTACTGTATTGAATACTGTAGGCAATTGTAACACGATAAGTATTTGTGTGTCTAAATATATCTAAAGATAGAAAAGATAACACACTGTGCTATGTTAAGACAGCTGCCACATGCCACTATGCCACAGGAGTTTCTCAGCTCCCTTATAATCTTACCCCCTGTTGTATCTGCAGTCTGTCGTTGTCCAAAACATTATGTGGTGCATGACTGTGTATAATTCATTATCTATAATCAATTGCCAAACTATCAGTCAAGAATGAAGGGAAAAAACTCAAGACAATAATTACTCAATACTTCTTACCAATTATTCTGCTCAGTTATTATACTTTTGACATAAAATTTATATAAAAGATGAATATATATTTTAAGAATAAGATCAGTGAATGCCACCATTTAAAGAAACAGAATATTATCAATATCCCTAAGGCCCCCGGTTTCCCTACCTGATTGCTTATACCTCCTTTGTCCCTCTCTTCAGAGTTAGCCACTATCCTTACTTTTACCTTAATTATTCCCTTATTGTTCTTTATGGTTTAAACTCACATGAATTTCCTATCCACATGTTGCTCAGTTTCAGCTGCTTTTTAAATTTTAAAGGAAATTCTGTGTATATATTTTTAAGGCACCTTTTGTTTCTTACTAATATATGTAGCTGTAGTCCATTTTCACATTATATGTTATTCCATTATATGCATGCAATACAATTTATCCACTGCAAATGTAGATGTGCATTTGGCTTGTTCCTGTTTTTTGCTTTTAAGGATGTTGCTTTGAACATTGATGTGTCTGCTGACATACATGTGAGTTTCACCAAGCTATAGAGCTGTGCCTTAGAGTGTTCACTCATTTCACTTTTTAAGTAAAACGCAAAACTATTTCCAAAATGGTTTTACAATTGACACTTGAAGCCGAAGTATAAAAGTTCTCATTTTTTAAAAGTAACATTTCTGTTTAAATTATATTACCTAAAAATTGGTCACATTTTTCCTGCAATGTGGAAGGTCTATGTTGTACAACCACAAATGATTCATTTGATGTATTTCTTTACTGTTTGTCATTGAATTTTCATTTATAAATAGCCCTGTCTCTCCTACATGTTCAAATTTTTCCAATTCCAGGCAAATTCCACTTATAATGTAAGAAACAGGAATATATTCTCCTGTGACATTATTTAACACAAGAATTTGGGCCGGATGCAGTGGCTCATGCCTGTAATCTCAGCACTGTGGGAGGCCGAGGCAGGTGGTTCACTTGAGATCAGGAGTTCCAGACTAGCCTGGCCAACATGGTGGAACCCTGTCGCTACTAAAAATACAGAAATTAGCCAGGCATGGTGGCACAAGCCTGTAGTCCCAGTTACTTCGGAGGCTGAGGTAGAGGTTATAGTGAGCCAAGAGCACGCCACTGCGCTCCAGACTGGGCAACAGGAGTGAAACCCTGTCTAAAAAAACAACATGAATTTGGTTCCAACAGTTTTGTGTCTCCACTCCCATGTTTACTGCAGCACTATTCAACTATTCACAACAGCTAAGATTTAGAAGCAAGCTAAGTGTCCATCAACAGATGAATGGATAAAGAAAATGTGGCTGGGTGTGGTGGTTCACACCTGTAATCCCAGCACTTTAAGGGGGTCAAGGTGGGAGGATTGCTTGAGCCAAGAAGTTGGAGACGAAGCTTGGCAACATAGTGAGACCTCATCTCTACAAAGTAAAAAAAAAATAGCTAGGCATGGTGGTGCACGCCTGTAATCCCAGCTACTCAAGGGGCTGAGATGGGAGGATAGCTTGAGCCTGGGAGGTCGAGGCTACAGTGCACCGTGATTGCTGCCATTGCACTTTAGCCAGGGTGATAGAGAGAGACTCTATCTGGAAAAAAGAAAGAAAAAGAGAAAGAAAGAAAATGTGGTACATATATACATTAGAGTACTATTCAGCCATAAGAAAAGAATGAGATCCTATAATTTGCAACTGCATGGATGGAACTGGAGGACATTATGTTAAGTTAAATAAGCCAGGAACAGAAAGACAAATTTCCCATGTTCTCACTCATCTGTGGAAGCTAAAAATTGAAATAATTCAACTCATGAACATAGAGAATAGAATGATGGTTACTAGAGGCTAGGAAGGATAGTAGTGATAGAGGAAGAATGGGGATGGCTAATAGGTACAAAAATATAGTTATTAATGGATAGAATGAGTGAGACTTGGTATTTGATAGCACAGCAGGGTGAGTACAGTCAACAATAACTTACATTTTTAAATAACTAAAAGAGTATAATTGGATACTTTGTAACACAAAGAAAGGATAAATGCTTGGGGTGATGGATGTCCCATTTACCCTATTATACAGTATATACCTGTATCAAAATATCTCATGTACCTCACAAATATATACACCTACTATGTACCCACAAACATTTAAAAAATTAAAATTAAAAAATAAGATACAGAAGAATCGGAAGACAATGTTGTCTTTAAAAACAGAGTTTTATGATCAGGGCTTAGAAGTGGGTTTTGCAAAGATTGATCATTATCCTCTGAGAAAAAGAAAAATATATACAGTAGCACCATACTATTTTATCAGAGTTAAATAATTGTACTGTTTAGGTCTCAGTCTTTGCCTTACACAGCTTGACACAGAAAACACCAGGCATTTGTATTCTAGTCCTATCCCTAAGTACCTATGGGACTTTAATCGAGAGATGTCACCTCATTTATTGGTGAAATGAAAGATTAATAATCTCAAAGCTTTGTTTCATCTGGAAAATTCTATTTACTCTCTGCTATTATGTCACTAGCTGGCAATTAGCAGGCTCTTATCCTGCAAAGGTCTTTTTTATGGCTTTTATTGTGTTGTTCTCTAATTGAATATGGCTGGGTGTGCAATCACCAGTTTTCTCTAAGACCCGCCACTCCTAACAGTTACATCCTGACCCAAATGTTCAAGCTGCCTCCCTGGACTTGAAACACTTGAGTTTTCAAACACTGCTCTATAGTAAATACTTTTACCCATTGAGAAACACTAATATTTATCACAACAACTAGTTCTTTAGAGTGCACCTTAGAGTTGATTGTTTTCATGGGCTTTACTTCATGTATTTTCATGTGTATTCTATGTCACAGTCGTCCTGATGATCCTTTTGACTATGGAATATGTAGAGCATCTTTCCATTGCCCAAATATTAGCAAAAACAAGTCAAAATGTCTTCTTTAATAACCCACAAACACAATGTCATACATGCAAATGCTGTGGTGCCTCACTTCATGGAGAAAGCCCAGAATTCAAGTTGCCAACTTCCCACTGGTGATTGGCACAGTAAGCCAGGCTATAGGGAAATGAAGTGGGATCAGATGCTCTTCAGCAAGTGTCTAGCTCTGCCCAGAACCACTCTGAAAGCCTCCTCCAGACAATGCGGAGGAGCCAAGCCGAACATATGCTCGCAGAGGGGGAGTCAGGAAACAACTAGGACATCAACATCCACATCTTGGCATGAGCTACTAACCCTTAAACACTTCCAGCTTCTCTCTATAGGGAAGAGGAAAGAAAGCGCCACATTTCAGCAAATTTAATGACATGTCCCAAAACGTACTTCCCCAAATTCAAAACCCCTGAGAGGAGTCCATACACGATATTTGCAACTTGGCACTGTCTCAAAACATTGCCTATCTTGTGTTAATGTGTTTATTTGCTTTTAAAAGATTGTCTTGTTCACCCACGAGCAGTCAAAAGAACACACAGTATTGTCAGCCAGATTGGCTGTAACCATTATTATAACCTTTACTATATCTGCTGACATTCTGTTTTTGTTCCCAGTCCAGATGTCATGTATAATGGAGTATATTCTCTCATTATGTGCGTTAGTGCTTAGGAATGCCAACATAATTCAACGAACTGCTTGATATCTCAGAAAAGTACGTTTTTGTAAATTATTCAAATTTTCCATAAACCAGCTACAAAACAGGGCATTCACTACCTAATTTCTCCTGGAGCTTGCCCTAGATACAATGTTAAATTAAGCTGAAAAATTACATGGTTTTCTATCAACTGAATCAGCTGAAACATACCATAAGGTAGTAGTATGAGGCTATTTTACTATTATTCTGAATAAGAATACAATTTGGTGGGAGAAATCCTAATCCTGAACCTCCAATTTAATATGAGGGAAGGCTACTTAAAACTAGCTTCAAAGCATACCACAGAGCCTTGGAGACAGGGGGAAAAAAAAAAGCACCAATTGTATAACCCCATTAAGGAACCCCTACTTGTATTTTTCTAGGCATGTTGGGGGCACGTCACAGAAGGAACTAACAATTTTTCACTTTCCTTAACTTTTATTTCAGGTTCAGAGGGACATATGCAGGTTATATAGGTAACTACATGTCTTGGGCTTTTGGTGTACAGATTATTTCATCGCCCAGGTAGTAAGCATAGTACCTGATAGTTTTTTGATCCTCTCCCTTCTCTCACCCTCCACTCTATAGTAGGCCCTGGTCTCATTTGTTCTCCTCTTTGTGTTCATGTGTTCCCTTTGTTTAGCTTCCACTTATGAGAACATGTGGTATTTGGTTTTCTGCTCCCGAGTTTACTTAGGATAATGGCCTCCAGTTCCACCCATGTTGCTACAAAGAACATGATCTCATTTATTTTTATGGCTGCATAGTGTTCCATGGAGTGTATGTACCACATTTTCTTTATCCAGTCTATCATTCATAGGCATTTAGGTTTATTCTATGCCTTTGCTATTGTGAATAGTGCTGTAATGAACGTATATGTGTGTATGTATCTTTATGGTAGAATGATTTATATTCCTTTGGGTATATACTGAGTAATGGGATTGGTGGGTCAAATGGTAATTATGTTTTAAATTATTTGAGGACTGGATACAGTGCTTTCCACAATGGCTGAACTAATTTACATTCCCATCAGCAGTATATAAGCATCCCCCTTTCTCTGGAACCTCACCAGCATCTGTTATTTTTTGACTTTTTTAGTATAAATAGCCATTCTGACTGGTGTGAGATGATATCTCATTGTGGTTTTAATTTACATTTCTCTAATAATTAGTGATGTTGAACATTTTTTCATATGCTTCTTGGCCACCTGTATGTCTTCTTTTGAAAAGTATCTGTTTATGTCCTTTGCTTACTGTTTAAGGGGGTTGTTTTTTCCTTGTAAATTTAAGTCTGTTATACATTCTGGATATTAGACCTTTTTCAGCTGCTTAGTTTGGAAGTATTTTCTCCCATTCTGTAGGTTGTTTAATCTGTTTATTGCTTTTTTTTTTTTTTTTTTTTTTTTTTTTAAGATAGGGTCTTGCTCTGTCACCCAGGGTGGAGTGCAGTGGCACAATCTCGGCTCTCTGCAACCTCCACCTCCCAGGTTCAAGCAATTCTCCTGCCTCAGCCTCCTGAGTAGCTGAGATTATAGACACCTGCACCATGCCCGGCTAATTTTTGTATTTTTTAGTAGAGATGGAGTTTCACCATGTTGGCCAGGCTGCTCTTGAACTGCTGACCTCAAGCGATCCACCCACCTCGACCTCCCAAAGTGCTGGGATTACAGGTGTGGACCACCACACAGTGTTGATAGTTTCTTTTGCTATGCAGGAGCCCTTTAATTAGGTCCCATTTGCTAATTTTTGTTTTTGATACAATTGCTTTTGGTAACTTCGTCATCATTTTCTACTTTCAATAAAACTCCCTCACCACTGTTTGAAAACCATTTTTTTTAAGTTAACTAATGGCCCTCCTTTTGCCAACCCAATGGTCAATTATCTTTCCTCCTATTAGATATCCTGCAGCATTTGACACATTTGGCTAATTCTGTCATCTCTGTATTCTCTAACCATCTGTGTCACTTTAATTTTCCAGATTTTTCCCCTAGCACATTGCTTTCTATCTTTCAGTCTACTTTGTTGACCTCTCTCACTCTCAGATTTATTCAATTATCCATGATTCTCTTTTTGGCCCTCTTCTCTTTCTAGTCTCCCTAGACAATCTCATCCCATTTACAGCTTCCAATAGCATCCATATTTTTGATGATCCCCAGATTCAAATATTTAATCCCAATCTCCCCACTAAACCCTAGACTTGTATATCCAACCACTCTACATCTCTGTTTGAAAATCTAATATCTACCTCAAATTTAATGTATCAAAAAAAGAATTCTTGACTTTCTAAAGTCACTTTTTCCCTGGTCTTCTCAATCTCAGAAATGATATCATCATCCACCCTGCTGATCAGACTAAAACCTTTGTATCATCCTTGATTCTTCTATGTTTCTCACAGCCCAAATCCATCTACCAGGACATTGCGTCAGTTCCACCAATAAATACACCTAGAATCTGACCACTTCTCACCATTTTCACTGCTATAATTTTAATTCAAGACATCATCAACTCTCATTCAAGCTAACAGCATCCTGGTGGGTTTTCTGTTTCCACTCTCTTCTGAGGGTTCATTCTCCATGCAGTAGCCAAATGATCCTTATAACACAAAAATTGGGTTATACCTCTACTAATAACAAGCTAATCACTTCCCATGCAAAAAAATAAAATCAAAACTAGATCTGAATCTAACTAACATCAACGTCCACCACTTCTCACTTTGTCCACTACTCTCTGTTCACAGTGGACTTTTTTGCCTTCGAACACATAAAGGTCATCCCCACTTTTCGCCTCTGCATTTGTCATTTCTTCTGATTGTATCATTCCTTTCCAGGTGTCCACATAACTGACTGACTGACTCTCTTTCATGCTGATCTCAGCTCAAATGTCACTTGCCGGAGAAGCCTCCTTTATCAGCCTAGCTAAAATAACCCCTTACTGGCTGAGCACAGTGGCTCACACCTATTATGCCAGCACTTTGGGAGGCCAAGGCAGGCAGATCTCTTTGAGGTCAAGAGTTCAAGACCAGCCTGGCCAATATGGCAAAGACCTGTCTCTACTGAAAATACAAAAATTAGCTAGACATGGTGGTGCATGCCTGTAATCACAGATATTTGGGTGGCTGAAGCATGAGGATCATTTAAACCCAAGAAAAGGAGGCTGCAGTGAGCCCAGTGCACTCCAGCCTGAGTGATACAGCAAGACTCTAAATAAATAAACCCTTACTTTCTAACCCATCTTATTTTCCTCTTGGTATTTTTCAAACCCTTAAAGTATGCTTTTTGTTCATTTTATTTTTTATTTACTGCTTGTTCTCCCCATGAAACTATTATTAGTAGGACCTTGCATTTTTTACCATTTTATTAGCAGCTCATAGAACAGTACTCGCCACATAGTATGTTCTCAACAAATAAACAAAGTAATAAACATCTGAAAATGTTTCTAAGAGCTCATGTTCATTTTATGAGTCAAATATTACCAAATTATAGCATTTTCTGGAATCCTAGAAAACAGAAAAGTTAAAACATTGGAAAATTCAAGAAGCATCTGTTGCATATTTTTTATAAAATACTTTAATACCTAATATTGAGTGATAATTTTTCTGTTTGTTAGCCACCGTATCTTCAATAATCAGCCTCTGCCCATTTTGGACAAGATCACAAGAATTTAATTGACCATTGGCACTAGATATGAGTCCTACTGATGTCATTCTTTCATGCTGTCTCCCCTCTACTCCCACCCATAGGACCACCTTGTTATTCAACAATATGGTTTGTAGACAATTTGTCAGATTAAATCCTCATCAATATGTTTCTTAAAAATATCTCTAGCTTTAATTTCATCTATTGCAATGAGTAAAGCTGGACTGAAAGGGGCACATTCCTTTAAGTCATTGGAGAGCACAAAGGGCGCAAGTCCGAAGCATGAAACATACAGCATAGACAAGCCTCTGGGAATCAGACCACCTACACTCAGAATTGGTTCAACAATTTCAACTTGGCCAAGTCACTTGACTGCTCACTCTAAGCCTGTTTTCTTCTCTAATTTGCGGATATGTAGCTCATAGGGTTGTTGTCAGGATTAAAAAAATAACATATCAGAGAGACTTCTCAGAAACACTGAATTGGGGCCCTCTGGGAAGAAGTTGAGGTTGTTAGGCAGCTAGAACTAGATATAGGTAATTGGCACTCAGCATTCATTTCTTCCTGAAAAGTAAATGCCACATTCCCCAGACACTTCTGTAGTGAGAGTTCTGGATGAAATTAAATCCACCAATGTGATATAAAATTTGGTTGCTGGGTTGCAGCTATGACGGTGTACCCTGAACCAGTGTCCCAGTCTCAACCCTAACTCCTCCGACCCTTTCCCATTTCATGAGCACCTAAATCATCTATATTAAACCCCTTTCTCTCTGAAACACACAGTGTGGTTCCTGAGTCCTGAATTGAAATCTTATTTTTATATATTTAATAACAAATAATACTTAAGGAACACAACTATATACCAGGCACTGTTCTAAGCTTTTGCATATATTGATTAATGTAATATCCTAACAATCCTATGAGGTAGGTACATTATCATGGTTTTGCAGATAAAGAAAAAGAATTGTGAGATTAAGTTAATTTGCCCCAAAATTAAATAGGTAGTAAGCAGCAGAGCCAGGATTCAAATCTAGATGGTCTGGTCTGAGTGGCATATTCTTAGCCTGAGTGGCATATTCTTAACCATCTCTTTCAAATAAAACAGGAAAATTATGACCCAACTTAAAACAGCCTAACCTTCTGCTAGTTCACAACTATTCACTGCAGAAAACAAGTCGAACAGAGATAACTCTGAAGAGAAGCCTAAGTACTATTTAGTCCAACCCGTTCACTTTGAATATGAGGAAGCTGAAGCGCTAAGAAATTTTGAAATGACCAGGCTCACAAAATTGATACATAAAATCCAGGAATGGAATACAACTTTTTAAATTCTAAATGTGATATCTGCATGATAGATTTTCTTTCTAATTTTTAATATTTCCATTTATCCAAAAATACTTGGTTACTTGATTACCTCTGATACATACCAGAGGAATTTTTAAGTAAGCATTAGAAGTCAGCAAGATCCTAGGAAGTTTCTGTGGAGCTTTTAATAAAGGGAAAGAAGAACTGTCTATAGAACAAAAGTGAGAAAATTATTACTATTGAATAACTTATTGTTTACTTGTGATACTTCTGTATTTTCAATTGTATAAAGTATGTCTGACTTTAGACTTAGAACTATTATAAGTAAAAATTTAGCTTTCATAATTAGATCATTTCCATTTCAATTTTCTTCTACCCCATATGGCAAAAACTGTGTGAAAACTCAAAGGGGTTAGTGAAGTGTTATATTTTTAAGGAGATGTAGTACATGGTATTCTCAACAAATGTATGCATTTTACCTAATAATTAGCAAGATATGAAAAACTTGAACACCCATGGGTAAAAGTGCTACTGAGCATTTATGTCCCCAAATTTCTGATTTCAATAACGAGAATGCAAAGACATTAACATTTTTTATCCTAATCTTAGAACAAAAAAATTAAAGCCTATAGATTTTCTCATATTATAAAAGATTATCATTGCCATGCTATAAAAAAAGGAACTTGAATTGACATGGATTTTGAGGACTCAAAAAATTAGAAACTGAATTTTGGAGGTTTTATTTGTGTGTGTGTGTGTGTGTGTGTGTTTTTTATTTACACAGCTTTAATCTCTTGGATTGGAATTCCAAAACCCTGATAATTAAAAAGAGAATTTGCAATGAGATAACATTTTCTCTTTCTGCCAGATTACCCAAGTAGCAACTCGGCTGGGCAACAGCAATCATGGAAAATGATGCATACAAGTCCCAGAATAGTAATAAAAATGCCAGCATGTGTTTATTCCTCAGCAGTAAATAAAACCCCAATTATTCACACTGTCTAAGGCTTCCCTAAGGAAACCAATCCACCCCTAGCAGCATCAGCATGAGTTTACATAGCAAGGTTACAGGTAAAACTGGGAGGGGCAGCTTCCCAAAATGTCTCAGAAGAAACTGGCTCCTCAAATCACACAACCTGTCTACAAAATACAGATAATCAGGCAATTTAGATAATTCTACATATTAGTCTATTTTTAAGTAATGGCATTAGATTTTCAAAGAAGTGTTTGAGTTAAGAAAATCACAGATTTCCAGTACAGGCAGGAAAATTTCTGGCAATAGCTCTCAACTTTTTCATTATTAAGTATATTTGTATTAACTTTTATGATGCTTAATTTTAGGGTCAACTTGACTGAATTAAAATATACTTACAGAACTGGTCAAATAGTAATTCTGGGTGTGTTTCTGTGGGTATTTCTAGGAGAGATTGGTGTGTGATTCAGTGGACTGAGTGGGAAAAATCTGCCCTCAATGTGGGCAGGCGCCAGCCAATTGGCTAAAGATCTGGATAAAACAAAAAGTGGAAAGGCAAATTTCCTCTCCCATTCCTACCCCCTTTTCTTCCTTTATTTGCCCTGCTGCCATGTTATCATGCAGCAAGAAGGCCCTCACCAGATGCCTGCACCTTGATATTGGGCTTCCCAGAATCCTGAACTATGAGAATTAAATTTGTTTCTTTTAAATTACAGTCTGTGGTAATTTGTTACAGCAGCACAAGATAGACTAAGACAACTTCCTTATAAATCCCATTTTTTAAATATTTCTTTGTAATTATGTTTGTTAAATTAACATTCTTAACAAATTAACAGCAAGTTTAACCACCAGAGCTCCTGATTAGCAAGAAATTGATAAAAAATTTTAGCCAAAAATTAAAAAAAAATCAATGTGCTATTTTACTGAGATATACAGCATGATTGACAGGAAATGCCTGATTTCCATTAGGCTTATGGGTACTGAAAACAATTTGAGGACCTCCTGGTATGCCTAAATACTAAAAATCCAAGATTGTTGGAACAACTAGAGTTTTTTTCTTAAAAGAAGCAACAATTAAAGAAATACTCAAATTATCCCCAGAAACTAAATGGAAATAAAACAACCCTCAACCTGAACAACCACACAGTCCTTGTCTTTTGTTGACATTGCCTCAAAAATAAGTGCTCTTGAGATGGCAATAGGCATATTTCTGAGTTGTAAAATATCAAGCATGAAATTCTACTTGAGAGAAGTCTTTCACCTGCTAAAACTTTATATAAATTAAGTTTAACAGTTTATTTGAACAATGAACGATTCACAAATTGGGCAGCCAAATTCAGGAATTGGGGACATTGAATGAGGAGACATTCAGAGAGCTCCGTTCTGTATTGTGAACAGACAGCATTTATAGACAGAAAAAATAAAGTGACATACAAGAGAAGCTTGATCCATCACAGCTCTTTGTTTACCTTATTTAAATATGGTCAGATCAGCTGGCAGCCTGTGACTCAAGTTTGGCTGTTGTGATTGATTGTGACTTAGCTACCTATTACAAAATTATACACCGATATGAGGCTTTCAGTTTCTATACTAAGGTTGCAGTTTGTTATAACAGACTCAAAGTATGGAGGCATCCTCAGGCCAAATTTAGCTTAACACCTCTTACTAAATAAATAGCAGAGAAAGCCACTATTCAGCAGTATAAAGTTGCTTTCTGACTACACTGGCTCTGTGGTCATCTTTCCTCTGTGACTATGTTAGCCATTGGAAATGGAATGACTTAAGGAGGAGTTCACATCAACCTTTCAGTGGGTTTAATTGCTCCTGCCAAAATCTTACTGCCTGTTGTAGAAGAACTCACATGTGTAATCCCAGTTTGTATATTTAGTAACTTATTCTATTTACTGTTTACTTACTGAAGATCAAGGGGGTAACCACTCTGATGCTGTAAGAGAAGTAGCAATTTCTAAGAAATTAACCATCAGCAACAGTTACTGACTTGTTTGATGCTGGCATCCTAAGGCAAAGGCCAATGAGCTCCATTTATACTACAACAGGATACTCATTAACTATATTAACAACTACCTCTTGCCAATGAAAACTATAATTAATAGTCTGTTGGCAAATAAAATGCCAGCTAACATGGTTCAGTAAAATGCTTGGTTTAGCTCTTTAAAACTTAGAGTAAACATCATTAAGTTCAAATAGACTAGAAAAAAACAAAAAAGTCTTCATTTGAGCCTTTAACCTCTCTCAGCTATTGGCCTATGTCATTCTTTCTTGGTTAAATTCTTTCCAACATTAGACCTACCATTGCTGTCTCCACATCCTCACTGCTTTAACTCCTGTCTCTACAGCTTTGTCACCTTCCACCAGGTTGCTTTCTAACGTGAGATCATTCTTTTCAACCAAACACAACAGCCATTTGTTTCATATACAACTTTTTGCCATTCCCTTGTTCAAGCACTTATCTTTTAGCTCATAGGACACCAGTATTTTTCCAGTCACTCTCACTATTGTTTCTCTAAATCTTTGCTGATAACTCTGCTTCATTCCACAGCTTTACTAAGGCAATCTCCTAAAACCCAATTCTAGGCTCTATACTTTCTACTCCTTTATCTAGTTTATGTTGAGGACCATGGTTAAACTAGTCTGCGAACATGATTCTCTTCATTTTCTTCCTTCTTTGGACTTTAAAATAGGTGTTGCTCTTAAGTATCTTGCCCTTACATTATTAATCATCTCTGAAGGGATAGAATTTTTCAGCCTGGCAAATTGGAACTTAATAAATGGTTACTCACTGACTTGGAATCAGATAAACTCTGATAACCTGAAGGCATTTTCTAAATGCAAGGATTTCCTTCATTAGCCAGTCTGAACACATACCTTCAAAAAATACCTAAAAATTTTTCTCCACTAGTTCTTAAATTAAGCTATGAAGGAATGTGAGGTCAATGGATTACGCTGATAACATAAGTAGTAATATTCCTGGACAGCATTAATAAAAGGATCTTATGCTACTCTGATTCGGAGAACAAAGCTCTCATAGACTAGAATTTAGTTTTTCAATCCACTTTTTTTTAGCGGTGAAAAGAATGGGTTTGGAAACTTACGGATATGAAATGAAAAAGGTTTTAAACAACAACTGTGATAGATGCCATAAAGATATTCAGAATTCTAGGTTTACTTTACGTGATACCGTGCCAATAATACTTGACCTTCCTCCCTCCCTCACATACAATAGCGAATATTTCAGGCCCTTGTAGAGCTTCTATTCTAGTGGAGAGCTTACATCTCCTTTCCATTAAAATACTGAAGGAGCTACTCATACAAACACTTGCTACACTAAACATCCAAAACTAAGGGAGAATTTCTGCCTGAGTATAACTATTTATGTACATGCAATGATGACTATGAACTTCTAGAGAAAACTTGGGTCTCTGGCTCTTATCAAGGATCAAGTCTCATTTGGAGGGAAGTACTAAGTTTTAACCAAGCTTGCAAGGGAAGAACTAAGAGGCTGCAGCCGCTGGCTGTGAGCCCTCTGGGCACTCAATAGATGCATCAAATCTTAAGGAAGCTTAAAACATGAGTCTGGAGTGAAGGCGAGGAAAGAGGATATGTCACATGCACACATGAAAAAATATGAGACAAATGTGGCAAGTGTTAAAGGGGTACAATGTGCTCTTCAATCCTAAACAAAATGTTTTCATATGTTGTTGCATATTTAGGGCTTTTTAAAATGAAAATAATTATTGCTTACATTTACTTTGGACTTATAGAGCATGATAGCTATAATATAGCAACAACTCTCATACTGAAAATTTTACTAAGTATTAAGCATGGTGCTAGCTCTTTAAATGCATTTCTATTTAATCCTGGCAATAAGCTTCTAATAAATGTTTATTAATGAATAAATATGTTATTCATTCAACAAATCCTTATTCAGCACCTTCTCCATCCCAGGTCTACATATCAGATCATATAGATATAACTAGATAGATCTAATTATATTATTATATTGATATTATATATTATAAATTATATAGATTATATGTTATATAGATATATATTATATAATTACTATATAGATTATAGTTATATAGGTATAATTATATATTATATGATTATATAGATCATAGATATAATTCAATAAGACTTCTAACTCTAGCATTGTAGCGTTTACAAAGTACAATGTATGTTGTGCCCTTTGTCTTTATAACAATAATGAGGTAGATCAGGCAAATGACATAAATCTGCTTTACTACTGAAAAAACTTGATACATACAGAGATTGAGTGATCTCTCTAAAATTTGAAATTTGGCTTTTTTACTACAAATTAAGTGTTCTCATTCTATTTTTATGAAATTATAAGTTCTATTATTCTCTTCATTTTACAGAAGAGACACTTAGAGACATAAAATAATATGCATGGCATGCTGATGTTAATTGATAAAGCTGGAACAGCAACATTTACCCATCTGCCCCAAAACCTACACACGTAATTGCTGCCCTTGGCAATGACTTAGAACAAATCCTTACATGAAACATGTCTGTTCAATATTGAATGTTGCAAGACTGAAAGAATCTAACGAGTGGGTGAATAAATAAAAAACATACTTTAATTCTCAAAGATAAACCAAGAATTCTGCAAACATAAATTAATGTCTCCCAATGGGTAAGGAAATCTTCAAAATAAGAGTTAAAAGAGCTGAATACTAAATATAACTGAAGAGTTATAAATCTGCCAGTTTCTTTGTTAGAAGAATCCAGTATATTTTAAAGGTTTCTAATAAAATTAGAAATGTTAAGTGTTACAGCTTATATCAGAAAACTTGTTCTTATAATTTGCTAGTACATCTATAAATATTTGACATTTTTTCTTGGGATTATGTAAGAAAGAAATATATTGGCTGCCAAACTTAAGATTGTATAAGTCATTCTAGATTTTCTTAAATTTTTATGGGCAGTTTTTTTCTGTTTTTATCCTTATTCACTGAAAGCCAGGATTTTGGAAATCTCTCATTCTAAAGTGTTAAGCTTGAACTCTACTTGTGAGAATCTAATAAAAATATCAGAAAGAAGTCAAACTTCAAATTCAGTCATTTGGTTTATTGCCTCTGCCTGCTGTGAATTTTAATCTTCCTACTGTCTCCCATGTTATTTTTGTTTAATCAATTCAGACAAATTTGACCAAAGAGTCAAAAATGTATATGGTATGATAGCAAGTAGACAATCATTTTTAAGTCTTCTAGAAACGCAAAGAAAATGACATGCCAAATAAAGTAGTAAGTCTTTTAATTGTTTTCTATTAGTTTTGTAGCATAGACTTAACTCCTCTTTTAAGATAATGCATTAATACACATTTCTTCTATAAGTGATAATAACTGAAATCCCCTTAAGTTCTCTGGTTTGTGAAGTTCTGCTATTGACTTTGCCATTACAGATTTATTCCAGTGTTCAAAGTTAATGTTCCGACTGCTTCTGGTTTTCCAGTGTTAAAATAGGCAAACAGGCCAAGCACGGTGGCTCATGCCTGTAATCCCAGCACTCTGGGAGGCCAAGGCGAGCGGGTGAATCATGAGGTCAGGAGTTTGAGACCAGCCTGGCCAACATGTTGAAACCCCGTCTCTACTAAAGATACAAAAAATTAGCCAGATGTGGTGGTGCACACCTGTAATCCCAGCTACTTGGGAGGCTGAGGCAGGAGAATTGCTTGAACCCGGGAGGCGAAGGTTTCAGTAAGCTGAGATTGTGCCATTGCACTCCAGCCTGGGTAACAGGGCAAGACTTCATCTCAAAAAAAATAGGCAAACAATATAATTATGCACAATTGATAATTCTCCAGAAACATTTTAAGACCTCTAAGAAGAAGGGTTTATGAATATCAGCTATTAGAAAAGATCAAAGATTATTTTTCTCTTTATGACAACGTTGGGCACTATTAAATGTTTTGTAAATGACAAGACAATTCCATTTCAGGGTCAGAATAATAAGGAAAAGTTAAGATTCTAAAGGAGGCTTTTTCATATATATTTTTAAAAAGAGGTAACAATACCTAAAGATCTAAAAAACAAGTTAGGCCTTTATAATCTTCATTTAGTAAGCATTTTATTAGATAATAACACCATAACCTTACATTTGTGAAGTTTTTGATGTGTTTTACAAACATTACTGTCTTGGCGTCTCACCATCTTCCCACAATTTAAGGTCAATAAGCAACAATCTTACGCTTAGAACAGTAATTTTTGCTACCATTCTCTTTACAAAATAGATACACACACACACACACACACACACACAAACCATTCGTGACTCTGCACCTTTGTCAATGTCCTGTTCCTGAAAAACTTTTCTCTGCTAAATTATTTGGCAAATTCCTATTCATCCTTAAAGAGTTCTCAAAGGCTATCTTCTCTGAAGTAGTCTGACTTCTCTTCAACCCACAAAGTAAATCACTGCCTCCCTTGTGCTACCACTACTCCTTGAGTACATATCTATTATGGTGCCTACCATATTATATTGCAATTATTTGCCCATCCATGTGTGCAAATACCATGTGCAGTGTGACTGGGAGTTCCTTGAGGCCAAGAACTTATTCTAATTTCCCCAGCACTTAGCGGGTACTAAATAAAAATGTATTAATACAGATTTTCATTAATTAAAAAATCTATTTATATAGATGGAGATAAGTGAAGACAGAGGACGGGAAAGTATTTCTGCCATCAAGAAGTTCAAAAGCTGTAACAAATCCCAGTTCACAATTATAGGTGACCAATGACTCACTTTCATTTCTACACTGTCCCCTTCCATCCAATCTCAGAATATGTATCACTTTCCCAAAACTACAAACTTTCCCTCAAAGTTATTATACCTAATTCCCAGCTCTTGGTGAGAAACATGGCAGTTTTTGTACTTGGGAGTCATCTGTCCATGCTAGCATCCACTGAGACATTCTTGTTCCGGTCTTTTCTTTGGTCTCTGTCCAAAACACCCCTCCAGGTCTGGCAACTCGCCTTGCTCCTTCCCTGCCATGTCAGTCATGCATGATCTTTATCTCCAACTCAGGCCAGGAAATGTGAAATTTCATACCTTGAGCTCTCCCTGGGGGATAGGAGCCCAAGTTCCCATTGCTATGAGATCTCTGACACCTCTCTCAGCATATCCTCTTACCAAGGGATTGAAAAAGCATAAGCAGGGAGACCTACCAGTGTCGTAAGTTCTCACTTCACCTCCTATTTTCTGTGCCCCAAGCTGGAAAATATTTAGTCTCAGAAGCATAAATCCTTAACTGAAAATCATTTTTCCCTATATCCCCTGAGAGTCTAAATTTGAGGCTGTGGATCTTTTTTGTACTTTCCAGAGTAGAAGTTGTCTGAGGCAATGAAGAGCTTGTAGTCAAATTGTCCTAATGAAGAAAGTGTCATGGATAACTAGAAGTAAACAAGGGGAAAATAGTATCCTGCCACACTTCTAGTACAAAAGAAAAGAGTTGCATAGGTAGGTGTGCTTTCCTTGTGGCAGTCTACACCAGCCTACACTGGCTGACGTGAGGCCACCGCCAGGTGGCTCCTAAAGGTCTTGAGTCAATGATCAGACCGGGAGAATACAATTCCCATTTTCTTGTCGGTTCAGTTCTCTTCACTCAGCACCTCGCAATGGACTAAGTGTTAGTTTCCCCAAAAAATTCATATGCTGAAATCCTAATCTCCAATGTGATGGTATTAGAAGGTAGGGCCTTTGAAAGGTAATTAGGTCATAAGGAGTGGAGCCCTCATGAATGAGATTAGTGCCCTTATGAACAGGACCCCAGAAGGCCCTCTTGCACTCTTTCTACTATGTGAGGACACAGGGCGAAGATAACCATCTATGAAGCAGGCCAGGCCCTCACCAGACACAATTAGTGCCTTGATCTTAGACTCCCTAGCCTCCAGAAAAATGAGAAATAAAAGCCTGTTGTTTAAGCCACCCATTTATGGTATTGTTATAACAGTCCAAACTTAGACCTTCACTATCTAGAAATAGTTTCCTGCTTTCCATAAACCTCTGCTTCTATTGACTACATCAAGTAGTATAGGAAGTCTCACTTAGAGAGGCGGCCTTATCACTCTTCTAAAATTGACCTTCAAACTGAGTTTGAGCCATTAAGTATAGGTAGATACAAATATTCAATATATCCTTCCTGCATCCAGTAGACCATCCCTTAACCAGGATCTCTTAACTGTCGACATTTCTCCCTCTCATCCCCACTGCTTGAAAATTTCAATCTGGTATCTAAATAATCATCTAATCCTGCTAATATTTGTAAGAGACTAAATATACAAGTTAAATCCCTAGCATAATCATTCTACCTTATCAAAAGTGATGCTAATTTTTCAACAGAAAGACATAAAATGCAAGCTATTTTCAGGAGTGAGCATAAATTTGAATTGCTCCATTCACACTTTCAAACTCTTGTGAAAGTTACTCTGGTGATGAGTGGCATATGCCCACACAGGTGGGCAGTCATAAACAGATTACATAGCCTTGGTCTTTGTGTCATTAGCATTGTACAGTTAACTAATTTGGAGCTGTGCCATCAGAGTAATTTCTAGGGAAAGAGACTTACAACAAAAAGTGGATTTGATTTTTTGAAAAATGCAACTAGAAGTCGTCTAAGGTGGGTCCATTTTATAAAGACTTATATTGCATATTAAATGGCATAGTGCATTTCTAATTTACATTTTTCTAGATGTAAATTGATATGCACTTCAGTCAAACCCCCATTAGAATTAAAACATATATTTTCATAGGTCTTTTTCATTTTCATAGTTTTTAAAGTAATTGAAGTATAGTATCTTCAATTACTTTAAAAGTTTATTTTTAAATTTTACTGAATCGATATATTACTGACTAGGATTGCTACTATTATATAATTGTTTTAAAAAGGTATAATTAAATATTTTCTAAATCATTTTAAGAAACTATGAAAATCAATATATTGCAACATTCAAAAAAAACAATTTAGTAAATTATAAAAAAGAAAATGTCTGATATTCTGAAATATCCATTAGAGACAGGAAAGGTTAGCACTATAAATATCCTAACACATCTAGTATATATTTTCTCTTCTTGTTACTATTTCCAGGATGGTATCCACAAACCTTCCTCTTAGTCACATTCAAGTACTTGATTTAAAAACAAATTCAGAACACATATCACTTCTTCAGTTTACCATACCACTCAAGTTAGGTTAAGTTTCCCTATAGCTGTGCCCTTATAATATCTCGATTTTTTCTAAATAACACATCAACACTTATTTTAATCTGAGATCCCTGCCTTCTTTGCTCAAGATGACCTTAACCTATTTATCAAGATTTTGCTTGATACTATTAGAAATTCAGTATTTGTTACATGCAAGAAAGGGAAGAGAAAATAGTCATTTTGAAAGTAAAAAGGGAGGGATAATAAGTCAATAGCCTTTAAAAATGTCCAAAATGTAATTGAATTTTTAATTTTTACTACCAGTGAAGGGCAGAAATGTACAGTTTTAATAAGCACCCTAGGTGATTCTTACACACACTAGGGCTTAAGAACTACCAGTTCAGGAGAAGGTTTTTTACATTTCTCCAGAGACTAAGTATGCTGTATTCTCCAGAAGAAAGCTGTTTTCTTTAACTCACTTCAAGCTGAATAGATTCTGAGGGAAGGACAAATTACTTTAGGGAAATTTATTTAGGTAAATTAAAGAAAATTAAAATAACACACAGGAGATAATGTGCAGAAGTTAAGCCTAAAGCATACTTTTATAAAAGTAAATTAACTCTGATAGGCTCAAGAGCCTGAAAGTCTACTTTACTATATGACATTCTAAGGATGACCATAAGTAGCAGTTACCTATGACAGCTATAATGTATGCCTATTATGCTACATCCTGGAAGTTCAGCATTTATTCAGGATTTATTTTAAGTGAAATATTAATAGTTACATTAAAATGAGCCTAATTGGTTAAGCACAATTCCACTGGTATGTGACTCTTCTGCCATGGGCATGTCTGTGTGACATGCACATGTAATTAACAGTGTTCTGACTTCAACATATAGTTTCATAAAATCTGAAAGGTACACAGGCTTTTTCTTTTCTTGCCCTTTTTCAGATGCACTATAACTAAATCTTCTTCTTCCAGGTTTGTGAGTCAGGGCATTTGCTAACAAAACAAAACATGATCAGACAATAGAGGTAGGAAGAGTTACCTTCCTCTGGCCATCATGGAAGGAGGGCAAAGCATTTGACACTGCTGCCCCTGGCCATCATGTATACCATCCAGGTGAGATGGTTCATGCCACGGTCAGTGTGTGATGTAGAAAACCAGACTTCCAGTTGGTGGGATCAGTGAGAAAGTAGACATCACAAGACAGAAATGCATTTAACATGAATGAGAAATAGAAGCGAAGCAGACCTACCACGGGTGTAGAAAATGTAGTCTGAATACTTTTGCTATGATAGTTCATCACTTACACTATGGGATGTAAATCTATGGCTGTTTGGTACCTTTTTTCCTTTTCGTAAGACTTTTCAGCATGAGTCGCTTAAATACATGACTAAGAAAAATCCAGTATTCTCCATTGCAGAAGAAGATTAATGATAAAGTATAACTTTAATATTAGCATTTCTCATCAACCATGAGGGCAAAAGTGACATTACCAACCACAAGAGAATCAGAAGACAAATCTGCAGAATGTCAGTTTCAGAAGTTAGTAACTATTTTAATAAGGCTGTGACCAGGGGTGATGATATAAAAGCTTTAGCTATGAGTTTAAATATCACTCTATGAAGCAAGACTTTGCCTTTAGATCAAATGCAATCTAATTTTTGCTTATTTTTAATTCTAAATTCTCATATGCAAGATTAAAAAAAGAAGCTGTACTTTTTAATGTGTTAGCTCTATTAGTAGAACAATAACTTTGCACACAGCACAATGCCAGTTTTATATAAGTATCATTAATTTTTTAAAAGTCAGTTGATTCTAATCATGACTCAATTTTTTCAATTCAAGGAATCAAAGTAAAACTTTTAGAGAGTCATTCTATAAAAGATCAAACATTTGAAATTATTACAAATGCTATAGAAATTCAGTTAAAAGTTAATCATACATATAAAAGTATGTGAATATAAATTTAGGTTGATATAGTGCTATGAAAAAATAATGTTCTTTACTAAATTAACTTATAAGCAGAAATGTACTTGGAATTGGTTGCACTGCCTACATAATTTGTAACTGTGTTTAAATAAGCTGCAATATTCTACCAATTAATATAAGATCTATAGCTGTGAAAACTTACAAACATTACTACAATTGAAGTTCAGTTAGAGGAAGGTCAGCAAATAACAGCCCACAAAACATGATTTTGTAAATAATGTTTCATTGGAACATAGTACAGTGGGTAGAATTGTGTCTCTTTAAAAGATATGTTCAAATCTTAACCCCCTTGCACCTGAAAATATGACCTTATTTGGAAATCATGTCTTCGCATATACCATCAAGATAAGATGAGGTCATACTGGATTAAGATGGGCCTCAATCTAATCACTGGTATCTTTATAAGAAAAGGGAAATTTGAACCAGAGATGCAGAGACAGGAACAAAGGAAGAATGCCATGTGACCTCAGAGGCAGACTTTTGAGTTATACTGCCACAAGTCAAGGAATGCCAAAGATTGCTGGCAACCACCAGAAACTAGGAGAGGCATGGAACAGATTCTCCCTCAGAACCACTAGAAGCAACCAATCTTGTCAACACCTTGATTTAGGACTTCCAGCCTTTACAAGTGTATGAGAATAACTGTGTGTAGTTGAAGCAACTAGTTTGTGATACTTTGTTACGATGGCCCTGGAAACACAACCACATCTGTTTGAGTACTATTGTCTACGGCTGCTTTCATGCTATGATGGCAAAACTGAGTACTTGCAACAGAGACCATATGTCTCACAAAGTCTGAAATATTCAGTATTTGGTTCTTTATAGAACAAGTTTGCTGACTCCTGAGGTAGGTTATCTGAATCATAAAATGTTTTTAATAAAGCTGATATTAAATATAAAAACATACTTCAGCAGAGCAGTATATTTTTTCCTTTTTGCTGATCATCATCAACCCAACTAATTGTACCACTGAAAAACTAATTTGTGTATCAAACTAAGTACCCAACAATAGTACTGAAAAATTTTTATACATCAGTAATCTAAGTTTTGGATATATTTTCTTTAAAATCAGTTGGAAATCTTTAATCAACATATCCAATAAATGGAGCATCAAGAAGCTTCACCTTTTGTAACTTTTAGTTAACTGCAATTATTGAAAACAAATCTTATACACAGTAAGAATTTAAATTAGTCCTATGCAGTCAATGAAGGACTGAAAAATAAGAGCTCAAGAGTGTACAATATTTAATTTAGGATACTTAGAAATTGTGCTTTAAGATTATCACTTTTGTGGGAGGAATCTTTTGATGGACCTCCTACTTCTAAACTTTTTATTCCTCAAACCTGTGAAAAAAAAATTAGACTTAAAATTTTGCAACATCCTTCTAAATTTGGATTTAAAATTTTTCTTTAAGATCAGAGATAATTTTTAATGAGATTAGCCTTGTAAAATATTTGCAAAGAAATATAATTTTTGGAGACAAAAAGACATTACCAGTGAAAATATTTTGACTAAAATAATTGTATGTATTAATATAAAAATATAATCCCATTTAGCAGAATTTATTCTGAGGTTACCCATTACCTGTAGAGAGAGAATTTACTCAATTCAGAATAAGATCTACGGAGAAAGGTCAATTAAAGTGTCAGCATGCAAAATTCATTAACCAAGTGCAACTTTATAAAGTATTATAAGCAATTTTATGAGAAACCTAAAAATAAGTCAATTTTGAGGAAAAAATGTTTTTCAGAAATTATACAATTGATGTATGACAGATGAGTTCATGTTAAGAAACTGATTAAGGTAAGCATATATCAAGAATAATTATTCTGCTCAGCTATTATATTCATATAACCATCACAATCAACAAATTGCATAGTCATCCTACGTATACTGGGTGTATACCAGTATACAGTAATCCCATCTATAAAATGAGGAAGTCCGACTAGATGGCTTCTCAACATTCTTCTGGGTCTCAAATTTTATTAAAGCAAACTCACTCTCTTCACTGAATAGTGAAGAGACTAAGGACTGGAGAGAGAATTTTTCTAAGATCAAATTATATGGAGGAAGGTACAGTACCAGAGCGCCCGTGCCTGGACTTTCAGACTCAGACTCTTCTATGCCAGTGTGTATATATATATATATCCTCTAAAGATCTTTCTATTCAAAGCCATCTACAATTATAATAATCAAAACCAAATTTGATTCCAGGAACAACTTCTGAATATTTTCCATCTCATTATAAGTCCAGAATTGTCACAGGAACTCATTCTTTATGTTTCAGTGATTCTATTCTCAAAATTTTAAAGAATTAAATAAAATAAACATTGTTATTTTTCCAAGCTTCAAAGCTATCATGCATTACTTCCTGACTTGAGCACTCCATATTTTAACAGAAATGTTTGAGTAATGTGCTCAGCTAAATCATCTGAGAGAGGTCAACACATCCTGCCTAGGATTCTAAAAACATAATTAGAAATACATTTATCTCAACAAGGCTGGCCTTAGTGAATCCTACAGATGAACTAACTTAAATCATTTCTAACTTAAGAAATCAGGCTTATGTCTTTCCATTCAGTCTAACCTTACATGTCAGGAAGTGAACACTGAATTTAATCAAGGAACAATTATTAATCTCTTGGTTGAAAGATTTTCAGGGAAAATATTTGAATAGAAATACACACTTTGTTTTTGGAAGAATTATTTTATGTCTGCCACTCTAATATGAAAAAAAGAAATTGGTTCAGCTGAGTCAACAAGTTTTGAAAATATATATAGGAATTCACAAAGTGATAAGAGAAAAGGCAGTAAAATTTAAATAAGAAAATATCCATGTATATATTTAGAAGCTATCGTTTTTGTACTTTTTGTTATATCTATGCTCTGGTTATCTTTTATTGTAAAACAAATTTTAAAACTTAGTGGCTTAAGACAGCAATCTTTTAATTATATCTCATTGTTCTGTGAGTCAAGAGTTCAGGCAGAGCTCAGATCAGCAATTCTCTGTACCATGTGAAATTGACAGAGGTTTCTCGGCAGGATTCAGCTGACTGATGGGCTGATCAGGAGGGCCTCAGATGGCTTCGTACACCTTTTTGGTACATCAACATGGAGAGTTGTAATACGGGGCTCAATTTGGATTGTTGGCTTGAAGATCTACATGTGTCTTCTCCAGTATTGAACTTCTTTACTGTGGTTCAGGGGTCCCTGAATCAGTGTTCCAAGAGACCAGGCAGAATTCTTAGAATTTCTCATGACCTAGCATTGGCAGTCCCAGTCCATCACATCTGTCACATTCTAGTCAAGCAAGTCATCAAGACCAACCTAGACTCAAGGAGAAAGGAATTAAAGTAGTAGAAAGAATTTGTGGCTATCTTTTCTTTCCCACACCTGTCTTGCTTTTTCTAAGAATTGATGGTAGCTTATATAGTTTTTTAATATGGTAAAAGTTTTTAAAGATTTTTTAAGTTGGAAACTTAGAAATATGGTCTGGTTCCTGCCTATAATTTAGACTTTCCTTATATTACTGATAAGACCTCCCGTACAACCATGAATAAAATGGAAATGTTCCAGACAAGCAAATGCTGAGGGATTTTGTCACCACCAGGCCTGCCTTATGAGAGCTCCAGAAGTAAGCACTAAATATGGAAAGGAAAAACCAGTACCAGCCACTGCAAAAACACACCAAAATATGAAGACCAATGACACCATGAAGAAACTGCATCAACACATTTGCAAAATAACCAGCCAGCATCACGACAGGATCAAATTCACACAACAATATTAACCTTAAATGCAAACGGGCTAAATGCCCCAATTAAAAGACACAGACTGGCAAATTGGATAAAGAGTCAAGACCCATTGGTGTGCTATATTCAGGAGACCCATCTCATGTGCAAAAACACACATAGGCTCAAAATAAAGGGATGGAGGAATATTTACCAAGCAAATGAAAATTAAAAAAAAAAAAAAAACCAGGGGTTGCAACCCTAATCTCTGATAAAACAGACTTTAAACCAACAAATATCAAAAAAGACAAAGAAGGGCATTGTATAATGGTAAAGGGATCAATGCAACAAGAAGAACTAACCTAAATATATATGCACCCAATACAGGAGCACCCAGATCCATAAAGCAAGTCCTTAGAGACCTACAAAGAGAGTTAGACTCCCACACAATAGTAGTAGGAGAATTTAACACCCCACTGTCAATACTAGGCAGATCAATGGGACAGAAAATTAACAAGGATATTCAGGACTTGAACTCAGCTCTGGACCAAGTGGACCTAATAAACATCTAACAGAATTCTCCACCAAAATCAACAGAATATACCTTCTTCTCAGCACCACATAGCACTTATTCTATAGTCGACCACATAAATGGAAGTAAAACACTCCTCAGCAAATGCAAAAGAATGGAAATCATAACATCTCTCAGACCACAGTGCAATCAAATTAGAACTCAGGATTAAGAAACTCACTCAAAAACTGCACAACTACATGGAAATTGAACAACCTGTTCCTGAATGACTCCTGGTTAAATAATGAAATTAAGGCAGAAATCAAGAAGTTATTTGAAGCCAATGAAAACAAAGAGACAACATACCAGACTCTCTGGGACACAGCTAAAGCAGTGTTTAGAGGGAAATTTATAGCACTAAATGCCCACAAGAGAAAACTGGAAAGATCTAAAATTGATACTCTAACATTACAATTAAAAGAACTAGAGAAGCAAGAGCAAACAAATTCAAAAGCTAGAAGAAGATAAGAAATAACTAGTATCAGAGCAGAACTGAAGGAGATAGAGACACGAAAAACCTTCAAAAAAAATCAATGAATCCAGGAGCTGGTTTTTGAAAAGATTAACAAAATAGATGGAACAGTAGCTAGAATAAAGAACAGAAGAGAGAAGAATCAAATAGACACAATAAAAAATGATAAAGGGGATATCACCACTGATCCCACAGAAAAACAAACTACCATCAGAGAATGCCAAATACACTTCTACACAAATAAACTAGAAAATCTAGAAGAAATGGATAAATTCCAGAACACATACACCCTCCCCATACTAAACCAGGGAGAAGTCAAATCCCTGAATAGACCAATATCAAGTTCTGATATTGAGGGAGTAATTAAGAGCCTATCAGCCAAAATAAAGCCCAGGACCAGACAGATTTATAGCCGAATTCTACCAGAGGTACAAAGAGGAGCTCGTACCATTCCTTCTGAAACTATTCCAAACAATAGAAAAATAGGGACTCCTCCCTAACTCATTTTATGAGGCCAGCATCATCCTGATATCAAAACCTGGCAGAAACACACACACAGAAAATTTCAGGCCAATATCCCTGATAAACATCAACATGAAAATCCTCAATAAAATACTGGCAAACAAAATCCAGCAGCACATCAAAAAGCTTATCTATTACGATCAAGTAGGCTTTATCCCTGGGATGTAAGATTGGTTCAACACACAAAAATAAATAAATGTAATCTATCACATAAACTGAACCAATAACAAAAACCACATAATTATCTCAATAGATGGAGAAAAGGCCTTAGATCAAATTCAACATCCCTTCATGCTAAAAACTCTCAATAAATTCGGTATTTATGGAACATATCTCAAAATAATAAGGATTATTTATGACAAACCCATAGCCAATATCATACTGAATGTTCAAAAGCTGGAAGCACTCCCTTTGAAAACCAGCACAAGACAAGGATGCCCTTTCTCACCACTCCTATTCAACACAGTGTTGGAAGATCTGGCCAGGGCAATCAGGCAAGAGAAAGAAATAAATCGTATTCAAATAGGAAGAGAGGAACTCAAATTATCTGTTTGCAGATGACAAGATTGTATATTTAGAAAACCCCATTGTCTCAGCCTAAAAACTCTAAGCTGATGAGCAACTTCAGCAAAGTCTCAGGAAACAAAATCAATGTGCAAAAATCACAAGCATTCCTATACAGCAACAATAGACAAGCAGAGAGCCAAATCATGAGTAAACTCCCATTTACAATTGCTACAAACAGAATAAAATACCTAAGAATACAACTTACAAGAGACGTGAAGGACTTCAAGGAGAACTGCAAATCACTGCTAAAAGAAATAACAGGACACAAACAAATGGAAAAATCATTCCATCCTCATGGATAGGAAGAATCAATATCGTTAAAATGGCCATACTGCCCCAAAGTAATCTATAGATTCAATGTTATTCCCACCAAGTGACCAGTGACTTTCTTTGCTAAATTATAAAAAACTACTTTAAATTTCATATGGAACCAAAAAACAGCCTGTATAGCCAAGACAATCCTAAGCCAAAAGAACAAACCTGGCGGCATCATGCTACCTGACTTCAAAGTATACTACAAGGCTACAGTAACCAAAACAGCATGGTACTGGTACCAAAACTGATATATAGACCAATGGAACAGAACTGAGACCTCAGAAATAACACCACACATCTACAACCATCTGATCTTTGACAAACCTGACAAATACAAGCAATGGGGAAAGGATTCCCTATTTAATAAATGGTGCTGGGAAAACTGGCTAGCCATATGCAGAAAACAGAAACTGGAACCCTTTCTTACACCTTATACAAAAATTAACTCAAGCTGGATTAAAGCCTTAAATGTAAAGCCCAAAACCATAAAAACCCTAGAAGAAAACCTAGGCAATACCATTCAGGACATAGGCATGGGCAAAGACTTCATAACTACAACACCAAAAGCTATTGCAACAAAAGCCAAAATTGACAAATGTGATCTAATCAAACTAAAGAGCTTCTGCACAGCAAAAGAAACTACCATCAGAATGAACAGGCAACCTACAGAATGGGAGAAAATTTTTCCAAGCTACCCATCCGACAAAGGTATAATATCCAGAATCTACAAGGATCTTAAATTTACAAGAAAAAAAAACCAACACCATTAAAAAGTGGGCAAAGGATATGAACAGACATCTCACCAAGGAAGACATTTATGTGGCCAAGAAACCTGAAAAAAGCTCATCACTGGTCATTAGAGAAATGCAAATCAAAACCCCAATGAGATACCATCTCACACCAGTTCGAATGGCAATCATTAAAAAGTCAGGAAACAACAGATGCTGACGAGGCTGTGGAGAAATAGGAATACTTTTACACGGTTGGTGGGACTGTAAATTAGTTCAACCACTGTGGAAGACAGTGTGGTCATTCCTCAAGGATCTAGAACCAGAAATACCATTTGACCCTGCAATCCCATTACTCAGTATATACCCAAAGGATTATAAATCATTCTACTATAAAGACAAATGCACATGTATGTTTACTGCAGCACTATTTACAATAGCAAAGACTCGGAACCAACCAAAATGCCCATCAATGATAGACCGGATAAAGAAAATGTGGCATATGTACACCATGGAATATGATGTAGCTATAAACGAGTTCATGTCCTTTGCAGGGACATGGATGAAGCTGGAAGCCATCATCTTCAGCAAACTAACACAGGAACAGAAAACCAAACCCTGCATGTTCTCATTCATAAGTGAGAGTTGAACAATGAGGACACATGTACACAGAGGGAGGGGAACATCACACACCAGGGCTTGTCGTGGGGTGTGGGGCAAAGGGAGGGAGAGAATTAGGACAAATACCTAATGGATGTGGGGCTTAAAACCTAGACAATGGGTTGATAGGTGCAGCAAAACACCATGGCACATGTAAACCTATGTAACAAACCTGTACATTCTGCTCATGTGTCCCAGAACTTAAAGAAATTTTTTCTTAAAAACAGAAATGCAAGCATTCTGGTCTCATTATTTCAGAAGGAAAGTGTTCGACATTGTACTTTAAGTATCGTGCCTGCTGTAGGATTTTTTCAGTACTCTTATCAGATTTTAAGTTCAGTTTGCTAAACTTTCTACTATAAATATTGAAATAACAAGTAAAATTACTGTATTAAGATTACATGATTTGTTTTTTGTTCTTTGAATGCAATGCATTACATTTATTTCTTTTCTAACATCAAGTTAACACTAAATTCCTGAAATAAATTCAACTTGGTCATGATCTATTTATATGTTCTGTTAATATCATTTTGATTCAAGTGCTAATATTTCATTTAGAATTTCTGCATTTCTTTTTATGATGGATTTGTCTGTAGTTTCCCTGTTTCTAATATATTTGTCAGATTTGCTAAGAGCTTATTCATGCCTCAGCGGGGAAAAGAGTTGGGTTTACTTGTCTTCTTTTTCCATTTCTTCCTTTTCCTTGCCTTCCTGAAAAAAATTCTGAAAAAAAAAATCAGTGCTAAAGTCATTAAATGGGCTAGAACAAGGAAAACATCCATATTAGCTGAAAGGAGTCTATCAGAGTCCAAGCAGGTTGAGGAGGTCATCCACGTAATAGAGATATACAGCACAAGGTATCAGGCCTTAGGTAAAAGGAGGAGGTGACCTGGGAAGGATGGTCACCCGGCATGAATATCCCAGCTCAGATAGTAATCCCAGATTAGGTAGTAATCCCTGTGGGGAGGCATCCCAATATGAGAGCCCAGCCAATCTGAGAAGGACATCCATGCAGCCTGTAAGGAACAAGAGACAGAATGAGAACCCATGCGTGAGAGTGGCCCAACAGAGTGAAGTATGTAGACAACCCAATTGCAGGGAGCCAGAGCCTGAGCAGAGACAAGAGGGTGCTCACACAAAAGGGGCCTGATGTCAGGTGAGAGAGCCCAATCTTAATGTTTACGGGAGGCCACTGTTTTAGACAAGCATCCTACACAGCCCCAGCAGACCAGGGCAAGTCAGAAGGTAGTCATTTATGCTACAGGTGTCACATAATCAAACTGAAATTTAAAATGGGCCAGTTTT
Source organism: Homo sapiens (assembly GCF_000001405.40). Classification (NCBI taxonomy): domain Eukaryota; kingdom Metazoa; phylum Chordata; class Mammalia; order Primates; family Hominidae; genus Homo; species Homo sapiens. Next base: position 193,507,636 of record NC_000001.11, on the reverse strand, counting down.
CTGAAACACAGGAGATTCTAGTCAACCCTAGTCAGAGTAATAAGAAAGTCTCTCCTCTGCTTTAACCCTGTAAGTAACTTTGCAATGATCAATCCACTTTTTGTTCTGTTTCTACTTTCTTCAGCCCTTTTCTGTCTATAAAGCCAAAATCCTCTGGTCAGCTCATTCAAGCAATCATTCTATCTTGTAAAATGAAGTGTTGCCAATTCTAGAATGGCAAATAAAGGCAATTACTATATTTAAACTAAATTTGTTTTAATTTTGTCTTTTGACACCAAGCAGCACAACACATATGCATAGGGGATGCCTGGCATGAGGAGCAGAAGCTCCAGTAGGGTAAGGAAGGTAAATGTATGTGGGGGCAGCCCGGCACAGGGCACTCAACATCCAAGTGAAATGTGGAGCATGTGCCAGTATAGGATGGCATGGTGGCAGAAATGGGAGACTGGCTATAGACAGAAGTTTGATCAAATAATATGTTAAAGATAATAGACTCCAGATGTTTCACTGTATTAGCCTGTTCTCACATTGCTAATAAAGACATACCTGATACTGGGTAATTTATAAAGGAAAGAAGTTGAATTGACTCACAGTTCAGCATGGCTGGGGAGGCCTCAGTAAATTTACAATCATGGCAGAAGGGGAAGCAAACACACCCTTCCTTCACATGGTGGCAGGGGAGAAAAGCACCAAGCAAAAGGGAGAAAAAGCCTTATAAAACCATCAGATGTCATGAGAACTCGCTATCACAAGAACAGCATGAGGGTAACCATCCCCCTCCCATATTCTTTCGCTCTGCTCACTAAGAGGGCCTATGAACATCATCACCAATGCCCCCAAATCAAGGAACACAGTAAGTGCCTAGATTTTGACTTCTCAGTTCCATTCCCTGCTAACAGAAACCAGGACTCTTCCACAAGCAACTGATCCTAAGGTTAGAACAAGTACAAGATGAGCCTAGAACATCTTGTGCTCACATAATTGAGGGGGACATGCCAAAAACGACACAAAAAGCCAACCTCACAATAAGGTCAGAACCAGGGAAGAGAGATGCTCAGGATGCAAAATTTAAGAAAACACTCATTCACAGGATCATATGAGTACCGACTCTTTACTTGCATAATCCTAAGAGTGAGTGCCTCCTTAAAGTTATGCCCTGTGTGTGTTTATTCCCCACCTTTATTCAGGCCCAGCTGACTAGCTAAATCAGGAAAATGTTAACATCAAAATAAATGATAGTAACATATTATTAACCCATTTAATAAAATAGCCATCTATAAGCCTATATTAATTGAAAGTTTGGTGAAGAATGGAATGTTTACATAGTTTCAAAGTACCTCCCCACCAAACATTTATTAATTTCAAAAGGGAAAAGAATAGCTTCACAGTGGGGAAACCTGGCAGGTATAACACCTTATTCAAGTGATCAGCATAAACATCAGTAATAGGATAAATCAAAATTGTGCATATGCTAAGGGGATGCAATGGGGAGGACACAGCCTTTGGAGGGTTGCTGTATCTCTGCTGGTTCTCCTTGTTCTAGGGCAGCGGTCCCCAACTTTTTTAGCATCAAGGACTGGTTTTGTGGAAGATCATTTTTCCATGAATGACGGGGGCAGGGCTGGATTCTCAAAAAGAGCACACAACCTAGATCCCTCGCATGCGCAGTTCACAGTAAAGTTTGTGCTCCTGTGAGAATCTAATGCGGTGGCTGATCCCACAGGAGGCAGAGCTCAGGCTGTAATTCTCGCTTGCCTGAGGCTCACCTCCCGCTGTGCCACCCCATTCCAACAGGCCAGGGACTGGTGCCGGTCCGTGGCCCAGGGATACGGGATCCCTGCTCTAGGGTGCAGCCCTTTGGCTCCCAAACAAAGCCTGTTTTTGTTTTGTTTTGTTTTTTTTTTTACTTAGGCCTCTCCTTGTTTGTTCTTTGTGGATACTAAACTCTAATTTTGGTCCATTTTTGCTAAGTTTTCAAATTTTTGACATGAAATCTTTCAAAATACTTTATCTTTTAATTTCTGCCACATCAGTTCCATGTCCCCTTTTCCTTTTCTAATATATTTTCCATGTGTTTTCTCTCTTTGATCAGTTTTGCCTGAGGTTTGTCACTTTTATTAATAATGTGTTTGAAGAAACTTTTTGCTTATTAATCCTTTTAGTATTTTGTCTGCCTACTTAATATATCCTTACTTCTACTTTCCTTGTGTTTATTCCCTTCTCTAACTTTCTCAAATGCATCCTTAGCTTATGAAATTTCAGCCTTTCTCCTTGCCCATTGAACAAGCACTTAAGACTACAATTTCTAAGCACTGCTTTACTGGCATCCTACTAAACATGTATACAGATATATGCATAAATAAGGAAGCAAAAATATATTTCTATTACTCTTTGTTTTATGTATAGTCTAGTTTCCATTTTGATTTCTTCTTTGACTCATAATTACTTAGAAGTTCTTTTTTTAATTTCCATATATGTGAGAGCCTGAATTAGCTATGACATAAGCTAAGGTGCTATAACATAACAACTAAAGTGGCTCAAAAAATAATGAAGTTTATTTCTCACTCAGTTAGGTGGGCAGACCCAATTGAGGTGGCTGCTGTGCCCCAAGAGCTAGTCTATTTTATTATTCTCCCAAACCCCTAGGGTGGAGCCCCTCCTTTGTAAGAAGAGGCTGCCTCACCCAGACTGTACCTGCATCCCAGTCTGTGGATAGGAACAAAGAGGAAACATGACTTAAAAGCCATTTCCTTTTTTAAACCTGTCACGAGGAAGTTGTATCAAGCACTTACCACTCCAAAACTTGATCCCCAGAAATTAGTTACAAGGTAGGCAGAAGCACCAGGTGCCTAGCCAAACCTTGGCAAATTCCAGTTCTAAAAGAAAGAATGGACACTGGAGGATAATTAGCATTTTCTGCCATTGGAGTTTGTTATTTTTATGTTAGCCATTTTAACTTAATTATATTGTGGTAAAAAAGTGTGGTATGAAGTCTCAATCATTTGAAATATATGGATGGCAAATGTCCTCTTAAATGGTCAATTTATGTGATGTTTCCTGTGTGCTTCAGAAGTGTATGTATTCAATTGTTTTATGCAATGTTCTATATATGTCGACTATCAGATCAATATTGCTAATTGTGTTGTTCAAATCTTTTATATCCTGATATATTGTCTGCTTAACAATTACAGAGACAGTTTGTATTAATTAGAGTCTCCCACTATGATGGAGGAGGTCTTTAGTCTCCTTGGGCTCTGTCAATTTTTGCTTCCCATATTTTGAAGCTATTGTTGGGTGTATAAATAAAAGTTGTTAAATCTTCCTAGGTATTAGACTCCTTCATCAATATGGAGTATGATACTATCTCTAATAATTTTTGTTAGAAAGAATGTATTTTGTGATATTTGAATAGCTACACCATCTTTCTTTCCATTGTCTTTTTCCATCTCTATTTCAAAGGCTTCTGTACCCTGGTGTTTTAATTGTGCCTTTTGTAAACAAGAGCAATACTGTTTTAACACAGTCTGTTAACATCATAGTCTGTTAAACATCTTTTAAATGGACAATTATATGTTTCTCTATAGTTATTACTAATACATGGAATCATTTCTAATATCTTATGTAGTACTTTCAATTTGCTTCTGCTGTATTGCTGTATTAGTCCATTTTCATGCTGCTTATAAAGACATACCTAAGACTGGGCAATTTACAAAGGAAAGAGGCTTAAACAGTTCCAAGTGGCTGGGGAGGCCTCACAATCATGGTGGAATGCAAGGAAGAGCAAATCACATCTTACATGGAGGGCAGTAGGCAAAAAGAACTTGTGCAGGGAAATTCCTCCTTTTTAAACCATCAGATCTCATGAGACTTATTTACTATCACGAGAATAGCATGGGAAAGACCTACCCCCACAATTCTATCACCTCCCACCAGTTCCCTCCTATAACACATGAGAATTCAAGATGAGATTTGGATAGGGACACAGCCAAACCATTATCAGTTGCTTTTATTCATTTCTTGTGATCTTTGCTTAGAGTTTTACGTTAATTTCCATTTTCTTTATTTTATTCTATTTCTATTCTTTCAGAGCAACCCTAATTCAATAAGCACGTATATTTTAAAAATTTAGAACCCATATGTTTATCTTTTCTCCTAACTTGTATGAAAACCTAAGTGCTCTAGCTCTTGACTACCTGTTTCCCAATATGCTACTTCTGTCCATCTTTTACTTATTTTTAAAACTCACAAATTAGACATTACAACATGTAGTGCTTGTATATAATTAGCATTTGTTTACAGATTTCTTTCCTAGCTTTTTTTGCATTTCTAATGCTTGCTTCTGGAATATTTAAGTACATGTTTTTTATGCACTAAAATTGGTATACATTTTTAATTTTGTCTAAAGAATATCTATTTTGCCCTTGTTCTTGAAAAGTAGTTTTACTTAATGGGTATATAATTTCATTTTTCTAAGCTTTTGAAGATTTTGTACTGTACTTTGATTTGTATTGCTGTTGACTAGACTCAGCGAGTCTATCATTCCTTATTGCTTCCCTTTTGCTGTTCTGTAGTTTTTCTACCAAATGTCTAGTTTCATATGTCTATGTATTGATTGATTTGGAGTATGTTGGGTACTCTGAATCTGATAAATGTAATCTTTCAGCAATTCTAGAAAATTCTTAGCCATTAGTTCTAATATGTATGTCCCTTATTCTCCTCATGCCAGTTGGCTTTGTCTTGCATCTATTTTTGGATGATTCTCTCTTCAGCTTTAACTAGCCAATAAAATTTTCATTTTGAAAAAAATTATCTTTATAAATTCCATACAGATGTTTTACCACATGATTGGTCATTTTCATAGTATTATGATCATGATTTAGATATACTTTGTTTCTTTAAACATAGTAAACATTCTGTTTATATTGTGCACAGATAAATTATAATATCTGCAGACTTTGTGATTCTCATTCACAGTATGCCATTTCAGGTAATTCATGATGGCTTTGTTTTGCAATTCATTTGGCCTTCATTTTGTAATTGATTACAGGTTCATCTTATTTGAAAAGTTATCTTTGATATTCTTGAAGTCTAGGTTTAAAGTGCATTCCTCAAGAAATGTTTTGTTGTAGCTTTCCCTCAGCATTCTGGATCATACACAGCCTGTTGTGAGATAAGTTTCCATAAATATTCTTACATTTCTGCATAGCCTGGGCTTTCATACACACATGCATGTATATATATACATATGTATCTTATTTGTGTATTTTGCCTGTTATTATATATTGTCATTCTTTCATTCTCTTTACATTACACTTTTACTACTATTAGCATTACCAGTCCCGATTTCTTCTGCCTTGTATCTGCTTGCCAATTCTTTGCCTATGTCTTTAACTTTGATCATGATTGTATATGTGTTTTTGGTAAAGAACACGGATTTGAGGTATGTCTTATAGTTGATATTGAAATTTTCACATGGAAAAGTTTAATCCATTCATAGGTATTGTGTGTGAAATACTTGATTTTAGCCTTCTATTTTTCCATTTATCTTTAATATAGTTTTTTCTTTTTCCTTCTCTTTTGTTGATCAAACTGCTGCTTATGCCATTCTTCCTCCTGTCTCTGAAAATTCTGATAAACTTTACTAATTTTTGACTGCCGGCACTGATAATGAAATAGCTGTAACTCTGCAGTTATTTGAAACAACATATCTTTTCCCATGATGCATTACTGTGATGATGCATTGTATCCTACTCTGTCATACAAAGTGTCTATTTTTCCTTCATTCCTTCCTGGCTTTAATAAGATAAAGCCTTGCTCTCTCATTCTTCCCATCCCCTAAATACTTTAAAATTATTTTGCTTCTTGTCCTACTTTCCACACACTACGTTTTGCAGAGATTAAGATTTCCTTACAGTATCTCCCTAATTTCTGTAGTATTAGCACAATTTTTATAATTTTTATTTTTTTATAATTTGAAAGCAGAAGCACATACAATCTGATTGTTCTGCTTTATTTCTCTGGATTCTGAGCCTTCTTTAGTTGCATTATTATGTTTCTTCAATGGCTCACTGAAGACTTAGATCTGCTTTAACACTATCCTGAAAAGCAGGAAATCTACAAGCAGAAGAAGGTGAAGGATAGTCCCTTGGGCTTATGGTGCAGAAGCAGGCAAACTCTCCACCTTCTGCTGAAGAATCTGAAAGAATCCTTCATGCTCTCTGTTCTCTCTATACTCTTAAGTCTCTGATGCAGGAAAGATTTGGCCCATGCACAATTCTTCTTGGCCTCTTAAGAACAGGGAATCTATGGGATGCCAGAGTTCCCCATATCCAATGGCTCTATAACTCCAGGGATATGGCCAGTCCACCAGAAAGAAAACACTGCACATTGAACCCAGCTGCCCACGGTTCTCTGCAGCCATCACGCTCCAGAGAGGTACAAACCTTGTCATTGGAAAAGAAGTCATTCTAAGCCAAATAATAAAATCATCTCATTTCCCAGTGTCCTCAACTGTGCTGCCCCTTCTCATTCAGGTCTAAGACCAAAAGTCACTGCATTTGTAGAGATACTCCCCAATCATCCATTCTAAGGTACTACCCACCCCCCACCACTGCTACACAATTAACCTATTTTAAATCCTTCATAGTACTTAATACTCAAATTATCTTGTTTACCTGTGAATTTGTCTGTTATCTGTTTTCTACTAGAATGGATATATAAAATTGTGAGCTTGTCTACCTCAGTGCCTAAAGCAAAGCATATAGCATGTGCTTTAAAAATATTTACTGAAAAAAAAGAATGTGTTTATTTCCCCATGCTGTCCACCTCCTGGGCTTAAAAACCTAAATATTAGTGAAACGCAGTTGAATAATAGCTTATATCCCTCAGAGAATAATCTGATGTGTCAAGAATTCTTACCTCTATTTCAAATGCCCATTTTAAGATCTAATCACATATATTTAGCAAGAGTCATTGCTCACAATGCTTTCCTCTTTTCCTTGCTTCCCCTATCTTGAAATTTGTTCTGAATTAATTGTCATTTGATTAAATTCCTTAGTATTTTATTTAGGTAGAATTCATGGTACATGCTGAATCTTTCCATGTCCAAAAATGTTACTTTTTTACCCTCATAAATGAATGATAGCTTAACTGCATAAGATTATTGGGTTAAAGGCCTTCCATTTTAACAGTGTATGGATTTTTTTTAAACTGTCTTCTAACTTTCCCTATTGTTGATGAGAAAGCAAAGCCCAATGTTAGAATAATTATATTTCCTTTGCAAGTAATATGTCTTTATAAAGAATACACCCTTTTCTCTTTATCTTTGAAAATCAAGACTGTACCCTAGGACAGCCAAAATGATTCTTGGTAGGTATAAAAGAGTGGATGAGAGTATAAGTGGCTGTGCTGATATACAATACACTGCTACGCGGGGTTAACACCAGGGAGCATCAGACAACGCCTTACTGAAGAACAGAGGGCCTGGGTAAGCCAGTGGGCTGGGTGAAGGAGCAGAGTTTGGTGAAGGTGCTCTCACTGTAACACAATTATTCATCATTGAGATGAGAGCAGGAGTCAGAAATATCTTTGGAAAGTTCATACCACTATCTGAAATTTACCAAATAGAACTACATAGTAATGTACACTGGAAGGAACAATTTATAGTTTAACTCACAGTTCTTGACTGGCCACACCAGCTTCAGGCAAAGACATGTGCTCAGTGTGCAAAAGTAGTTCAAGGATAAATAAAATTTAAACTGTACTGAGAATGTAATATAAAAAGTAGTGAAAACGTTATACTGAAATTATCTAAAGCCTTGACTATTGCCTTCAGTGTTGATTACCACAAATCAAAATAGATACAACAAAACATTTTCCCAAACAAGCAGTAAAATATGTTTGAGTACTGTAGTGTTCAGCATTACAAAATATTAAAAATAATAGAGCCACTTAGTTGAGAAATAAAAACCCATCTAAAAGGCAAGGTAGATTCATAGAAAATAATGTATAAGAAACAATTCAGAAAACTAATTTTCTCCAGTAAAAAAAAATGGTTCTCTTTCAGTGACAGTAAATTGCAAAATAATGCCTTCAAAAAAATCAGAATTTTAAAATAAAATCTCATTCACTATAGAAGATTAGAAGCCAATAACTATATCGTGTAGTTTCTCAGAACAACTATACATAGTTGATACAGCAGCAATTCTTTTTCAAAATGCTTCATCAATATATAATAAACTAAGAATGTAGTCACTTTTCTGATGATTATGGTAAAACTAACTCCACATTTGGGTTCCCCCAAATTTCATTGACATAAATATGTTCTAACTGTAGCATGTATTCTAATAACCTTGATTCCCCCAGAGAAAATCCTCAGAATTCACCAAAAATGTATATTCATTTACATTGTTTACATGTTTCCAATTTATATTGCTAAACTCTACAATCTAATAACATCAAATATTTGGGCTTTGCCACTTGTATTTAAAACGGGAACATTCTGACTCCACTGAACTATTAATAGGTTTTATTCTCTATATCTCAAGCATCTTAGTGGCTTGTCTTGACATCCTTATAGAAAATGTACTTTTTAAAAAAAATTATCTGTGACTCAACCACAATGACTTCTTTATTAAAGCTATTACAAAATAAATACTGTTATGGGCAAAAAGAAAAACATGAAATGTAGCTCTTAGCAGTAATATGCTTGGCTCTCAGGTATGCTGGATATAAAAAGAAACTAAGCTCTCCTTGTTAATAGAGATGATTCAAGGTGGGATAAGAAAAACAATCATCTAGCTGATTGAGTTTCTGCCCCTCATCCCCATCTCTTGCCTCATCATTTCCTTCTATTTTCAGGGTTATTTTTCTTGACAGAGTTAAACACGGAGAAGCCCTAAGTAAATTAGCTGAGAACCTATACACTGAAAAAAGGAAAATAAAAATCTTCCAGGAGAGGCACAGTAACAGCAGATGCAACTCGAAAATAAAAATCTTCCAGGAGAGGCACAGTAACAGCAGATGCAACTCATGTCCTTATTCCAGACTTCTTTGCATTTTGAAGATTAAAAAGAAGAAAACTACTAAAAGCTTTAAGAACTATCCACCAGATAATTATGATACAAGAGTATAAACACGGTCAGTTTCAATAGCCATTTCCTCAAGTGCAACTTGGCAGCCAAATTCTTCCCTCCAAGGAAATACTTTATGAATAGTAGATAATGAATTGTTTAGAAAAACAGTCTCTAAGGACCCCGCGATATAAGTCAGTAGTACTTAAGTTCTCACTCTCCCGAGATAAGTTGACTGAGAAATTCCGGCTTTAGGGAATTTCCAGGCTCCAGAGGGCCAATAAGAAAGATAGAAATTGATGACATCTGTGCACCCTGCTGTGCAGTGGAGGAATACCTTAGGAAGGTAATCGTGAAAGGCTCCCTAGACTTCCATTTCCAGCATTATGTCAGACTTCACACTCTGAAAACCCCACCTGATTGAAACAGCTAAAATGCTGGATAAAATATTTAAAACATGATCTGTAAAAGGCACTGATGAGCTGTCCAAAAGAGAAAATCTATAGGAACCAAAAAAAAAAAAAAAAGCATGACTGGGTGGTGGGGCAATTGGGGGTACCAAAGCCACTTTCTACCACAAAGGCTTCTGCCAAGCTCTGGACCTGCTAGCTCCCCACTGGCAGCTGCACAGAGCACGAGAGGGTAGATCTCTCTCGTGGAATTCCACTCATGTTGCACTGATTTTGAAATTACTTGTTTCCTATTTCACTGTGAGATTTTTGTTTTTTTGAGATGGAATCTCACGCTGTCACCCAGGCTGGAGCACAGTGGTGCAATCTCGGCTCACTGCAACCTCCACCTCCTGGGCTCCAGCGATTCTCCTGCCTCAGTCTCCTGAGTAGCTGGGATTACAGGCACATGCCACCACGACTGGCTAATTTTTGTATTTTCAATATAGACAGGGTTTCACTACGTTGGCCAGGCTGCTCTCAAACTCCTGACTTCAAGGTATCCACCCACCTTGGCCTCCCAAAGTACTGGGATTACAGGCGTGAGCCACTGCACCCGACCCACCTTTTTCAATAGTTGCAGCGTTTCATTTGTGGCTTACCAAGTTTCTGTCTTTCCAGGATAGCACAACAATCTATATGAGCCAACATTTGATTATAGTGTATTCCTTGTGCTAAGAATTGAGGTGAACTGCCTAAAAGTCATTGGTCCTACTGAATCAGGTATCTTTACTCCAAAATTCACATGCCTTGCAAATGAAGAAGAAAGATAACACATTGTACTCTGCTCTTCATAAGGTAGTTAGCTAAAGATAAATTAAAATCTGAGAACTAGAGGGAAAAAATAAGCCACTCTCTTACAGTTTCAATAAAGGGGAAAAACACTTTGTGTAGATGATAGCAATTATATATTTTATTGTAATACAAGTGGCCAAACCTGAATAGTTAAGTTAATAAAGGGAAATTAATAAATTAATCCAGTTAATATTACCTTTTGGATTCTAAAGATCTATAAAAGTTGTAGGGGAAAAAAATGTTCATCAAATAACTTTCATGGGGAAAAGCTAAATCCTAAGTAGTGTTGGGAAGCGCTAGAGCCAGTTCATTCCCCTGTTGCTTGCTGTATCAATCACATACTACCCAGTTAACAACTTCTAAAATGATCATGCTGAATGACAAACAATTTTCTTTGTTGTGTGTGTGTTTGAGACAGATTCTCGCTCTGTCGCCCAGGCTGGAGTGCCGTGGCCCAATCTGGGCTCACTGCAACCTCTGTTTCCTGGGTTCAAGTGATTCTCCTGCCTCAGCACTCACCACCAGGCCCAGCTAATTTTTGTATTTTTAGTAGACACAGGGTTTCACCATGTTGGCCAGGCTAGTCTTGAATTCCTGATCTCAAGTGATCTGCCCACCTTGGCCTCCCAAAGTGCTGGGATTACAGGCGTGAGCTACTGCACCCAGCCTCAATTTTCTAAAATCATTTTATAAACCACAATTATTTCACTTAAGATGAGTATTAGAGAAAAATAAGAAATATACAAATTAACTGATAATGACAGAAAGCAGATCAGGTTGCCTGGGAATGGGGGTAGAAAGGGGGATTGAGAAGGATTATGGAGAAGCATAAGGAAATGTTTAAGGGTGATGAATAGGCTCATTTTCTTGTGTGTGATAATAGTTTCACAGGTGTACCTATGTCAACTTTTCAAATTATGCATCTTAAATTTGTGTAGTTTATTGTATGTCAACTACTGCTCAATAAAGCTTTGCTTTGAAAAAAGAAATAGATTTGGAAATGCACCACTTTGTATCCCCTAATGAAATAATATCCAATGATGACTATCAACAGAAGTCTGTCAGTACCTTTAACTACTCAATTTTAGCATCCTGAAAACTAGGACAACCAACTACTGTGGCCTCTTTATGAAACACCTAGAATCATCTTTGAATATCTTTGGCCAAAAATGTTGCACCTAAATATAATCAAGCCTCTAGTATAGAGCTAACTTCCGTTTGTAAGAAATAGAAAAATAGAGAAAACAAGTTAAATGTCACAAGGAAGTAAAGACACAGATCCAGAATGTGGCACATTCCCCAGAATGTGACCCAGTTTCTGCACAAATCAATGACATGAAAAGAAGGGGCCTTAAGGGAAAAGAGGCTGCTCTAGATTCAAAAACAAAAATGCTTAAGGAACTTAACACAAGTCCCACAGGTTGCATTTAGTTAATATGTTAAGGCAATATTTTCCTAGTCTTTGGGACAATTGGAATAATTTGATAGTGGACTATTGAATAACACCAAAAAATTACTACTAGTATTGTTGGATGTGCTATAATATTGTCATACGGAAGAAACTGCCCTTATGTAGATGCATTTTGAAAGCCATAGGAATAACGTGTCTGGGATTTTCCTTAACATACTGCAAAAATGGGGGGGAAAAAAACAAACAAAAGGACAAAAATAAATGTGACAAAATCTTGATAATCTCCATCAATCTGATAAATCTGATAGGTATCTATTGTTCTTTATATTAATATTCTATTGTAAATGTTTGAAATAGTCAAATTTAAATAAAAATCTCTTCATGAAAGTAGGCGGAATTCACCATTATAAAAGTATCTGAATTCTTGCAGAAAATATACACAGCCAATTTTTGTCTTGAAATTTTCACTGACTATATAGGTAAGTAAAGAATATTTGAATTGTCATTACCATACCCAATTGGTAACATTATCTGAGAATATTTGTAGTGTAAAAATAGGTGTCAATAAGATTTAGAGGCTCAGTAATCATTGTTTACAAAGGGCGCAGCAGCATAGTGTTCAACGAATTCTCATGCACGTCAATAGTAACAGTAATAATTTTTAGGCTCCTGTTGTATGCTAGACACTGTTCTAGACCCTTTACATACTCCTAATTCATTCCACAATCTTAAAGGTTGCTATTATGGTAATGGTATGATATTGTGGTATGATAATCATTACCATTTTACAGCAGAGAAAACTGAGGTTTACAAGGTAACTTGCTCAAGGACAGTTCCCTTCGGATTCTTTCTGAATCAAAAGACCAGAATCTTTTCACTACTCAGGGTAAGAATTCTGCCAAACTTTATTTCTACAAATATACATGTACTGATTGTGCAGATTACACTATGATTCTTGCCAAAGAAATAAACAAAGATGACCAACATGCAGACCACTGCAGAAAGTTCAATGCATTTTGATACATTTTCAAACTTGGTCCAAATATCCCTGTGAGGAAGCAGAAAGGTGGTAAAAGGACAGTGAAGGATTTGTGAGGTGTCTTTCTAGCCAATCCTGCCTGGATTCAAACCCCAACTCTGCCACTTACAACCTAAGTGACTTTTGGCCGCTTAACTCTTCTCAGTTTTTACGTCACTTAAATGTGAATCCTAACAAATGGTTGTTTACTTTGACTTGGGAAAAGTAAAGATGTCACACAATGAAATATGAAGAGGCCCTAATTGTTTATATCTGGTACATAGCTGGCATTCTAGATGTTAACACCCTTCTCTTATCCACCTTTTATGATTTGTGTGCATAACAGAACAATTTCAATCATAACTATTCTTTGAATGCTAACCCTCACTGCCATTAGCAAAAGGAACCATATAGTGCACAATATATTGCTTTTCTTGGCCCAAGGCATGGTTGCCCTAAGTGTTTCTATATAAAATTCTGTGTTTTAACCTAAACATTTTATGTAAGTCAGGTTGAACTGCTGTTCTCAAGAGTTGCTGGCAATAGGCAGCAACATTTACCTTCCACAAATGTCACTTCAAAAGCTGCTTTAGGGGAGATTGCTTCATCTGCGGCATTGACCCTGCCTTGTACCCTTCCCCACTAGCAAACACCTTGGCTAAGTCAGGGAAACTCTGCTGCACATAGGCTGTATTCACTGACAGTCAACAATCGTAAGGCTTAAAAAATTAAAACCTGACAACTATTTGGAGAAAAAAGTTTAATTAAATGCTTTTCAATATGCTACAGCCTTGGTAGCCTTGAGCTCTGTTATCTAAGATTTAAACCTACACATACCCTTCCAAAGACCGCCAAAGTGTTTTCTTTTTAATATTCAGATCATATTAATGTCCATGGGAAAAACACCCTGGGGACAGAGATATACCACTTTGTTAGATCCAGAAAGGAGATTAAGATATATCTTTATAGAAAACTATCTGTGAGCTGTATTTACTAGTAACCCATGAGGATGCTCAATTTGGCCAAAGAGTTAAATCATTTTAAATCTAGGGCATCTACCCCTCTCATCTCTAAAGAAGTACTCATGTTCAAAAGATACCAAATTTTCTACTTTTAATTAGTTGTCATTTTGAAGTCAACCTCTAAACAGCATGAAAGGGATCAGCTCACAGGAAACTGAGTGTGACAAAAATCAAGGCATCTGAAACACAAAATGCCACCTTCTTTACTCTTGAAATTCCCAGTCCTTGCTGTCATATTTGGAATGGTAGCCTGGGGAGATGAAAGACAATTACAAATTCCCTTTCCATTCTCAATAAAGCATCTCCATTTTCACAGCTTCAGTAAGCTGGCCACAAGAGGTTTAACTTGGGAGAATTAAGACCTGCTATACATACTAAGTAAATCTTCCAAGTTCTTTAAGGGGTGCTCAAGAGACTTGGATATGTTATATAGCTCTCACAGCTGCCAATACTTATATTTGAAGTCATCACTCACTGGGGATTGAGACAAATCAAGAAGATGGGAAAACTTTCTGAATTTTAGACAATGGGTAAGATTTTAAAATATGCATGGTATATGGACTGATATACCCAAAGTGAATTGAAGCCTCTGCAGATTTTTATAGACTTGGAAAATAAATAAGAATGTAACCATATGTAGAATCTTGGTTCTATACAGCAGCGAGCAATACAAAGACAAGACAATGGTGCAGAAATTACATTATGTGTTAGGTAGCAAATTTTTTGAAAACCACATTAGATGGAAAAAGTTACCTCTTTAAAACTTATTCACTAAAATAGTGATTGTCAACTTCCATGTATGTAAAAATCATAATAGGTACCTTACTAAAAATTTTGAATCTTGAAAGCCAGCTTAAGAGGCTTTGAATTAGCAAGCCTTGGAAAGAACCTTGGAATATTATGGCTCTCTAGAGGGACAGAAATTGATAGGATATATGTATATTTGAGAGGGAGTTTATTAAGGAGAATGGACTCACACAATCACAAGGTAAAGTACCATGATAGGCCATTTGCAAGTTGAGGAGCAAGGAAACCAGTAGTGGATCAAAGTCCCAAAACCTCAAAAGTAGGGAAGCTGACAGTCCAGCCTTCAGTCTGTGGCCAAAGGCCCAGGAGCCCCTGGAAAACCACTGGTATAAATTCAAGAGTCTAAAGGCTGAAGAATTTGGAGTCTGATGTTTGAGGGCAGAAAGCATCCAGCATAGGAGAAAGATGAAGGCCAGAAGACTCAGCAAGTCTAGTTCTTCCATGTTCTTCTGCCTGCTTTATCCTAGCCACGCTGGCAGTATTTAGATGGTGCCCACCCAGACTAAGGGTGGGTCTGGGTCTCCCAGTTCACTGACTTAAATGTTAATCTCCTTTGACAGCCCCCTCACAGACACACCCAGGAACAATACTTTGCATCCTTCAATCCAATCAAGTTGACAATCAATATTAACCATCACACTTGGGAATGTGAATTTTTTAATAAATACCCCAAGTAATTACAATGCATATATCTGAGAACTGTGTTTTGAGAAACACTTCAATGAAGGAGAAAAGGAAACAAAAATGCAAACTTGACTTTCAGTGGAACTAGAGTATAGATAAAACCCCAAACCTCAAATATACACGAAAGGGCTGCCAAAAACAGTAGAGATGAACTTATATGTCTGAAGATGTGAAATGGAGAGCAGAGACAGAGCTTAGTAAATCAAACCAAGATTTACTTAGTATGTGTAGCAAATCTTAATTCTCCTTGAACCTTTCAGATTCAAGAGGCAGTCACCAGCGTCCATGTCTTGAACCTGAAAGGACATATGTCAACGTACAAAAATTTCAGTCCGTTTTCACAAAGGAAGAGCAGGGTACACAAGTAAGTACCACAAGCTTCACTGGACTGGATATGGCTCTGAGAAGCAGAGGTGATAAAGCTCCCTAGATGAGCTGTTTGTAAATAGTGGCTGCCATCGTGAAAAGAAAATAGTAGTAAAAAGTTTACCAACTGTCTGTTTACTTTGCCTTGGGAAAAATAAAGTTTAAACAAACTCACACAGAAAAAAAAAATGCTGGATGATAAAAATTCCATCTAGTCTGTAACATGGTCTTGCCCCTCACCCACCCCCCAACTTAATCATCCTGCAACAACCAGTATGGGAAAAATTTCTCTCTTTCAAAGATGAGTAATCAAAAAGAAAGCAAAACAGGAAAAATAAGATCTACAGAAAGGATTGCAAGAAAAAAAAGAAACAAGAAAAGCATATAGAAAAATAACCCTCACCAGAAACCTTTGGCCCTGAGGCAGATAAATATTGTCAAACTTTTTACCATGAATACTTAAAACCTAAAAAAAATGGCTCTGTAAAACAAGAACACAATGCAGAGATGAAAAAGCTCAGTGTAGAGATAGAGGAAAAATTAGGATGAGATGAAACATGACTAGCAGAATTTGATAATTTGGTGGTGGGGGTGACAAGGAAGGTAGTACTGTAGTGGAACCATGAGAGAAGTAAACACAAAATTATAAGGATTATATATGGAGAAGGACAGAGCTGAAAATGCAGAAGGAAATACAAAGAGAAATGAAGTGAATAAAATGAAATAAATCTTTTAAAAGAATTATAAGTAAAATGACAGTTGCAGAGAAAAGGCATATGTATAACTTGCTATCCAAAGGGGGAAAGTGAAATGATAGAGCACGACACTTATTTAGAAACGTAATTTTAAAAAAAATCCTGAAATGAAAAACATTAAAAGGGGACATCAGGTCTCAAGGAAAACTAACCAGAACCATAAATACCAGGAATAATCTAGCAAACTTCTGTAGTTCAAGGATAATGAAGAATCATTTGAGCTTCCAAGCAAAAAAATGATCAAGTTATCTATGAGGATAATAAAAATCAGACAAGGCCTCAGTCTTTTCCAGATATATTCCACTTTAGAAAACAATGGGACAATTCACACAAATTCCTGAAGCAAGAACCAATATTGTTAAAATGGCCATACTGCCCAAAGCAATCTATGGATTCAACACCATTCCTATCAAACTACCAATATCAAAAAGAACAAAGCCAGTGGCATCGTATAACCCAACTTCAAACTATACTATAAGGCTACAGTAACCAAAACAGCATGGTACTGGTTCAAAAACAAATAAACCAATGAAACAGAATCAAGAACCCAGAAATTAAGCTGCACACTTCCAGCCATCTGATCTTTGACAAGTCAACAAAAATAAGCAATAGGGAAGGGACTCCCTATTCAATCGATGGTGCTGAGATAGCTGGCTGGCCATATGCAGAATGAAACACAAGACTCATTACAAGTATTAGCAATAACAATAAAAATATTAATGAGACCTAACTCATTCTTAAAACTAAGGGCATGTAACTATGATTGTGAATTAGTGCGATACAGAAGAGTGCAATCCTATAGCAGCCATATCCTTTCCCACAACTACCTCCTGAAAACCAACCATGCCACTCCTTTCTCCCTGATACTGAACAAAATCTCAAGTAAAACCTAAAGTTATTCTGGTTACTATTGAATAACAAAAAGTTACACCTAGTCTCAAGGACATTCTCAGTACAGCATTATTTTAAAAGTGTCATGTAATAGTTAAAATTGTAAACTTCATTTAAAGGTAAGCTTCTTCCACCTGCTTTACTGTCTACTTTGAGGCAGAGGCCAACAATGGCAAAGGGAACAGCAAGTTGTGCCTCTATTTCCAAGGCTTGGGCTTCTCCTTCACACTTTAGAACCAACTGTGGTTTCTGACCCCTCTAGAATGAGCATTGGAGATGGAGATGAAGGGTAAGGAATAGAGATACAGGAGAACCCTGTTCCTCACACTGGGCAATTTTCCAGTTCTCTTCAGACACCAACTGGGGGGTCCAACAGTAAGAGTTCAGTCCTAGAAGACCATCTCACCACTTCAAATGCCAGTCACAAGTAGTGGGTCCCCAGGTTACTCACACTTTTGTCTGAATGGCTACAAATCAGGGTTCTCCACAACCCCCCCCCCCAAGTTTGATAATTTGCTATGACAGCTCACAAAATTCAAGGGAACATTTTCCTTACTATTAATGGCTTACCATAAAAAAAAAATATTACAAAGGATCCAATCGAAGAGCCAAATGATAAGGAACATAACTTGAAGAAGGGTCCCAAACGCAGGAGCTTCTGTCCTCATGGAGTTTTGGGGGTACCAACCTCCAGCCATGTGGATGTGTTCACCAACCTGGAAGGTGTCCAAATCCCTTCATTTAGGGCTTATATGGAGGTTCAAGAGGTTGAGAGGTGGGTTGAAAGTTTCAACCCATTAATCATGCTTTGGTCTTTCTGGCAAAAAGCTGTATCCTAATTGTCTAGGAACCCCAGCCACCAGTCATTCATTAGCACACAAAAAGATACACATTACTCTGGAGATTCCAAGGGTCTTAGAATCTCTTCTGTCAGGAACCATGGACTAAGACCAACTATTAAAACAAAAGATGCTTCTATCATTCCATCACACCAGGGTTTTAGCAGCTGTTTCAGGAACTGGAGGACAGAGACCAAATATATGTTTCTTTTTATATCACAGTGGCACAGCTCTCTCTGGGCTTAAATGGTATTTAAAGCTGACATTCTCTGATGGTGCACATTGTGAGTTTTTTGGAGACTTTCTCATCACTAGGATTCTCTCACCTGATTTTCCACTCATATAAGTAATGCCCCTTTGGCCAGGTGCTTACGATGTCACCTTGCCCTACCATTTGTCCCTTCTTTTGGACAATGTTCCTTTAAAAATGGCCCTAGGCCAATATCTTTGCCATGCCAGAGTGGCACTGTATAGCAGTGGGTCTGAATGTTTCCTATTAAAGTGGACTTCATATTCAAAAACTGAAATTTCAGACCTCTGTTGAGAGATTTTCTGAAGGTTTTACTTTTAAGATTCCAACACCTGAAAGCTTTTAGTTTGCTGGAGATGAGGCAGGAAAGATTGCTTAAAGGGGATGTCCACCAGTCATCAGTAGCAGGAGGCTGTAGGGCCTTTGGGGGTAGAAGCTGGGAGGATGGAAGACATCTCTCATGTCAAAGAAGTAATCCAGTGGGGAAGCCTACAGGACCCTCAAAGTAATTTATACATGTGACCCACAGTTGGGTACTAGCCATACAAAGGCTCTCAATGGACACCAAGTTATCCAGGGACCAGTTACACAAGATGGTCTCTGCCTCCCAATTTACCCCCTCCATGTACATTGTATACACAAATGAGAAATTAGCAGGAAGCAAAATATGTTCCTAACCAAGCAACACCCAGTTCCCACATGCTAAAGTTGGAGGAGAAATAACAAAACAGCCCATGTGGCCAAGGTCCCCCAGTCAATGGGGACAATCAGACAATAATACCCGTCATAAACACATACAACACTTATATGCCAGGCACTATTCTGAGTGCCTTATGTGGATTAACTAATTTCATCCCCACAAAAACTTTAAGAAGTAAATACTATAGTCTTTACATAATAAGAAACTGAGGACAGAGACTTTAGGGCCCTTACCCAAGTTCACACAGTTAAAACATTCTAGCTCTGGCTTAGGAGTCCATGATCTTAAAAACTACCCTCTACTAATTAAAAAGTCTAAGTTCTGAATAGGCAGGACTAGGAATTTATTAACTAAAAAAGGTGGGGTGGAGGGTGGGGACAAGGAAACTTGCCAAGATATCCTTCAGAGATGGGGCGCTGGTGGGGGAGATTTGATGAGGGGCTGTGAATGTCGAAGAATCATCTCATACTGAGGAGAGACTGTTCAGATCAAGTCATGTCTCAGCCTAGACAGCAAATGGGCAAAATGAGTATACCTACTTTGCTCATCATCCCGACAATTGCAGTCCAGTTTTGGAGCTCTCAACCACAGTCCTGAACTTACTGGGCCACAGCCAGCCTCTGTGTGCCAAATGCAGGCCTGAATCTCCACCTGCAGCCTGTTCTTGGGCCCCCTTCTTGTGATGACAGCTATTCCCATCCCAACTACATCTCCTAAAATTAGACTGCAACCGATCACCTAGACTCCAACCGATTGCTTTTCATCTCTCTCTGGAGCCCAATTTCCTCCATGCTATGTCTAATTTCAAGGTCTTGCCTTCCCCAAAGCTGTTCTATCCTATCCTAAAGTTCTCATACCTATCATTTTTGTATCACCATTTTTTTCTTTTCAACCCGAAAATTTTTTGATCTACTACTTATCAGTCTATGCTATAAAAGCAACAGAGAGCTAGAAGTTAAGACAAATTTAGAGGTAGAAGAGATGACTCAGTCTAAATCCCAGCTCTGGAATGCAGAATTTGTGAGCAGTAAATAAGGGCTCCCAAAAGACCCTCAAGATTTGATATGTTAGGCAGACACCACAATTCCCTGAGTTTTTATGGTTATATCAGAAGCAAATTTCCCCTAAGTACTTGATGTGCCTTCGAGCCTCTAACACATAAGACCACCCAGTCCCTCAAAATTCTCAGGTTGTATTAACACAGAAAGTATTTTTAAAAATGAATCCCCCCAGCTGACATGAACATACCAAAGCATGCATGCACACAGTGTTTACTTTTTTCAGTAATAGTATGTGCTGGGAAAACTTTACAGGAATTACAGCTTATTTACTGCTGCTTGAAACAGAGAAAAGCCTTGTCATGTCTTCTTAGAAAGGCACCCCTTGAGATACTACTGAAATTGGCTTCTCTGTTTCAAAACACTCTTCTGAGATGCTCAGTCCCATACCCCTTCCTTCCAATATCCTTTGTTAGAAGCCTGAAGTCAGTATGTGGTTCCCAATTCAGGACATGCTTGCAGTGTTTGAATTTGCATAAGCACATCAGGAAGTCTTTCCTGTAAGGACACGTACTGGCCTCATGTCATACTTTCATAAATACAACACTAAAAATGTTTTCCTGCAGTGCAGATACAGCCCTGTCCATTAGAAAACAGGTCATTTGGCCACCCTACTGAGCTGCCCCACAACCAGGAAGAAGGTAGAAATGACTCAGCATTTAACATGGACTAAAATGGTCCAGAAATCTGTTTTTCAAAATGAATGCCAGTACACTGATAGCTATGCTTAGACTTTACACAATACCTACAGATAAGTACATTCATTCTGGAGCTACCAACTAGAGCCAAGTAACTTAAAATGTGTTATGCATCAGGTATGTGGTATTTCACTTTCCAAATATTAAGTTAGATGTTTCATCATAAATCAGACATTAAAATAAACAAATTGGTAATATCGCATTAATTGTAACACAGTAAATATTGAACACTACATCCCCAGCTAACAGTAATTAGTGTTGCCAATTAGCAGAGATTTTAGCTTTGCAGTTTTGCTAAGTAACTACCATTTCTTAGGCTCCAAACTGAGGGAGGGGGGGAAGTAGACCGTGCTATGCCTATGAGAATTGAGTCAGTGAGGAAGATAATTTGCCTTTATATATTCACAGCGGGTTCTGATCTATTGAAATCAAGAAAAATTCTTGCACTGCTTGTCTCATGTGATCTTTATGCCATGCAATGGATAGTTTCCCCTATCATAAGCTATCAAAGACACAACTTTTATAAGATTATTTCCAGTATGACATAACTTGGCATATGACATGTAGGGCATATAAATAAATGTTCGTATACAGGGAACTGTTGCTCCTCTAGATTTTAAATAATTTTCACAAATATGCATTTATATTTTATAATATCCCTTAAAAAATTGTCTTCTTCTGAAAACATATGCGCATCAAGAGGAAGAAATATTTTCTTGGGAAAAATATCTATGTTCTTTGCCCATTTTTTAAATTGGTTATTTTGCTATTGAGTTGTACAAGTTCCATGTGTATTTTAGATATTAACCCCTTATTGGCTATACAGTTTGCAGATATTCTCTTCTAATCTATAGGCTGCCTTCTCATATTGTTGTTTCCTTTGCTATGCCACAATGTTTTAGTTGCATTTAGTCCCACTCTTTTTTGCCTTTGTTGCCTGTACTTTTAGTGTCATATCAAAATATCAATGCCAACATCAGTGTCATAGAGTTTTTCCCCTATGTCTTCTTCTAAGTTTTATGGCTCCAGTTTTTAAGTCTTTAATCCATTGTTAGTTTCTTTGTATGTATGGTGAAATCAGATTTTTTTTGGCACGTGGATATCCAGTTTCACCAATGCCATTTATTGAAGAGACTATCTTTTCCCTGTGGCATATTCTTGCCGGCTTTGTCAGAGATTAGATGACAATATATGCATGAGTTTATTTCTGGGATCGCTATTCTGTCCCATTGGTCTATGTGTCTGTTTTTACTCTGGTACCATATTGTTTTGATTACTACAGTTTTGTAATATAATTTGAAGTCAGGAAGTATGATGCCTATAGCTTTGTTCTTGCTCAAGATTGTGTTACCTATTCCAGGTCTTTTGTGGTTCCATATGAATTTTAGAATTGTTTTTTATATTTCTGTAAAAAATTCCATTGGAATTCTGACAGGGATTGCACTGAATATGTAGATTGCTTTGGGCAGCACGGACACATACAAATGACCAACAGGTAAATGAAAAGTTGCTCAACATTACTAATTATCAGGGATAAGCAGAGAAAAATCACAATGAGATACCACCTCACATATGATGGCTATTATCAAAGTCAAAAGATAGGTGTTAAGGATGTAAAGAAAAGGGAACCCTTATACATTGTTGGTGGAAATGTAAATTGGTTCAGTCATTATGGAAAACAGTATGAAGATTCATTGAAAAATTAAAATGCAACTAACATATGATCCAGCAATCCCACTTCTTGGTATATAATCACGCATGACTTAACAACAGAAATACATTGAGATGTGCTTCCTTAGACAATTTTGTCACATGAATGTCATTGAGTATGCTTACACAAACCTAGATTCTATAGGCTACTACACACCTAGGCTGCAGACCTGAATAGCATGTTACTGTAAAAAATACTGTAGGCAATCACAACATAATGGTAAGCGTTTGTGTATCTAAACATATTTAAACATAGAGAAGGTACCATAAACATGTGGTATGATTTTATGGGACCATCATCATATGTGCATCATATACATAAAAGAAATAAAATCACTATCTCAAAGATAATTCACATTCATTACAGCACATTCATTACAGCACTATTTGCAACAGCCAAGATATGGAAACAACCCAAGTATCCATCAGTGAATGCATGGATAAATTGTGGTGTGTATACACAATTTGCCTATGCATTCGTTGATGGATACTTGGGTTGTTTCCATATCTTCCACATGTAAGTCTATGATATATGTCTCTCATATATACATACACAAAATAGGATACGTATATTTTGTGTATACACAAATTATTCAACCTTTAAAAAGCAAACAATTTTCGGCCAGGTGCAGTGGCTCATGCCTGTAATTCCAGCACTTTGGGAAGCCTAGGCGGGCAGATCACGAGGTCAGGAGATCGAGACCATCCTGGCTAACACGATGAAACCCCGTCTCTACTGAAAATACAAAAAATTAGCCGGGCATGGTGGTGGGCGCCTGTAGTCCCAGCTACTCGGGAGGCTGAGGCAGGAGAATGGCATGAACCCGGGAGGCAGACCTTGCAGTGAGCCAAGATCACGCCACTGTACTCCAGCCTGGGTGACAGAGTGAGACTCCATCTCAAAAAAAAAAAAAAAAAAAAAAAGAAGAAACAATTTTCATTTGTAACATGGATGAACCTGAAGAATATTATGCAAAGTGACATAAGCCAAACACAGAAAGACATATTGCATGATTCATTTATATGTGAATTCTTAAAAAGTTGAACTCATAGATATAGCATAGAAGGTCAGGGAGGGAGATGTTGGTCAAAGAATACAAACTTGTAGTTATAAGACCATGCTAGTGTGAATACTGCTGCGATGAACATACATGTGCATGTGTCTTTAAAATAGAATGATTTATATTACTTTGGGTACTTACCCAGTAATGCGATTGCTAGGTCAAATATTTCTGGATGGGCTAAAGAAAATGTGGTACAGATATACCAGGGGATATCATGCAACCATGAAAAAGGAAAAGATTAAGTCCTTTACAGGGATACGGATGGAGCTGGAGGCCACTATTCTTAGCAAACTAATACAGGAAAAAAAATACCGCATGTTCTCACTCCTAAGTGGGAGCTAAATGACGAGAACACACGTGCACAGAGGGGAATCACACACTGGGGCCTTTCAGAGGGAGAGCATCAGGAAAAAATCATTAATGGGTACTGGGCTTAATATCTGGGTGATGAAATAATCTGTACAATAAACCCCCATGACACAAGTTTATCTGTGTAACAACCTGCACTTGTACCCCTGAACTTAAAAGTTAAAAAAAATTAAAAACAAAATTTGACTAATATAAAAAGACTAATATGCTCTGGAGGCCTAATGTATAGCATGGTGACTGTAGTTAACCTATACTTTAAATGTGATGAGATATGAGAGCAGTTCTCATCACAAAAAAAAGGTAACTGAAGTGAATATGTTAATTTGATTGTAGGAGCTAAAATATTTTATATGTATAATATGTAGAAAGTTATTTTACTCTTATCAGGTAAATAAGCAACAAATCTAAGATTAACTTATTCTATTATTTGAAGGTCACTACAGTTCCAGTAACTTTACCAGGCAAACAATGAAATAACTTAAGAGAAGTTGTCTGTTTGGATAAAGTGAATATAGCCATGCCTAAATACAGTACTACCTATTAAACGCATTCCTCAAGGCATATGAAGCTTATTCTAATAAGTTTATAATTCTAGGTTATAATTATGTATATTTAATGTACTCGGTTCATTCTCAACTAATTTGTAGTTCATGATCTAAACAGGCAAGAAGCCCTTAGAACACATTAAACACATTGTACCCACCTCCATGGCAAAAGGAGTGAGTGCTTGTACATGTCTCTCCCTACAAGTCCTCCCTCCCACCAGAAGACAAACGGAAAGCTGCTCCAACTCCAAGGAGCTTTCAGAGGTGACCTTGTTAGAACAGGGATTTAGAACCCCCACCCCCACCACACAATGTTTCATCTCTTTCACACAGAGAGACTTACAGGTGAGCATCCATGTCTGAAGAAAGTTTCCAAAGCCAAAACGGGTTCATAAGCACTTCAGGTGGCATAGTCAACTGTTCGCTGAGCATTACTACTTCCATCGTTTCCTTCACCCTTTGTTTCCTTTTACCCCCTCCTCTCCTCACCATAAACTGGAGTCAGGTAATTACACTTAGAGATAAATCAAATGCCTGACCCTCAAGTCCTCTGCCCTTCTCCCTCTACCAGGATGGCTTGCTGCTCTATCTTACTACCTGCCTGGATGGCAGACTTGCATTTCCGAGGTCACAATTCTTATTCATAGTGAGAAAATTCAAAGATAAATCAATGGTACAAACACAACATTTGGTCAAACCTAAATTCAGTGTTCAAAGGACAAAGAGATTTTAAAGTCATTCTATTTTCCTTTGTATTACTAAAGAAAATGTTCAATTGCTGATACATATTAAGATACCCGACTCTTGTGTTTGACATTAAAGCATTTTCTTAAAAAATTGTCCCTTTCAAGCAAAATTTCATTAGATTGATTAAACATCCCTTCAGAGGGTCAGCATGCCTGTGTTAGTAGCAGTATAAGACAATATAGGAATAGGCTAAGAGCTTAAAATACATATATTTTTCCCAATACTTTGTATATAATGAGGTGTGAGAGAGAAGTTATTTTAAATGTATGACTAGAATTATAAACTTATCAGAATAAGCTTCACATGCCTTTGACCATGTTTAAAAAAATTCTAACTGGGTAGCCATTAGACCCGGGTGGCTCTAGCACTTTAAATTCCTATGTGAACAAAACAAAGCCCAAGGTAAACAGCAAATTAAAGAAATTGTACGAGTCAGAAATCAACTAACCTCTAACCAGGAACTTTCCACTCTAACCAATCAACACTGTTCTTTGCCTTGCTTCTGCAACCTCTTTACAGTAGCCCCCTCTTATCCAGTTTTGCTTTTCGTGGTTTGTTACCTTCAGTGAACTGTGGTCTGAAAATATTAATATTTTGAGAGAGACCATATTTATAAAACTGGTTTAATAGTATATGGTCATGATTGTTCTATTTTAGTTATTAATCTCTTACTGTGACTAATTTATTAAACATTATAAGTATGTATCCATTAAAAAACATGGTGTATATCATAAGGTTTGTTACTACCCTTGGTTTCAGACATCCATTGGGTGTCTCGGAATTTATTCCCCGTGAATAAAGGGAGAATACTGTATAAAAGTTGCCCATTTTACCCCTCCCAACAGAGCTGCTTGCAGATTGATGCCACCCCAATTCAGGAGTCACTGAATGCTCAAATAAGTGCTTCAAAATTTTAATGTGCTTAAGTTTGTTTTTAATCAACCAGAATAACACAGTTTGGATTGCATTATAATGTGTGGTATTGTGAACAAAACTGACATTTCTGAGTAGGAAGTATGAGACACAGATTCACAATTACTCCATATATAAACTTTTAAAAAGTTGAACATACTAGACATGTTAACTAAAGTTTCAGATTGAACTGAGACTTGAGATCTAGCATTTAAGATCATTACTATTTCCTATAGAGCATCAAATAAAAACTCAGATTACGAGAATTTCTACCTTAAATTTTTAAAGAAAGAGCTCTAAGATGAGGAAATAAATTACAAGTGATGGAAACCCTTTGCCTGAGGACCAGATTATTTCTTTAAAAAATAATGTATGACTTCTGTATTTAGTAAGCCCAGGAGTGGTAGATCAAGGGGCTCCATATGCCACAGAGACAGCTTATCTCTCCCCTCTTCTATGTGCTTATTATACTTCAACTGGGCTTTCCCAACAAGGTGAGAAAGATGTTAATGACAACTTCAAGCTCCACAGATTACCAGTTCAGCAGCCTCAGTAGAGGGAGGACACCTTTTCCTGACACATTCAGTAAATATCCACGGAGGACTCTGATTTAGCCAGGCCAGGAGTTGGAGGTGGCCCTGTGCTATCCAAACCACATGGACCAAGACCCAGCAAGGTTATAATCTTCCAGAGAGAAATCAGGTCCTGCTACCAAACAGGCAAAGATAGCAGATTTCCCCCACAATTCCTAGATATCAAAACAATAACATGAAAATTCTAAATGATTGAAACCAGTCTTTATGGCTGGCTTTTGTCATCTATCACAAAGAACAGAAGCTTCATTCAGCCACACAGCAGAATACACAGAAATCTACTTTTTTAAATGGCTTTATTAACAATTTACATCCCATAAAATTCACTCATTTAAGGTATACAGTTAAATGGTTTTTAGTATATTTACAGAGTTGGACAACCATCACCACAATCAATTTTAGACCATTTTCATCATGCAAAAAAGAAACCCTGTACCCATTAGCAATCTCTTCCATCTCCTATCTCCCCCACTCCTTGCAGCCTATGGCAAGAATGAATATATTTTGTCGTTGATGTACAAAATATTGCACCTGCTTAATGTATACAACTTGATACAACTTCACATATGTACCCACCCATGAAACCATCACCACAATCAAGATAATAAACATTCATCACTTCCAAACATTTCTAAATGCCCTTGTTTTTTGTTGTTTTTGTTTGGAGGGTTTTTGTGCTAAAAATAACATGAGATCAACCCTCTTAAAAATTTTAAGTGAACAATATTGTTAACTATAGGCACTGTGATATACAGCACATCTCTAGAACTTATTCATCTGGTATAACTAAAAATTTATATCTATTGAACAACTCCCGATTTCCTCCTTTCCCCAGCCATTGCTAAACACCATTCTATTCTGTTTCTATGTGATTATTTAGTTAACTCCATAAATGGGAAAATACTAATCTTACCTTCTCATACCTCAAATGGGGCAAAGATTTAGGAAGGTTCTCACAACTAGGGCTGCAAATCTGAGTGGCCCATCCACAAGAATTAAATAGGAAATTATCTGAAGAATTTAATTGACTATTAATTATAATTTACAATTGCCCAAAGACATTTCTTCTCTTGTGCCTTTAGCTGTAAATTACATTATTTAACATATATTGTTATTTCCTTTTGTACCTATTTTACGACAACCATTATGCTTGATTCATCATTTTTCCCTTATGTAGTGCTGTGTAGTATAATATCTTGGAGCTTATGATTTAATAAATATTGATCTCCCTTGGTCTTTATTATGCTAAGAAAAAGAGACCTGGTTCTCTTTTTCAGGTTATCATTAGGCTTGTGAAATGTGATATACAAAGTGGTTTAGAGCCTTGAAATGCAGTCAGGAAGCCATTCTAAGAACTACCTGCGTGACCTGAAACCTTGCAAAACAGGAACTTGTCTTTAACATTTGAACTGGGTCACACCGCCATGACCACAACATCCTGGAAAACAGCCGAATTTCACCAATGCTGCAACTCCTAAACAGTGACAACCAATGAACTGTGGACTCATGTACTAAACCAACCACTGTCACCAGTGATATCTTTCAAAACAACTTGTGATTACCTTCAGCATCCTTTTACAAATCTGTACCATCCTACCTCTCTTCAGAACACAGTTTAGTTTCTAGCTCAGTCTGTCCCTCAAATTGCAATTCCTAAGACCCCAAGAAATGCCTTATCTTACTGCATTGCAGTCTAGTCTTCACCTCTTCCTAGTTGACAGGCTCCACAATAAGATAAACTATGTGAGGAAAGAAGCAAGCTTTGTCAATACAGTCAAATTGACATTTCTAAGAATTATATAAGTTTTCCCCAGAAAAATACAGTGACTTCTCTTCAATTCACACATTTGTTTCTTGAAATTTTGGGGACCACTTACAAAAGTTTAATGCAATCTTACATATTTTGGATAAGTCACTTTATAACATTGGGATCAAAATGCCTACTATAGTTATTTTCTATAAGTGGTTTCCATTAAGATAACTACTTTAACAAATACTAAATTTTATTATATTACTTTAATTACATTACTTTATTAAATACTAAACTTTATTATACCACATTAACTTTCTTTCCAGTAAAATATTACATAGAGTAAGAATTTATATAGATAAGTAGTCATAGATATAATGTTTAAAAATACCTTTTGATATGTCATAGGAAACATTGCTTTTAGCTTCTTCTTCCCCTTACCAAATAGTACCACTTATTACAGTCCTGTGCACTGTTCTGCACCAATAAGTTGAGCCGTTGACAAATGCAATTGGATTATTAAAAATCTTGTTTTCCCTTGATTATATTACAATCTGCAACCCATGACTCTCCATATGGTATTAAAATAAGTTTGATTAGAATTCTAAGGGTAACAGTAAGTGAATCACATTATTATTTCCAAACACATCACTGGTATGAATGAGAGTTAAACACTAACGTATACTTTTAAAACATTATCAACAAATTCCCCCAGTAAACAGCCAAACACCACAGAAAACCAGAATTAATCCTACTATCCAAAATTGTTCTGTGCAAAAATGAAACAAGAATACAATCGACTTCTGATTTGACCCTTATTAAAGTAATGCAGCATATTACAGTGGGATATTCTAATGGGCAAGAGAAAAAAAACAAGTCAGTTTTTTGAAACACACTATTCCATATGGCTTTTCCAAGGAAGTCCTAAATTTGAAGAGAGCATCCTGTTCATTTACATGGTTTCCAACACATTTAAGTTGTATAAAGGAATACCCTAAGGAAGCTTTTCAAGTTTGTAAACCAAGCACTTTGCCTTTACCTTTATTTGCTCCCACCAAAATGCTAACGATATCATCTGAAATTTCCTGCATCCCAAGGCATATGTGTACTAATATTCATTTTACACAAGTAGTTACTACATAGACCATGTGTACTGAAAAGCCTAAAATATTTACTATCTGGCCATTTACAGAAAAAGTGTACCAACCCCCATCCCAAACTAAAGCTAAAGACTTTAAGATCCTCCCTGCTTCATTGCTTTGTTAAATGCTGGCTCAGTCTGTTACTGGATAGTCAAAGTTTCAGATTTAAATTCTGCAGCTGAAATTTACCTCTTAAAAAATCAATCTCCTGTCATCTCTCATAAATTGATACAATTCTTACAAAAAATATGTTTGCACACAGCCCTTCCCTCTTCTGTATTGTAAACCTACCTTTCAGGTACCCTATCATGTAGGTCTCACCTGACTTTTATAAGGAAGGTATACATCTGCCTTGGAGCTATCACAGCTGTTTCCAATTAGCTATCTGACTAAATGATTAGACAACCACACATTTTAAAGTCTATTTTTCATCTATGTAGCTTGTAAATAAAGCTCTAAATTTTAGTCTCTAATCTCAGTTGAATAGAAACCAATTCATGTTGGCCCCATGAAAGAAGCAGGTCTGGGGGCCAACAAACCCTTAAAAGACAAGTGGTCAGCACTAAAACCTCTAAGGGATTGAGGTAGCCCATTGGAAAGAAAAATTTGGAATAGCTATTGATAATCTTTCCATTTATTCCCTTCATTTGAGCACTTGAAAAACTCCTACAGCTGCCTGCCCATCATCTTTCTACTTCCCCTCTTTCTTCCTTTTCTTTTTATTTTTTTTCTTTATCTCCTGGAAGAAAAAAGTGGAACCAGATCTCAGACAGTAAAGAAGCAGAAAGCAAGAGAAAAAATAACTAGTTTAGCTCCTTCTGGGCTTCCACCCTGTATTAGTCTATTTTCACGCTGCTGATAAAGACATACCGAGACTGGGTAATTTATAATGAAAAAGTGGTTCAACAGACTCACAGTTCAGTGTGGCTAGGGAGGCCTCACAATCATGGTGGAAGGCAAAAGTCATGTGTTACATGGCAGCAGACAAAAGAGAAATGAGAACCAAGTGAAAGGGATTCCCCCCTACAAAACCATCAGGTCTCGTGAGACTTATTCACTACCATGAGAACAGTATGGGGAAAACCGCCCCCATGATTCAGTTATCTCCCACCACGTCCCTCCCACAACACGTGGGAATTATGGGAGCTACAATTCAAGATGATAATTGAGTGGGGACACAGCCAAACCCTATCACACCTTAACCCCATATTCTATGTAAAAAGCTTACACTGCCATCTATAAATTATAAATTCAACATGAAATAACATCACAAAAAGCAAAATGTCTGAGACATTAGCCTCATGGATTATGTAGTCTAATACAAAGCCTAAAGACTAACACACAGAAGCAATTAGGTCCAAACCTGTTCATACTGTTTTCAAACTTGAAAGTTAATAAATATGGAAAAATCCTGAACTATAGTTTAAGGATGTTGTCAGTATTCAGATTATAGTTTGGGTCAGGACAGGAAAAAAAAAGTAAAAGGGGATATAGTATATAAAGAATATTCCAGAAAAATCATTGAAAATGCAGCAAGATCTTCGGGAGAAATTACATTTTTCTCTAGCAATAAGACTGTCTTTGAATCTTAGATAAAATTTTTTCCACACAGCAAAGGGAATAGAAGTTGGATACTGACACCCATGAGAAATAACAGTAGAAACAATCTTTGCATCCAAAGGAAAAAGACAAATAAATGAATAAAGCTTTGAAGCATAAAGACCCGAGGCTCCTTCTTGTCCATGTCTCATTATACTTCTCTAACCCTCTGAAATAAAGTAGCCCTGATTAAAAACAGTAGTTAAAAGAGCATCAGAGAGGAAAGGCAGGAAGATGGAAGGAGGAAAGAGAAAAGATGGGGAGGAGGACAGGGAGAATATAATGTGAAATATGAGCAAGAATAAGCTAGACAGTGAAAGAGCAGTAGACGGGAAGCTGGCTGGAAAGCGGACTTGGGAAACAACTCCAGTAGAAAGGGTAAAAGAATGGAAGTGTAGACAGTGGGTGAGACACCACACTGGTGAGGCATGGAAGAAGAGGCAGGAAGGAAAAGCACAAGAACCAAGGAACAAATGGAGGGATCCTACTGAATAAAAGATAACTGAGGAACTGAGAACCTGTGAAGAATTATTCACCAGAAGGAAGCCAGGTTGAGGAAGCAGAAGCAAAGATGGAAGAGAAGATTAGGCTAAAAGCAGAGAGCTACAAAATACTGGTTAGTGTTTAAGATACCACTAGAAATTTGAAACCATGGTAAAATTGTCTATGGGTGTGTTTTTAAAAATTCTAAAGAGGAAAGGGATAAACTAAATTTTAAGAACCTAGATTCTGGTGGGAGGATTGTAGCCAGCTGAAAGCTGAGATACAAATTGTGAAAACTTTGGGGAGTTCATGGAGAAAGCCATCTTTCAACATAACTGGCTGTTCAAGACCAATGACAGGGCAGAGGATCATCAAATGTTGAGAATAGTGTTCTTTTAACATGCTCTAGGGTACAAAGCATATTAACTCATCATTTCACCTGCAAGGGAAAGAGAATAAAAAGCTGCATTGTGTTACTGTGTGCCCCACACAAAGTAGAAACTCATTAAATATTTATCAATAGAATGAACTCTTTTAATGTTGTGAGACAAATATCTTGGATTAAAGTACATTTGAAATCCCAGTCAGTCTTAAGAAACAACTAAGTCTAAGGCTGTAACAAAAAAATGTATATATGAACTAAGATCTAAAAATAGACTGCTATTTGTTGAATTCCCACTGCATATAAGATTCTAAGCATTTTACATATTTTCTCATTTAAACATACAGCATACCTGCAAGATGGATGTTATTTTCTCCAATAAGCAGTTTAGGACATTAAAGCTCAAATAATTTTTGTGGGTTACCCACTGGCCAATATGGACCACTGAATGGATCATGTCTACCAGAATATAAACCCCACAAGGACAAGGGTTTTGGTCTATTTTGTTCTCTACTGTTTCCTCTAAGAAAAAAAAAATGCCTGATGCAAGGAAGAAACTGAACAAACATTTTTTGAATGAATAAATGCCTATTTATGATGAGACAGCTGAATATGACCATGGAAAAAAATGTCAATCTTGCCAACTAGTCTCCTTTCAAATTCATGATGATTAACCTCAAAAGTGGGCTCCTCCTTAATATAGTGACCCAGGTTCATTCAGTCCATTTTTATATATAGTATTTAAAACCATGAGTCGGGATGATATCACTTCAAAGTGACTATAAAGAAAAAAAAAGCCAATATTTACATACCTGGGAGATAAGAAAAACCCAGAAAAATGAGAAAGAGGTGCTAGTGAGTCAGGGTAAGATCCAAGAGAATGTGGTGTCCTAGAAGCAGAGAGAGGGGCATATTTCAAAAAGAAGAGAATTGGCCAGTTTCCCTAGGAAATAGACTTCAAGACTGAGCAGAAGGTTTACTAGGGAGTGCTCTCAGGATCAGCTCCAGTAAGGAACTGGGAAACACAGGGGAGTGCAGCGGGAGAACTGAGATACAATGGCAACAGGATCTGGAGCCAACACAATAGGGACCCAAGAGGCTGTAATAGGCCTGTAGAGATCCCCCTACCTTGAAGCAAGAGGCCTGCATACCTGTCATTAGATGCAGCTGGTCTTGAGGCTGCACCTGATATTCATCACCACATACCTTTCTCCATTAACTAGATTCACTTCACCCTTGGAGATGATCTAAAATTATTCTCCTGACCACCAGACCAATAATTAAAGTCAAGTCACAATAGTACCTGGTCAGAAAAGCGCTGGGCCTGCTAAAAGAGGAAAGTGACTTTGCATAAAAGGAGCTGCAGGACTTAGCAACGTGTTTACTCTTCCACACACCTGGAACCACGTGCCCTAGTAACTTTCCTCCTTAATACTAATTTGTGTCTAGTCTACACCATTGCCATACTGCACACCCATACAACTTCCTCTGTAAACCCTCCCTTAAAAGCTTGTGCCATCAGACACTACCACCGATTCCACCTCCTTGTAGCTGTTATATCCAGAGCCTCTCAATGGGGACTCCAAAGTTTTTGAGGATTTTAGCTTCTGGGTTCAGTATTATTCTTTCCAACACTATTTTGGTCCTAATTTTTGGTGAGTTCAATGTCCACAAAGACAATCCTTGCAATACGTTTGCATTTCACTTGCTTGACCTCCTGTCTTCCAATAAGCCTGTTGTTTACTCTTCCCCATCCCCTCATTTACATCTTTATATCCTGGAGTTTGTTATCAATACCTATAACTAAGACAGTATCCCCTCTATGTCAGTTAAGATTCAGAGAAACAGAAGCACTAAAGATTAGCCAGATTAGATGATAGATTAACAGGGATTGAACCATACAGACTTGAGAGAGCCGGCTACTCATTCTCTGTAAGGCTTTTTTGTCTTCAAGTCAGATGCTGCAGCCTGAAGTCCACAAAGCATATAGTTAAAAAGGGAGGCTGGAAATAAAGTAGAGAAAAGTAAGGACAACTGGAAACCTGTGAGGACAGACTGGAACCCAACCAGTCTCTCACTGCCTCCAACCTTGATAACATGGGCATCCTGCAGAAAAAGTTAGTGTACCTCATTAGGGAGCAAACACTCACCCAGCCTTGGAGTTGGAGAAGCTGAAGAAACATCTAGAGGTGGTGGCAGGCTGAGCTGCTGCCCCATAGCCATCAAATGAGCCAGCAGAGAAGCAACAACATATGTGAGCTACAAAAGTATCCTGCCCAACATTTTGAGCATAAAAACAAAATGGCTGCTACTTCACAACCACCCTCCCTAAATAGAAACAGGCAGGGAAGGAATTCTGGGGGAAAAAAAAAAAAAAAAGTTCAGCTGGGCCAAATTGCCACATCACAAAACTGTTGTCTTCTGCATGATTTAATTTCAAGTATTGCACTCTCTGGCAACCCAGCTCCTATCTTACCAGCTCACTTCCTGTAGAACTTTGGCCCAACAGTTCTTTGACCCCACTGGAACCAACAATCCATTGATGTTTACAAAGTCTCTCAGAGTCGCCATAGCCTCAGTTTCGTCTGTACCCAGGTTATTATTATAATCATTCTCATTGATTATAATAAATGCCTAGTCCAATTTCCTCTCTCTACCCTTATCATGTTCACCTGATAAAACCTCGCCACCCATATTTAAATTCAACTCTCCACTTTTTGTCTGTATCTGCACAGCTGGAACATTTTGGGGCAAAAACCACACAACCATTCTAACTGGCCTTATTTTAAGTTCATAAAGTATGTTAAGTTTATTCACCTCAAGTGAACTCAGTACTCTTCAGCACCCTACTGTATTTCCCTTGTCCGTTCTAGGATACTCACAGATGTACCATCTCACACTTTCTCCATGCCATACCTTTGATGCAAACCTCAAACACATCCACCCCCTTTTCATTCTCAGCTCATGACCTTGCTACCTGTTTGTATCAGTTATAGGTTGCTGCATAATAAATCACACTAAAACATAGTGGCTTAAAAACAAAAACTGTCTTATTTAGATCACCGCTTTGGGGCTTGATAATTTGGGCTGGGCTTACCTTTCCTCAGGTGGGTCCAATTATACGTGTGGGCCTCATGTGGACCTCAATAAAGACAATTAAGATGATGAAGGCAGCTGAGACCTCTCCCCACATGAATTTTCTTTCTTCATCAGGATTCCCAGCATGAAAGTGGAAGCTGAAAGGCTTCTTAAGTCTAAAGTTAGAACTAACACAACACTTCTGCTGCATCCTGTTGTACGGAGATCATCACAGGGCCAGCTTAAAGGGCAGTGGAAATAGACTTAAGCTCTTGATGAGAGGCCAATCTGTGGCTACATTTACAGTCTACCACAATGATTAGTCACAGTAGGGCCATTGTATCACCAATAAGGAAAGAAAATAAAGAAAAATAGAACAGGAAGCAAACACTGTATTTTTAAATCCATTTTATCAATGTTCTCATATACGTTCAGGTTGTAAATATTCAATATTTGTGCTATTGCTTTTACCTTAAATATTGATTGAATCACATATTAAATGGTCTATGTTAGGGGATCAACAAACACTGGTCCACAGGCTTAATTCAGACTGTAATTAAAGTTTTTGTAAATGAAGTTTTATTGCAATACAGACATGCTCCTTTTATTTATGTATTGTTTATGACTGTGTTCACACTACAACAGTGGAGTTCAGTAGTCGCGAGAGAGATTGTATGGCCTGCAAAGCCTAAAATACTCTTTGGCCTTTTGCAGAAAAGAAAACATTGTCAACTCCTGCTTGATGGCATCATTTTTCCATCTCTGAAGTAAGCCAATTTTTTTACAGAATTGTAACAGACATATGGCCCATTACTCAAATCCCATTGGTTTATGCCAAAGAGCTGCCCCAACAAAGGCACAGCTTACAGACTCACCTGTTAATGTTCTAAGAAATTTCTTCGATAGGCTGTCAGATTCTACCACATACAATGAAATATTTATTCCACGTAACAATAAAATTAAAAATCACTGCAAAGGACCAGTACAGCCACTTCTTCAAATGACACTAAAACTTAAGTAATGCAAAAGAAACCATCTTTTACTTAATCTGTGATATCAAATCATTAATCAACATGGAAGAGTAAAATTTAAATATGGTTCTTAAACATTATTGTACTTCAGAGTCATTTGGGGAGGTTGTTAAAGGACTGACTTGTAGGCCCCATTCCTCAAAGATTGTAATTCAGTAAGTTTGAAGGATGGCCTGGAAACTGCATTTTTAAGAAGCATTACATTAATTTTGATGTTCACGGTTTAAAGACTTCACTTTAAGAAACTCTGAACTAAATGGCGTTAGAAACCAGAAATAAATGGGGCTTGGTTAACCATTACTTTTATTTCTTTACTTTCAAGAGAAAAATAAAAAGCATAGTATGTATTCTCATAGGTTAATAAGTAAATAGTAATACATCATTTCCTTAGGATTTTCACTAGAATTTCATTAAAAAGCCATTTTGGGGCACTTTAGATTCTATTTCAAAAGGTTACTTTGTGGCCGGGCACGGTGGCTCACGCCTGTAATCCTAGCACTTTGGGAGGCTGAGGCGGGTGGATCACTTCAGGTCAGGAGTTCAAAACCAGCCTGGCCAACATGGTGAAACCTGATCTCTACTAAAAATACAAAAAAATTAGCCAGGCATGGTGGTGGGTGCCTGTAATACCAGCAACTCGGGAGGCTGAGGCAGAAGAACACTTGAACCCAGGAGGCAGAGGTTGCGATGAGCTGAGGTTGCACCACTGCACTCCAGCCTGGGTGACAGAGCAAGACTCCATCTCAAAAAAAAAAAAAAATGTTACTTTGCTTAATCTCCCTTATGCTCTTCCTGACAATATGAATTAACTCTTTATTTTATCAATATTTTAAAATTATTAAAACTACTGGACTTTATTTGGCATTCTGGAAGGCACTCCTCTATTTTCACACTCTTTCCTTAAAATCCTATTTCAATACTATTTGCTAAAATTTTTCATTAAGAAAAGCAGTGTAATGTAACAGAAAGAGAATTGAAATTAAAAGACACAGATGTGACTCACCTAATATGTGTATGCGATCTCAAAGCAAAATTTTTACATGTAACATGAATAGATGATACCAAATACTTTTTGCCATATCTTACAAATTTGGCAATCTGTGATAGTCTGCTTTTTATATTTATGTCAAGAAAGGCTTTAAAGATCAATTACAAGTGTTTACATGTAATTCTTATTTGGAGAATAAACACCAATGAAAAAAGTTCTCCTCTTGCCAAAAATATTGGGCCTATCTTTAGTAGGCACCTCGATTTAAAAAAAA
This sequence comes from Homo sapiens, assembly GCF_000001405.40. Taxonomy (NCBI): domain Eukaryota; kingdom Metazoa; phylum Chordata; class Mammalia; order Primates; family Hominidae; genus Homo; species Homo sapiens. Next base: position 193,470,155 of record NC_000001.11, on the reverse strand, counting down.
TAGGGACTTTAAATTGACACCAATAGGAGGAAATGGTATTCTTTTTTCCTTTTAAATCCATGAATACATGTAAAGTTACATTTCATTACAATTTCAATTTTATATGACTGCATCATTGGAATGTTGCTAGTGAAATTTGATGATAGTTTAGGGCTTCAGTTCACCTATGAATAACCGAGATGCCTTAGCTGAATGAATTCTTATTCCATGTCTACTATTTTGCTCGAACCATAAATAACGTTCAGGCAGAGTTATGTGGAAGAAAATGAAAAATTTCGTGCAGTCCTTTTGATAGCACAGATTTGGAAGTCCCAAACTTGTTCCCTTTTTTGCATTTATATAGCCCCTTAAATGTAACTTAAATCCCATAAAAATTGGAAGCATTGAATTGATGCCTGGGAAAACCCCAAAAGAATGGAACTCAGAATGAGGCACAGAAGAAAAACAATACTGCTGTGATAATGATTTTATAAGCAAAGTCAATTGCTTTTCATTGTTTTGTTTTTTTTTCTTCTGATTGTGTGGCCATGTGCATATATGCAACAAGAAACCCAGTGATTTTCAGCAAAGACATCAAATAGCTTACATGTCAAAGAGACAAAGCAATGATAGGCCCTCAAAAGTGGGGATAAATGAGAAGCCAGGGCTTTCTGAGCAAGGCGTCCTTGAATAAATGTACCAACAGTAACAGTAGGAGTGGCAGCTTCAAACGTGTATATAGTGCTTGTTAGGTAGTAGGCACTAAATATTCTACCCACTTTACTTCATTTAATTTGCACAAAACATAGAACCCCTTGGGGAAAGTATTATATTCCAGTTTTAGCGATGAGAAAACTCAGTGTTGGGGTTAAGACTTTTGGTCACAATTCCACTGTTAGAAAGACGCAGAGTCAAAATACAAATGCAAATCTGGGGTTTGACCTGAAAGCTATCTTCTCCACTCAGCTAAGTAATGACTTAATTTCTTTTAGAGGATTTGCTTCTTATCTCCCCACTCGCTAACTCAATCTCCTACCCTCTCCATGTACCCAGTGCCTGATTTCTGAACTGTTTCTATTAATATTAAAAGCCCATCAGGACTCCTTAAACGTAGCATGTGCTTAACAAACGGTTGTTCTTTCCTTTTCCTCCCCACTATCAATAATTACTCTTCAGTCGTGGCTCAGCTCTCTGTTGTCTGAAGTGGGAGCTACATAGCTAAAAACATATTCCCACTAAAAAATGAATAATGAAAACTCGTATTAATGTACTGTCTTGGTGCATTTTAACATATGATTCGTGAAAACATAGTGCTAGCCTATGGATTCATTCCAGATTCTGTGACAGGCCAATGGTAGAGATATCTAGGGGTAGGAAGAAGTTGGGGTGACCAACCATTCCAGTTTGCCCCCAACTGAAAGATTTCCTAGAACACGAGACTTTCAGTGCTAAAAGCAGACTGTTCCAGGCAAAGGGGGTCCACTGCTATGGTTTGAATGCTTGTTCCTTCCAAAATTCATGTTAACATTTAATGTCCAATGTAATAGTATTGGGAAGTAGGACCTTTAAGAGGTGATTAGGTCATGAGGGCGCTACCTTCATGGGCAAGCTTAATGCTTTTTTAAAGAGGACTTTCAGGAGTGAGTTTCTCTTTCTTGCTCTTCCACTCTTCTGCCATGTGAGGAATGGCGTTCCCTGCCTCTGGAGGATGCAGCATTCAAGGCACCATCTTGGAAGTGGAGACTCAGTCCTCACTAGACTCCAACTCTTTCAGTTCCTTGATCTTAGGCTTCCCAGCTTCCAGAACTGTGAGAAAAACATTTCTATTTTTTACCCAGTCTTAGGCATTCTGTTATGGTAGCACAAAATGGACTAGAAAAATAACCCTATCCTAACTCTTCTGAAAGTACTCCAGTAATATTCCCTTAGGGTTGGTCTACTAGTACAGAAAGGCCATACATTGTTTTATTCACTCCAACTCACATACATAACCATTAGTTGGGGAGACACTTTGAGAAAGATGGATGATAATATAAAAATGTGAAGCAAAGGAAAAGTATATAACCCCCAAACATGCTTTTAATATCACTAATCTAATTTCACCTTGAAATACTCAAGAGAACCCTGGCTATACTCATGAGGCCTCTATACAATTACATTATGTAGTAAGATTACGTTTTTCCATGCTTGGGTTGATTTCCATGGAACTGGACTTACTCAAATATTTAACATTTGTTTTATATAGATAAATTTACTCAAAACTAAGTTTACTAGTATCACATGTCTATATGCATACTTGCTTCCTCGCAGCATGAGGAGCTAATAAGACCAAAGTAGTTATTTACTTTGACAGAAATGTTCAGTGATTTGTATTTTGAGATAAACCCTAAAATTAAAGTATTGTTTACAATTTTATATATGAGAAACTGGTTAAGCAATTCTCTATAAGATAGGGAAGTCTAAGCTACTCTTAAGGCTTTATAATATCTGCATCCTATGTCTTCTAGAAATTCTGTTTACACACATTTTATACCAATAAAAATGGGAAATAAATTTCTTAAGCTAAGGCAAAAGACAATAGCAGTGCAATTTTTGTTGAAATTTCTTCAACTACTTTCTCAGAAAAATCATAGCGCCCAATGGCATTTAGAACTTTTTCATAGAACTAAGTTTTCAGAAATAACAAAATGTAAGCTATATACTGAAAAATTTAATGTCCAATTTAAATAATATAATGTCTATACACATTCTAATACCTTTATTATTTTAAAAATTTTGTTTTCTATAAACCTTTTTCAAGTCTGTAAGACTCTTTCCTACGTGTGATACTAGTTGGGACAATATCCAAAGATAGGAAAAAATAAACTATTTTGTATTTAATAGTGTATTATTTTTTGTAGCTAAATGGTATTACACTATTGTTCCCAGCTCACCCTGGAGGGTGTAAGGAAGTGGGAGATGGGGTGGGAGTGGTAGATGAAGAAAAGGTGAGTGGAGGTGAAGAGATGAAGGGAAGGTGGAAAATATTTTAGTCACTTTTCAGGTTGTGGTACCAACTCTTCCTCACCACCTTTTCCATAAAATACTTTAAATCATAAATGCTGCAAAGGTAGTTCCATGCTGTCAACACTAACAGTAAATAATGGGTCAAGAAAGTGGATTAAAGCAAAAGTATGAAGTTTCTACGGCTAATACTTCTCTGTATGATTTTGTGAGGAAATATAGTTGTTGAGTAAATTACATTTTCATCACCATATGCTACATGTTATTATTTATTATTTTTCCAGTGAGTAATTACGGTTTTTAATTAACAACAAACCAATGAAAATTAAATGTATATACTTATGTCTAAAATTAATAGAGGTGGCCGGGCGCAGTGGCTCACACCTGTAATCCCAGCACTTTGGGAGGCCGAGGTGGGCGGATCACGAGGTCAGGAGATCGAGACCATCCTGGCTAACATGGTGAAACCCCGTCTCTACTAAAAATACAAAACAAAATTAGCCGGGCGTGCCGGCGAGCGCCTGTAGTCCCAGCTATTTGGGAGGCTGAGGCAGGAGAATGGCATGAACCCGGGAGGCGGAGCTTGCAGTGAGCCGAGATTGCGCCACTGCACTCCAGCCTGGGCGACAGAGCGAGACTCCATCTCAACAACAACAACAAAATAATAAAAAAAAAATTAAATTAAATTAATAGAGTAGGAGCAAAAGGCAAGTGATGTCAAGAACCTCTTTTATTTCTGCCAAAAGCACCTCTTCCCTATGTTGATGAGTTAGCATACATTATTCCTCCAGTCTGTGCTCAGAGACTGAAGCAATATAGAAGGAGAAAAATGAAGTACAAGTTAGAACCAATAATACCTTACACTTACATAGTGCTAAACATATGCCAGACACTCTAAATGCTTTACACATATTAGTGAAAGTTAATATATACCTCATTAAGGGCCCACCCCACAAGGAAGATATTATCTGCCCCCCAGATAAAGATATTAAAGCAACAGACTTTGCATAACTTACCTAAAATGATATACTTAATAAGTAGAAGAATTGGGCTTTCAACACAGATATCCTGGTTCCAAATTCTGTGCTCTTAATCACTCTCATCTCGCTAAGGAAAAATAATGGCTATTCACAAGTATAATATCAAATTAAAATAGTTAGAAGGTAGTGGATCAATGAGCAATCTAAAACAGCATGCAACAACATAGAGGAATCTCACAGACACAATATGAGTGAAAGAAGGCAGGCAAAAGAGTGTATTCTGCATTATTCCATTTATTGTATATAGTATACTAGTATATATAGATATATACTATCTACATTATTATAGATATATAGTACATGTCATATAGTGTATACAATATGTAATATATACAGTATATACACTATGAGATATCTAGACATATATAAACTATTTATTTATACATATATACTATATATATAGTATATATAATATTTTTCATTTATATATGCCAAATGACAAAAAACAGGCTATGCTGCTGGAAGTTGGGATAGCAGTCACCCTTGGGAGAGAGGGGTAGTAACTGGAAGGAAACACGAGGAGGGCTTCTGGATGCTGTTAGGCCTGCTTCTTGTTTGTTTGTTTGTTTGTTTGTTTGTTTTGGTCTGGGGTATTGATTACCTGGTGTGTGAGCTTGTGAAAATGCATCCAGCTATGTACTTATGATATGTGCCCATTTCTGTGTGTATATTGTATTTCAATAAAAGGTTTTAAAAGGAGGAAATGATAGGAGCTTTTAGATTATGTCAAATAAAGCAGGGAATGGCCCTCTTTTTTTTTTTTTTTTTTTTTTTTTTTTCTGAGATGGAGTTTCACTCTTGTTGCCCAGGCTGGAATGCAATGGGTCGATCTCAGCTCACTGCAACCTCCACCTCCCGGATTCCAGTGATTCTCTTGTCTCAGCCTCCCGAGTAGCTGGGATTACAGGGGCCTGCCACCATGCCCAGCTAATTTTTTGTATTTTTAGTAGAGATGGGGTTTCACCATGTTAGCCAGGCTGGTCTTAAACTCCTCACCTCAAGTGATCAGCCCACCTCGTCCTCCCAAATTGCTAGGATTACAGGCGTGAGCTACCGCACCCAGCCTCCTCAGTTTTACTAACACTCTCCTTCTGTCACATTCTAAGCTAGGAGATTCTAAAGTGTCATATCCCCTTCTATGCCTTTCCTACCTTTCTTTCTATTTTTCTCTTTAATTTTCTTTTTTTTTAAGTCTTTTTATTAAGGTAAAATATACACATATAATGTATCATCTCTGTTGTCAAAAAAAATCTAAAAAGAGGGAAAGCTATTTTTAGTTTCTTGCACTAAATAATAATTTGAATATCCAGCCTCACTTTTATTTAGGGAAAAGTGTTACAAATAAAAGATAAGAAAGATAACATTTTCTGAACCATCAATAATTAAAGAAGTTAACAGTGACTAAATCGCTTTTTCCCAAGCATGAAGACTGGTGTATAAATGTGTCTCCACCTCCTGTAAGACACTCTTCCCTTCCTAAGTACTGCTACAGCCAGTACCAGAAGGGGGTGGGAGGGGAGGTGCTGTTAGAGATTGGGCTTTTTTCAGAGTTCGAAAGAAAAAGAGAAATCCAGAATTCACAATTGAAAGCTTTGAAAAAGTGTAAAAACTATGATATCTGATTTCACGGCTCTCAAACTCTCAGAACATTGGTTTTGAACAGGACATATCTTTCTCCAAACTGCCATATGGGCCTTTGAGCCTGAGATATCTAATAATGAGAAAAATAAGGGAGAAAATACACCACATTCCCAGAGATTGTTTCTAATGGAAACCCAGTTTTGACAACCCTACCACCTGCTTTATATCATTAAACTGAAAGAGACTATGAATAGGCAAGGGGTGAGGAGAGACATTGCTAATAAAATATTTAAGAACATCAGGAAGAGCCACGTCAGGCTTTTAGTTTACCCAGAAAAAGCATCTTCCTAAAGTATCACTTGACCAAGATTTACTGTATTAATAAAATCACCTTCAGATTATAAAGATAGAAAAATGCATAAAATGCAGGCAGATAACCTATTTTTAAAATCTGGAATGAAAGGACAAAATGTTTTAGATGAAAGACAATGCTAAGCATCTTGCCCTTTGAGGTTGCAGTGTTTACTTTGACCTCATTATTTGCAGGTGATTGGTACTAAGTACCAATATCTGAAAATCATCTGAGATGTCCACATAACGTTGCATAAGATTTAGTATGCCTTGAAACAAACTAACAAACAAGCAGGGATGACTACCTAGTTAATGTCTGAACACTATCTCCTCCACAATTATTGTTGCTAGAGGAGATGAATGATTGATTGTATGTGATGGAATTTACCATCTTTCAAATGTGCATTTTCCTCTTGAATACTGAAATAATGATGGTCCCAGAGAGCCATGCACATTGCCCAATCCATCAGCATTTTTCTCCGTGTTTGACTTTCATTCCTCTGCATTTGATTGCTTCTGAAATAATGGTAGCAGAATTGAAAATGCTTTTTATATTCCCCAGATGATTTTCATTTGCAATAGATAAGCAAATGCAATTTTTCCTATTACACTAACCAGGAAAAGACACCCCCATACATTATAGCGTTCAATAAATACAGGGGAGGGGATTCCATTGGGTACGCTAGCACACTCAAAAGAGAAGGAACTAAGAATGACGTGCAACTAAGCAAGCAAAGTCTTTTTCATCCACACATGCCTAGAAAGTGAGTAGATGTCCTATCTACACATTAAAAGTACACGTCAACCTAATTCTGGGGCCTATTTTCTACATATAAAAAATGGGATTAAGCACAAATCCTGTGCAGTGATTTTTTACTAATTTAAAGTGACATGAGAAGCTTGAATTATCTATCATTTCAGTACATTTGAGTTAATAGCTCTGTCTGGCATTAGTTTCCCTACAATAGAATTTCTCTCCCTACCCTCTTTTTTGCCTCACCCACAATACTTCACCAGTCAGTTTTTGAACAATGGGAAATTGTTTTCTTTGTGGCATTTAGTACTTATCACTGACTGCGGAGGGATTTGCGGAGGAAAATTCCTAAGAGTTTTGCAAGAAAATGTGAGCTGTCAACCTGACTGATCTGCATAAACTCCCTCCTAAATCTCAAATATTTTGCTTTTGTTTCAGGTTATTTTCAATGAGAAAATAACATGAAGGGAGAATGTTTTAAAAGTCCAACTTTCGGCTTCTTTTGCTTCATATTTTGTTACTTTCTCTTTTTTTGGCAAGAGAAACTTAATTATGTAAAGTAGCAACAGCTCACCCAGATCTTGCACTGATCCACAGCACAGATAAGCAGTTTTGAGGAAGTTAAATATTCAGTGAAGACGCTACTAATCACTACCCCAGGAACAGCCCCAAAGGAAGATTATTCTTTGCATTGTGGATGCGCCTGTCATTTGCAGAGCTTTGCAAATACTCAAAAAAGGCAGAGGCTTGGGGAAAAATAACTCTCAAAAGTGAAAATGTAAAATTTACATTGTTTCATAAATTGTACCATCATAATAAAGGTTTATAACATTTTTCTTAGAAATTAAGAGAGAAGCTAGTCTTCTTATAGTTTCAGAAGAAAATGCATTGGAAACAAATCTTATGTGATATGAAATCTCTACAAATTCAGCGATTTGGCTGAAAAATATCTGCATATATACAATGCAGCATTCTTTAGAAATAACAATGCATTCTGAGGGCATTTCTAACAAGGCTAGAAATCATTTCCCCCATATTTTATTCAACTCTTGCCAAATATAGTCTCAGGTTGGTACCTACAAGCACACTTCATCACATTATACTTGGACCATAAATTATTATTAGAAAAACTTCCTAACCTTGAAATTCAATCGGTTCTGTTTGGGTAATCTTGTAGTTTTTAGAAAATGCATCCACATCTAAACTTAAAACAAAAGAATAAAATTTAAAAAAAATCAATGAAGGTATAATTAACAGTATAATAATATAGGTAATACATGTATGAGTGAGATATTCAAAAATGTAATTTAAGCAATATCACTATAAATTTTATAATTTTAGATGCCCTTAGATATGTCTAGGAATAATAATCATGTATTTGCAGCATTCATGTCAGGCTCTTCCTACACAAATTTTTGAGACTGAGAGTTTGATGAAATTTTATGGGTTGTGCATGAACCATGTTTGCGAGGGCTCAGACTTTCATGATAAACTCTGGCTCTGACCTGCTGCTTCCATGCACACTCCCCTTTCACTCCTTGCCACCTGCTTCAGGCATCGTCTTGCCTCTGCTGTAAACTGAACTAGACACAGAACTCATTTTCTTTTCACTGATTTCCGCCAACAAAACAGCCACAATTTTAGCTGAAAGTCTGGGGAGCAAGAAGCTCAAACAACTGAAAAGTGATAAGATGTCCCGTTCTTAAAAGTGCCTTGGCAAGCAGCAGCCTTTTCTCACTTCGTGTCTTCTCTTCTCTTGTGGGTGCCCACTCCTTCTAAATTCCCAGTCATTTCTCCTGCAGACTGGTTTCACCTTCTTTTTTCTCCTTTCAGACTTGCACTTCCAGTCTCCCTTTCCACCCTTGATGCTTAGGTGCTAGAAAGAGAAAGGAGTAGAGGCCATACTAACAACAGTCCTGTGCCATTTCTCGTACTACTTTGGAACATGCAAATTCCACAGATGTCTATCTGTCTGGGAACCTGGGATAGAAATGGGCTTGTGGGAGTAAAATTATTTAAAGTTAAAAAATGTGGCATTTGGACACTAATAATTATCAGGTTAATTGTTCTGAACACTAACAATTATCAGGTTAAATTCACTCATTTTGCAGAGATTTAACTAACCAGAATTCTCAGTAGCAAAACCAAGCCACGAACTCAGTTCTCCCAACTTGCAAGTTCATGATTCTTTTCTATCATCTAATATTTTTACCTTGTGTTTTTTTTAACTTCAAGGCACTTTCTTATAAATATCATTTCCTCCTCTTATATTTCACACTCAGAACTTACTACAGAGGTTAGGTACACGAACTTGGCTTTACTGTCAATGTTTTAAGAATTCTGACAGCTTTATTGACTAGATTTCTATAATGATAGGGGATTCATTTGTCCATGAGAAGCTACAGGTAGAGAAAATAATCCCCAAACTCTCTTTTTTCATGAAAGAATGTGCAAAGCCCAGACAGAACTGAGAAATGGAAAGGCTCCTGGGCCTAATGGAATGCTTACTGAGATCTATTGATTCTGAAGCAGCACATTGATTGGCCATCTAACTCCACAGTCTGTAATGTCTAGCCGAAAGAAAAAGTATGGGAACAGATAAAAGATGTCAGGGATGTCACCAGCTGTGATCACAAGTTTCCAAAAGGGATTGTGACAGTTAGTGAAGCATCTCTTTAACGTTAGTCCCCAGGAATATACTGTCAAGTATTTGTCTCAGTAAGAACCATGTGGCATCTCAGATATTTTCACTTTAGAGTCACATGCAGTTTTAGTATCTAGGTTTGTTTAGATGTTTACATATTGTGAATCACTTACATTGTTATTATGTATTGCCAACTGAAGAAAAGTAAAGAAATAGAGACTTTTAGAAAGTCCTTTACCATAAGGCTTTATTCCGTCAGTCATCCAGACTTCCAACTCTATAAGGGGCTGAATAGATAAAATTAAAAATAATAATAATAATAAAAGAACAGCAGCATGATATAGGGTGTAGGCACAGGAACTTGAACTAGGCTGTCCTGGTGCAAATCCTCATTCTAACATTAAATGGCAGTATCTTTGGGAAAGTCATATAACTTACTTTTCCCTCAGTTTCTTAAACTATATTATAGGGATAATTAATCATACCTACCTCATAGGATTAAATCAAATTGTATTTTTAAGTGTGTAGAAAAATGCCTGGCACCTAATAAGTGACATAAACTGTTTTTAATAAAATAATAATAATAACTTACACCCAGACAGCTGGATTAACCTGCAGGCACATCAGACTTCCTTACTATTTCAATGCTTCCCAGCAGACAGGATCACAGGGTAAATTGATTCAGACTGCCACCAGATAAAAAGATAAGGATGGGAAATTTGGTTTGTCAAATCCAAAAATGGTGTTTTAATATTATTAGAAAAGTCTTTACATCCTACTAATCTCCTCAGGTAAAACTGAAAACCAAAAAATGATTCATTTCTTATGTCTAGAAACAGAAAATATAGGGACAATCAATCTCCTTTGTTAGTAGAGATATTTAACTTCAGGTTAGCTAACCTCTGCCACTCAGCAGGGTCCCCCAACCACCAATTATTGTGTATTCAGGGAGTGCAAACCAATTAACCTGAGCAAACAAGAATAAAAAGATAAGTCTCACAAAGGGGAAAAACCATACAGTGCTCTCCCAAAATTATTCCCTTTGCGAACTGCAATCTTTATTGATTCTCTCATTCTCTTCTTTCTTAGTCAGGGTGGCTAATAAAAAGTTGACTATATACAATTTTTCTATAAAGCTAAATGTTCCTGAAGGATGTGAGAAATAAAAGGAGCTAATATGACTACATTAAAATAGCAGTCAGAATAGTGTACCACAGGAAGGGAATAAATTAAAAATATTATGAGGAATGAAAAAGAATTCAAGATTAAAACAAAAACCACTTACCCAACTAGAAAGGGGAAAAAATAACTACAACCAGGAACATCTACCTAACTTGTGGGGACCAATACAAAATGAACAGGCAGAGGTTCTTGTTCAAAACGTATTAAAAAAAATAAGATGGTAAGAGCAGAGCACTAAACCAAGTGTGGGGTCCTTCTAAGCGTGTACCTGCATAGGTCATGTGCCCATGAAGCCCGCCTTGATATGAAGACATGAGCTTATAAGTATTAGAAAATGAGAAAAGATCAAGGTAAGCACATAAATTCAGATGAAAGTCTAGAAACATTTAAGGCACAAGAAAGGGAAATATTGGAAGACCTGATAAAAGGGGTTAGATTAAGTGAATGTCAGAGAATAGAGGGAGAAGACTAGGAAATAAAGATGAAAACGTGAACAGATAAGAAAGGCCAAAGTGAAAAGACAAACCTAAGTCAACTCCACCTGCAAAAAGCACAATAGCAAGGTAGACCAAAAGAAGCAAGTCCATATTTGACCCTCCAAATCAAGCAACCAACAAGTTGGTACCATGTGCCTTCATGCCAGGGAAATGACGATTCCAGCTACCAAAGAGCCTAATTAGAAGCAGCGGAAGAGGGACTGTGAAAAGGGCAATGACTAAGTGTTACATAAAAAGTTCTTTCAAAGTCCTTTGAGTAGGAAAACATCTAAATGTGGGTCAACCTATTTTTTTAGAATAAAGAGAATGTCTGACAATTGAAACCATACTATCATAACTAGCTTTTCAAATGATAGAATAGATAGGGCACTTGAACACGAACAGACAAAATGATTCATTATGAAACACCGCTTTATGTTACACAAAAATCAAGAGTTAGATAGCTATTATATATGATGGCTAAAAAGGATTGCCAGCCACTATACGCAGCCAAGAAGAACAAAGAACATATTCACAAAGCAGTTAGTTCATGTTTTTATTGCGAACAATAATCAAAATAACCGCTGGTTGAAGTGCAGGCTTTGATATTTTTTAAAAAATCCAGTGTACACATGTGTATCAAATGAGTTGAGGCATTCAGATCTATTACCTTGAAAAATTACACTTGTATCCCAATCAAGCTACAATTGCTCAAAACATTTTTAGACCTGTTCTTTCTTCGCGGATAATTTTTAACCTGCAAGTGTTTGGAGCTGTTTGGTTTTTTAAAAAATAAAAATCTGGATCAAAAATTATAAAATTAAGAAGTGTTTTTCTTTGTGATTCAAACCAGTTCTGAAGGTAAGATTTAAAAATACAGAATTCACAAAACGTTTAAAAGTGAAGACAGGATTATGAAGTGAGTAGATAGACTACCTTGCTCAACAGTCTCATAAATATATAAGTGTAAGAAATCAGAGAAATTTGGAACTGTAAACAACCTTAAAGACTATATAACCTAGCTATAGCTTCCTATTAAATGGATGAAGAAACTGAGGCCCCCAATAGGTGGAGATTTTCCTGAGGCTATACACCTGGTTCAGGGAGAGGCAGGACTAGAACACAGTTCACATTTTTTCTCATCCAGTAGTCTTTCCACACCACTGGGAACATCTGCCAAAACCGTATGACCTTCTAGAAAGTCATTGAGAACCACAGATATCATCTACAAACATGCTGAATCGTTACCATTTCTGAAAGGCAAGTCAGTCAGTCCTGGTCGTCATGGCAATAACTCTTCACACTCACAGCCTGACGATTACAAATGTAAAATGCAGCCGACCAAGACAGGAATAAACCTTATTAAAACAACGTTCTAAAAATGGCACCGCTTACCTGGTTTGCCCGTTCTGAGTTGCAGAATCTTGACTGCAATTGTCGTGTAAGCTCAATTCAGTCCAGACATCTATATTTAATAGTATCAAGAGATATTCTTTGTCTTGGGACTTTAGGAGGAAAAAAAAACAAAAGTGATTGAGCATAACAACCAACATTAGGAAACTGAAATTTAAAAGGTTACTGTACATGCATTAGCATAATTACACACAAAAAAAACCTATAAATGAACAGTGATGTTCTTATATTAAATCTACTCGCTAGGAATTAGTGAAGCCTGGAGCCTCTTGCCTCTGCTTTCTTCTTTCTCTTAGTGTCCATTTTTTCCTGACAATGCTGTTCTTTTCCCATATGCGTGTTGTTGTGGCTGATTTTTTGTATGACAGCACTAATCCAGGCTCTGTGTCTACAGTCACTCAGAATTCAAATTCAAAATAACAGAGTCTTAGTCCACTGTTTCTCAAGGAGATGTTTTGCCCTCTACACTGCAATATGAAAAAAACAATGCCTATAACCAGCAACTCAACATGTGTTTTCTATTCTAACCTGAAAGTTTCATTCTGTAAGTTTCTACCCAGCAACTCTCAGTGACAAGAGAAATTTCCAAGTCTAGCCCAGCCTAAAAACTGATCACCCACAAAACAGAAGTGGGAACCCAATGAGGCTCCTTAAGTAAATGCTGCAACCTAACATTTAATCATGCAAACATTCCACAATACACATGAGTGATAGTTCAAAGATTTCAAACATTTATGCAATTGTGTGTCACAGAGTGGTTTTTACATACATTTTCTCGGGGCATGTCTGTGTCTAATAGCTGGGTATGGCTGGTTTGTGTTTTATATCACCTCATCAGCACTCAGAAGAGAACAGTCGATTACTCTCTGAAATCCAAGTTTTTCAAAACATTCAGTATGGACAGGAGTGACATCTTGTTACCTTTCCCAAGTAACCCTTTCCTACCCCTCCTTCACCTATTCACTGTGCCTTCTGAAACTTCAGATCTGTGGCCAACAAACCTACTCATATTTTCACCTTTTCTTTAAATGACCCTTTGCACTGTGCTTATCTAAAATTCTTCTCTGCAGCTGTCTCAGGGACAGAAAAGGAGCCGGTGTTCTTTTTGACCCACATAGCTGCTTCTAAACAGTTTATTTCTCCAAAAGCTTTCAAAACCCACAGCTTCTCTGAAGCTACGCCATCTTGCTATGCCACCCACCTTCTTGTGCTCTCCTCTATGGACTTCATTCATATGGCCCCCCATTTATTGAAGACATTGCTGACTCCCTACATTTCTTCTACCCCTACAGCATTTAACATTCCTTCAGACTTCAGCAACCACATGATGTCTCATCAGAAACCTTGGTTTACCAGTTCTTCTATTTCACCTCCATATAGTTCTCTTCCACTTTAGCCAACCGTTCCTGTTGTTAAAACTGACACCTTGTAAATATCAGTAAATGAGTCATCACCAAAATTTCCATTTGAAATCTACCACTTTGATACTTCTCTTCTTCTAGCTCATTCTAGAATGTTCACTTCATTCATTCTACTTCACTCTGACCTTCATCCATGGCCTCACTACTTTTTCATTCCCATCCTGTTCATTTTCCTTCTTATTCAAACTAGATGTAAGATCCATGACTATAATCATTCTCTAGGAAACACCCTCAACTTCCTCATCATATTTCATTCCATTGTAATTAACTGGGAACCTTTTTTTGTTCTCTTCCTCTTGCCTGCCTGCCACTCAGCAGCTGAATCTAAAAAATATCACACATTGGCTTCTTGGTTTCACCGTAACTTCATGATAACAGACCTAAAATGATCAGATACCAATCCCCAGCAACGTTAAAATTTTTCCCAAGTAAGTTCATTTTTCCCCTTCCAAGATGACCTTCCTTTCTCTTTAAACCTCCTCTCTATCCTTTCCGATGAGGATGTTGCCACAGAGTCATTAAAAAAATAGAAACTACTAGATTAGAATTCCTTCATAGTGCAAATCAATTCTGCACATGTTTCCTCTTTGCAATTTTAAGTGTCTTTACACCTACCAAAAGAAATTGTTTCCACAGGCGCTTTTGCTCCAACCCTCTCACCTTCTCAAGAAGTGCACAGCTTCAGCCATCTCCCCATGCCCTACCATCCACCCATTCTCTCTGTCAGATCATTTCCACACATATTTTCACTATCTCCCATATATTTTTACATATATTTTCACTGTCTCCCATATACCTTCACTATCTTCCATCTTAAAAAAAACAAAAACTCTCTTAAGCTCATAGTCCCCAATCCAGCATGTTCTCTTTCTCCTTCTTTCCTCAACAAAACTCCCTGAATGAATTGTCTACATCTGCTAGCTCTACTTTCTTATTTTCAAGTCACTTTTCAATCTATTAAGGTTGCCAACAACCTTTTGTTGCCAAATCCATGATCACTTTTTTTTGTTCTTATTACACGTATTTCTTCAGCAGCATCCTTCGGTGGTCACATTCATTCCTGCACTTTTAAATATCATCTATGATAACAAATTTCAAATTTATACCTAGATCAAAGTCCAGACTTCACCACCACCTACTTGCAAACTCCTCTTGAATGTGTAATAGGCATCTCATAAGACAAAAAAGTCCTTCCCAACTCAGGAAACAGAACCACAGTCCACTGAATTATTCAAGCCAAAATCAATGACTCTTTCTTTCCCCATTCTTTCCAAGCCATCAACAAGTCCTACAGATCCAAAACGCATCTCAAGTCACTTCACTGCTCTCCATCTGTACAGCCACCATATTCCAGGCACTGTTTCTTTCCAGGACTCCTTCCACAGTCTCTGAATTGGTTTTCTGTTTCGTATCACTCCCACAACACCAATTACTCATTCCCCATAAAATAGTAAGATATTTAAAAAGATAAGTTAGATTGCATTATCCCTTGCTTAAAATCCTTCAATGTTATCCTATTTCTCTCAGAATAAAACCAAGTTTCTAACCATAGGTTTGTGCCCTATTCAACCTCACTCTGCACAACACTCCCCTCATTCACAATAGTGCAAGAACATCGTCTTCCTTCCTGTATATTGTTTGAACACACCAACTCTTTTTCTTCCTCTAGGACTTTGCATGTGCTGATCTTTCTATCTGAAATGCTTCCTCTCCCTCCTCTCCTCTTACCCCCATTTCACTTGACTGACATTCTCATTCTCAACATTTGGCAAAGATGTCACCTCCTCAGAGAAGTCTTCACTAGCCTTCCTCTAGAGTAGCCTCCCACAGATATTGTCTATCTCATTATGTTTATTTTTCCTAAACTCTAATTACAATCCATAGTTACCTTATTTATATATTTGCTTACTTTTTCATTGTCTTGTCTTTCTCATTATAGTTGAAGCCCACTGATGACAGGGACTCTGACTGTCCTCATCACTGATGAATCTTCTGCACCTAATGCATTAGCACATTGTAGAAATTCACTAAAGATCTGCTGAATAAATGAAGAAATTTGTTTCTGGTACATTTTACCTATAATATATACATTGAGGATATTTGAGAAATAATTGAAGATATGGCTTAAATTTTCCACATACTTCATTTTCAAAATTATGCATTGCCTTTGGTGTTAAAGTTTTAGGTTTAAAAATAGTTGTGTTCTTGTTTATTATTATTTGTTTTTTTAAATTTATCTTTAATAGACAAAAATTATATACATTTATGGTGTACAACATGTTTTGAAATATGAATACAATGTGGAATGACTAAATCTAGCTAATTAACATATGCATTAGCTCATATACTTATCATTTTTTTGTGGTGAGAACACTTCAATTCTACTCTTTTAGTGATTTTCAAGCATGCAGTATGTTATTAACTATAGTTGTAGTACTGTTAATAGCATCTTTATTTAGCCTGTTATTTGCTTGGAATGTTTGGATGTTTTTACTGCCTAGATTTAGACAAGCATATGGTAACCAAAGCGGGTTACAACATATAAACATAATAATATTAACAACTACCATTTCTGAGAGCTTACTATATGCCAAGCACTGTTCTAAATCTCGTGTATACTAAACTAAAGCATGATTATTATGCCTGCTTAATGGGTGAGGAAATCATATATACCTTCTGATTTGAAGTGGTCACAAGTAAGGGAACATTTTATAATCCTCTTCATTAGGACTCAGTAGTATTAATTGTTAGGAATGACTAAAAAAAACAGTACAAGCATCTTTTTTGGGGGGAATCACACATGCTGAAAAGGCTTTCCATAATCTTTCTTTGAAAAGACTTCTTCACTGAGGTAATAAAACTCATAGTGTATTCAAACCAATAAAACCAAATGCTTAAATCAAATATTTAAACATTCATTTATATGCATTTTACATCTCTCTGTAGAGTAAAATAAAGCATCCTTTGACCAGAGGCTTTCCTCCCATTTCCCCTGGGTCCAATGTCATGCCAGCCCATTTCACAGATAATAGAGCTGGGATGGCCAGCAGCAGCTGATGTAGTATTGATTACTTTATGACACTACACATTGAATATTTAGTCTAATAAATGATTCTCCTGACTCCCTCTGAGTCTCTAGCTCGAGAGAGCTGTAGCTGCCAGCATAGTTGGAATTAGACCACCTCTTCATTGCCTTTCCTTTACATGGATACTGGAAAAGCAGGGTTCCATTTTCAAGAGTAACAATGGAGAATGTGGGCTATGATGAGAATAGAGTCAAACTGAAGATTATTTATAAGTAATTACATTTTCTGTTTTGTTTTATGAAACATATACCATATGTTTTCATATTAATGGGTTTTTACATTTTGAAAGAAAAATTATTTATATATGTTGAATCTTCTCAAATGGTCTTAAAACTTATGATTCTAACAAATAACCTTGAAAGGCTAATAAATTAACTCTGTATCATAATATAAAATTAAGAAATGATTGTGAGGGGAAAGGAAGAATGAATTTTGAATTTCTTTTAACAGAAAGAGACTGTCAAAATGCATCTGGATTCTGCAAAAGAGTGCTGGATCTTGGCAAAGGAGTAGCATATCAATAACCACACACCTCCCCCTAGAGTATGCCTCTTATCATCCTCAACTCTTATTCACATGTTCCTGAAGCATCACTGTATTGGCACTTCACGTGCACCATTATAGGTCTTCCTAGCCCGCCCACCCCACACTTCAGCCCCTGCTACAGCAATCAGTTCTGCACAGGCTCCTACCACCTTCCCAAAATGTAATCTGACAACTCTGAACCTTGGCCTATGCTTTTTATCCCAGGACTTGTCTGAATCTGATCATCACTCAGGTGTGCACCACATTGTAGGGAGCATAGTTAATGCCTATGGGGTTTCCATTGACCACTGGGGAACCGATAGTGGATACGTGCTTCCACTTTGGTCCCCACGCTGGACAGTTCTGAAATATATTTAATTTTGATAGGCTTCTTAGATGATCCCAGCAACATCCAGCACCATTCAACCCGCAGCAGTAGCCAACTTGATAGCTCATCCTTATTTTGGCTTTCCTAGCTTTGCTATGCCCCTAGCCCTTCACCCCTGGCCCCTGCAATTAGTCCCCAAATAAACTTGCATGCAAGACTTGTCTTAAGCTCTGCTTTCAAAGGAAGTCAGGCTAAGACATTTCTTTCATGTAAAAAAATTTTAGGTTGGGCAAAACATTATGTTATTCTACTGATAAGTGATTTTAAACATCTCATATTTATAATTAATAACAAATATATTATGAAACAAAATGCACATTTTACATTTATTGGTATCTTAAAACACAAAACTTTAAAGAAATTTCACACTTTCAGTGGTCAACACAGGAATGCCCTCTCAGAAACCAAATGGTTACCACAGTAGATGCAGAGTAGGCCCCTCAGATGCACCAACATATGCTGGTGCCCTCAGTGTCTAGGGGCCAATTTGTACACACCTGTCAAAATCTTGTTGCCTGAGGGCTTTTCTCTGAAGCTTCTGAAAGCCTGGACTACCTCAGCAAATAGTAGGCCAGAAGTTTCTGGAATTAACCCCTCTGGAGCAACCTTCAACCAATGACTGATAGGAGTGAGGAATTTATACTTAGCTCAATAGATAGACGATAAGATAGAGAAATAGGTAGATAGATAGATAGATAGATAGATAGATAGATAGATAGATAGATAGATAGATAGATAATAGATGATAGATAATAAATAAATAGATTGAAAAATAGATGATAGATAATATAGACTGACAGATAATAGATGATAGACAATAGATTGACAGATAATAGATGATACATAGCAGATTGAAAGATAGATGATAAATGGATAATAGATTAAATAGACAGATGATAGATGATAGATTTTTTAAAGACAGATAATAGATAATAGATGATAGATAGATGGAAGATAGATAGATAGATAATAGATAGATAGAGATAGATCAATGATAGATAGAGACATAGGTATATAGATGTACATATTTCACATTCCCCAGGAGGGATAGCTGTGAAGTGTACATTCTACACCATTTCCCAATTTCCCCCTGGTATTATGTAATAATGGCAATTAGTAGTAACTGGCTTGATGATGTACCTTCTATTGATTGCCTTCCGTTTCCCATCTCACTTCCTTATTTCCCTTCTGGCATTTCATACATTTCTCAAATAAATTATTTTGTACTAAAAGCCTGTCTGAAAGTCCATTTCTGTGGGCACTCAAACAGAAACAATTTTGTTGGTACCAAAATCTGTAAAGCATTGCCCCAGGTCATACATAATGAGAATACTCTTCTCTATAAAACACGCTCAGCACTTTTACCCACTGGTGTCAACAAGTTTACATGAGATCTAAAAATGAGAAATCAGACCCTAATTCACAAATGGATGTGTGAGAAGAAATTCAATGTGCATATCTATTCTTAAAATATGTGTGCCTCAGTGCCTTTGAGGCTTAGGGTTAAGTTGGGGTAAGGTTTTCCATTGGTTTGGGTTTTTTGGTTTTTTATGACTTAGTGGTAAATTTCATTCACACACCTAACAAACTGATTGTTTCAAAAATATTTTTTACCAAAATAATGTGAACTCTGTTTTCTTCATTGTAGAATAAAGAACAGCTAAATTGATTTCAACCACTTTCTCAATCTTTTCATGATAGTCTCTTCAAATGGCAAACTGCTGTGTGAGGCATTTATTTTTAACATTCCAATATCAGAGTGTGTTGCTTAAGATCTCAACCCTCAGCCTCCTCCACAGACATGCCATTTTTCTAAAAGATAAAATTGAATCGAGAAATTTGCCCAAAGGAAGGAGATGGAGGAGATAGCTGACCTAGGTTTATGCCTGCCCAAAGTGAAAAGAAATATATAGTGTCCTCCTTGGATATTGTCACGTTAAATTTGCTTTTAATGAGTTCCTTCTCATTTCCAGTATATAGACAGCATTATTCTTTGAAAGTCTTTCCATCTTCATCTGATGTCCACAGACTTCCTCCAATTCTAAGAATAAAGAGCCTACAGGAGGCAGCAAGAACAGGGAGAGATGCCAAAAGTGTAGGTCTTCTAAAAGATCTTATCCAATTCCAATGATTTTAGATGAACTTAGACGTTGAGATGGGATGGAAAAATAAGAAGAAAAAGTTACCATTACTCATTGGAGAGATGGGACTATCATATGGCTGCTCTGGGTAAATCTCTAGGAGAGATATTTACAAATATTTTCTGGCCTCTTTCTATATATTAAGTATTGTACTAGCTCCTGAGAAATCAATATTAAATAATGTATATTTATTTGAGAAATTATTTAATAATTTACAGAAAAACTAAATCCCAGATTTCACTAGAGTATTATAAAAGTGGCCACTGAGCGCTTCATTTTGGTGCTACAAGATCTCAAAGAGTCCTCTCAAGGAGCTTGGGGATTCAAGTGTATCCCCACCTTGCCTTTATGGAAAAATTCACCCTCCTGCCGCCAATTCCTCAAAAAAATAGCAACATAAGAGAGGTTTTTTTCATTCTTTATCAACATAGTTGATAACTGGAATTTATACAATGTGCTTGCAATATTAATAGAACATTTAACAAGAGAAAGTAGTATCAGATAATATAACCCCATTGCCCTTACTGGGATATTCTTACCTTAAAATGTGAAATTTGACTCATCTACCCTAGCAACAACTATTTTTTTGTACAGACTTAGCTACACAAGTATCTCAGAAATATTAGTGAGAATAGTGTCCTTTTATGCTCTGCTACTCCTTTGACCCTATTTTACTGAAATTCTGTTTAACTTCCTCTCTCCACCCCCACTCCCCACTGGCTCAAGTGTAGCCTCTCCCTTTAATTCGCAAGACTCTGAAGGCACAGGTGGCTAAGCCATGACGTTTCACAGACTCCCTGCCTGGTTACTGTGGGGCCAATTTAGCACCATTGGATCACTTCACTGACTATACCAGACACAGTACCAAGCACCAGAGAGAAAGAAATCTTCTATCTCATGATCTAGACAGACAGAGACACTTAAGATGTGTGTTTTTTTCCACAGTGTGAGGACTGTGTCATAATGGGGGCATGTGAAAGATACCATAAGAGGAATGTGGCCCAGAAGCAGAGGGCAGAGAGGATGATGGACGTTTCCTGCCAGAGGTGAGACACAAGCTGAGGCTTTAAAAAGGAACTGAAGTCAGCTGTGCATAGAAGGGGTGAGGGAATCAGTGATGCGCTGTGTTCCTTTCTTTCTGTAAAGGCTCCCCAAGAACATAAGATGAAAGGTGACACAGAAATGGAACACAGCTCAAGCAATGAAGGTCAGGACTCTCTGCAATCCCATGAACCAAAGAGTTCGTAGGAACATTGTGAATAGCAGAGGTGAAAGTGAGCCCCACACCTGCTAGGACTGAAAGTTCAAACAAATCTCTCTACTCAGCTCTACCTGGGTTTTACCACTTGCAGAAAAAACAAAGGTCCTGAGAGGTTTATAAACCTCTTAAGAAATGAAGTTCCAGCTATCAACATAATTTACTAATTCCACAAAGGTCAGCAAGAGAGACTTTATAAAAATAAGTATTCAGCATTTTACCTTATTAAAAACTGAAAGGTAGCCGGTTATGCATAAATAGGCTTAGTTTACCCACAATTAAGGGAGGAACTTGATCCACAGATATGTACACATGTTTGAGAGGACATTCAAGTGCTTGGTAATTTTTAAAATGTACGTAACACTATATACCAACGTCTTGTGTTTTATATACTTGTGCAAGTTAGCAACAAAATCAGTCTCCCTTTGTCATAGTCAAGCCAACAGAAAGTACAGAGGGCCCCTGGATCCTCTGACAATTTGACTTATGATTTTTTTACTTTACAATGGTGCAAAAGTGATTCACATTCAATAGAAACTGTACTTCCAATTTTGGATTTTGATCTTTTCCAGGGCTAGCAATATGTGATGCAATATTCTCTGGCAATGCTGGGCCAAATCATCTAACACAAAGCCTATTTTATAATAAAGTATTAAATATCTCATGTAATTTATTAAATACTGTACTATAAGGGTTCTGAGCACATTTACAGAATTCTAGGGTGAGCCACGATATTCAGTAGATTCAGTGTATTAAATGAATTTGCAACTTATGATATTTTCAACATGTGATAGGTTTATTGGGACTTAAACCCATAATAAGTCAAGGAGCTTCTGTATAAAGACAGACAGCCTTGTCTTCTGAGTGAAAACAAGAAATACAAAAACAAAATTATAGAAAAGATAATATGCTTCCCCCTCTTCATGGACAAAAATTGCACTTTTATCAACATACTTTCTTACTGAAAACAATTGACAGTAACACGCTGCAGAGTGACATTTCAGCCAACAATAGATCACATATATGACAAGGGTTCCACAAGATTATAATGAGGCTGAGAAAGTCCTATCGCCTAGTGGCATAGCCATCATAATGTCAGAGCCACAATGCACTGCCTTTTCTATGTAAACAGCTAAAGATATGTTGAGATATACAAATACCTACTATTGTGTTACAATTGCCTACAGTATTCAGTGCAATAATGTGCTGTGTAATTTTTTAGCCTAAGAGAAATAGGCTATACTATATATTCTAGATGTGTAGCAGGCTATACCATCTGGGTTCCTGTAGGTACATGATGATGTTTGCACAATGACAAAATTGCCTAACGATGCATTTCTCAGAATGCATCCCCATCATCAAGAGACACGTAACTGTATATCCATAACTTTCTTGGCAACTGGAGACTGAAAAGGACTCTAGAATGAAAACTTGTCATATGCTTCTCCTCACAATGGGAATCAACTAATGTGTGGTATCTTCAGCCCTGATCCACTTTACACATAGTCACGGCATACATATCATTTAAATGAAAAATAACAAAATCAAAATGACCTGGCGCTTTTATGAGAATATTCATCTTTAGTAGCCTTTAGAAATGTTAATGAGTATAGATGAGTCTCCATTCTGTAAAAGGGAGAGAAAATCTATAGCAGGGAAATGTCACCTATGCTGAATGGGTTGGTGGAAAGCAGCCATAGATGGGCAAAGTAACATTTTTAAGATGTTGCCAAAATACTCTCAATAAATTAGGTATTGATGGGACGTATCTCAAAATAATAAGAGCTATCTATGACAAACCCACAGCCAATATCATACTGAATGGGCAAAAACTGGAAGCATTCCCTTTGAAAACTGGCATAAGACAGGGATGCGCTCTCTCACCACTCCTATTCAACATAGTGTTGGAAGTTCTGGCCAGGGCAATTAGGCAGGAGAAGGAAATAAAGGGTATTCAATTAGGAAAAGAGGAAGTCAAATTGTCCCTGTTTGCAGACGACATGATTGTGTATCTAGAAAACTCCATTGTCTCAGCCCAAAATCTCCTTAAGCTGATAAGCAACGTCAGCAAAGTCTCAGGATACAAAATCAATGTACAAAAATCACAAGCATTCTTATACACCAATAACAGACAAACAGAGAGCCAAATCATGAGTGAACTCCCATTCACAACTGCTTCAAAGAGAATAAAATACCTAGGAATCCAACTTACAAGGGACGTGAAGGACCTCTTCAAGGAGAACTACAAACCACTGCTCAATGAAATAAAAGAGGATACAAACAAATGGAAGAACATTCCATGCTCATGGGTAGGAAGAATCAACATCATGAAAATGGCCATACTGCCCAAGGTAATTTATAGATTCAATGCCATCCCCATCAAGCTACCAATGACTTTCTTCACAGAATTGGAAAAAGCTGCTTTAAAGTTCATATGGAACCAAAAAAGAGCCCGCATCGCCAAGTAAATCCTAAGCCAAAAGAACAAAGCTGGAGGCATCATGCTACCTGACTTCAAACTATACTACAAGGCTACAGTAACCAAAACAGCATGGTACTGGTACCAAAACAGAGATTAGATCAATGGAACAGAACAGAGCCCTCAGAAATAACGTCGCATATCTACAACTATCTGATCTTTGACAAACCTGAGAAAAACAAGCAATGGGGAAAGGATTCCCTATTTAATAAATGGTGCTGGGAAAACTGGCTAGCCATATGTAGAAAGCTGAAACTGGATCCCTTCCTTACACCTTATACAAAAATTAATTCAAGATGGATTAAAGACTTAAACGTTAGACCTAAAACCATAAAAACCCTAGAAGAAAACCTAGGCATTACCATTCAGGACATAGGCATGGGCAAGGACTTCATGTCTAAAACACCAAAAGCAATGGCAACAAAAGACAAAATTGACAAATGGGATCTAATTAAACTAAAGAGCTTCTGCACAGCAAAAGAAACTACCATCAGAGTGAACAGGCAACCTACAAAATGGGAGAAAATGTTTGCAACCTACTCATCTGACAAAGGGCTAATATCCAGAATCTACAATGAACTCAAACAAATTTACAAGAAAAAAGCAAACAACCCCATCAAAAAGTAGGCAAAGGATATGAACAGACACTTCTCAAAAGAAGTCATTTATGCAGCCAAAAGACACATGAAAAAATGCTCATCATCACTGGCCATCAGAGAAATGCAAATCAAAACCACAGTGAGATACCATCTCACACCAGTTAGAATGGCGATCATTAAAAAGTCGGGAAACAACAGGTGCTGGAGAGGATGTGGAGAAATAGGAACACTTTTACACTGTTGGTGGGACTGTAAACTAGTTCAACCATTGTGGAAGTCAGTGTGGCGATTCCTCAGGGATCTAGAACTAGAAATACCATTTGACCCAGCCATCCCATTACTGGGTATATACCCAAAGGACTATAAATCATGCTGCTATAAAGACACATGCACACGTATGTTTATTGTGGCACTATTCACAATAGCAAAGACTTGGAACCAACCCAAATGTCCAACAATGATAGACTGGATTAAGAAAATGTGGCACATATACACCATGGAATACTATGCAGCCATAAAAAATGATGAGTTCATGTCCTTTGTAGGGACATGGATGAAATTGGAAATCATCATTCTCAGTAAACTATTGCAAGGACAAAAAAACAAACACCACATGTTCTCACTCATAGATGGGAATTGAACAATGAGAACGCATGGACACAGGAAGGGGAACATCACACTCTGGGGACTGTTGTGGGGTGGGGGAGGGGGGAGGGATAGCATTAGGAGATATACCTAATGCTAAATGACGAGTTAATGGGTGCAGCACACGAGCTGGCACATGTATACATATGTAACTAACCTGCACATTGTGCACATGTACCCTAAAACTTAAAGTGTAATAATAATAAAAAATAATAATAATCAAAAAAAAAGATGTTGCCAAAAAAAAATTAGAACTCAATAGCCTTGACCTGAAGAATTTAAAAACTATCAATGGTAATAAAGTTAATTAGCTGGTTAATGGCAATAGATGAATAGCTATTTATATTTAATGCCAAATAAAGTGAATGTCTTGGCACCTAGGAAATAGTATATATTAGCCTCATAGAACTATCAAGACAGTTCCAATTCCACAGTCTGATTCAATAGGCATGAAAATCAGAAATTTCCCTAAAGTGTCTGTAGTTTTATTATCAGTTCTCATCAACTTGCTTTAGAAACCTCTAGCTCTTTTCAAGTAAATTCCTATTTCATTTCATGTATTATAATTCATGCTGAGTTTCATGTTTTATAATTCATGTTTAGTCTCATCAGAATGTTATAAAAGGCAGTGTTGTAAGTGGAGCTCTGGATTAGCTTCATGCCCAGGTAAAATATTCATTCAAAGTATTATACAAAATAGGCCACTGAATTCTGATATAAAAGAACACAAGAAGTTCACTGATATGGCTTCAGATCCACATTATCACTAACCCTCAAAAAACCTCCACTTGTTGAATGTTTATGTACTATCAAAGAAAGAAATACACAATTACTTGAAAATGCCATCACAATAGTCTTCCTTTGTCCAACCACATATTTATATGAGGCTGGATTTTCTTCAGACATATCAACCACATATCATACAGCAACACATTGAATGCAGAAGCAGGTATGAGAATTCAGCTATCTTCAAGACAGACACTAACAAGGCTTATAAAAAATAAAGGAGTGCCACTTTTATTACTATAATTTTTATTTAGCAATCGTTATTTCTATGATATAATAATATTTATGTTAATGTATAATGCTTTTATTATTTATTTTAATATTATTTAATATTTAATTATATTATTATTATTTATTATGGGCTTAATAATTGTTAAGTGTGAAAAGGTATGGTGATTCTTTCAGCTGTTCAGCATGTCTATTCCAATTATGCATTTTGGAACTGGGGATACAACCACAGGATGGGTTTGAGGATACACCTGACTCACAGCGAGATGAATTTGAGCTAAAACTTTGTCAATTACCTGACCTCCATAAGCCCCTACTCTGACTGGAGGGCCACCTTGACATTTTGGGCCTCATGGAATCAGTGCTAGTTCAGAGTCAATGTTCAAGAGCCTCCTCCCAAATCCTGATTATTGCCCTCTTTCCAATGCACAATTATCATTGTAATAAGCTTTAGGTCCTTTGAAGGAAGGCTGAGAGAAAGATTAGCAGTACACATTTTCAGTTGTGTTCAAGGGTCATTCCTCAAGGAGACCCAGTCTTCCCTTCATTCAAGGGGCTCTGGGTCTGTCAACTGGCTCAAGTCTGAGAACTGATTGAGGGGCTATGATTCTGTTTCTATGATTCTCATTAGAATTTTATGATTCACTTTACCTGGAACTTGTCTGCTTATACAGATTGAGTAAGAATTTAATAGCTTCCTATCTATTTCACTTCTAGGAACACTATAATTAACAGGCCAACTTTACCAGTCTGCGAGAATCAGACTATTCTGATTACTGCTTTGACCCTACTGTCCCTTAGAGTAACTATCTTCACCATGCCTTTGGCAGTTGAGTGTTGCCACTTGGCTCTTACTCCCTGTCTTACTCTGTTTTCTGTTGCAACAGAATACCACAGACTGGATAACTTATAATGAAAAGATGTTTATTTGGCTCATGATTCTGAAGACTAGGAAATCCAAGAGCATGGCACTGGCATCTGGTGAGGAGATTCTTGCTTGCCATAACATAGCAGAGGACATTCATATGGCAAGAGGGCAAGAGTGTGCCTATCAGCTCAAGCTTCCCTTTCTCTTCTTATAAAGCCATGGGGTCCCAATCTGATAATCTTATCTAATCTTAATTACCTCCTAAAGGCATCACTTCCAATCAACATATGAACTCGGGGATTAAGTTTCCAACACATGAAATTTAGGCGACACACTCAAACCATAGCATTCCACCTCCAAAATGTATGTTCTTCTCACATGCAAAACACAATAATTCAATCCCAATTGCCCCAAACTCTTGTTCCAGCACCAACTTTAAAAAGTCCAAAGTTATCTGAATCAGATATGGGTGAAACTCAAGGCACAAGTCAACTTGAGGCAAATTTCTTCCAGCTGTAAGCCTGTGAAATTAAACAATTTCTCATTTCCAAGATACAACGGTGGAAGAGTATAAGATACATATTCCCTTACCAAAAGGGAGAAATAGTCCAGAAAAAAAGAAGTAACAGGCCCCAAACAAGTCCAAAACCCAATAGGGCAGACATTAAGTTAATCTTTCACTGTATGTGCTGCTTCCTAGACACACTGCAGGCTTTGGGCCCCAAAACTGCCTCACTCTTTACTATGGCTTTGTTGGACTCAGGCCACATTTCAGCTTTCTCAAGTTGTAGCTGCACAGTGGTGCCTGCAGCTTTCACAGGCTGGCATTGCATGTTGCCAGTGACTGTACATTCTGGGATCCCTGCAGCAGTCCTGCTCCCAGAGCTCCACTAAGCATTGATTTAGTGGGAACTTTCTATGGCAGCTCCAACCCCAAAGTTCTGCTGGGCATTGCCTTAGTGAGGGATCTCTCTGATTACTCCAACCCTGGGACAAGTCTCTTCCTGAACTCCCAAGCAGTCTGCAACATTCTTTAAAATCTAGGTGGATGCAATTATACCCCCACAGCTCTTACATTTTGTTGGTCTACAGAATTAATACCATGTAGACACAGCCAAAGTATATGGCTTGTACCCTTCAGAGTGGCAAGTCAAGCCACACCCAGAGGGGTCAAGTTATATCCAGGACCACTTGAACCACAACTGGAATGGCCAAGGATTGCTGCACTGGGATGCAGAGAGCAGAGACACAAGGCAGCCACGGGCAGTGAGGCCACAGAGGGTTCTCAGACCTGTCTCCCAAAACCATTCTGCCCTCCTAGAGCCCTGAGCCTGTGATGGGAGGGGCACCCTCAAAGATCTCTGAAATACCTTTGGACTCTTTCTCTCATTGTCCGGATGATCCTTTCTATCTCTTTAGCAAAGAGTCCCTGGGCTACACTCTTGGTTTCCTTTTCTGAATACACTTTACTCTTTAAATGACCAGGCTGAGAGTTTTCCAAGTCTTTCTGCTTTGCTTCCCTCTTAATTACAAAGTCCAGATTTAAGTCATTTTTTAATTTTCATAGCCTAATATAAGCAATTTAAAGTAGCCAAGCAGAAACCTGAATGCTTTGCTGCTTAGACATTTCTTCTGCCAGATATCTTAATTCATTGCTCTTAAGTTCTGTATTATGAACACAACCCAGCTATGTCCATTGCCAGTTTATAACAAGAATGACCTTTACTCCAGTTTCCAATACCTTGTTCCTCAGTTCCATCTGAGACTTCATCAGAATGGCCATTACTATCCATATTTGTATCAGCATTCTGAGCATGACCAGTAAAATAATCTATAAGAAGTTACAAATATTCCCTAGTCTTCATGTCTTCTCCTGAGCCCTCATAAAAATCACCCTTAATGCTCTGTTCAGAGCAATACAGGCTTTTTCTAGCCTGATCCTCCAAATTCTTCTAGCCCCTGCCCATTACCCAGTTCAAAAGCCGCTTCCACATTTTTAGGTATCCGTTATTAGCAACAATCCCATTCCCAATACCAGTTTTCTGTCCTAGTCCATTTTCTGTTCTATAACAGAATATCACAGATGGAATAATTTATATATATATATATATATATATATATAGAGAGAGAGAGAGAGAGAGAGAGAGACTTATTTGGTTTACAGTTCTTGAGGCTGGGAAGTCCAAGAGCATAGTGCTGGCATCTGGTGAGGGCCTTCTTGCTGCATCATAACATGGCAGAAGGCATTACATAATTAGAGGGCAAGAGCATGCATGTTAGCTCAAGGTTCCCTTTCTCTTCCTACAAAGCCACCAGTTCTATCATGGGGGCCCCTCCCCAGTGACATTATACAATCCTAATTACCTCCTAAAGGCCTTACCTTCAATCAACATATGAATTTGGGGATTAAGTTTCCAACATGTGAAATTTGAGAGATACATCCAAACTATCCCAGGATCCAATTACTCCTACTGTATTTAGGTTGTTCAACTGAGTGTCTGCAATTCTCACTGTAATTTATGGTCAACATAGAAGAAAGGCCATGGAACTCTTCAAAAATATTGGGCCTTACCTCACAAATTATTTCTCAAAATAAAAGGTATTTTGAGAATACCCAGCCAGTGTGGATGAGTAGGTCTTAAATGGAAAATCCACTCTACCATTCCAATTCTCCTAAGCCTTTGAATTCTTCCCTCTATGTTAATCCAAGGTAGTTCAGGCATTTCCAAGTCACATGCAGTGAGCTATCTTTAGATCCATGTTTCAGTCAAGTAACCAAACTGTTAGAGCCCTTTCTAACTCCCAAGCTGCAACATTAAATGCAAAATCTTTATTTAGCAAGCTCATACAAATAAATTTGGCCCGATTCGACTTAATGTTCCTTCCATCATTCTCTCACATCTTTACTATCCATTCCCACATGTGATCCACCAGATTTCTGCTTGCATAAATAGAAAAATCAAGTAGTTATTGTAAAGTATAGTGCACTTCCTCACGGGTGACACTTTGATCTCACCTTTAGGTACTTGCTTGGCCTTAAGTCTAGTTGTAAATTTAGAAACAAAGAAGGGTGATGGGAGCAGGTCCTGAGGAGAATCAGCATTGTCTTGCATGGCAACTGCCTCAGGGAAGGCCATTACCATTTCCTCCAGCAACATAGGGTTAATTCCATTAGACTAAGGTAGAAAGACCAGAATGCTATGAGTGGGGAGGCCACTACCACTAGGGATGGAGAGACCACTTGGGGTGAGAATGTCTCTTCCACTAGGGGTGAGGAGACCCCTTCCACTGGCAAACAGGATTCAACAGAATCTAGAGGCTCAATGTCCCCAGATTCATCAGGGTCTTCCCACAAATCACCATCCCAATTTACAGGATCCTATTCTTTCCCAATCAATGCCTTCACTTTAACAGCAGACACTCAGTAAGTCTGGGAGTTCAACCTATGTTGTAATTTAGTAAACTACAGATGATTTTCTGCATTTAATTTTCAGCAATTTCAAGCCTGTGGCTATAGGAGGCAAGGCTGTCATTCAGGGCATACTTAGAAGCTCTTAGGTTATTTATGTGGCACTTGAGCTGGAAATTCGAATTCCTGAGTTTATCTTTTTTTTTCACCACTTTGTCCAGTGACATTGGAGCAACCAACCAATATTATTTTATTCCTTCATTTTCTAAAAATGTTTTGAAAGTATCATATGGAGAGTCACTTAGCATCTTGCTTCTCTTAAATGGTTGGTTAGGCATGTTTAATGCCTGTTGTTCATGACATGGACTATCAGGGCTCTCTTTACTACTGGAGACATCTAATCATATTAAAGAGACAATTCCAGAAGCCTCAGGACCAGTTCAGAAAACTTGTCTTTAAAATTCTGTTTTCCTAGAACTACTCATGGTACCAAAGCCTGTATTAGACAGGGTTCTCCAGAGAAATAGATCCAATAGGATATATAGACATATAAGAGGAAACTTATTATTGGAACTGGCTCACACTACCTGCTGTCTGTTTGCTGGAGAACCACAAAAGCCCAGTCCAAATCTGAAGTCCTAAGAACGAGGAGCACTTCAAAGATAGGAGAAGATGGATGTCCCAGCTCAAGAAAAGAGAAAGTAAATGTGCTTTTCTGCCTTTTTCTTCTGTTTGGGCCTTTAACAGATGAGACAAATTAGTCAATCTACAAATTCAAATGCTAATCTCTTCCAGAAATCCCCTCACAGACACTCCAAGAGATAATGTCTAACCAGCTGTCTTGGCACCCCTTTGCCAAGTCAAGTTGACACATAAAATTAACTATCACAAAGGTTTTCTAAGACCCTGCTAAAGCGTCAAAGAACACAAGTTTACAGTTGGTCATTGGGTTGAGTCTCACCTCTAATATATAGTTATTGTATGACCACAGTTTACAAGGACTGAAACTCTCTAAACCTCAATTTCCTCATATGAGAAATGGAGATAATATTAGCTACTTCAATAGATTGTTGTGTTAAATAAAATAATATATACAAAGCCCCTGGCATGTAACAAGTGCTTAGTAAATGAAAACTCTTGTTACATCTCTAAAGCACAGGATGAGTATATAATAAACATGTAATGAATACAGTAGTATTTTAAAATCTACAAGAAAAAGATGTTTGAAAAAAATAGATTTGTGGGGTCCTGGCATCCAGGCCTAGGCTCTTGGACAGCATTTCTACACTTGCCGTGGGTCAGAGGGGAACCCACTGTCCTGAAAGGTAAGTCCCAGGCCTGGCAGCATTCACCACAAGCTGATGGAAGAGCCCTTGGGCTTTAAGTGAACATAGACGGTGGCCTGGTAGAACCCTTGTGAACCAGTAGTGCTAATTGCCACAAAGAGAGGCTCCTCTGCCTGTGGAAAGGGGAGGAAAGAATAGGAAGGACTTTGTATCACAGTTTGAGTGCCAATTTAGCTGCAGGAAAATAAAACATCAGGTAAATTGCTAAGGTTTTTGACTCCAATCCCAGGCTCCCAGACAACATCTCTGGACATGCATGGGGCCTGGGGGAACTCCCTGCCCTGAAAGGAAGGGTCTTAGGCAAGACCCAGTGCCATGCTGGCTTCAGGTCTGACCCAGCATAGTTCACTGGTGGTCGCCACAGGGTGTTTGCATCACCACACCCCCCAATTCATGTGTCTCAGCACACAGAAAGAGACCCCATTTGTTTGAGAAAAAGTAAGGGAAAAGAACCAGAGTCTCTCTCTGGTAATCTAGAGAATTCTTCTGACTGTTATACAAGACCACAAGGTAGTACCTCTACAAGTTTGCAAAAACCACAGTGTTATTGGGCTTGGGGCCCAAGTTTCTTTCAAATACCTGGAGGGACTTCCCAAGAAGGACAGGCATAAACAAGCCCAGACTGTGAATACTAAAGTAAATAGCTAATTCTTCAATGCCCAGATGCAAACATCTACAAGTATCAACATCATCCAGGAAAACATGACCTTACCAGATGAACTAAATAAGGCACCAGGGACCAATCCTGGAGAAACAGAAATATATGACCTTTCAGACACAGAATTCAAAATTGCTGTGTTGAGGGAACTCAAAGAAATTCAAGATAACACAGAAAAGTAATTAAGAATTCTATCAGATAAATTTAACACCCCATCCAGGAGGGAGGTGGGGGGCAGCCCCCGCCCGACCAGCTGCCCCATCCAGGAGGGAGGTGGGGGGCAGCCCCCCGCCCGGCCAGCCGCCCCGTCCGGGAGGGAGGTGGGGGGCAGCCCCCACCCAGCCAGCCACCCCGTCCGGGAGGGAGGAGAGGGACGCCTCCGCCCGGCCACTGCCCCGTCCAGGAGGTAGGGGGTGCCTCTGCCCGGCCACCCCTGCTGGGAAGTGAGGAGCCCCTCTGCCCGGCCGCCACCCCGTCTGGGAGGTGTACCCAACAGCTCATTGAGAACGGGCCATGATGACGATGGCAGTTTTGTGGAATAGAAAAGGGGGAAATGTGGGGAAAAGATAGAGAAATCAGATTGTTGCTGTGTCTGTGTAGAAAGAAGTAGACATAGGAGACTCCATTTTTGTTCTGTACTAAGAAAGATTCTTCTGCCTTGGGATGCTGTTGATCTATGACCTTGCCCCCAACCCTGTGCTCAGCACATGTGAAACATGTGCTGTGTCCACTCAGAGTTAAATGGATTAAGGGCGGAGCAAGATCTGCTTTGTTAAACAGATGCTTGAAGGCAGCATGCTCATTAAGAGTCATCACCACTCCCTAATCTCAAGTACCCAGAGACACAAACACTGCGGAAGGCCGCAGGGTCCTCTGCCTAGGAAAACCAGAGACCTTTGTTCACTTGTTTATCTGCTGACCTTCCCTCCACTATTGTCCTATGACCCTGCCAAATCCCCTTCTGCGAGAAACACCCAAGAATGATCAATAAAAAATAAAAAAAATAAAAATAAAAATAAAAAAAATAAAAAAATTTAACAGATTTAAATAATTAAAAAGAATCAAACAAAAATTCTAGAGCTGAAAAATGTAGTTTACATGCTGAAGAACGCATCAGTCTCTTAACAACAGAATTGATCAAGTCAAGTAGTTCACTTGGTAAAGGAAAATTAGTGAGCTTGAAGACAGGCTATTTGAAAATACACTGTGAGAGGAAACAAAAGAAAAAAGAATAAGAAACAACAAAGCACAACTACAAGATCTAGAAGATAGCCCCAAAAGGACAAATCTAAGAGTTATTGGCCTTAAAGAGAAGGTAGAGAGAAAGACGTAGAAAGTTTAATCAAAGGGATAATATTAGAAAATTTCCCAAACCTGGAGCAACACATCAACATTCAAGCACAAGAAGGTTATAGAACACCGGCCGGATTTAACCCAAAGAAGACTGCCTCAGGGTATTTAATAAAAAAGATTTATCAATAATATCAAAATCTAGAGAGATAATGAATGGGGTAAGTTCTTGGTGATCTTTGGAGGAGTCAGTTTGAGAAACACAGCACCATCAATTGCCAGATTGCAATGGGTTAAATGGTGGTGAGGAAGCCAAAGCTGGAAATGTAACTCATCCTTTGCAGCAGTTCATGCAGCTATGATTCTTGTGGAACATATGTAGCAGTATCCTTGACTATGGAACCTAAGTTGAACAATATGCAAATGCCCCTGCAAACAGAAGTTGTCTTATAGAAATAGATCAGCAAAGAATCTAAGTCAGTTTGGGGGGTGTTAGGCCATTCTTGCATTGCTAAACAGAAATACCTGAGACTGGGCAATTTATAAAGAAATGAGGTTTAATTGGCTTGTGGTTCTGCAGGCTGTACAGGAAGCATGACGCTGGCATCAGTTCAGCTTCTGGGGAAACCTCAGGAAATTTACAATCATGGTGAAAGACAAATGGGGAGCAGACACATCACATGGCCAGAGCAGAAGCAAGAGAGGGAGAGGAGAGGTAACACACACTTTTAAATGACCAGATCTCACTCACTATCATGAGGACAGCACCAAGGGGATGGTACTAAACCATTCATGAGAAATTCACCCCCATGAACAAATCACCTCCAACCAGGCCCCACCTCCAATATTGGGGATTATAATACAACATGAAATTTGGATGGGGACACAGATCCAATCCATATCAGGAGGAGTTCCTTTCTTATTATAATTATCAAATTCTGCCTTATATTAACTTACATGTGGGCCAATCTTTTGCCTCTACTCTCTCCTCCTTGGGGGAACTTAGGACATCAGCTGCATCTATTAAAATGTCTTCTTCAGGCTGGAGACAACAAAGTAAAAAGTCAAAATTAAATTGAATAAGTAATTTCTAAAATGTAAACATATACAGTGACCTAATCGAATGAATGGCATAGAGCTGTCAAGTGTGATGCTAGAAAATTCCATCAGCTGACCTTGAACCACCTTTAATTTGATCTCTGGTCTCCACAGTGAGTTCTCCTTCTAGACACATACTCTCTTAATAGCAAGGGCACTATTTTTCTGAGTGCATGTGTGCAACAAATTTACCTTCTGTTATTAAAGCCTTACTACTCTTTGTCTTTCTGGCCTACTAATGGCCTTAGTAATATGATGCATTCATAATTTTTGATTAGATTTGAACCCAGGTGGCCTATATATATGACATACAATTAAACTGTATTAGTTTTGATAATGCTAATTCAGAACTTCCCCTATTCAGGTGTACAATTGAGCTTACCTTTCTGTTCTTCAGGAGAAAACATTTTTATAATTAATTCAAACTCTCATCTAGATGACAATGTGTTTTTTTTAAATAAATTAATTAAAAGAATGGAAAACTTTTCAAATTGTCAATCTCTTTTCACCTTTAAAATAAGCAAAGTGATTGGGTTTCAAACAGTTAAAATGCAGATTCCTGCATTCCACTCCAAACCTACTGAATTAGTATCAGAATTTTAAATCTATACATGTAAAAATCTCCCTAGTAAATCTCCCTAATTAATCTTATGATTAATCAAGATGAGACCACTGTACTAAATTATATTTAAAGATTCCATATTAGTCAATTTAGCCTAAGTTATGCTGTGGCAACAAATTACTCCAAAGTCTCAGTAATTTACAAGGAATAAAAGTTTATTTCTTATTCACTTAATACACATATTCTTATTCTTAATACATGTATATTATAGTTCAACTAAGACTCTGCTCCAGGTCTATCATCTTCACTCCAGAGCTCAGGCTGACAGTGTAGCTTTACTTGGAACTTTGCCTGCCTTAACCAGAGGAAAAAAATAATACAGAAAATCATGAGTTGTCACATGGCCACTCCTGAACTCAACAGAGTAGGGCTGTATAATCTTTCAGGGAGAGGAAATGAGTAATTGTCTACCACTGGGGCCTCCAACTCTAAAAGCTGAACAATAACATTAATGGCTTCCATGTAGATATTAAAAGTGATATTGATAAGAGTTTTCTTTTTAACGTCTTTATTGAGGTATAATTGATATACAAATAATTGTACATATTTAATGAATACAATCTGATGGGTTTGGACACATGCATACGTATGTGAGACCATCACCACAATCAAAGTAATAAACATGTTCATCACCCCCAAAAGTTTCCTCATGCCACCTTGTAGGTGTTTGTTTGTTTGTTACGTTTTATTTTATGGTAAAAAACACAACATGATATCTACCCTCTTAACAAAATGTTTAACTGTTGATATGGTTTGGCTGTGTCCCCACCCAAATCTCACCTTGTAGTTTCCATAATCCCCAGGTGTCCTGAGAGGGACCCAATGGGAGGTAATTTAATCACTGGGGAGGTTACCCTTATGATAGTGAGTGAGTTCTCATGAGATTTGATGGTTTTCTAAGGGGCTTTTCCCTCTTTTGCTCAGCACTTCTTCTTGCTGCCACCATGTAAAGAAGAACGTGTTTGCTTCCTCCTCCACCATAATTGTAAGTTTCCTGGGCCTTTCCCAGTCCTATGGAACTGTGTTTCAATTAAATCTCTTTCCTTCCTTGCAGCATGAGAACAGACTAATACAGTAAATTGGTACCAGAAGTGGGGTACTGCTGAGAAGCTAACCAAAAATGTAAAAGTGACTTTGGAACTGGGTAACAGGCAGAGACTGGAACAGTTTGGAGAGCTCAGAAGAAAATAGGAAAATGTGGGAATGTTTGGAACTTTCTAGAGACTTGTTGAATGGCTTTCACAAAAATGCTGATAGTGATATGGACAACAAAGCCCAGGCTAAGGTGCTCTCAGATGGAAATGAGGAACTTGGGAACTAGAGTTAAGGTCACTCTTGCTATGCAAAGAGACTGGCGGATTTTGCCCCTGCCCTAGCGGTCTCTGAAACTTTGAACTTGAGGGAGATGTTTTAGGGTATCTGGCAGAAGAAATTTCTAAGTGGCAGAGCATTCAAGAGGAAACAGAGCATAAAGGTTTGAAAAATTTGTAGCCTGAAGATGAGGTAGAAAATAAAATCCCATTGTCTGAGAAGAAATTCAAGCCAGCAGCAGAAATTTGCATAAGTAACAAGGAGCCAAATGCTAATTGCCAAGACAATGGAGAAAATGTCTCCAGGGCATGTCAGAGACCTTCACAATAGGGCATGTCAGAGACCTTCACAACAGGGCATGTCAGAGACCTTCACAGGCCCAGAGGCCTAGGAGGGTAAAATGGTTTCCTGTGCTGGGTCCAGGACCCCTGTGCTATGTACAGCCTTAGACTTGGTGCCCTGCATCCCAGACGCTCCAGCTATGACCAAAAGGAGTCAACATACAGCTCAGGCCATTTCTTCAGAGTGCAGGCCCCAAGCCTTGGCAGCTTACATGTGGTGTTGGGCCTGCAGGTACACAGACATAACAAGAATTGAGGTTTTGGAACCTCTGCCTAGATTTCAGAGGATGTATGGAAACACCTGGATGTCCAGACAAAGGTGTGCTGCAGGGGCAGAGCCCTCACAGAGAACCTCTTCTAGGGCAGTGCAGAAGGAAAATGTGGGGTGGGAGCCCCCACACATGGGGCACTGCCTAGTGGAGCTATGAGAAGAGGGCCATGGTCCTCTAGACCCCAGAATGTTAGATCAACCCACAGCTAGCACCATGCACCTGGAAAAGCCACAGACACTCAATGCCAGCCCATAAAAGCAGCTGGCAAGGGGGCTGTATCCTGCAAAGCCACAGGGTCGAGCAGCCCAAGACTATGGGAACCCACTTCTTGCATCAGTGTAACCTGGACGAGACATGGAGTCAAAGAGATCATTTTGGAGCTTTAAGATTTGAGTGCCCCACTGGATTTCAGACTTGCATGGGACCTGCCATCTCTTTTTTTTGGCCAATTTTTTTGGCCAATTTCTCCCATTTGGAATGGCTGTATTTACTCAATGCCTAT
Source organism: Homo sapiens (assembly GCF_000001405.40). Lineage (NCBI taxonomy): Eukaryota > Metazoa > Chordata > Mammalia > Primates > Hominidae > Homo > Homo sapiens. The sequence continues at coordinate 193,432,459 of NC_000001.11, read as the reverse complement.
ACTCCCATCGTACCTAGGAAGTAACTAACTCGTTTTGATTTTACAGGCTCATAGGCAGAAGGGACTTGCCTTGTCTCAGATGAGACTTTGGACTGTGGACTTCTGATTTAATGCTGAAATAAGATTTGCGGGGACTGGTGGGAAGGCATGATTGGTTTTGAAATTTGAGGACATGAGATTTGGGAGGGACCAGGGGTGGAAAGGTATGGTTTGGCTGTGTTGCCACCCAATTCTCATCTTGAATTATAGTTCCCATAATCCCTACGTGTCCTGGAAGGGACCCAGTGGGAGGTAATTGAATCATGGGGGTGGTTACCCTCCTGCTGTTCTTGTGATAGTGAGTGAGTTCTCATGAGATCTGATATTTTTATAAGGGGCTTTTCCCACTTTTTCTCAGCACTTCTGCTTGCTGCTGCCATATGAAGAAGGACGTGTTTGCTTCCCTTCTACCATTATTGTAAGTTTCCTGGGGCCTCCCTAGCCCTGTGGAACTGTGAGTCCATTAAACCACTTTTCTTCATAAATTACCCTGTCTTGAGTATGTCCTTATAACAGCATGAGAACAGACTAATACAAGTGTACAATACAGTATTGTTAAATATAGGCACTGATAACCTATAGGTCACATTTGACAGGCTTCCAAATTAACCAGCTGGGGGAGGTCTTATGATTCATGGCTTACATCCTGTCACTAAGTAAATAATCTTATTGTGAGTCCCTCAAATTGTTGATGTACTGATTAATATGTAACCTACTGACACTGAAAAGGACAGTCATTTATGTCTGAACCATGAAGTTTTGTTGATTTGTTTCTGAATCACGAAGTTTTAATGATTGTCTTGCATGTACACATTTTAGCCTATATGTTGCATATGTATTCTACCCTCCAAAGAAAAAGGACAACTCTGATATGAGGAGCCCCCCTCACTTCTCCTAAACTTTCTTATAAAAGCCTTCCAATGTGTAACAGACTGAAACACACCTAACTTTGTGGGTGTGTCTTCCCAGGCCAATCCTCACATTTGGCTTCCAATAAACTTTTATCAAATTATTTCTGCTTTAACAACCTTTATATTTTGGTCAACAGTACTACGTTGCAGAACAGACCTCTGGAACTTATTCATATTACATAATCAAAATTTTAATGATTCCTATACTAGTTTGTTAACCTTGATTCTTAAGTTGGGCTCTTCTAAAAGCAGATGCTTAGACAAGGACTCAGAGGCAGATAGACAATTTGGAAGGTAAACTCAGAAAGACAGGTAAGAAAGTTAGGAAAGTGAGACAGGGAAGGTAGAAAAATGAATAAAAAGCAAGAGGAGCTCAGTCTAGCTGGAGATCCTCTGAGAAACCCCAGAGCCAAACTTCAGGACCCCAGGACCCTATCACTACAAGACAGGGAGGCTACGGCATGTGTCCACCACTGCCACCCCTATAGATTAAGGATTGCCTCCCAGGGATTAGCTCCCTCAAACTTTCTGGTTTATCTTTTACAGCTGAGCAAGCTCTAGTAACAATGAGAAAGCCCTCAGGGAAAGGGAAATATGCAGTTGCTTAAGGTGGGAATCTGTCAGTGGGTTGGGACTGTACATGGGTATAATAAAAATCAGGGAGCCCACAGGATATGGGAGGTGCATCAACAGCATTTGTTATACCCAGTTCCAAATTGACCTTTATTTGCTATTGGATATTTTGTTATCACACATTTCATTTTTAAGGTCAATCTGACCTGTCCCACAGTTAGTCCAAATCATTTTCTTTCTCTATTCACTATTAGTACTTAATAATGCCTTTGGTTTCACCTCAAGCATCAACTCAAATTAAATGTGAGTGTCTACCTGAGATACGTGTCAAGAAAAACCTGAGGTCAAGTTTGGTGCACAGTGACCAATTAAGTGTTTTTCATGGACAAAGGACAAAGAATATGGTTAGATTTGCCATATATCTGTTATCCTTTGAGTGCAGTAGTGGGGAAAAAAGTCTGTGCTAAGTAAACATTCCTGATTGCAACTTAAGGCATTGTAATAATTATTTAGATTGCTCACACAGGGAAGAAGTTTCAGAAATAATTACCTATGAATTTAATTCTACAAATTTAAACAAGATATGAGGGTGTGGGAAGTAAGCATGTAACTCATGGGTCCAGAAAAATCCTAATATAAAGAAAAGATGTTCTTATATCCTTAAGGATAGAATTTGTATCACATCATCACTCCATAAAAAAGGTATACAAATAATTTCACAAATAAGTGATCCTATGTTAGGAGATAGAAATCTAAGAAGAAATGCCAAAAAAAAAAAATCGACTGAGTTTTGCCTTGTTCTATCTCCCACACAATAGTAATGGGATACTTTAATACCCCACTGTCAATATTAGACAGATCAACGAGACAGAAGGTTAACAAGGATATCCAGGACTTGAACTCAGCTCTGCAGTAAGTGGACCTAATAGATATCTACAGAACTCTCCACCCCAAATCAACACAATGAACATTCTTCTCAGCACCACATCGCACTTATTCCAAAATTGACCACATAGTTGGAAGAAAAGCATTCCTCAGCAAATGTAAAAGAACAGAAATCACAACAAAGTGTCTCTCAGACCACAGTGCAATCAAATTAGAACTCAGGATTAAGAAACTCACTCAAAACTGCACAACTACATGGAAACTGAACAACCTGCTCCTGAATGACTACTGGGTACATAACAAAATGAAGGCAGAAATAAAGATGTTCTTTGAAACCAATGAGAACAAACACACAACGTACCAGAATCTCTGGGACACATTTAAAACAGTGTGTAGAGGGAAATTTATAGCACTAAATGCCCACAAGAGAAAGCAGGTAAGATCTAAAATTGACACCCTAACGTCACAATTAAAAGAACTAGAGAAGCAAGAGCAAACAAATTCAAAAGCTAGCAGAAAACAAGAAATAACTAACATCAGAGCAGAAATGAAGGAGATAGAGACACAAAAAAAACCCTTCAAAAAAAATCAATGAATCCAGGAGCTGGTTTTTTGAACAGATCAACAAAATTGATAGACCACTAGCAAGACTAGTAAAGAAGAAAAGAGAGAAGAATCTAAAAATAGACGCAATAAAAAGTGATGAAGGCGATATCACCACCGACCCCACAGAAATACAAACTACCATCAGAGAATACTATAAACACCCCTATGCAAATAAACTAGAAAATCTAGAAGAAATGGATAAATTCCTGGACACATACACCCTCCCAAGACTAAACCAGGAAGAAGTTGAATCTCTGAATAGACCAATAACAGGCTCTGAAATGTAAGCAATAATTAATAGCCTACCAACCAAAGAAAGTCCAGGACCAGACAGATTCACAGCTGAATTCTACCAGAGGCACAAAGAGGAGCTGGTACCATTCCTTCTGAAACTATTCCAATCAATAGAAAAAGGGGGAATCCTCCGTAACTCATTTTATGAGGCCAGCATCATCTTGATACCAAAGCCTGGCAGAGACACAGCAAACAAAAAAGAGAATTTTAGACCAATATCCCTGATGAACATCAATGCGAAAATCTTCAGTAAAATACTGTCAAACCGAATCCAACAGCACATCAAAAAGCTTATCCACCATGATCAAGTCGGCTTCATCCCTGGGATGCAAGGCTGGTTCAACATATGCAAATCAATAAATGTAATCCATCATATAAACAGAACCAATGACAAAAACCACATGATTATCTCATTAGATGCAGAAAAGGCCTTCAACAAAATTCAACAGCCCTTCATGCTAAAAACTCTCAGTAAACTAGGTATTGATGGAATGTATCTCAAAATAATAAGAGATATTTATGACAAACCCACAGCCAATATCATACTGAATGGGCAAAAACTGGAAGCATTCCCTTTGAAAACTGGCACAAGACAGGGATGCCCTCTCTCACCACTGCTATGCCTTGTTATTTCTCACTCCAAAACTCCTTATTGGGACTCCGCTTTCCTTATTTTCATGAACTGCAAGCGAATCGCAGAAGAGTGGACTCCCACTCATCTCTTCTTCCGTGAACTTCACAAGAAGAGGTGCACGTTGGCATAGCCTCACTCTTTTTATTTGATAAAAGGTGACTTTTGCAGCTTCCCAGGCTTAGATATTTTTATCTCCAGGTTGGACTTCAGCTTCATTAACTGAATTTTGACTCAAGCTGTTGTATAGATTCTGAGTCCAGCTCTAACTGATTTCAGATAGTTAAGTTCGTGTGCCCTGGTCTGACCCTTCCTAAGCCACATTCTATTTACGGCCTCCACCTGTTACCAGCCTTTTTCCTTCCATCCAAGGTGTTGCTGCCTTGTGCACACCTGACCCTCAGTCAGCTTATCACAACAATTAGATCAAATAGCCAACCCCTCAGAGAAAAACAAATGGAAGTGTCCTGCCCTCTTTCAGAGAGAAAGGCATCTTTTACTCCCTGGTCAAAATTCAGCAGCAGAGTGCAAATAAGAACATTTTCTTTTTTTTCCACAGGAAATGAAAACCTTAAAAATCTGTAGCCCCTCAGTGCTTTCATAGATGATAAGGTTTATGACCCAGCCACCATTTAGCCAAAAGCAACTTTTTAAAAGGTTTAGGATATTTGATAGAGTGAGCTTAGGAATGTATTTCAGCTCTTGTCAGTGACATTTAGATATGTAAACTTCCCTGCTTCTCTATAAGAGGATCTCACATGAATATGAAAGTGCTGCTGATTAGATAGTAGCCACAGGCCTGTGCTCTGGAGTCAGAGCTCCCCTACTGTGTAACTTTGACCGAGCTACTCTACCTCTCAACACATCGGTGTCTTCATTTGATAAATGGAAAGAGTAATATCAACTTCAGAGTGATTGTGAAAATTATATATATAAATAAGAACCTACAGGGATATGGTTTGGGTACATTTGCCTTCACTGGAAAGACAAAAATATTTATAATGATCAAACAAAGAACGAAGAAAGGATTTTAGAAATTAAATGATTAGAAGTGCTTCTTAGTTTAGTCATTGTGGTAGTTTTAAAACATGGCCCCAAAATTCTCTGGTATTCTTCTGATATGGTTTGGCTCTGTGTCTCCACCCAAATCTCATCTCGACTTGTAATTCCGTGTTGAGGGAGGGGAGTGATTGGATTATGGGGATGATTTTCCCCATGCTTGTAATTCCGTGTTGAGGGAGGGGAGTGATTGGATTATGGGGATGATTTTCCCCATGCTGTTCTCATCATAGTGAGTGAATTCTCACGAGATCTGGTAATTTTATAAGTGAGAGTTTTTCATGGGCTCTCACACACTCTCTCTTGCCTGCAGCCATGTAAGATTCCCCTTCCGCCATGTTTGTAAATTTCCTGAGGCCTCTCCAGCCATGTGGAACTGTGACTCTATTAAACCTCCTTCCTTTATAAATTACCCAGTCTCAGGCAGTTCTTTATAGCAGTGTGAAAACAGACTAACACATCCTCCCATTAAGAATTCTGTGCAATCTAAGAGTTTGAGACCAGCCCAGGCAAATTAGGGAGACCCTGTCTCTACAAAAAAAAAAAAAAAAAAATTAGGCAGGCATGGTTGCATGCATTTGAAGCCCCAGCTACTTAAGAGGCTGAGGTGGGAGATAGCTTAAGCCTAGGAGATCAAAGCTGCAATGAACCTTGATCATGCCACTGCATTCCAGCCTGGGTGAAAGGATGACACCCTATCTCAAAAAATAAAAAATAGGCTGGGCGTGGTGGCTCACACCTGTAATCCCAGCACTTTGGGATCAAGGCAGGCAGATCACGAGGTCAGGAGTTCGAGACCTTCCTGGCCAACATGGTGAAACCCAGTCTCTACTGAAAATACAAAAATCAGCTGGGTGTGGTGGTACATGCCTGTAATCCCAGCTACTCGGGAGGCTGAGGCAGGAGAATAAAAAATAAAAAAATACAAAGAAATGGTGGTCTATGTCCTGTCCCTTAATTATGGGTAGACTTGAAACTGCCTAAACTATACAGTCGGATAGAAATGATGTTTTTGTGACTTCTGAGGCTGGGTCATGAAAGGCCATGCTCCTTCTGTGTGGTTCCCTTGAATCACTCACTTCGATGGCTCCCTTTAGAGACACTCCTCAGAACCCAAGCCCCTGCTGCAGAAGCTAGAGCCACATGGAGAGTGACCAGGTGTCCTGCTCAATAGTCTCAGCTGAGCACAGGCTTCAAGCCTTTCCAGCCCACACATGTGAGTGAAGGAGTCCCCACATGGTTCCAGCCACAGCCATTTTAGGTATTTTCCAGCTGAGACCCCAGATATTGTGGAGCAGATAAAAGCCACCCACTGTGCCTTATTCAAATTCTTGCTCTTAAAATCCATAAGCATAATAAGATGGTTGTTATCTTTACTACTGTGTTTGGCGTGATTTGTAACACAGCAATACATAACCAGAGCAACAGCACAGCAAAATAATAGAAATAGTCCAAAGGAAATGGGAGATTTGTCTCATGCATATTGAATAGCTTGAACGTAAGGACAGATAACATTAAAACAATTCAGTTGTTGACATCTTATAAAAACGATCCTGCCCCAGTTTTGGAAGGATTTTCTCTGAAGCTATATAAATCCTTACACAGGATTCATTGGAGACTCTACTTTCAAAGCCTAATCATTATTAATTGTCGTAATTCTCTTTTTAAGTAAATAAATTCTAATGATATGTCATATGGAATTAACATTTACTTAATTAAACAAAGATTTAAAAGCACCTACACTACTTAGCATACTGTGAGGTAAATTTTTAAGTAATTTTAAAGTAATTAAAATCACCTTGGATGCCTTTTAAAAGTCTGATTCCAAGGCCCATCCAAAGAGATTCTGATTTAGTAGGTGTGCATTTTTTTGTTTGTTTGTTTGGTTTGTTTGTTTGTTTGTTTGAGACAAAGTCTTGCTCTGTCGCCCAGGCTGCGGTGCAGTGGCACAATCTTGGCTCACTGCAACCTCCGCCTCCCAAGTTCAAGCCATCCTCCCACCTCAGCCTCCCAAGTAGCTGGGACTACAGACACACACCACCATGCCTGGCTAATTTTTTGTATTTTTAGTAGAGATGGGGTTTCACCATGTTGGCCAGGCTGGTCTCAAACTCCTGAGTTCAAGTGATCTGCCTGCCTTGGCCTCCCAAGGTGCTGGGATTACAGGCATGAGCCACCATGCCTGGCCAGTAGGTGTGCATTTTTGACAAGCAATTCAGAAAATTCTGATACTGGTGGTATAGGGAAAAAAGCTTCTGATTTTTTCAAGCAATTCAGAATATTCTGATACTGGTGTTATAGTGAAAATACGCCTGAAGAGGGAATGGAGTACAAAAAACAAGTATGCACCATAGCTTCTGACCTCAAGCAACTTAATTTGAATTAATAGAAAAGACATTTCTGTGAACGACATAAAACAGCATTTAGGCTTCAAGTTGTGTTTGGGGTTTTAATCCACTAGAGTCAATATTTTTCTTCTTTAATTTGAATTGTAAGTTAGGAGAAAAACTAGGCCCAAGAGTCTGAGGTTTTTCTAACTGGCAGGGAAGCTTAAGCAATTTACTTAGTGCTCAATCTGATTAACACAGTCCTTTTACAACTTATATGAGCAATATATTCTAAGATTAAGTGAAAAATTTAATGTCAAAGTTGAATGTTACTTTCCAGGAAGATTAAAGGAAAGCCCTGTGTTTCTCATTGAATGACTAGCCCAGGGAGAGATTTGGACTAAATATCCCAGGAAGCTTTTCAGTAAAATTATAGGAAATAAAGGCTGGGTTGAAATTTTAATAATATCTTTTTCCCCACCTGTCCAGTCTCTTATTTCCTTATGTTCTTGGGATCATGAAAATACAAATATTTTCCAAATTCCTTTTAAAAATTCAAAGAAATATATTTTAAGTTAAACATGGCAGATTGAACACCCATGTCTGTCCTCACCCTCTCTTTAGGGATACCATTAATATGACCAAAAAAAAAAAAAAAAAAATATATATATATATATATAGTCTCACAGGGACAAAGAGAACAGAGGAGACAACACTAAATAAAAGATTTCAGCAAAATTTTTTCTTTTTTCTTCTTTTTTTTTTTTTTTGAGACAGAATCTCGTTCTATAGCCTAGGCTGGAGTGCAGTGGTGTAATCTCTGCTCACTGCAACATCTGCCTCCCAGGTTCAAGTGATTCTCTCGCCTCAGAACTCCCAAGTTGCTGGGATTGCAGACATGTGCCACCACACCTGACTAAATTTTGTATTTTTAGTAGAGAACGGGTTTCTCCATGTTGGCCAGGCTGGTCTTAAACTCCTGACCTCCAGTGATCCACCCACCTCAGCTTCCCAAAGTGCTGGGATTACAGGCGTGAGCCACCGGCACCCGGCCCAATGAAATTTCAGAATGTGAAAAAATTATGGGCAATTATTAACAGACTTAGAACAGAGAAGGCTCAGATATGAACCTTCTATGGTGAGACACCAACAACAGACCAGTGATTTCTGCCCTAGCCCCTCAGACTCAAGCATTTGGATTCACCTGGTACCCTTGAAGGTAGGGATGAAGAGTGGCATTGAAAACAGGAAGACTGGTTAAATGTCTATATAAGGATACTTAAAGTCCTATACAAGCTAAGAAGCCAAGCCACTACTCTTTCAGGAACTCTACAGAAAATAGAAGCTTTTCTTTATAAAGATAACTGCGCCTCTGAGAATGAGAATGAGATACTGTATGCAAACAGGAGATTAAGTGAAAGTCTTGATTAAAAATGGTGAAAATCCCAAAGTAGAAGCCTCTGATATTAAAATAGAAACCTAAACAAACGAGCAGATAGTTGAGAGAAATTTAGAAGAAATAAAGAAAATGCAGGAAGCAGAAGAAAACTTCAGAGCATTATAATTAACACCTACAGAAAGATAAGTAAAGATATTCCAATATGAAACAATCACATGCTAGAAAAAGAATATTCAGATAACTTTTAGAAGTAAAATTTGGATATACCTATTTATTCAAATTGTTAAAAATAAACTTGAGGACATTCCTAATCTTCATCCCTCTCCTCCCCAAGGAAGTGTGGATGATAGGAAAGAAAAAATGAGAAAATTAGAGGATCAATTCAAAGATCCACATCTGCCTAACTGCTGTTCTAGAGAGGAGGAATGAAAATGTAAAGTAGAATACATTATCAAAGAAACAATTTTTTAATTTCCCATAAAGAAAGACCATGTCTTCATAATGATACATTGAGCCCACAAAGTGCCCAAACAATACATGAATAGCTCCATACTGTGTCAAAGTAAATTACACCATAGTTCAAAGAAGAAAAAAAAAGCCCAACAACGTGGCACAAACGCAATAGAAGTTTATATCTCAAAGCATCAACATATACATATACATGGACTTTACAGACTTGTGCAGTCTCAAAAGATTTGCCTTCCAAATACTTTCTCAGAAGGTTCTTGGAAGATGTGCTCTACAAAAGCAAAAGAGAAATCCAAGAAAAGGAAGAAAAAAACTCCAAAACAGAGGATCCAAAAACAAGAGTAAAATGAACTGATGATGATAAAGACGTACTCCAGAATGACAGCTGGGCAGCAAACCTAGAAAGCAAGTTCTGACCGGGGAAAAAAGATGAAAGTTTTCAGAAAGGATAAGCCTGCATGCACGCATGTGCACACATACACACACACACACACACACACACACACACACACATTGAACTCATAGATTTCTTGGATGTATGACTACATTGAGAGATGTTTTAATGTTCTGTCAGTGAGTATGGGGTTTAATTAGTGATTGGTACATAAAAATTAAGTAATTAAAGGGTAAAGAAATGTATCCTAATACACTATGTGACTCATCTGCAAACCATATTAAGGCAGTTATAATGACATAAACACTGAATATTCATTTAACCAAAAATTATAACAGAATTTATAGAGGGGACAGCAAATGGCAAATGTATTGGGAGTGGGGTAAGGAAATATAAGAACACTAAATCCTCATTTTTCATGAAAAAAGTCAATTGATAATGCTTAAATTGAAAAATGTAAAGATACGATTTTTAATTTGTTTAGAAATATGGAGAGTCTTAACCTGGGTTCCCCAAAAAGCAGAGCCTGTGGCAAAGGCTGATGAGCTGCTAATTTATTAGGAGAAATAACGGAAAGGGGGAATGAGACAAGTAAAAGGTGAGTCCCAATCAAAGGTGGTTGCCAAATTATAACTCGGCTACTCTTGATAGCAAGCACAACTGATGGCTCATTGTCACAATTGTGAGAGTCTCTGTAAATGAAATCACTTGAGACTGTCCACTGTGCTAGGGATGAGGGCAGAAGACTTAACCATCAGCTTCTATAAATTACTGGTCAAAGGTTCACTTCACATGTGTGAATTAAACAAACACAGGCCGAGTGCAGTGGTTCATGCCTGTAATCCAGCACTTTGGGAGGCCGAGGTGGGTGGATCACAAGGTCAGGAGTTCAAGACCAGCATGGCCAACATGGTGAAACCCTGTCTCTACTAAAAATACAAAAATTAGCCAGGCGTGGTGGCACATGCCTGCAATCCCAGCTACTCAGGAGGCTGAGGCAGGAGAATCACTTGAACCCGAGAGGCTGAGGTTGCAGTGAGCTCAGATCATGCTATAGCATTCCAGCCTGTGTGACAGAGTGAGATTCCATCTGAAAAAGTAAATGAATAAAATAAAATAAAAATAAACAAACACAGTCATCAAGTGAGCAAGGTGTTGCTTCAGTGTCAATAGGGACGCCCTGGATATGAGGCAAGAGGCATAGGAGGCAGGCTGGAAGTGAGAGGTTGTTCGGTCATGGCTCAGTGAGGTTAGTTAGAGCCTATGCAGGGCTGGTCACGGGGGAGGTGACAGAACAAGTAGCCACACTCTTTAGAGACAAGTGAGGTTGTCTGATTCTGGAAGAGCACAGAAGGGGTGCTAGATTAAGGGGGTAAGTATTAGAAAAAGCTAATAGAATTAAATAGAATTGCCCATGAAGAAACAAAATAGAGGTAGTGAAGATTAGGCTAGGACTCTTAAAATGTAATTTTATTTTTAAACTCATGTATATGCATTATTATATTAAAAACACAAACTTAAAAATGCTTAGAAGTATCTTACATAGTAGGATTCTTTATTCCAGACACTTGGTTACAGCATTGTAACTGAGAATTGCTTTTAATTTTCACAAAGCCAAAATCAAAGTGGTTGTTGTTGTTGTTATTTTTAACTTTAGGCCATTTCTATTTCCATGCTACTAACATACTGAATGTAATCAATTACCAAAATTCATAAAGTCAGCCAACAATTCTCAAATTTTTCAGTCTAAGAGTTCCTTTATACCCCTAAATTTCTATAGGTTTTATTTATTGGCATTTGCCATGTTAGAAAATAAAATGGAGACTTTTAAAAATATTTTGTTTATTGATTCACTTTAAAATAACAATGTAAACCCATTGTATGATGTCATAAGTAATATCTGTTTTCAAAAAATAACCACATTTTCCAAAGCAAAATACTTGAGTGAGAAGAGCGGCATTGACAAGCACTTTTACAATACTCTTTACCTTCCAGCTTAATCATAAACAGTTTATTCGTTATATCTGCTTCTATATTCAGTTTGTTGTAATATGTTGATTGGTTAAAATCTATGAAAAAAAGAAACATGGCCTCACACAGATATGTTGTTAGAAAAGGAAAGGGTATTTTAATAGCCTTTTCAGGTAATTGTGTTTATTCTTCTTTGATAATACACCATAATGTGACATTGAAAACCACATCCATGAACTTTTTGTATTCTATTACATTAAAAATCATTAGTCCATTTGGCACTTTAAACAGACCTTTTTGTTAACCATGCATTGATCACATGAAAGGTATCTGTTCACTGAACTATTTAGGCCTTCCAAATGTTGATCCATTTCATCACATTGTCAAAAAATCACATTCGTTAATACCACCACCTGTCTCACTGGAAAAGTCTTTAGGTACTGGGAAACTGACTACCTTATGGTGATAAATACTAGTTTTCCAAATTTCTAATTTTTGTGTGGAAGCTCAAATATTTTTATTGACAACAACAAAAAAATATCAGTTCCTTTTTTAAAATGACCTGCTCGCTTCATTTATTTTTATGAAAATGTCTGCCAAATAAATTAGGATAACCCTAGTTTACCTGTCAGTTGTCCCTTCAAGTGAAAATGACATGCCATGAAAAAAGCAGCTAGTTTAGCTTGCAATTCAGACATACATAAGCGCTTTTCTTCAAAACAGCCATCACACGTCACACTATGAAACCAAAGGACTTTCTTCCTACCTCCCATTTTGTTATACAGAAAGTTAAAATGACATACACACAAAGGTTGAGATCTAATAAAACTAATAATCTTTACTGCTTCCTAAAGATACTTTTCAGCGTCCCTGGCATTTTTTTTAACTGTAAATGTATGGTGAAGAAATACAATGACTTCTAGTTTAGTTTGGTGCCACTGCCTTGATTCACGCTAAGGTGCCAGTAGTTTTACCCACCCTTGTTTTTTCACCCTGACTGCAAATGTCAGCTCAGTGAAAAAGGTAAACAATGTTGTTAGCATTATTATGAAAATAGCTTTAAACTCTAAAACACTCAGAAAGGATCTAAGAGACCCATAGAATACACGGACTGAACTTCGAGAACTACTAATGTATATACTAAGTATCATAAATCATTACAAGCAAAAATCCTCACTTTTTTTTTGCCAGACTGAAGTAAGAATTGAGCTAAGCATTCAAAGCTGTCATAAATATGTATGATGCCTTAGACTGTACACAGGCAGTAGGATGAGATACTAATGACACTTGATCACAGCTCAGAGAACATGAGTTCTAGTGCTATAATTCACAAGTCACAGGACCATTGATTAGTCAATTGTGCTCCTCCGAGTGTCATTCTCCCCATTTCTATCTTGAAGATGATACAGCCTACTCCTTAGGGTTATTGGATAGACTAGAGCTACTCAAAGTATGGTCCCTGAACCATCAGCATCATAGGAAAATAGAAAGTGTGGGAAAGCACCTGGGAATTTGTTAGAAATGGAAAATCTAGGGTCTCAACCCACATGTGTTGACTCAGAATCTCTGGGAGTGGGGCACAGGAATCTCTCTCAGGCTTTACTAATGATTCTTGCTCATATCCAACTTTGAGAAGTACTGATATGGACCATGCACGATAAAGGACTGGAAAATGTGAACACTACACAAATTTATGTTATTATGATAATAAGAAAAAAAGGCTTTCCAGGCAAAATAACTACATAAAGATTGCTACTTTAGTCGTATTTGTTTGTATCATCTGTAGTCAGGTAGCGCTAATCTAACTGTTGGTATCAAAGATATATGTGTTTCATAGAAATGAATTTAAAAATGCAAAGCCAAGAAAAAGTGTAGAGTTAGGGGAGATAGCAAAAGGTATGCGTGGAAAAACAGTAGGAAATAATGCTGAATGTGGTTAAAATATAAAATGAGATGTTTATACTTTATACAATAGGCAATAAGGAACCATTACAGATTCTTCCATTTTAAAGTGACATAATGAAAGACTGTTTTAGGAAATCAGTTCGCTAACCATACGTGGTGCAGAATGAATTGAAAGGGGAAAAGACAGGAAGGCAAGAAGTATTTCATGAAACCATACATTTTTCCTCCCCATAGAATAAAAAAATTCTCTGATGAATTTGGACAAGATTCACACAGTCCTAGGCATTTGTCTGATAGGAGTGAAACCAAGGTAAAGAAAAGTATGAGTATATGATGTGTTCATCACTTACCCCACACATAACTTTATTTCCAGCACTTTCACTTTCCCTTTCTTTCAGTTCCAAGTCTTCTGCTAATTCACTGCTCTCAAACTCCTGTCTCTCACTTGCCTGTCTCCCAACCTGCTCTCCTTTATTCAGCAGCCCGAGGTCTTCTCCTGTTAATGAAGAACAGCTTTTCTCTATTTCCTTTCCTTTAAGCCCCTATACCTACTAAAATTTCTAAATGACAAGAAAGTTTTGCAAGAATTTCTGTGCTAAAGGAGAGGAGAAATGTAAAAGCTACATGTCCCAGTCAGATCCTGCTTCTCTTCCCAGACATATAGGGAGTTATCAACAGCTTTTTCAAGCTAATGCTTCCATGTCAGCATCAGAAAAAGAAAAAGTTGGAAGTTAAGAAGGGAAAATAAAATGAAAACGAGATAGAAGCAATGTCTCTGCAATTCAGCCTTGGAAAAGATGAACAAGTCAAAAACGAGGACCTTGGAGCTGAAGTTGAGTTTATCTGTTTGTGTGTACAGGGGACAGAACCAGGTCAGAATGTCCTGGTGGGATTTATCTGTCCTGGAATAGAATTACCGTGAGTAAAACTAAAAGCATTTAATGCAAAGTTTGGATAGCAATGGTTGAAGAAGTCCCTCAGGTTTGACCCTTAATTAAGGGAAGCTAATTACATAAACAAAATATTATCTGAAGTGATCCCTGTCACAAGCATTCAATTAATGTGTATTTCTGGCTGCAACTACATCAGAAAGTGGACGTTAAAAAGATTTAGGGCCAGGTGTCGTGGCTCATGCCTATAATCCCAACGTTTTAGGAGGCCAGGGCGGGTGGATTGCTTGAGTTCAGGAGTTCAAGACCAGCCTGGGCAACATGGCAAAACCCCATCTTTACAAAAAATACAAAAATCAGCCAGGCATGGTGGAGCATCCCTGTAGTCCCAGCTACTTGAGAGGCTGAGGTGAGAGAATCACTTGAGCCCTGGAGGTCGAGCCTGCAGTGAGTCATGATCATGCCACTGCACTCCAGACTGGCAACAGAGCAAGAACTTGTCTCAAAAAAAAAAAAGAAAGAAAGAAAGAGGAAGAAGAAGAAGATTTAGAGCAAGGCAGAACTTCAGCATCACAGACAGGGGAGGAGTAACTTGAAAGTGTGGGGGATTTCAGCATCTTTCACAGTGCATCAGGCTTCATACCTTTTCTTAATTTAGACTGAATACAAGCATGCAGATTCAGTTAAGTGAGGTGTTATTATGAGATCCAAAGCTTTTTAAATGCTACCTAAAATTTTTGGATGAAAAACTCAATGAAAAGGCAATTTATTTATAGCAGTATCATATATAAGGAAAATGAAACTCTTTAGAAAATGCTTGAGAATCTTTCATTTAACTGTTTGAATTCAAAACAAGACCTATTTATTGGAATGAAACCATGGTAATATTAACATAGACTATAATCAATTTGGTCCTATTTTTATTCGTTCATAGATAATATCTAGCACAGTTCTAGATAACAAAGCTACCAGAATGAACAGGGCATAATATAGCTTATGGGGTTTATACTCTAGTAAAGGAAATGGGGGAAAGATGTAAACACATAACCATAAATATACAACAATATGAAGTAAATTGTAAATGGCAAATAGAAAAAAAAGGGGGGGCTAAGATACAGAAGAACTGAGGGGTGAGTTTAAATAAAGTAGTTAGGGGAAACATCTCTAAAAGGATATTAAATCTGCGACCTAACAATGAGAAACTATCCATGCAAATAGTAGAGAGAAGCTCTCTCCTGCCAAGAAAACAGCAGGGGATTGGTAGAGATGTTTTCAAAGACCTAAGAAAAGACAAGTGTGACTGAAACATGGTGTGCAAAGAGGAGAGGGGCAAAGGATGAGAGAAAGTGTGGGGCTCAGGCCATGAGAGCCTTCTAAGCTGCGCTGTTAAGAGACAGTGGAGAAAAATGAGGACAGAAATCGGTGGACTTGGCAACTTCGATGTAATGGGTAATGTGAATTACAGCAGATTCAGTGAAATAATAATGTCTGGAATCTCACTGGTGTTAGTAGGAGAGAAAGGCAGTAACGGAAGAGAGATTCACATCTTTGTCTCTCTTAAAGCTGTGAAGTGGGAGCTGAGGATGGAGAGATGGCTGATAGGAATATAGGGACCCAGGAAGTTTGGGTTTTGTTTTTGCCAAAGACAAAGATCACAGCATGTGTGTGTTTGTTCTGATAGGATTGCAGTGGTCCAGGGGAGAGGCAAAGGATAATGGAAAGCAGGAATGGGGTCCAGAGCACAAGGGAAAGATTAGATATAAGGGAAAGCACAAGATAGAAAAAGAGATTGCGTGAACACAGGTCAAGGTGTGGATTTACCGGTGGAAGGTTTGGAAACACTGTCCTCTACCATCCTCATCTCCTCCTAACCCCATAATCCCTGAGCCACTCCTTTAACTCATCTAATCTTTACCTATTGAAACTCTTTCTAGATTTAAATCATCAACACATCTTATCTGCTTGAAAATATCCGTGAATTCCACGTAAAAGTTATTTTCCTAAATCCACAAGTGTTTACAAAGATTGTACTGCCAATTCAATACAGAGGCCTTTTAACAGCATAGTCCTATAATTTTACTTATGGAACATAATGTGACAAGCAAAATATTTTAAGATGAAAGATAAATGTTTTGGCCACCTTTAGGTGGCCAAAAAAGTGGCAAGATCCAAAATCATTGCATAAGTTTTCTGTACATTCTTCCTAGTATCATTTAATGATATTATTAGGGTCTCATTATATGCTTTTTCACCCATGCTACTTCCACTTTTTATGTGTGGCATTCAAATTATTTCTTGAATAATATCCCCAGTGCTTCACAGAATGTGTCTCTGCACTAGAAATGTGTTTCTATATTCATATATCCCTTCATTTATTTTCCACTACTCAATTAAGAAAGAAATAATAGGAGACATAACATAAAGCACATTACTGTGCCTTGTCCAACTGAGTAGATAGATCACTTTCAAATATAGTAGCAAATGCTGTATTAGTATAAAAGAGCTTTTAACTTTTCAAATCCAAATGCCCTGAGTTATTTTAAGCTCTGCTGCCATCAGTCAGTTTCCTGGTGTGGAAGAACGTATAACTTAGATAAAGCTAGAGCAGCTGGAGCAATCACCACAAATCACCAGTTATAAGGCTGCTTGCAGCAGTAATACAGGCTGAAAAGTCCCCCTCCCCTCAAAAAAAATAATAACCCATGAAGAAGTTAATGTGGTGTTAAAGCTAGTAGTTGGCCGTTGCTCTTG
Organism: Homo sapiens; assembly: GCF_000001405.40. Lineage (NCBI taxonomy): Eukaryota > Metazoa > Chordata > Mammalia > Primates > Hominidae > Homo > Homo sapiens. The sequence continues at coordinate 193,415,356 of NC_000001.11, read as the reverse complement.
CCATCTGTCATCCCATTGGACCACATAAGTAGAAGTCAACAGGAAGTTCATCTTTTATGTTGACATCACACAATGTCATTTTCTATTTATGGACATCGTTAAATTTCATTTGATATCAAAATTAATCCAGAAGTTTCTAAGAGAAGAAAGTAGTAAGAAATTTTCAATAATGTTTCAAATGTCTCTAAATGAAAGAACACTAAGCTTTAAGAACATTGCTAACCTTCTATAGAATACAAGTATTTTCCCCACAACATGAGTTTCAATTGAGAAATTGTATTTATTCAACTGCTCTTGTCTTCTTTGAGAAATATCTGCCCTCAAAAGTTACAATCTGGTTTACAACACAGGTAGCAGGCTAATTTAAATAAATCATAACTTTTTCTAAATACCAATTAAATTCATAATAAGATTCCATTACGCATGTACCAGGATGGCCAAAGTTAAAACCAAGATACCAAATGTTGGTGAGAACGTAGAGTGACATGAACTCTCACATACTGTTGACGGTAGTATAAAAATTGGTACAGTACATTTGGAAAACTACAGGAAAACTACAAAAGCCAGTGATGTGCTGTGACAGTAAATGTTTAACAGCTGAGTCTCTGGTGGGGGATGGGGGAGTAATTTGTATCATTTGCCAATTTCTATAGTGTAAACATGCCTCTGATGGCCAATCTCAAGCTACCAATGTGATGTCACTGAACGTGAATTTTGGAAGACGTGCAAAATTAGCTCTTGTGAGCTGGTGCAAGCCAGTCCATTTTACCTCTGACTAGGTTGAAAACTCATATTTCCCAAGACCCTACAAATTTTCTCCTAATTATAATCCCAATAAAAATGCATACACGTGTTCATGGAAAGCCACATATAAGAATATTCACAGCAACACTGTAAAAGCCAAAAACTGGCAACAACCCACATACCCAAAAAGTTAATTGTGGTGTATACATACAATGGGACAATATTTAACAATGAAAATTAACAAACTACTACTTACCCAAAAATACAGATGAATCTCAAATCTAACATTGATAAAAAGAGCCAAACATCAAAGAATAATGATTCCATTTAAATAAAGTTTAAAAACAGACAAAATGAATCCCTGATGATAGAAAACAAAATAATAGTTAACCTTTGTTGAGTGAAAGCACCTATGAAGGGGCACAGGAAGGCTTCTTAATCTGGTGATAGCAATGCAGGTGTGTTCATTTTGTAAAAATTCCTTGAGCTATAAACTTACGACTGTGCACCTTTTTTGCATGCCTGTTACACAACAATAAAACAAGTTTACTGAAAAATAAAACTTTTCCAACATAACAATTATGAGGATTCACTTTCCTCTGTGGTTCTTCTCTGTTACCCTAACTCTCATCACCTGTAAAAAAGAGTACAGATTCTACTGGTTCTGTTGCTTGCATGCTGTGTGACTGCACAAATTACTTAACCTCTCTAAGTTTCAGTTATCTCTTATACAGAAATCATAAATATTTACTTCATTGGTATATCATACAGATTAAAAATAATATATGTAAAATATCAATATGGTGTCTTTTCTACAATCCATAATCCCTAGAACAGCCAGGATAATCTTTTTTTAAAAAAAGAATAAACATCCAATTACACTAGTCTCTTGCTTAAAACTCTCCAATTACTAGAGATAAAATAAAATTCTTACCGCGGTCTACAAGGCGCTCTGTGGCCTGGCCCTTGCCCTCTCTCTGACTTTACCTCCTACTATGCTCATTCTCACTCCCTGCATTCCAGCCACACTCCCTGTTCTTTGAACTCACCTAGCTGATGGTTGCCACAGGGCCTTTGCTTCTGCTACTATCTCTGTTTGGAATGTTGAAGCCCCACATCCATGCAAGGCCAGTTCCATTTCCAGATAAGTCTTATATCAAAAATCATCTTCTCAGAAAAAGGCCATCCCTGACATTTCAATAAAAAGTAGTCTCCCCAGTTACTCTCTATCCCATTTCCCTGTTTTATTTTCAATACAGCATTTATTGCTAGCTGGAATTACTTCAGTTTACTGTCTTTCTTCCATCATTGTAACCACACACCTCAGAGTAAGCCAAATACGGGAGGGATAGTGTCTGATATACTCACTACTATATCTTCTAGCACTAGAAGAATACCTGGCACACAGTAGATACTCACTAGATGGTTGTTGATTGAAAAAATAATCAATAAACAATAAATTTTTTTCAGAGTCATTGTTTCCTCCTTCAACTATCCTCATACATCATAGCGTTTATGAATTTGTAAGTATTTTAGGATGAAATACAGTGACTACATTTGCTCCTTAAATCATTGTTTTTATGTAACAGTTCTAGTTTCTTTTCTACTATAGATCTTAAGGATAAGGTCAAGTTCAGGAGTTGCCCAAAAGAAAAATGTAGTGTACTGCCTCACCCTGGTAAAATGCATTCATTTGACAGAATAAACAGTTTGAAATTGTTCATTACTAAGACATTGGCTCCCATATATGATAGGCTGTGTTAATCTGAGACATGATTTTTATAATTGCATTATGTCTTTTAGAGAACTGTACTTAGGGTCCTTTTTCCCTCTGGGATTTTGAGGAAGAAATCCTAAAATCCATGTCTTCAGTGTGGCTCTTTAAAAAGCAGTTCTTCTTGCTATTTCTGGGAAAATAAAACTTTAAAATCCTCAATCATTTTCCCAGGTGTAAAATGAGCAATTCTTTCAGTACATCAAAAATATTGTTCATCTGCATAGTCTCATGTCTACTGCAACCAGTGTTCTCTTTCTTATTGTGTACTCTGAAGTCAAAAAGATAATAACTCATTAAAATTAAAACCAATCACCTACATGTAAACCAAACCATCAGAGGAAGTTTTTAAAATACTTCTCTAAGCTGAATATTTAGATCTGTTCTACTTAAAATCACATGATGGAAATCATTTAAAAACACTTTCAGTTTAACAATCCCCAGAAGTATAAGAATGATATATAATCATTCTATACCACATTATAAAGGCTGATATATAAAACTGTATGTCATCTAATTAATTTGGGACCCATTAGAAAAATTAGTTCAAAGCAACAACAACAAAAATTACACCTCAAAACTACAATTTTTTTAAAACTATCTTACAAAATATTTGGGGTTTTAACTTAATCTAACACAGGAAAAGTCTGCTTGCTTATAGCAAATATAGATGAAGATGGGCTGGAAGTAAGGGTTGAAATGGGTGCAGAAGAGAGAAATGGAAACACATAAGAAACAATTTAGAAACCTTATAGACTCAGCGTGGTAGGGGTTTGTCTGTTTTAGAGAGAATTAGTCGCAGAGGAAGAAGGCTGTTGACGCCTTTGATCAATGAAAAACCCTGGAGAGGAAAGACTTACTCAGTTCAGGGTTAAATAGAGATTAAAAACAAAATGCTTAGAGGAGATGAGATGGCAAAGAAGGCCAGAAACTTTTAAAGTAGTGGGAGCCAGCACACACAGGAACTATGATCAATCTCTAACGTCTCACACTTCATTCAGAGCTTTCTTCAAACTGCTGAAACCATGTTATTTCATAGCATTTGGGCTGACTTCAATCGTGAAATATTTTTAAAACTGTCTCTCAAAGAATGGAACTTTTCTTTTAAATCATAATTAAATAAATGTTGTTAAAAGGAAACTCTTATAACAAGTTTAGAAATTCCATAATTTCTTTTCCTCAAGAAGTGATCTTATTTTATAGTCCAGATGGTAATGCTGACCCTTATTAACACAAATTAAATTGCATATATCACCTAAATTGTGCCTCATAGTTTTATCCAAGAAAAACAATGAATATTAGCAGATTTACACAGATGTTTCTTCTCTGATAAAAGTAAGAAAACTCATCAGAAAAGATTAATTTTGTCCTCTTACACTGAGATACGAATCAGCCATGTAATTGCTACATAAATATAAACATAAAATTTTTGTATTAGGTATTAGTTAGAAAAAAACAAAGTAGACCTCTTACACAATTGGAGGTGAGAAACTCTATGGAAAGAACGTCATAGAACACATCCATACAATTAGTAACATGAGATTCTGACAAAGTCAGACCAGATGCAAAGCAAAGCAATTATAACTAAAGTTAATATGGTAATATTCATGAATACTTGAAGTTGTGACTAACTACAAGTGAATGACTGAAAAATTTCACATTAGATACCCCTTATTTTTAACAGTGGCCCCATGGTAAATCTAATAATGGGGGTAAATTTTAATAATTTTTCTATAATATGGAATGTACTCAGAAAATGACAAAAATTAAACTCTAGATTTAAATTCCAAAATCTGTAGTATGACAATTAAAATACTACCTAGAGAGGGTACTAGTTAGGAGTACTAGTTAATCTGTATAGGGTACTAGTTAAAGGTGTGGATTCTGTAGGTGGACCATGCAGATTACCATTCCACCTCTCCTGCTGGCATTGGTCTTTTCCAAGTGACTCGACCGCTGTGAGCCTCAGTGTCTTCACTATAACATAGAATAATACTAGTAGTAGTAGGTGGCAGTAATTTTACATAGAGGTGCCACAATATCTTTTTGCCATCCACTGGTTTTCTGAATTTACAATACAGAGCCAGGTTCTCCACTTTGGAGGACCAGAAAGGGTCCTTTATCAATATACCCAAAGTCCATCAGTTTCTCAGTAATAACTTTATAATAACTAAAACCACAAAAGATTGAAGGTATCTAAGAATACCAATCCTTAAAAACAACCCATGAAGTACATATTATTATCCCCATTTTTCAGATGAGGAAACTGAGGTTTAAAAGTTTAACTCTCCCAATATATCAAAACAACTGAATAGCAGAGCTGCTCTTCAAACCCTAGACTGTAACACTCCTATACCACTCTGCAATAATGGTTCTCATGAATGTTTTTATTCTACAATAAAGATGTATAAGGATAGCCACATTTGTATAATCTATCACAGTGGTTCACAAAGTATGGCCTGGAACCCCTGTGGGTCCTTAAGACCTTTTCAGGGAGTCCATGAGGTGAAAACTATTTTCATAATCATACTAAGATACTATTTGACTGTTCTATTTTCATTCTTTCATCAGCATATAGCGAAGTTTTTCAGAGGCTCCATGATCAGTGATATTGCAAGAAATTGAACGCAGAAACAGATATCAGAATCTAGCTGTCTTCAGTTAATCCGGACATTAAAGGAACTTGCAAAAATGTGAAACAATGCCACTCGTCTAACTAAAGTGTTTTTTCTTTTTTTTTTTTTTTTTAGTTTTGGAAAATAAGATTTTTATTAAAATGTTATTTATTTTAACATGTAATGGGATTTTTTAAAATAAATTATCAATACATATTTTTAGATATTCTCAGTTTTTAGTTTGAATCTACTAAACATACTTAGGTATAACACACATAAACAAAAGCTCTTCAGGGGCCTCAATAATTTTTAAGAGTCTAAAGGTGTCCTAAGAACAAAAGGCTTGAAAACTGTGAAGAACTTTCACAGTACTTATGCCATTGCCAATACAAGATTATAGGTAAGGAAAAAAGATTATACAAGGAGTGTTTTTCAATAAGCAGCCAATTTAGTTTGATAGTTTTCTGGTCACCCTGAAATCAAATGTTATTTGTACCACTGCACCTACCCAAACTGAAGGCATTTTTCCATGATGAAAGGCCTTCCAAGAAATTATTGCCAGACGATATTATGTGAATTTTTTTATTGTTTGGGAGGAAAATGGGATATGAATTAAGAAGTGAGAAGTTGAATGATTCTAGGAAAATGATATTTTATTGTGTGTTTTTAAAAAGGAGTCCATATCTTAAAAGATTGATTGCTAAAGAATCTCTTCCACATAATACAGGGAAAGAAGATGAAAAAATTAGCTTACTACCAACTATCATAAGTCTTTAACCTTAAAAAAAACATGAAGTCTACATATATGTGTGTGCTATAAAAATGTAACTATAACAAAAAATACATATAATTTACATTATATTACATATACCATTTAGATAAACCTGTTACTTCTGTGCAGGTTCCCCCAGACTCACCCTCACCCTTTCTTTCTATGTCCTGACCCCAAATCATGAAGTGCCTTGGCTGCTCTGTGACCTCGCCAGCTGCAGTTTTTTCCAGCAGGCTTGAACCGAAACCACGGCCTTGAACATTTCCAGACACTGAAAAAGTTATCTAGGTTGTTGCTCAAAACACTAAAAGAAACTGGCCCCGGGCCCTGAGCCAAATTCCTCAACCCTTGATAAAAACTTCCTACATGACTCCCTCATTTCAGACATACCTAGGTAGAACAGCCCCTTTCTCTCACTGTCCGCCACAAGGACTGGAGCAGCGCTCTGTAAGTTCCCCTAATAAATTCCTTAGATTCATCACCCTGGCGTTTAGTGCTTCTTTCTTTAGAATCTTAACCAGCCCCATCTCTGGATGGTTTGGGGAACTTCCCTGCAGAAATTCCCCTGCCGCCACTTTTGGAGCAATTCCAGCCATGGGTTTGGTAGGACAAAACGTCTGACAGAGAAGAAAATAGGAGGCTCACTGCTGCCTTGATCACTATAACAACTTTGTTGATATATGGATAACTATCTAAATGTTCCAAATACAAACTAATGTTCCTATATCTAGCAAGTGTATATTTAAATGGTGAATTAGGATTCTCCAGAGAAACAGAACCTATAGAGATTAGGTAGATAGAGAGATAGACAGATGATGGATGGATGGATGGATAGATAGATAGATAGATAGATAGATAGATAGATAGATAGATAGATCGATAGATAGACAGACGGTTATAGAGATAACTTATATCAATAAGTTATTGACTCACTGATTACAGAGGCTGAGAAGTCCTATGATCTGACATCTGCAAGCCGTAGACCCAGAAAAGCCTGTGGTGTAGTTCAAAGGCCTGAGAGCCAGAGGACCGATGATGTAGACTCCGGACCCAGCCTGAAGGCTTAAGAACAAGGAGCACCGAGGACAGAAGACTGACGTCCAATTCAAGCAGACAGGCAGAGGAGAGCACAAATCCAATCTTCCTCTGCCTTTTTGTTCTTTTCAGGTGTTCAAAGAATTGGATGATGCCCGACCAGGTGCGGTGGCTCACACCTGTAATCCTAGCACTTTGGGAGGCCGAGGCAGGCGGATTGCCTGAGCTCAGAGTTCGAGACCAGTCTGGCAACACGGTGAAACCCCTTCTCTACTAAAATACAAAAACTTAGCCAGGCGTGGCAGCGTGCGCCTATAGTCTCAGCTACTCGGGAGGCTGAGGCAGGAGAATTGCTTGAACGGGAAGCAGAGGTTGTACAGTGAGCAGAGATCACCCCACTGCACTCCAGCCTGGGTGACAGAACTAGACATTGTCAAAACATAAAAAAATTGGATGATGCCCATCCAGTTATTTTCAGGCGCTCAAAGAATTGAATGATGCTCTTTGGGGAGGGCCATCTGCTTTACTTAATTTACCAGTTTAAATGTCAATCTCTCCCAGAAACATCCTCATAGACATACCTAGAAATAACATCTAAACAGACATCAGGGCATCCCATGGCCTAGTCATATTAACACATAAAACTTACCATCACAGATGGTGTTTGTCACCTCTAACCTATCTCCAAACAAATCATAGATGATTTTTAGAACATAACTTTTTAAATTTTTTAATCGTTTATATTTGCTGCGTAATCTTTTCTGTCTTATTTCCCGTATGTATAGAATGATAGCGCATAGAAAGAAATAATTCTCACATATTTAAACCAATGTTAAATGGTTATAACATGTAATTACTGCAGCCTCCAAAAATGATGATGATGATGGCATATTCATCAAGATGTAAATGTATTAACAAAGCAATGCCAATTGCTTAAATTCTGGTACCTCCATATATAGTCTACATCATTATAGAGGGGCAGGAGAAATGCAATAGCAAAACTACCACCTTAATAAAACAGCTCAAAATAATTTACAGGCATTTTTACTTCAAGATTTCTTAGATTTGCTGTTTGGCATAAACTAAGTAAGTATAAGAGACCAAATATGTGAAAGTAACAAGTAAGTGCAAGAAAAAGAAACATATTCCAAATAAGCCATAAACAACCTCTCTACTACAGAGAAAATACAGTCAAAGGCTGTTGAGTTATCCACAGACACAAAGGCATTTTTTAAAAAGTGGGTGATGGTGTGGAGGGAGGAAAGAGATTTGACTTTAATGTTAAATGTTATTGGAGTTAGCAAGCATTAACTCTAGACTATTTTTCTCTCTGATTTACACAAAGGTCAACCTCTGACTGAAAAATGTGAGCCACAAGTGAAATATTTAATTTGTTAGACGACCTCTAGTGGTCATCCAAGACACACGTTGGCATGTGAAAGAAGAGTTGTTTATGTTACCGAGAACAAAATGATCAAATAACTAGGAGGGATCAGGAAAATGTCCTTTACGGTAACAGAAATTTTCGCTTGATAAAATAACTGTAGAGTATATCAAAATGCTTTAAAATGCATGCACATTAATCCTAAAAGTCTATTTTTAGAAAAGTATCCAAAAAAAAAATTTGACAAAGGCTCAAAAATGTTATGAGCAAGAAAGTTTATTCCAGCATTGCTGAGCAACAGTGTGTAGTGGCAAACAATGTCAATTGATTAAATAAATTATGGTACATTCATATAGTGAAATACCAATGCAGCCATCAAGAATAATAATAATGTCATTATGTTAAGTGAAATAAGCCAAGCACAGAAAGACAAATATCCCATGTTGTCACTCATATGTGGCAGCTAGAAATGTGGATCTCATGAAGATAGAAATTAAATTGGTGGCTACCAAAGGCCAGGAAGGATAAGAAGGAGGGATGATGAAGGGAAAATTATATATAGAGATATGTAAATGTAGTTATTACCACTTAACTGTACACTTAAAAATGGTAAGGATGGTAAATCCTATACATGTACTTACCTCAATAAAATTTATTAATAATAATGATGACATATTTATTGAAATGAAATGAGTTAGCAAAATAATGTTGAATTTAAAATCAAGTTAAAATTACAATAAAATAATATATAATACCACCCTTGCTAAAAAATTATGAGTGTTTTTATCTGGAAGGTATAAACTATATAACCAAAGGATTAGAGGTAAATCTTTGAATAGTAGAATTATAGATGGGATTTGTTCACAAATTGATTTTCTCCTTTGTTGTATATTAACATATTATTTTGTGATAATGATTTCTATAAAAATTAATACACATAAAGAGATAATGGTCCATGAGATTACAGACTATTTCTCACAAAATTTATCAAGAAGGAATTTTTCCTGATCCATCTAGCCCTACCACCTTTGATGGACTTTGCAAATATCTCAGTACAATCCAACTAGCTGACATGTTTTCTCCCTCCCTCTAAAAGGTTGAAAGATAACATAGTATCCTATGCACACTTCCTTCCTGGAGCTTTATTTTTTTAATTGCACCTTAATTGACCAAAACAAGAAAGCATACCATAGATTTATTTTTATTCTTGAAAGAATAAAGGGTTTTTATCCAGGAATTTTGATTATTTAACCCAAATATTTAATTTTCCCAACCCCAAATGATTGAGGTAGAGAAAAGGCTATAAAACACAGAATTTTAGGGGTAACTCTGTCTGAAGTCATCATAAGTTTTGTACCTTAGCTTCTTATATCACTTTTACTATCAAATGTCCTTTTAGAAAGCATTGTCCACATTATAAAAATGGTCCAGCATCCTGAAATTGCTTCATTTACATCATAACTAAAGGTCCTTGATGGACTAAAGAGTCATTTTCTACACTGTTCAGGGAGTGAACATATGCATGACATGGATGGGACATAGGCCTGATATACCTTCTATTTGTTCTCAAGTTTCCATTGCCTTTTGTATTATTTTCTATTGTTCCCATATCAAATTACCACAAGTTTAGTGGCTTAAGACAATGAATTTTATTATCCTACAGTTTTATAAGTTGGAAGTCTAACACAGGTCTCACAGGGCCAAAGTCAAAGCTGTTTTCCTTTCTGTAGGTTTTGATAGGATCTATTTCCGTGACTTATTCACCTTCTAGATGCCTCCTACATTCATTGGCTTATGGACCCCTTTTTTCACCTTCAAAACTAGCAAAGGAAAGCCAAGACCTTCTCACATCTCATCGCTCTAACTGCTTACATGGTTACGTCTCCTTTTCTAACTCTGCCTCCTCTTCTGCCTCCCTCTTCTACTTTTAAGGACCCTTGTGATTACACTGGGCCTGCGCAGATAACCCAGGATGTTCTCCCTACCGTAAGGTTAATTGACTAGCAATCTTAATGCCACCTGCAAGCTTAATTCCCTTTTGCCATGTAACCCAACATATTCATATGTTCCAGAGATTAGGACGTGAACATCTTTGGGGCCATTATTCTGCCTACCACACCATTTAAAATGTTAAAACATTTATTATGCCAAAGGAAATTATGAAAAGATACGTAATTTGTAGAATGGTATTCTACACAATGGAAGAATATCACATTCCATATAAAATTTGTCAAATGGTAGTTATTCTCTAAAGGTGGCTTTCTAATTAACCACGCTTCCAAATAGTCACGCCTTTATGTTCCCTCATTTTGGACCTAGGCTGGCCCTGTGACTCATATTTGACCAATAGAATATAGCAGAAAGATTCTGCATGACTGCTGAGGCTAGGTCATAAGAAGCCATCAGCTTCCACCTGAGTCTCGGGATGTTTACGCTGAGGGAAGCCAGCTACTGTGTAACAGGCCCAACTATCTTAAGAATGCCATACTAGAGACAGAAAAACCTGGAAGTCAGCCCACAGTATCCCAACACTCCCAGGTGAGATGCCAGATAAGTAAATGAAGAAGCCATCTTAGACATCCAACCCAATCAAGCCTTCAAATAATTCCAGCAACAACAATCATCTCATTACAACTGCATGAATGACCCCAAGTGAGAACTGACTAGCTGAGCCCAACCAACCCACAGAACAATGAATCACTAAGATTGGGGATAGTATTTTGCATAACAGTAATTGACAACCAAAATGAATGGTTTCAGACACAATTAGACATCTGTTATCAGAAAGGCTTTATTTTTCAAAAGCAATCAAAATTTCAGCTAACTGGGGTCTAACCCAAGAGAGTCAATTGCTTTCTCAAAATCCCAAATATGTGATGCATTTATAGCTTTGCTTTTTTATTTCAGAATAATGTTTGTACATCCCCCACCCCAAAGACCTGTAAAATTCTGAATTGTTAGAATTTTATCATTGGAATTTTATATTGTTAGAATTTTATTGCTTTTCCAATAACTTTTTATTACTGGAAATTTCTGGTAAAATATCATTACCAACAATACCAAGAGAAAACTGTAGAATAGTTATATTCCTCTGTCAGCCAACCAAAAGGCTAATTGTTATTTTTTTAAGTTGAATTAATCTTATTAGTTTATTCATTATCCAAATAAAGAACTGTTGAGCAACTACGTGCCATGCACTATCCTTGTCATTTGGACTACAATGTTAAACAGAATGTGCTTCCTGACCTCAAGTGTTACAGTCTTGAGGGGTAAAAGAGATGTCAGACAAGTAAATCAATTTTATAATACAATGTAAAAAGGTCTGTGATAAGGAGGTAAACTTACAGTATATGAGCACAAAAAAAGAAGCAGCTAATCTGAGTGGGGTTGGAAGTGGTCTAGCATTTAAATCATCTTCCAGGGATAACACCAGGGATGAGTCTTCCATCACAAATAAACATAACTTGGGAAATTTCAAGCAAAAGTAACAGCAAGTACAAAAGCATTGAGGTGTAAAATAGCAAAGTATATTACAACAACTACTTGTGATTTTAAAATAGGGAAATAAGTTTAAAATTAAATATATGTAGATGATTAATTATCCGTTCTCCTCTTCCACCACTGCCAAATTACTTACAGAATGTGTTTCATCTTTCATGCAATGTTAGAATAGTTTCTTGAAGGTGCCTGAAAGCACTACCATTTGAAGCCTTTGTGAGAAAAGCAGACTTTGTCAGGATTACATGTGTCTGGATACTGAATAACTTGCTACACCTGACTGATTACAAGTAATCTGAGCAAATAACAGATAATCAAAATCAATTTCGCTCTAAACAGACTTGCAAACTCCCAGAAAGTAAGTAAATTTGACTCATGGTCTAACAGGCTGTGTTTGTCCAATCGCCCATAGCAATAATGTTAAGAGTATTTATAACATTCAACTACAGAACTACATACTGGTTATCATTAGGGTCAATTTCAACCCTCATGAATAAACTTTCTTTTCTGTTGTATCTTGACCAGAATTGTATTGTATTGATCCAGCAGGAGTTGATATTTAAAACCAATCAATACTTGGCACTTTTGTTAAAAGAACCCAAACTAATATGAATCATTGAAAATAGCTTCAGTTTTCTATTAAATCCAACTTCCTCCTCCACTAAACTTCTTCATCAGAACAGCCAATAAATCAAACCACAAGATAACCTGAGCTCACCTCCTGTTTCTGGTTGAAATGCTTAATTAGAATGTCCTAAATACAGAAGCAGAAGAAAAAAATCTGTACCATCCTAAAACTGCCCTTAAGCCAACAGCTAAATTATTTAGAATCAGCTATATTCATCAAAAAATGAAAACCACAACACTTTAACAGAACAACTTCAAGCCAGAGTTACCAAACTTGCACAAAACTGTTGTTAGACCTGAAATAAAATGAAACCAGAAATACTCTAAATTATATTTAATTTCTCTGAAAAAAATCAATTAATTCAATAAACGTTGGCTTTACTTTCCTTATACCTTGCTCACTTGGATATATTAACCTAAAGTTGTAAGAACAAAATAAGGCAAACTCATAATAGTTCACATGTAATTGACACAGTATCTTTAATCACATTCTCTAGATTTTACCTGCCCACAATATGCTTTTTGAATTAGGGTAAGAAGAAGCAGTGAAAATTTTGTATCGTCTAAGTTCAAGGAAAATTTTCTTTGACAATTTCCATCTGGCACATTGCATTTGACAGGGCCAATCCCCACTGTCTTGTATGATGTAATGCATCATGACTGGTGTAATCCAGGCAGATCACCTCAAAGGAGCGCTCTGGCGAGAACACCCCATGGGAAGTAACTTTTTTCATGAGTAATGAATGTATTACAAATGTATGCTATATTTCATTTTCCTTGACATGACATAGCCAGGAGCTATGAGATGCAAAGCATTTTTGTCAAATTATTTTATTTTTGTTATTTGACTAACAAGTAATTAGGTCGAAAGAAATATTCTAATATCTTAGTTCTACCTCTACAGGTAAAATAAAGTGAAGTTCAGGCTAGGTGTGGAGTGTGGAGTGGAGGGGCAATGATTAGAAAAATAGTACATGTTTGAAATATTGTATAATTCTTTTTAACTCTTCAGAGAGATTTTATATAGTACCTCAGTTGATTGGAATTAAATTAAACAAATTGTCTCTACAACCCAAAATCATCGAGTAATTATTTAGCTCTGCTATTTATTAATTGTGTTAGTTATCTATTTCTGTGTAACAAATTACCCCCAAAATGTTAGTGGCTTAAAACATTTATTATCTCACAGTTTCTCTGGGTCATGTTTCTAGGCACAGCCTACCTGGGTCCTCTAACTCTGTGCATCTCTCAAGGCTTTAATCATACATATCAAGGGCTCAGCATGTAGTCATACTCATAACCAAGATTCATTGCAGCAAAAAGGCTTTAATCATACATGTCAAGGTTCAGCTAGGCAGGATCTACTTCTAAGTTCTTTTATGTAGTTGTTGGCAGGATTCCGATCCTATCCTGTTGTTGGACTCAGGCCTCAGTTTCTCAGGAGTTGCTAGCTGGAGGTCTTCCTCAGTTCCTTGCCACATGGACCTCTCCACAGGGCATCTCACCACATGGCAGCAAGCAGGAGAGCAAGAGGGAATGGCAGCAACCCAAACACAGAAGTGACACTCCATCACTGTTCCTGTTTTCTACTCATTAGAAGCAATTCACTAGGTCCAGCCACACTCAAGGGGAGGAGATTACACCAGAGCATATCAGGATGTGGGGTTCATTGACAGCCATGTCAGAAGCTGCCCACCATGTTCACTCACACCTTTGTTATAAAAATGAATTGGCCAAATAATACTTTTATCCCTGTAATTAATATGTATTAAATCATGATCCCTTGCCAGAAAGAGTCACACTAAAAAAAAGAAAGAAAATGATTTGACAGTAAAGCCAATTGACATAATCGGCAAAGAGTCTAAATTGATGTTAAAGAAGAAAAAAAGTTAGCAGTTGGTAATATATAATAGATATCACTTTCCTAGGAGCATTCTTTTCTGCTCTTCTACCTCAATAATTCATGTCACGTTTCTCACTTTCCTTGGCAAGATGATGTCAAAATTAACATTCAGGGCTGAGAGAATTGTTGACCTTTCAGAATTTAATGGTTATCAGTCACATGCTGAATATTGAAATGGGCAGTACCAAAGTCAAAAGTTCAGACTGACAAGCAGCTAACTCCATTTATAACTAATAAAGTAGGATTTACCACTACTTATTTAATATAATATAAAATTAAATAATATATAGATATAACACATATACTCATGTAATAATAGACAATTAATATTGAGTCCTTACTATGAGCCAAGCAGTGTTCTATAACGGTTAACTACTTAATATATGTATTTACATACAAACTTTTTACTGTGTGGACATCTATATGTAAATTCCAGAAACCACTATTAATTGATGGCTATTAATATTACTAATGTATTTGTAGTTCCAAGTTGCAATTAAATGAGAACTACACAACTTTTTCAAGGCTCACAATTTCTGCCATTCCTCTTTGATTGACAGAGGCCCACAAAGTAATAAAAGATGTCAAGAAAATTACAGAAAAAGTATAAATGACTTTGCCTACTTTTTACCCAACTAGATTGGTTTGCACACATTTTGAGTTTGCTTACTTGAAGTGAATAAAATAGCATGCTTGGAGAGTTGGTTATTTTATTTCTGCTCAAAGAAATTACTTTTAAATTCACAAAATTGCTTTCTTAACCCTGAGGTTATTTGTTTTTAGTTTTCCTATCAATACAAAAGCACATTCTTATAGAATGAGTGAAAGCTTTTCATTTGATTTTTCTAGGGCAAAATTTGTATTGATATTATCTGAAAGATACACTTAAGTACATTGTATTTTTTCTACAAAACTAAAAAAAAGTAAAATAAATGCTATATCATCAGCTCTAAATGTTGACTGAATGCCCACTACACTTAAAGTACTCTATTAATGCTAAAATGTGCTTACATTTCTTAAAGTTTTGCACTTTGGTAAAAACTTCAATGATAATAAATTCATGTGTTGAGTTTTTTTTTAATAGCAGAGATATAAGAAAAACAAAGTTGGCTTCTTGTACACTACTGGAACTTCTAATAGGCAGGCTCAAAAAGGCACATCTTACCTTTTCCCTTAAATGTTGGTCAGCTAGTGAGTTGTTAGGCAATTATTGGCATCGCTCTCCCGCAATTCATCATCAGCTGTATTCTAAATATATATGGGTTTGTGTGTGTGCCTGTGTGTGTGTGTGAATATACATACACACACACAAAGATTACTCTGAGCACCATATATGTTTATACAAAAGACAACTGCTACCACTACTCTCTCTCTTTGGCAAAATACATATGTATATATATATATATATATATGTAAATATATATGTATATATATATATACACACACATATTTGTGTGTGTGTATATATGTATGTATATGTGCATATATGTATATATGTGTATATATGTATATATAAATGTTTAAAACAGAAACATATATATGTATATTTCTATTTTAAACATTTCCAGTCATTTTCAGATTACAGAAATATTAAATTATTTTTCAGTAAGGAGATAATTCTAGTTTTTTTCTGCTCCTCTCAATGGAACACTGGGGAATATACTTTAACAGATGTGACAGTTTGTATGATGTTGAAGGAGCACTTCTCCATTGAAGGGAAAAAGCAGAAAAGAACATGTTGGAGAATGAAGAGAAACGATTATGTAGAGATGTCAAAGATGTTATAAAGAATGTAGAAAGAAGAAAATAAAAGAAATAGCTTTCCAAGATCTTCTGGTAAATCTTATTGAAGAAATATTTTACTTAGACTATCTGTGAGAATGAGTCAAATTAGAGATGAAAGAAGTTCGCCTCTCTGGGCTCTGATTTGCCATTTAGTATCAACGAAAACATGTCATCAATTTTTTAAAAAGTATAAACCAGTTATTGAGTTAATTCACAAACTAACATCATCAGAAATCAAAACCAATTATCTACAAACTAGGTGATTTCAAAATAACATAACTTCAATGAAAAACTCAATAGTCATTTAAAATGCCATCTTTACTGTTATTAATTATTCTTCTAATATGCATTCATATTTTTTCAATATATTTTTCTGTTCCCTCTGTAGAATTTATGTTTCCAATAACTAGGGAAGGGTGATGAACTCTTCATCGCTACTCTTTACAGTTATAGACAAAATCCTCTTGGGGTTGATCCAAATTCCTATCTCTTAAGCCTCAATTTTCTGAGATACCTGAATCCAAATGTGACCAATACTGAATTCCTTTAACTAATCTTCAGCAGTTCCAAAGCCCTTCCCCAAATATTAAGATTTATAGAGAAAGAAAACTTTTACATTGACAACCATAAAACTGTAAACAGAAATGATGTCCTTATAAACAAGCACCAAACAAATGTTGATTTTATCTTAAGAGTACTTTATCACTTTTCTGAAAGGCAACAAACACACAAAATTAACCAGATGAGACATTCCTCTATTTTATGGAGTGGACATTACATCTCTGCCTTTATCTACCTATAGCCAATAATTGGAGAATAATAACAATACCTTATATTTGTTTCACAATTTGTAGTTTCATATAAATATCTCCTTTGATCCTTACAAATTTGTTAAAAAATTACATGCAGCTGAATATTTACAGTTCCTCTCCCTCCATGAAAGCCTATAAAATAGAAATGTCACTATATATTATAAAGTGTATACATTTTCTTTTTAGTAGAGTATGTATTCCCTACTTAGCAGTCTTTTGTTACAGACAGTTAAAGTTTGAAAATGATCATTTTAAACCTAAAGCATATTTTTCAACATTAATATAAAAGTCTTCCTTGTTCCAATTGAAGATATAAATTGCTTAGAGGATCTTAAAGATATTCCTATTTGTACAACCATACATCTAATGAAGGTACAGAACTTGTGCCAGAAAACACTCTTATTTTTAATGATCAATTCCAAAAATTTCCACATTTAGTTTCTTTTTTATTTTCCTCACTTGCACTTTCCAATTGATTTCCCATCTGATTTCCTCTTCAAATAATATACTAAGAATCCTCATCAGTTCATACTTCAAATTCAGTACTGCTTTATTTATTGTTAATTCACAGTTTTGTGGGAGATAAGCAGAAATTCTCTATTCTTTAGTTTTTATGGATGTGACAATCCCTAAACTGACCATAACCTGTCTCTTTTATAACCTTGTCCCTGCAACCAGACTGTGGGTTTAAATTAGGTCCCATTTCTTATAAAAATCCCCAGGTGATTAATGTGTTGGAGGTCCTCAACATCTCCCCGAAGTTCAGCCATTTGCTAGATGGGATCACAGGGCTCAGCATGTAGTCATACTCCTAACCAAGATTCATTGCAGCAAAAAGGACAGAAAATAAAATCAACAAAGAGAAAATGTACATTGGGCCAAGATCCCGAAGAAGGCAAGTACAAGCCCCCAAGAGTCTTTCTCCAGTGAAGTCACACAGGACACACTTAATTCCTTCAAGCTGAATTGTGACAACATTTGTGAAGTGCCACCTACCAGGGAAGCTCATTAGATATTCACTGCCCAAGGTTTTTATCAAGGAATGATCATGCAGGTACCCTCTGCCTAGCTCCTACCAAGTTTCCAAATTCCCTGGAGGAAAACAGGTGTTCTGCATAAGCCACATTTTTTATATAAACAGAAGGGGCAAAATGAGTACCTCTTAGCAGTTAGAGTGTTCAGAATCCTCCTGAAATTCAAGTCCCCAGATGTCAACCAAGAGCCAACTTTGTGAGCAGGCCTTTCTAAGGCTAATAGTCTGAAGCCTGCTATGCTTACTCTTTTCTGCACACTAGTTTGTTAATCTCAACTCTTAAGTGCATTCCCCTCCCTTCAGTATTTCTAGAAAGGTTGGTACGCAGCACTGTATAACATAGTACTTACAAGCAATGTCCTAGGTAGCTTACTCACTGTGGGAGTAGAGATAACTACAAATGGTCGGGAAAGAACTTTTTGGGGTGACAGAAATTTTCTAAAACTGGATTATGATAATCGTGGCACAACATATAAATTAGCTACAAATAATTGAGCCATACACCTCCAGTGGGGGAATTATGTGGTATATATATTATACCTCACTAAAATTGTTTTAAAAAAGATCCTGTGATCCTGAAGTCAGGGCTTCTCAAAGTAGGGCTTACAAACATCCAAGGGTACAGGATTATTTTCCTCACTTGCACTTTCCAATTGATTTCCCATCTGATTTGCTCTTTAAATAATATACTAAGAATCCTCTGGGTACAGTGCCACTGTGAGATATTTGTTTCACTCACTGGTAACTTAATGCATTAATGTTAAACATTGCTGTTTCATGAAAACAAACATGCACGATAGAGAATGTGGTAATAAGTGAAAACAACCCTAATGAGAACAAATGGGATATTTATTCAGAGTTCGCTATGGATACTCCCTTGATGTGGGCAAGGGAGTCCACCCACACCATTTCAGTTTGGCAGAGATTGAAAGGCAGACAGTGGAGTGGGAAAATTGTGTAATGGAAAAAGAGAAGGCGTCAGGTACACTGTGATTAAAGGAGGTCTTTGCCATGGAGAAATTGGAGGCAGGCTAACTAGGAACAGAGCCTCTTAGGTGAGTGATCTAAAGAGCATATTTGTCTTTCTCTGGTTGGTCCTTGTGGCGGATTGGTCAGAGTGGTGGGAAAAACTATAGGGAAAGGACGTAAACCTTCTGAAAGGTCGGAAGGTTCTGCAGAGCCCCAGGGGAGAATAGCTGAAGGCAGCTGTACTATAACCCTGAGGCAGAGGGCAAGGAGTAGGTACAAGGGAGTGTGGGGGAATTTATCTTTTTTTTTTTTTTTTTTTTTTTGAGACGGAGTCTCGCTGTCGCCCAGGCTGGAGTGCAGTGGCGCAATCCCGGCTCACTGCAGGCTCCGCCCCCTGGGGTTCACGCCATTCTCCTGCCTCAGCCTCCCGAGTAGCTGGGACTACAGGCGCCCGCCACCTCGCCCGGCTAATTTTTTGTATTTTTAGTAGAGACGGGGTTTCACCGTGTTAGCCAGGATGGTCTCGATCTCCTGACCTCGTGATCCGCCCGCCTCGGCCTCCCAAGGAATTTATCTTAAACAAGCTTGTTTACTTATGTTGACCAACAACTGACCTTTGATCTTCCGGCGCCATGATGTCCGCTGAAAGGGGAACAATAAATGTTAATTACGTACAGGTTGTGATGGCTCCAGGTTTTCCATATTGTGCCTGCACTAAATAAAAGCTAGCAGCTCCAGCTTCTTGGGGCTCCTCTCTGGCCACTAGAGGCAGGCAGTCACATAGCTGCTCTTACACTGCATTCCTGTGTCTGAGTACTTATTTCATCCGTCGGTCAGGGTCTGCGGGACAGACCTGGCAGGTCCTAAGTTGGAAGTTGGAGCAAAAAGAGAGAAGTTAGCAGTCGCTGACCAAGTCCTCACACTGCTGGGCCATTTATTGCCACAGTTGTGGTTTGGGTCCCTAGACTTGTTGCTGAAAAGGTTGTGGTTTGGCTTATTGGACTGGTTGCTAAAGTAGTTGGGGTTTAGTTTCTGAGCTTCTTATGTATCTCAGAATTCTATTGTCATATATGCTCTGGCCATTGTCTGTTTCCATATTCAGTCTCTCGAAAGTAAAATGCAAACCCTGACAAGCAAAAAACAAACAAGCATTGCTAGTAAGTCAGATGAGCCATACTTGGATCATTCTTTCCTCCTTCTCTCCCAGAAGTCCCTCACACCCATGCAAATAGACCTCTCAACAGTTAGCTACATTAGTTTTCCAGATAATCGAAATTGTCTTAAACTCAAGCTGACATTTTTATTTCTCCAAAATTTGACTAATGAGAGTTTGATAAGAGAGACAATGGGTTATCCTTAGAGAAAGCCCTCCTTGGGCCCCTGATCTCTCACGTTTCCTCCTTCTGCCCAAGTCACTGAAAATAATGATGGGAATCACATTTGTATTTTGTGACTGCTCACATTTCAGGAACTTTAAATGATCCAGATATCATATTGCATATTACTCATAATAATGAAAATAAGAAGAGTGACCAGCAACTTTGCAAGCTTTCAATTATTTAACCCTCACCTTGAGAAAATTATCATTATTATGCCATTTTAGAAATAAGGAAAGTGAGATTTACCAAGGTTAAATTCTTTATCCAAGGTCACAAACTGTAGGACCAATTAAGAATTCAACCCCAGATGTGTCTGACTACAGAGCCAGTTCTTTAACCATAATATTGCTTTCCTACAGGAGAAACCAATGATTTAACTGATTGGAGATAATTCTTCTTGATTCAAATATAGCAAAAAGCCTCTCGCCTCACCCTTTTGGCATGGTCCATGAATGCTCTCAAGTTCAGTATTTGGCATTTTCTTCTCTTTGAGGCACACCCTACACTTGGTAAAACATGTCTTAGGCAATTTTCCTCAGACTTCAAAGGAAAATTTCTGCTGAGGTCTTGGAACCCCTGTTAGTAGTATCAGTGGCTTGCAGTTTCTCAACCCTTATATATTCCTTTAAAAAAAGTTTTGATTTCTAAAGATACAGATAGAATATTACCATGTCTAATTTTATTGGATTGATTATTTGGATTTCTGCATGTGCCATTGAAAGTAACAACCCAGGAAGTTTTCAGAAATTCTGGTTGTGAAGACAGGAGGTCTAGAAGCATTTTCCCTCTTGAACATTTTCATCTCTAAATTGTTTACTTTTGTGGAAGTTCCACTTCCACTCACCACTGCCAAGCTCATTCACACCAACCCCCTATTAAAATAAAGGAAAGTGGGTCAGATTATTAAGGGGCTTCCTCTCCTGTCATTGTCCCATATACTATACTCCCAGACCTAGCCCACACTCAATGTTGGCACAGCTTGCTGGTACATCTAGCCTGTGACTGTTTTAGTTTAAGTACATCACTCATGAATCCATGAGTTATTCCTGAAGAGAACATGCACAGCCTTGGCCTACTAAGTTCTAGCAACATTACAGGTTTGTTATCCTCCTAATTATATTGCCATCATAAATCTCACTTTTCTACTGATTTCCCAGAAAACTCTACTTTTAGGATTACGGTACTTCCAACAAGCCATTTAGTTTCACTTCAATTAATTTATTCATCAGGCCCCACCTTTTTCACTGGCCAGACTCTTGTTTCTCCAAGCTATGCCTCCTCCCTTTCACTCCAGCAGATAAATGCCAGCTCCTTTGCAGGCACCATTCACAGTGAGCTAAAGGATTGGATTATGACACCAATCCTGTGAGACAGAATTACCAGTCATCCTCCAAAGATGTTTCTTTTTTGCTATGCAAACTTTCTTTGGTTGAGATAAAAATAAACATAGAATAAGAACTGTTTCACCTCAAAACTCTAAGGTGTTCTCAAAAGAATGTATCCTATGCAATTAGGAATTTTATATTCGAAAGTCAACGCAATGATTTCCTGATCTCAGCTCCTTAGCTTGGAAAATCTTCAACCAGTGTGATGTCATTAGTAATGAGGAGTGGTGAAATAATTTTTATAGTAATAATTAGAATGTCAATCATCCAAATGATTTGCTTTCTTTTATAAATTAGAATAGATTCAAGGTTATCCTTTGAATAGTACCTCTCTCTCATTCACTTGCTTTCCTATCTGCTTTCTAAAATTGGAAGAAATAGTTGAAGTTGCAGGTAGAAGAATTAGACATAACCTATAATTTATTTTTCCTCTGCTACAACCCTTAGTAAGCTATCATTAATGACATGTCATTAAAACTATAGCAATTATGAATTATTGTAGTACATTTGGTGCTAATTTTGTAGTTGTTTCTATTTTCATTTTAGTTTTACCCATGGATGAATTTTAATAAGAAAGAGGAAATAGATATTTTAAAAAGCATAAGAAATGCATCTTTAACATAGTTTTCAAATACCTTCTTTGTAAAGGAAAACTTTTCAGAAAAGGAAGATTTTTGTAGAACTCTAATATATAAAGCAGGTAAGTATGGAACTGCTCTAATTCAATCCTGGGCAGGAGACCAAGGCCTACCTGGCCTCTTACTGCTCCCTTCTGGTGACGTCTGAGCCACAACCACATAAACCCACTGACCATTGTTTGAAAGCCAGTGATCTCCATTGACCTGATATATGAGCAACTTGATGCCACTGACATTGATTGACAGTCTAGATGATATTAGCCATGATGCTCATTATGTGACAAGTTAAAAATTTACATATTCTTGATTAACAAAAATATTTATTTTATTTAAAAATAATACCTAATTGCTCATCTTAATATTACCTACTGATGGATAATCAGGAATAAAATATCACCACTTTTTAAAACTATAATTTGACGTTTTAAAATGTTAGTTACCATGTTTCTTTATTCTTATGAAAAATAATTGAATAAATATTTAAATTACTGTTTTTATCATTCACCACTAAAAAGCCTTTATACGTGCACACACATTTACATACACATATAAAATGTCTATAGCACTTGTTGCTTTATTTCTCCATAACTTTTTCAGAAGATCAAAATCTGGATATGCGTATTTGAATGTGTTGTAACAGAAATACGACATTCGAAATAAATAATTTCCATTATTTGAGGTACTTTTTCTTAATCCACCCTGTCTTTCTTATCCTTTTCTTGAAGGCCTAGATTCAATTGTTACCAAATGGCTTCAATAAGTTACCAAAATAGATGTTACATTTTAAGTAATTTATAAAGTTAACCACACACCAAATGTATCAGGGAAGAAAACTTGTTATGGAAAGATGTATTCTAAAATAGAATCTTTTGCATTAAGAAGTTAGCAGATTAGAAAAACAGTATTGAGTGCAGTATTCTCTATTATTTTTCTAAGATCTTTTTTTTTTTTTTTTGCCAAACTATACAGCCAAAAGCATGGAAACAATATTGACATGCTTCTCAGTATGCTTTTTTCCTTCTGTGGCACATCTTTCCCATAACCTACTTCATACCACTCTCTGGGATGCATAAGCCACCCCCATAGAAAATAAAGATCCAGCCCTACTTTGTACTTCTCAATTTCATAATACAACTGTTTCAATACACATAAGAGACAAGAGGAAGACAAATATTTCATTCTTAGTTTTACCTTGCTTGGAAAGTGGGCAGGAGTAGCAATCATAAATTAAATAAAATTTTAAATGCAGAAGTTAATTCTGCAAAGGTATATCCAAATATTCTTAAAAGTTCTCTTTCTGAAACTAGCAGCTTGCTATCATTCTTTTCCCATATTCAGTTTTCAAATGGCCAAAGCCAGAACTATTTATAGCATGAAGAAAAGACTTGGAGAAGTGCTTTACAGTTTAATTTCCAAGTAATCTTTGTTGGAGTTTATCTTCCTGACCCCAAAGGAAAGTTTCACTTCAGGGGAAATAAACTATGGTTAGACAATAAACACATAAAAAGTAGATTCTGAATTTCCCTAGCAAAGTGATAATTAAATAGTAAGTGCTTAATATATGTATTTGTTTAATTAAATACTTTTAAGGATTTCACTCTTTCATTGGCTTCATGAAAACACATTGGATGGGAAAGTGGACACAAAACACTCAAGCCTCAGCTTTTTTCCTCTTTCTTCTGAAACATAAAGAAGCTTTTTTCCTCTTCCTTTTCCAAAAGGTAAAACTTATCCTTCATCCTTAGCATTACTGGAAAGATTCCTTTTTCTACTTTATTCATTTCTGACTCTCTTTTTGCATTCTTGCAGGTCCATGTACATACACATCACTACACTCCCCACATGTACAGAGAGAAATTTTCGATTAAGATGTAGACTTTTCTCTTGCTCTAATATTGGACTGTTAGTATTTTCAATATTGTTCTTAAAATTATGTGTTTAATTATATCCCAACTTATCCAAGAGGGGTTTGACATTTCTTACCCTTCTGAGTCCTTTGAGTGCCTGATTTAATTAGTCATATCCAATACTTATCCATGTGCTTTGGGGTTTAAAAACATAAAGAACACAGTGTCCCTGCCCTCCAAGAACTAATAATCCAAGGGAATAAAGTCACATGAATATAAAACACTCTGAACACACAGACTCTGATAACTGATATAGAGCTACAGATAAAACATTCACTATGAGGTTACTAGGAAGAAAATAATCATTCCACCATTTAGTCAGCTAAAACACATGATCATTCTACTTCTATAACCCTAAAAGCATTTGCCAATACTGATTCATCTCAACGTTCCACATCTACAGCAGAATATAAATGTTTATATTTATAAGGTTGTTTTGGAATTATCAAGATGTTAAATTATTTAATTTTATTCCTTAAAGTTAGAAAATTTATAATATGGTTTTCAGGATTTTCATATAATTAGGTTGAGATCACATTGTATTTTAGCTCAATATTTTACCTTTCAGTTGTCCAAAAATGTCATTTAACCAGAATGTCTAATTCTTTTTAGGACTTAGGATAAGCTGAGTGTGACTATGAATTCTCATTCTTTAACTTTATGCTGTAATTATTTTCAACATCTTACCTTTAAATAAGAATTCTCAATGGAATTATATACATTGCTTAATACAATTCTGGTATATGTTAAGCACTCAATTTTCCTATGTTTTATGTAATTGTAAGTATCACAGTAAGTATTCATTGTTTGGGCAAAGTTCAGTGCAATTTAGACAATATTTGAAGGACATTCAAGACATCTCACTCCTAAAGTAAAAAAAAAGAAACAACCTAAATACCCATCAATAGGAGAATAATTGAATACTTATACCACATACACAAAATATAGTGCTTCCTTTAAAAAAAACAGACAAAATATATGAAACAATTATTTTCAAGACATTAGATATCAGGTAATGAAAGACAGTGATCCTGAGGGACGAGTAAGAAATGAGGTGAGCTCTATGACCTTACTACCTAAAGAGCATTTCCAGGTCATGGTTTAGAATTCAGGGACCCAGATGGGGCTCATTATTGCCCCTGATTTAAGACAGAGTTGGGGGCATGGGAGGCTAACACAGCTAGTACAGTACCATAAAGGGGAGAGAGGAATAGAAAGAGAGCTCTGAAGATCTAAGATAATACATCTCACTCAAGTCTTCAGCTGAGTACTCACCGGTACTGACATAATTATCTACATAGAAAATCCAATGGACTCTTTTAGAAGTTACTAGAACTGATAGATTAGCACCTTTACAGGATCAATACACAAGATCAGCAGACAAGAATCAAATGTATTTCTATATACTAGCAACAAACAATTAGAATGAAATTTATAATAGAAAAAAATACCATCATACACCATGATCAAGTCAAATTTATTCCAAGCATGCAAGGCTGGTTCAACATTCAAAAATCAATTAACATAACCTATCTGGTCAGTCTCAGTGGCTCACGCCTATAATCCCAGCACTTTGGGAGGCCAAGGCCAGAGAATCTCTTGAGCCCAGGAGTTTAAGACCAGCCTGAGCAACATAGTGAGAGCTTGTCTCCAAGAAAAAAAAAAATTATCTGGGCATGGTGGCATAGGCCTGTGGTCCCAGCTACTCAGGAGGCTAAGGTAGGAGGATCACTTGACCCCAGGAGGTCAACATTGCAGGGAGCCATGATCATGACACTCGACTCAAGGCTGGATGACAGAGAAAGACCCTATCTCAGATAATAATAATAAATCTATCACATCAGCAGGCTGAAAGAGAAAAATCAATGATCATATCAATAAATGCAGAAAAAGCATTTGACAAAGTCCAACACCCATTTATGATTAAAAACTCTGCAAACTTAGAAGAGAAGAAACTTTCTCAACTTAATAAAAAGAAATCTGGAAAAAATCTACAGCTAACATCACACTTAATGGTGAGAATTAGAAGCTTTCCCACTAAGATCGGAAAAAAGCAAGGATGTCCCCTGTCACTACTCCTTTTTGACATTGTACTGGAAGACTTGGCTAATACAAGCCAGCTGCAGAAATCTGCATAAGCAATGAAAAGCCAGTGGGGAAAATGTCTCCAGGGCATGTCAGAGATCTTCACAGCAGCCTCTCCCATCACAGGCCCTGAGGCCTAGGAGCGAAAAATGGTTTCATGGGCTGGGCCTAGCGCCCCCGCTGCTATTCTGTGCAGCCTCAGAACTTGTTGCCCTGTATCCCAGCAGCTCCAGCCCAGCGGTGGCTAAAAGGGGCCAAGGTTGGGCTGTTGCTTCAGAGGGTGTGTGGAAGTGTGGCACTCCCCCTCCATTCTCTCTCTTGCTCCATGATTGTGAAGATGTGCATGCTTCCCCCTCACCTTCTGTCATGATTGTAAGTTTCCTGAGGCCTCCTAGTCATGCTTCCTGGTAAGCCTGCAGAACTGTGAGTTAATTAAACCTCTTTTCTTTATAAATAACTCAGTCTCAGGTAGTTCTTTATAGCAGAGTGAGAACGGACTAATATAATAGCCAAAACAACTTAAGCAAAATGAACAAAGATGGCAGCATTGCACTCCCTGACTTCAAAACATATTATGAAATGATTGTAACCAAAGAAGCATGGTGCTGGCACAAAAACAGACACACAGACCAATGGAACAGGATAGAAAACCCAAAAATAAACCCAGCTAATCAGCTGCCAGTACAACTAGAGAAAAGCAGGCAGAAGAAGCTGGAAAGAGCAGACTTGCTGAGTCTTCTGGCCTTCATCTTTCTCCCACGCTGCATTTATGGTCAATTGATTTTTTTACAAAGATGCCAAGAACACGCAATTGAGAAAGAACAGTCTCTTCGATAAATAGTGTTGGGAAAACTGAATGTCCACATGCAGAAAAATGAAATTAGACTCTTACCTTACACAGTATACAAAATTCAAGTCAAAGTGGATTAAATACTTAAGTATAAGATCTGAAGCTGTAAAAGTCTTAGAAGAAAACACAGGGGGAAAGGTCCACTGTACTGATCCGGGTAATGATTTTTTGGATATGATCCCAAAAGCACAGTCAATAAAAGCAAAAACAGACAAATCAGATGGAATCAAACTAAAAGGATTATGCAGAGCAATCAAAACAATTAGCAAAGTGAAAAGACAACCCATAGAATGAAAGAAAATATTTGCAAACCATACACCTGATAAGGGGTTACTATCCAAAATATATAAGGAACGCCAACAATTCAATAGCAAGAAAACAAATAACACAATTTAAAAATGAGCAATAGACCTGAAAAGACATTTCTTAAAAAAAGAATGGCCAATAGGTATATGAAAAAATGCTCAGAATAACTAATCATTATGAAAATGCAAATTAAAACTACAAGGAGATATTACCTCATACCTGTTAGAATGATTAACAGAGACTGTTTAATAGAGAATTGATTAACAGAGACTAACAGAGAATTGTTAATACAGACTGCAGCATGGGGAAGGAGGGAATGGGGAGTAGTTAGTCAAATGATATAAAAAGAAAGAAAGTCAGGAGAAATAGCTTCAGAAAGACAAGAGGAATAGCTTTTGAGATCTATTGCACAGCAGGGTGACCATAGTCAATAATAATATATTATATATTTCAAAATAAGAGTAAATTTCAAATGTCTCACCAAAAAATAACAGGTATTCAAGGTGATGGATATGTTAATTAGCTTAATTTAATCATGACACATTGTATACATATAAACAAATGTGTATGCGTATATATATGCATATGTGTGTGTGTATATATGTGTGTGTATGTATATATATATATATACTTTTTTTTTTGAGACAGAATCTCACTCTGTTGCCCAGGCTGGAGTGCAGTGGCATGATCTTGGCTAACTGCAACCTCTGCCTCCCAATTTTAAGTAATTTTCCTGCCTCAGCCTCCTGAGTAGCTGGGACTACAGGAGTGCACCACGACGCCCGGCTAATTTTTGTATTTTTAGTAGAGACGGCGTTTTACTTTGTTGGCCAGGCTGGTCTCAAACTCCTGGGCTCAAGCAATCTGCCTTCCTTGGCCTCCCAAAGTGCTGGGATTACAGGCCTGAACCACGGCACCTGGTCTCTAATATATATTTTAAAGGCCTGAAATCAATGAAGGACCAAATAAATGGAGTAATATTCTATCTTCATGGATAGGAAGACTCAATATTGTCAAGCTGTCAATTCTTCCCAACTTTATAGATTCAATGAAATCCCAATAAAAATCCCAACCAGTTAATTCTGTGGATATCAACAAACTGATTCAAAAGTTTCTGTGGAAAGACAAAAGACCCCAGAGTAGATAATTCTGTGGATATCAACAAACTGATTCTAAAGTTTCTATGGAAAGACAAAAGACCCCAGAGTAGCTAACAAGATATCGAAGGAAAAGAATAGTCAGAGGACTAGCACTACCTTACTTTAAGACATACTATAATGCTGCAATAATCAAGACAGTATGATATTGGTGAAAGAATATATATATAAAAATCAATCAATGGAACATAATAGAGAGTCCAGCAATAGACCCACATAAATAGAATTAACTGCTCTTTGACAGAAGAACAAAGGCAATACAATAAGCAAAGATAATCTTTTCAACAAATGGTTTTGGAACAACTGAATAGACATATCTCCAAAATGAATTTGGACACAGACCTTACGCCCTTTGCAAAAATTAAGATGAATTATAGGTGCAGTGGCTCACACCTGTAATCTCAGCACTTTGGAAGGCCAAAGCCAGAGGATGGCTTGAGGCCAGAAGTTGGATAACCAGTCTGCACAACATAGTGGGACCCAATCTCTACAAAAGAAAGGAAAAAGAATGTACCTAGGTTACTGGTACCAAAACAGAGATATAGATCAATGGAACAGAACAGAGCCCTCAGAAATAACGCCACATATCTACAACTGTCTGATCTTTGACAAACCTGAGAAAAACAAGCAATGGGGAAAGGATTCCCTATTTAATAAATGGTGCTGGGAAAACTCGCTAGCCATATGTAGAAAGCTGAAACTGGATCCCTTCCTTACACCTTATACAAAAATCAATTCAAGATGGATTAAAGACTTAAACGTTAGACCTAAAACCATAAAAACCCTAGAAGAAAACCTAGGCATTACCATTCAGGACATAGGCATGGGCAAGGACTTCATGTCTAAAACACCAAAAGCAATGGCAACAAAAGCCAAAATTGACAAATTGGATCTAGTTAAACTAAAGAGCTTCTGCACAGCAAAAGAAACCACCATCAGAGTGAACAGGCAACCTACAAAATGGGAGAAAATTTTCACAACCTACTCATCTGACAAAGGGGTAATATCCAGAATCTACAATGAACTCAAACAAATTTACAAGAAAAAAACAAACAACCCCATCAAAAAGTGGGCGAAGGACATGAACAGATACTTCTCAAAAGAAGACATTTATGCAGCCAAAAAACATGAAAAAATGCTCACCATCACTGGCCATCAGAGAAATGCAAATCAAAACCACAATGAGATATCATCTCACACCAGTTAGAATGGCAATCATTAAAAAGTCAGGAAACAACAGGTGCTGGAGAGGATGTGGAGAAATAGGAACACTTTTACACTGTTGGTGGGACTGTAAACTAGTTCAACCATTGTGGAAGTCAGTGTGGCGATTCCTCAGGGATCTAGAATTAGAAATACCATTCGACCCAGCCATCCCATTACTGGGTATACACCCAAAGGACTATAAATCATGCTGCTATAAAGACACATGCACACGTATGTTTATTGCAGCACTATTCACAATAGCAAAGACTTGGAACCAACCCAAATGTCCAACAATGATAGACTGGATTAAGAAAATGTCACACATATACACCATGGAATACTATGCAGCCATAAAAAATGATGAGTTCATGTCCTTTGTAGGGACGTGGATGAAACTGGAAATCATCATTCTCAGTAAACTATCGCAAGAAAAAAAACCAAACACTGCATCTTCTCACTCATAGGTGGGAATTGAACAATGAGAACACATGGACACAGGAAGGGGAACATCACACTCTGGGGACTGTTGTGGGGTGGGGGTAGGGCAGAGGGATAGCACTGGGAGATATACCTAATGCTAGATGACGAGTTAGTGGGTGCAGCACACCAGCATGTCACATGTATACATATGTAACTAACCTGCACATTGTGCACATGTACCCTAAAACTTAAAGTATAATAAAAAAAAAAAAAGGATGTACCTAGGTGTGGTTGTGCGTGCTGTAGTCCTAGCTACTTGAGAGGCTGAGGCAGCAGGATTGCTTGAGCCCAGGAGGTCAAGACTGCCATGAGCTATGATCACACTGCTGCACTCCAACCTCAGCAACAGAGCAAGACCCTGTCCCTTAAAAAAAAAAAAAAAAAAAAAAAAACTAGCTGGGCATGGTGGCTCACACCTGTAATCCCTGCACTTTGAGAGACTGAGGCAGGCAGATCACTTGAGGTCAGGAGTTTGAGACCAGCCTGGGCAACATGGTGAAACCCCGTCTCTACTAAAAATACAAAAATTAGCCAAGTGTGGTGGTGCATGCCTGTAATCCCAGCTACTCAGGAGGTTGAGGCAGGAAATCACTTGAACCTGAGAGGCAGAGGCTGCAGCGAGCCAAGATCATGTCACAGCACTCCAGCCTGGGTGACAGAGAGAGACCCTGTCTCAAAAAAAAAAAAAAAAAAATTCTAGAAGATAACATAAAGGGTAATCTAGATGACCCTGGATTTGGCAATGACTTTTCTAGTTATAAAACCAAAGTCATGATTGATGAAAGAAAGAATTAGTAAATTCAACTCTATTAATATTTAAAATGTATGCTATCTGAAAGTCACCTGTCAGGAGAATGAGAAGACAAATTACAAACTGGGAGAATATATTCGCGAAGCACATATCTGATAAAGGACTGTTATCCAAAATATGCAAAGAACCCTTAAAAACAACATTATGAAAGGAAACAACCCAATTAAAAACAGGCAAAAGGTCTGATCAGACATCTCACCAAAAAAGATATACACGTGACAAACAAGCAAATGATTACATACTCAACATCATAAGTTGTGATGGTTAATATTGAGTGTCAACTTGATTGGATCGAAAGATGCAAAGTATTGTTCCTGGATGTGTCTGTGAGAATGTTGGTATAGGATATTAACATTTGAGTCAGTGGACTGGGAAAGGCAGACCCACCCTCAATCTGGGTGAGCACCATCTAATCAGCTGCCAGCATAGCTAAAAGAAAAGCAGGCAGAAGAAGCTGGAAAGAGCAGACTTGCTGAGTCTGCTGGCCTTCATCTTTCTCCCATGCTGGATGATTTCTGCCCTCAAACATCAGACACCAAGTTCTTCAGTTTTTGGACTCTTGGACTTACACCAGTGGTTTGCCAAGGGCCCTCAGGTCTTCAACCACAGACCGAAGGCTGCACTATCTTTTGAGGTTTTTGGGACTTGGACTGAGCCCTCCTTTTGAAGTTTTGGGACTCATACTGGCTTCCTTGCTCCTCAGCTTGCAGACGGCCTTTTGTGGGGCCTCATCTTGTGATCGTGAGAGTCAATACTCCTTAATAAAATCCACTTCATATATACATCTACCCTATTAGTCCTGTCCCCTGAGAGGACCCTGACTAATACAGATTTTGGTACCAGGAGTGATTCTACAGGAACAGAATTTTAAGGATGAATTTCTTTAGTTGGTTTTGGGGTTTCTGGAGTTGGCCACTTAATCTGATTAGACCCCAAAATGCTAAGGACTCTACTTCTAATGGTATGGAGAACACAGATAGTCTTTGACCATGAACTGTTTAGAGAGTTATGTGAAATAAATGCATTAAATACTCCAGACTCACTGCTTATGAGACGTAAAGGGTTTAGTGAGTTTATACATAATACCTTTGACCATATGTGGAGAGCCAAGGAATATAATGAAGTTGGTTGGTTGCTCCTAAGTTCACTGGACAAAGTGATGAAAAAAACAGTGAACTCAGGAATTCTAACTCCTGGCACCAGAAGCACATACTGAGCCTCAAATTTTCTAAGATTGCCCTGAGTGAGAGTCTTATCTCCTGTAGAGAAAGAGCTGAAATTGTGGAAAATCAGACACAAGCTCTTATCATGCGAGTGGCTGACCTGCAATGAAAGATGCATGCACAACCTCACCAGGTGTCTACTGTTAAAACGAATGCATTGTTTGGAAAAGAATGGGACCCTACAACTTGAAATGGGGATGTGTGGAAGGACCCGATAAGGCTGAGGTCACTGGGCTCCTAAATTCTAATGAGACTTTTTTTGCCAGAGGAAACAGCCTCCAAACCCTCAGTGGTGGTAACATGGAGATAAACCATGCACCACCTGAGGCAACAGTGATGGCCTCCCTTGAGGTAGTTGCCAGGCAAAACAAGGTTGATTCTCCTCAGGACCCACCCCCAACACCCCTTATTGCTTCTAGACCTGTAACTAGACTCAAATCCCTGCAGGCCCCTAGAGGTGAGGTTCAGAGTGTGATCCATGAGGAGGTGCACTATACTCCAAAAAAGCTGCTTGAGTTTTCTAATTTATATAAGCAGAAATTTGGAGAACAGGCATGGGAATGGATATTAAGGGTGTGGGATAATGGTGGATCCATAAATTGGATCAGGCTGAATTTATTGATATGGGCCCACTGAGCAGGGATTATGTATTTAATGTTGCAGTTTGGGAAGTTTAAAAAATATGCTAATAGTTTACTTGTTTGGTTAGATGAAACATGGATCAAAAGAGAGCCCACTGTGAGTGAGCTAAAAATGCCTGATCTCCCTTGGTTTAATGTAGAGGAAGAAATCCAAAGGCTTAAGGAGATTGAGGTGATAGAGTGGATTAGTCACTTTAGACCTACTCATCCCTGCTGGGAGGGTCCAGAAGACATACCCTTCGCCAATATTTTGTGAAATTGATTGAGAGGGGAGTAACTGCATCCTTGAAGAGCTCTGTGATTGCTCTTCTCTGTATGCCACATCTTATAGTGGGAACCGCAGTCACTCAGCTATAAAATTTTAATGCAATGGAAATAATTGAATCCCAAGGTGGCAAAGGCCAAGCGGCGGCACTCAACCATCAAAAGCAAGGTGGGTGTAGTTACTGTAATGAACAGCAGAGGCAGAGCAGCAATCAGAATAGTCTGACTAGTATAGAGGTCTAGCATTGGCTAAGTAATCACGGTGTTCCTAAAAGTGAAATTGATAGGAAGCCTACTGCTTGCTTGCTTTCTTTTTTTCTTTCTTTCTTTCTTTCTTTCTTTCTTTCTTTCTTTCTTTCTTTCTTTCTGTCTGTCTGTCTCTTTCTTTCTTTCCTTTCTTTCTTTCTTTCTTTTCTTTCTTTCTCTTTCTTCTTTCTTTCTTTCTTTCTTTTGAGACGGAGTCTCACTCTGTCACCTTGGCTGGAGTGCAGTGGCGCAATCTGGGCTCACTGCAAGCTCTGCCTCCCCCACACCATTCTCCTGCCTCAGCCTCCCGAGTAGCTGGGACTACAGGCTCCCGCTACCACACCCAGCTAATTTTTTTGTATTTTTAGTAGATACAGGGTTTCACAGTGTTAGCCAGGATGGTGTCAATCTCCTGACCTCGTGATCCACCTGTCTTGGCCTCCCAAAGTGCTGGGTACTGCATTCTTACTTAATTTGTATAAGCAGAAAACTTCCAGATGTAGTGGACAAAAGGTTAATTTGAATTATAAAAATAGATAATCACAGCCTCTCAATCAATTTTCAGACTTGAACCAGTTTACAGACCCAGAACCCCTTGAATGAAGGGGGTTCAGGTCCCCTTGTGGAAGGTGGAAGGACCCTACTATGCTACTGACAATTTATGCTGTTAATATTTCTCCCATCCTTCCCCAGGAAGACCTCTGGCCTTTTACCAGGGTAACTTTGCATTGGGGAAAGAGGAATGATCAGACCTTTTGGGGACTACTTGACACTGGCTCTAAGCTGACATTGATTCCAGGGGACCCAAAACGTCACTGTGGTCCTCCAGTTAAAGTAGGGATTTAAGGAGGCTTACAGTGGCTCCAGTGCATCCCCAGACTCATCCTGTGGTCATTTCCCCAGTTCCAGAATGTATAACTGGAATAGACATACTTAGCAGCTGGCAGAACCCCCACATTGGCTCCCTGACTTGTAGGGTGAATGCTATTATGGTGGGAAAGGCCAAATGGAAGCCATTAGAGATACCTCTACCTAGCAAAATAGTAAACCAAAAACAATATCACATCCCTGAAGGGATTGCAGAGATTAGTGCCACCATCAAGGACTTGAAAGATGCAGAGGTGGTGATTTCCACCACATCCTCATTCAACTCTCCTTTTTAACCTATGCAGAAGACAAGTGGATCTTGGAGAATGACGCTGGATTATCGTAAGTTTAACCAAGTGGTGACTCCAATTGCAACTGCTGTGCCAGATGTGGTTTCATTGCTTGAGCAAATTAACACATCTCCTGGTACCTGGTATACAGCCATTGATTTGGCAGATGGCTTTTTCTGCATTCCTGTCCATAAGGCCCACCAGAAGCAATTTGCCTTCAGCTGACAAGGCCAGCAATATACCTTCACTGTCCTCTCCAGTTGTGTGTCATAATCTTGTTCAGAGGGATCTTGATCACTTTTCCCTTCCACAAGGTACCACACTGGTCCATTACATTAATGACATTATGCTGATTGGACCTAGTGAGCAAGAAGCAACAAACACACTGTACTTATTGGTGAGACATTTGTGTGCCAGGGGATAGGAAATAAATCCAACTAAAATTCAGGGGCCTTATACCTCAGTGAAATTTCTAGGGAGTCCAGTGATGTGGGGCCTGTCGAAGTATTTCTCCTAAAGTGAAGGATAAGTTTTTGCATTTGGCCCTTCCTACAACCAAGAAAGAGGCAGGTGCCTAGTGGGCCTATTGATTCTGGAGGCAACATATTCCTCAACTGGGTGTGTTACTCCAACCCATTTATCAAGTGACCCAAAAGGCTACCAGTTTTGAGTGGGGTCCACAACAGGACAAGGCTCTGCAGCAGGTCCAGGGTGCTGTGCAAGCTGCTCTGCCACTTGGGCCATAAGACCCAGCAGATCCAATCACGCTTGAGGTGTCAGTGGCAGACAGAGATGTTGTTTGGAGCCTTTGGCAGGCCCCCACAGGTGAACCACAGTGGAGGCCTCTAGGATTTTGGAGCAAGGCCCTGCCATCTTCTGTAGATAACTACTCTTCTCTTGAGAGACAGCTCTTAGCCTGTTACTGAACTTTGGTAGTAACTGAACGTTTGACTAAGGGTCATCAAGTCACCATGTGACCTGAACTGCCTATCATGAATTGGGTGCTTTCTGACCCATCTAGCCATAAAGTTGGGCATGCACAGCAGCATTCCATCATCAAATGGAAGTGTTATATATGTAACTGGGCTTGAGCAGGTCCTGAAGGCACAAGTAAGTTGCATGAGGAAGAGGCTCAAATGTCCACGGTCTCTACTCTGCCACTCTGCCTTCTCTCCCCCAGCCTGCACTGATGGCCTCATGAGGATTTCCCTATGATCGTTGACAGGGGAAGAGGAGACTAGGCCTTTGTTCAGAGATGGTTCTGCACAATATGCAGACATCACCTGAAAGCAGACAACTGCAGCACTACAGCCTCTTTCTAGGACATTCCTGAAGGACAATGGTGAAGAGAAATCTTCCCAGTGGGCAGAACTTTGAGCAGTGTACCTGGTTGTACACTTTGCTTGGAAGGAGGAATGGCCAGATGTGCAAGTGGATACTAATTCATGGGCTATAACCAATGGTTTGGCTGGATGTCAGGGACTTAGGAGAAGGATGATTGGAAAATTGGTGACAAAAAAAAATTGGCGTATGAGTATGTTCTCACACTGCTATAAGGACAAACCTGAGACTAGGTAATTTATAAAGGAAAGAGGTTTTATTGACTCCACAGTTCAGCCTGGCTGGGGAGGCCTTGGGAAACGTACAATCATGGTGGAAGGGGGTGCAAACATGTCCTTCTTCACATGGTGGCAACAAGGAGAAGTGTAGAGTGATGTGGGAGAAAAAGCTCCTTACAAAACCATCAGATCTCAAGATAACTCATTCACTATCATGAGAATAGCATAAAGGTAACTGCCCCTATGATTCAATTACCTCCCACAACACATGGGAATTACGGGAACTAAAGTCTAAGATGAGATTTGGGTGGGAACGCAGCCAAACCATATCATTCTGCCCCTGGCCCCTCCCAAATCTCATGTCCTCACATTTCAAAACATAATCATGCCCTTCCAGCAGTCTGCCAAAATCTTAACTCATTCCAGCATTAACCCAAAAGTCCAAGTCCAAAGTCTCATCTGAAACAAGGCAAGTTCCTCTTGCCTATGAGAATATAAAATCAAAAGCAAGTTAGTTACTTCCTGGATACAATGGGGGTACAGGTATTGCATAAATACACCCATTCCAAATGGGGGAAATTGGCCAAAATCAAAGGGCTACAGGCCCAATGCAAGTCCAAAATCCAATAGGAGTCATTAAACCTTTAAGTTCCAAAATGATCTCTTTTGACTCCATGTCTCACATTCAGGTCATGCTGATGCAAGAAGTGGGCTGCCACAGCCTTGGGCAGCTTCACCTCTGTGGCTTTGCAGGGTACAGCCCCACCCCTGGATGCTTTCACTGGCTGGTGTTGGGTGTCTGTGGCTTTTCCAGATGCATGGTGCAAGTTGTTGTTGGATCTACTATTCTAAGGTCCAGAGGATGGTGGCCCTCTTCTCACAGATACATGAGGTAGTGCCCCAGTGGAGACTCTCTGTGGGGGCTCCCATTTCACATTTCCCTTCCACACTACCCTAGCAGAGGTTCTCCATGACAGCCCTGCTCCTGCAGCAAACTTCTGCCTGGGGATCCATATGTTTCCATACATCTTGTGAAATCTAGGCAGAAGTTCCCAAACCTCAATTCT
This sequence comes from Homo sapiens, assembly GCF_000001405.40. Lineage (NCBI taxonomy): Eukaryota > Metazoa > Chordata > Mammalia > Primates > Hominidae > Homo > Homo sapiens. Next base: position 193,378,044 of record NC_000001.11, on the reverse strand, counting down.
TGACTTCTGTGTATCTGCAGGCTCAACACCACATGGAAGCTGCCAAGGCTTGGGGCTTGCACCCTCTGAGGCTACAACTTGAGCTGTACCATGGTCCGTTTTAGCCACAGCTGGAACAGCTGGGATGCAGGGCACCAAGTCCCTAGGCTGCACTCAGCAGTGGGACCCTGGACTTGGCCCGTGAAACCATTTTTCCCTCCTAGGCTTCCCAGCCTGTGATGGGAGGGGCTTCCATGAAGGTCCCTGATGTGCTCTGGAGACATTTTCCCCATTATCTTAGTGACTAGCAATTGGTTCTTCATTACTTATGCAAATTTCTGCAGCTGGCTTGAATTTCTTCCCAGAAAAGGGTTTTTCTTTTCTATTGCGTCATCAGGCTGCAAATTTTCTAAACTTTTATTCTCTGCTTCCCTTGAACACTTTGCCACTTAGAAATTTCCTCTGCCAGATATCCTAAATCATCTCTTTCAAGTTCAAAGTGCCACAGATCTCTAGTGCCATGGCAAAATGCCACCAGTCTCTTTGCATAGCTAGAGTGACCTTTCCTCCATTTCCCAAAGTGGCTTCCATATTTTTTGCTTATGTTTATAGCAGCACCCCTTTCTATGGTACTAATTTACTGTATTAGTCCATTCTCATGATGCTATAATGACATACCTGAGACTGGTTAATTTATAAAGGAAAGAGGTTTAATTGATTCATAGTTTAGCATGGCTGGGGAGGCCTCAGGAAACTTACAGTAATGGCCACTCTCTGAGTGGCCAAAAACTGTGAAGTTATTTGTATCCCATGTGAGTGCTCACCAACAGGTAACCTCAGCAGAAGAGGATTTTAATAGTCAAGTGGATAGGATAACTCATTCTGGGGACACTACTCAGCCTCTTTTGCCAGCCACCCTTGTCATCGCCCAGTGGGCCCATGAACAAAGTGGGAAGGAGGTTATGCATGGGCTGAGCAACATGGACTTCCACTAAACAAGGCTCACCTGGCTACAGCCAACACTGAGTGCCCAATTTGCCAGCAGCAGTTACCAACACTGAGCCCTCGATATAGCACCATACCTCGGGGTGGTCAGCCAGCTACTTGGTGGCAGGTTGATTATACTGGACCTTTTCCATCATGGAAAGGGCAACGGTTTGTCCTCACTGGAATACGCACTTACTCCAGCTATGGGTTTGCCAAGACTACCATCCATGGATTCATGGAATGACTTATCCACCATCATGGTATTCCACACAGCCTTGCCTCTGACCAAGGCACTCGCTTTACAGCTAAAGAAGTGTGGCAGTGAGGTTATGGTCATGGAATTCACTGGTCTTACCATGTTCCCCATTATCCTGAAGCAGCTGGATTGAGAGAATGCTGGAATGGCTTTTTGAAGTCACAATTACAACACAAACTAGGTGACAATACTTTTCAGGGCTGGGACAAAGTTCTCCAGAAAGCTTTGTATGCCCTGAATCAGCATCCAATATATGGTACTGTTTCTCCCATAGCCAGAATTCATGGGTTGAAAAATCAAGGCTGGAAGTGGAAGTGGCACCATTCACCATCACCCCTAGTGACCCACTAGCAAAACTTTTGCTTCCTGTTCCTGCGACATTACGTTCTACTGGCCTAGAGGTCTTAGTTTCAGAAGGAGGAATGCTGCCACCAGGAGACACAACAATGATTCCTTTAAACTGGAAGTTAAGATTGCCACCTGGCCACTTTTGTCTCCTCCCACCACAAGTCAACAGGCTAAGAAAGGAGTTACAATGTTGGCTGGGGTGATTGACCAAGACTATCAAGATGAAATCAGTCTACTACTCCACAATGGAGTGAAGGAAGAGTATGCGTGGAATACAAGAGATCCCTTAGGGCATCTGTTAGTATTATCATGCCTTGTGATTAAGGTCAATGAGAAACTACAACAACCCAATCCAGGCATAACTACAAATGGTCCAGGCCCTTCAGGAATGAACATTTGGGTCACTCCACCAGGTAAAAAACCACAACCTGCTGAGGTGTTTGCTGGAGGCAAGGGGAATACAGAATGGGTAGTCAAAAAAGGTAGTCATCTGTACCAGCTACCACAATGTGACAAGTTGCAGAAATGAGGACTGTAATTGTCATGAGTTTTCCTCCTTATTTTGTTAAAAACATGTTTGTGCATGTATACACTTGTATTAAGAAAATGTCTTCATTGTATTTCTTTTTCCTTTATCGTGTGACATAAGATTTATTGACTTCATTTCAGCATTTAAGTGTTGTTACCTTTATGTAAGAGCATTTAGGTTTATTGCATTTCTGGTTGTACAAAAGATCGTAGTATTATGTTCGGCATAATTATGACCTTATTGTCTTTATTTGAAGATTATGTATGATTTTATGGGATGTCTATGGGTTCAAGTTCACAAGGGGTGGGCTTGTGATGGTTAATATTGAGTGTCAACTTCATTAGAATGAAGGATGCAAAGTATTGTTCTTGGGTGTGTCAGTGAGGGTGTTGACAAAGGAGATTAATATTTGAGTCAGTGGACTGGGAGAGGCAGACCAAACCTTAATCTGGGTGGGCACCATCTAATCACCTGTCAGCATAGCTAACAAAAAGCAAGCAGAAGAAGCTGGAAAGAGCGGACTTGCTGAGTCTTCTGGCCTTCATCTTTCTCCTGTGCTGGATGCTTCCTGCCCTCAAACATCAGACTCCAAGTTCTTCAGCTCTTGGACTCTTGGACTTACACCAGTTGTTTTCCAGCGGCTCTTGGGCCTTTGGCCACAGACTGAAGTCTGTTCTGTCAGCCTCCCTACTTTTGAGGTTTTGGAACTGGGGCTGGCTTCCTTGCTCCTCAGCTTGCAGAGAGCCTATTGTGGGACTTCACCTTGTGATCATGTGAATCAACACTCCCTAATAAACTCCCTTTCATATATACCTCTATCCTATTAGTTCTGTCCCTCTAGAGAACCATGACTAATACATAAGTGATCAGGGAATTGTAAATTAAAACAACAATGAGATACCACTACCCACCTATCATAATGGTGAAAATCCAAAACACTGACAACAGCAAATGCTGGCACAATGTGGAGCAATAGGAACTCTTATTTATTTCTTGTGGGAATGCAAAATCTTATAGCCACTTTGGAAGACAGTTTAGATGTTTCTTACAAAACTAAACATACCCATACATCAAATTCAGCAACTGCACTCCTTGCTATTTACCCGAATGAGGAGGGAGAGAGAGAAGGAGGGAGGGAGGAAAGGAGGGAGGGAGGGAGGGACAGAGGGAAGGGAGGGAAGGAAGGATAAAGAAAGAAAAGGAAAAGAGAAAAGGGAAAGGGTACACAAGAAAATGTTTAGGGTGGTAGATATGTTCAATATCTTGATTGTAGTGATGATTTCATAGGTGCATACATGTGTCAAATGTACCTAGGTATGTGTAATTTGTTGTAGGTCAATTTTATCCCAGGCAAGCTGTAAAAAAAAATAATAAATACTAAAGCCTAACAAGAAAACAAAATATCCTATCATACTGACCCTCTGAGCCCTGCACTTTATATTGGTAGCAGTTTCTATCAACTTGTTAAAGCCTCCAATCTGGAAAGCAGTATGTGAGGTGCTGCCATTTAATCCTCTCAACTGACCACTGGCTGCCTCTCCCCCTTACAAGATTCCCCTGACACTCCCTTATGCCACCACTAGATTTTATTTTGATTTTATTTTTAATTTTTGTGAGCACATAGGAGGTGTATATATTCATAGGGTACATGAGATGTTAAAGAATTTATATAGATGAAAATTTGTTCATAAAAAGATGCTGAATATCATTAGTTATTACGGAAATGCAAAATGGAACCACAGTAATATACCACTACACATCAATTAGAATGGCTAAAATTTGAAAAGACTAAGCATAAAAATTGTTGGCAATAACATGAAGGAACTAAACTCTCATATACTGCTACGGGAATGTAAAATGGTACAACCACTTTGAAAAACAATATGGCAGTTTCTTAAAATATTAAGCCTACACATACCATATAATGATACTCTGAATATGGAATCAAATTTATCAGTTTGTTCTTTTAGGGACTGTGCCTTTTATGTATGTAAGAAAGCTTTGCCTAAGCCAAAATCGCAGAGGCTTTCTCTTTATATCTTCTATAAATTTTATAGGCTTAGGTTTTATGTTTAGGTTTGTGATGCATTTGAGTTAATATTTTTAATATGGCATAAGATAGGGATCTGAGTTTTAAAAAAAATATTCATTTTTCCAAATAGATATTCAATTGTTCCAGCACCATTTATTGAAAAAGACTATCTTTACTGAATTGCCTTTGCACCTTTGTCAAAAACCAGTTTTTCATATATGTTCGGATCTATTTCTGCATCCATCATCTTGAATTGCAATTACATTCTTATATGTCAAAATTTGTTGGGAATAACATACGTGCTGCCTTGTTCATGTTTATCTTCTCAGGTCTAGCATTATGCTTGTTTGAGGAATGAATCTCTAAATCAGGGAACAAACTATTATAATCTGTATGGAATTTTTCCTTCTAAGGTGCTTACAATTCTTGCTCAGTGTTTACAGTTCTTGAAAAATGTCTTTTGTTTTTCCCCTTTGGCCCTGTGTAATACAAACTGTGCCAAAAATAAATTCAAAAGCTAAAAAATAAACTAAATCAGAATTTAAGGAGTTATAGTTACAACTCAGACTCCAGGCTGGGCATGGTGGCTCACACCTGTAATCCCAGCACTTTATGAGGCCAAGACAGGCGGATCACTTGAGGTTAGGAATTCCAGACCAGCCTGGCCAACATGGTGAATCCCCGTCTCTACTAAAAATACAAAAATTAGCCAGGCGTGGTGGCACACGCCTATAGTCCCAGCTATTCAGGAGGCTGAGGTGGAAGAATCACCAAACCCAGGAGGCGGATGTTGCAGTGGGCTGAGATTGCACCGCTGCACTCCTGCCTGGATAACAGAGCAAGACTTCATGACATTAATTAATTAATTAAGTAAGTAAAATAAAACTCAGACTCTAGAAATTTTTTTTTAGTCCCTCAGGTTAAAATTTTTTAAAAAATATTTAACTTTTGACTGTTGATACCATAGTGTTCAAAACATAACATGCATTGAAAAAGCCATGTTTGACATTGGGTTTCCAGGCGTTTTTCCTCCCTGTGTAAATGGCCTTATGTGGGTACCGTTTTACCTTGATGAAAACAAAGAGCAGGCAATTTTTCAGTCAGAAAACTGCTGAGAGATATTATTAAACTGTGTGAGATGAAGAACACAGAACTGACAGACTGCACAGCAGTTGGCAAGTTTGAAAAAAAAAAAAAAAGATGTGAGGTAGAATATCCAGAGACCTGGGGAAGAGCTCTTAGCTTATAAATGGGGAGGAGTGATTTGCCTTGCAATCTCCAAGTGCATTTGCCATGTTAGTGCTGTCACTCTTCAATTCAGTCCAATAAACACTTCTCCAAGAGCCAGACCTATACTTCATAAATAGACAAAATTTCCATAGCAGCAGCCATAAAGGTAATAAGCATCTTGAACAAGGAGAGACCATCTTCTGAAAGGATTGTTTTATATTTATTTAGTACGATAACATCCTCTGTAATTTTTAAAATGTTTTTACAGGCTTAATTTCAAATAATCTTCAACCTAAAGTCACAAGGAGGATGGGGGAGGTATAAGTTCCACAGGGACTTGAAGAAGTTAAGGATCATGCCCACGATCACACTGTAATTTGGGGACTGAACTGGAACTGGAAACAGATCTGATTAAACCTGTAGCCTTTCCACTGTCTTCCTCTTAATTCTTGCTGACCTTCAAGAAACTTAAGGATGTCATCTTCTGGGGGGGGCGAAATAATTCCCTTTTCTAAGTCTTCAGCCTTCTGCCATAGCTCCATTTTCTCTCCTTTTCCACCCAGCATCTTAAAGGAATTCCTTGTGATACAAGCATTCCTGCCTTCAGACCTCCACCCTCACCACTCTAAAAAATTGCTCTCTTGAAAGCCATCGGTAATTGCAAAATTCAGTTACCTTTCTCACACCTCATCATCCTACCATCCTTCAGTGTTTGGCCCAGTGAACTGTAAGCTCACTAAAAAAAAAAAAAAAAAACTCCAAACGTGCTAGATCATCAGCAGATAAAGTCTTAGGAAAATTGAATTATTCAGGGCTTTCTAGACTGAATAACAACAGTAAATTATTTTTAAAGAAGCTTTATAATAGTCTTGTCTTCTAGGCAAGTGCTAGATGAGTTCATGTATTTGGTCTCATTTTACTTTCACAATAATCCTGTGAAGCAGACATTGCCATCTCTAGTTTACATCTGAGAAATGCTAGGTTCAGAGAAATTGAAAAACTTGATCCACAAAGTTGCTAAGTGGTCCTGATCATAGACCTCCTTCTTCCAAAGCACAGCCCCCTCTTCCATCCATTAACCCATTAGGGAACAAGATGCTTTGTATAAATTAATTTTGCAGATAAATTTTCGAGCAAAACAAAAATTTTAAACCAAGGGGTTTTAAAATTATTTTTTACAGGTATCATTTCAAAAATTTATTCTTAAAGAATAGAAACATAATTTAACATCTTCTTAATGGCATAGTCATATTATGAACATCTATTTGCACAGTCCATGCAACATTCTTGTGTTCTTGCTTCCTCATTCAGCATTAGATTCTTGTTAAGCGCTGCTAACATTTTTGCTTTTTACAATTGTGTCATACTATTTCTATTCTACAAGAGTATTTCAAAAACAATTAACTAGAACATGAAATAGCCAAAGTATTAACAGCTACTTGAAAAACAGGCCAAACCATTTTTGCATTAGAACATCAAGAATACTGTGTTTGCCTTTGGTTAGGGACTGCTTTGAGACATAATTTTTATTGGGAAGGGGTTTTTGGGGGTTTTTGTTAGGTGGGGGATGGCAGTTGCCCTGTTTGGTGTTCTTTCAGGCATTAATGGGAATTCTAATAAAAAAGGACTCTACAGGCAAATACATTTGGAAAGTGCTGCATGCCATTTCTTAGCCTTGGATATTCACAAGATATTTTGGCATGTGTTTTTAATGCCCCAGTATTTTATACTTATTCTATAGCTAAGTAGATGATAGATGCAGGAGTAGATGTAGATTTAGGTACTAGGGTTTCTGTCTTAGTCTTTTTGGGAATAGAAGCCAGCATGTATCTTACAGGCAATAAATGCTAGCTATTAATTTATATTAAATCATCATTGAATAAAAAATATTATACAACCCATTTAAAAAAAAAAACAATGAAAACAAGATAAAAATATTACTAGCCATCAAATTTTACCAGCTCACAGCATTTTCACCATCTCTTTCAATACTCACCATTATTATAATGATGCCATGATTACTATTACTACAGGCATTAGTGACCTGAATAACTATAATAATATTAGTATGTGTAGTAACAGCAAATGAATTTGAATATTAATTTTCTCATAGGAAAATTATAAAAATCTGGTCTGCGTGAAGTTCATGTTTTTTTTTGTTTGTTTTGTTTTGTTTTTTTCTTTTGAGATGGAGTCTCACTCTGTCGCCCAGGCTGGAGTGCAGTGGCGCAATCTTGGCTCACTGCAAGCTCTGCCTCCCGGGTTCGCGCCATTCTCCTGCCTCAGCCTCCCGAGTAGCTGGGACCACAGTGCCTGCCACCATGCCCGGCTAATTTTTTGTATTTTCAGTAGAGATGGGGTTTCACCGTGTTAGCCAGGATGGTCTCTATCTCCTGACCTCATGATCCGCCCGCCTTGGCCTCCCAAAGTGCTGGGATTACAGGTGTGAGCCACCGCACCCACCCCGAAGTTCATGATTTTTTAAAGAATAAAAATTTGGGGCCAGGCACGGTGGCTCATGCCTGAAATCCCAACACTGTGGGAGGCTGAGGTGGGTGAATCACCTGAGGTCAGGAGTTCGAGACCAGCCTGGCCAACATGGTGAAACCCTGTCTCTACTAAAAATACAAAAATTAGATGGGGGTGGTGGTGAGCACCTGTAGTCCCAGCTACTTGGGAGGCTGAGGCAGGAGAATCACTTGAACCCAGGAGGTAGAGGTTGCAGTGAGCCAGGATAGCACTACTGCACTCCAGCCTGGGTGACAGAGCAAAACTCTATCTAAAAAAAAATTAAAAAAAAAAAAAGAATAAAAGTTTTGGTTAGGCGCAGCAGCTCATGTCTGTAATCCCAACACTTTGGGAGGCCAAGGAGGGAGGGTCACTAGAGCCCAGGAGTTTGAGACCAGCCTGCACAATATAGGGAGATCTGTCTCTAGGAAAAAAAAAAAAAAGATTGGCCAGGCTTGGTGGCACATGCCTGTAGTCCCAGCTACTCAGGAGGCTGTACCTCAGTAGGAGAATTGCTTGAGCACGGGAGGTAAAGGGTGTAGTGAGCTGTGATTGTGCCAGCCACTGCACTCCAGCCTGGGTGACAATGCAAGATCCTGTCTCAAAAAAAAAAAAAAAAAGAATAAAAATTTTAAAATCACGATAGAAAGATGGCAAGATGGGAACAGGGAGATAAGATAGGAAAGAAATGTATTTATCCAAGGAAGATTTTGGTGCATGTCACAAAGACAAACTATATGTGGTTAGAGAGCTGGGGCTTTGAGCCATCTGATATCAGACAGGGGAAGGAGGCTGGAGCCAATGATCCAATCAATCATCCCTATGTAATGAAAGCCCAATTAAAACTCTGACAACAAAGCAGCTTCAGTGAGCTTCCCTGGTTGGTGATACTTTTGAATTTGTCACACATTGATGTACTGGACAGAAGTAGTGATGTCCAGGTCTCCACTGAGAGAGGATGACTAGGAGACTTACACTTCAGCTCCTCCCAGACCTCATCCTATGCATCTCTCCTTTTGGTTGGTTCTGATTTGTATCCTTTTGCTATAATAAAATTGTAGCTATAAGTACAGGCATACACTGTTTTATTGTGAGTTGCTTTATTTTGCTACACAGATATTCTGTTTTTAAAAATTGGAGGTTTGTGGCAACCCTGCACTAAATAAATCCATAGGTGTCATTTTTCCAACAGCATGTACTCACATCATTTTTCTGTGTCACATTTTGGTAGTTTTTGCAATATTTCAAACTTTTTCATCATTATTATATCAGTTATGGTGGTGTGTGCTCAGTAACCTTTGATATTATTGTAATTGTTTGGGGGCACCACAAACCATGCCAGTATAAGAAAGCAAACTTAACTGATAAATGTTGTGTGTGTTCTGACTGCTCCAACCACCAGCCATTTCCTCATCTCTCTTCCATTTTTTGGGCCTCACTATTCCCTGAGACATGACAATACTAAAATTAGGCCAATTAATAATCCATTGCACAATGTTCTATAAGTGTTCAAATGAAAGAAAAATCGTCTGTCTCTCACTTTAAATCAAAAGCTAGAAATGATTAAGCTTAGCGAGCAGGCAAGTTGAAAGCCAAAACAGGCTGAAAGCAAGGCCTCTTTCACTAAATAGCCAAGTTGTGAATGCAAAGGAGAAGTTCTTGAAAGAAAATGAAAGTGCTACTCCAGTGAACTTACGAATGATAAGAAAGCAAAACAGCCTTATTGCGGATAGGGAGAAAGTTTGAGTGATCTGAATAGAAGATCAAACCAGCCACAACATTCCCATAAGCCAAATCCCGATCCACAATAAGGCCCTAACTTTCCTCAATTCTGTGAAGGCTTCCTCTGTGAGGAAGCTGCAAAAGAAAAGCTGGAAGCTAGCAGAGGTTGGTTCATGCTATTTAAGGAAAGAAGTCATCTCCTTAACATAAACGTGAAAGGTGAAGCTGCAAGTGCTGATGTAGAAATGCAGTAAATTATCCAGAAGATCTAGTTAAGATCACTGATAAAGGTGGCTACACTAAACAATAGATTTTTACATAGACAAAAAAGCCTTCTATTGGAAGAAGATGCCATCTAGCACTTTCATAGCTAGAGAGGGGAAGTCAATACCCATCTACAAAGCTTCAAAGGACAAGCTGACTCTCTTATTAAGGGCTAAGGAAGCTACTGACTTTACATTGAAGCCAATGTTCATTTATCATTCTGGGACTTTTAAGAATTATGCTAAATCCACTCTACTTTGGGACAACAAAGCCTGGATGACTGCAGATGTGGTAGAAATAGCAAGAGAACCAGAATTAGAAGGGGAGCCTAAAGATGTGACTGAATTGCTACAGTCTCGTGATAAAACATGGATGGGTGAGGAGTTGCTTTTTATGGATGAGCAGAGAAAGTAGTTTCTTGAGAATCGACTCCTGGCAAAAATACTATAAACATTGTTGAAATGACAACAAATGATTTAGAATATACAGTTCTGAAAGAATTTCTGCTCTAGGTGAAATGCTATCAAATAGCATCACGTGCTACAGAAAAATCTTTTGTGAGAGGAAGAGTCCATTGATGCAATAAACTTCATTGTTGTCTTATTTTAAGAAATTGCCACAGTCACTTCAACCTTCAGCAACCACCACCCTGATCAGTCAGCAGCCATCAACATCAAGGCAAAACCCACCACCAGGAAAAAGATTATAACTCACTAAAGGCTCAGATGATTTTTAGCATGTTTTAATAATAAAATATTTTTTAAATTAAGGTATGTACATGTTTAAACATAATGCTATTATATACTTAATAGACTATGATATAGTGTAAACATAATTTTTATATGCAATGGGAAACCAAAAAGTGTGTGTGACTCACTTTATTGCAGTGGGCTAGAACTAAACCTGAAATATCTCCAAGTTATGTTGGCACAGCACCTTCCTAAGTTCTGTGAATTATTCTAGCAAATAGTTGAGGCTGATTGGATAGTAGAAACCCCCAATTTCTAGGCAGCTCATCAGAAGCCAAGGGGCCCTGAGGACACCAAGCCTGTGGCTGGTGTTTAAAGTGAGAGGACTTTTATAGAGCACCATGCCCTTAACCTGTGAAGTTTCCCTAACCCTGGATAGTTTGTGAGGGAAGTCATTGCAGCCACATAATGACCTAATGAGATTGGGATTGTTTATTATCCCTAGTTTACAGATAAGGAACTGAGGCACTGAGGGTCACTCAGCTGCCAACTGGGTAAAGCCAGATTCCAATCCTGGCAGGTCTGGCTCCAGAGTCCACAGTTTTATCCTCTCTATGATGCTCTACCATGCAGGGGGCTGGGGAGAAAGCAAGTGTAGAATGCTTCAACATTAGTTTTCTTTTTTTTTTTTTTTTTTTTTTTTTTTAGATGGAGTCTTGCTCTGTCGCCAGGCTGGAGTGCAGTGGCGCAATCTTGGCTCACTGCAACCTCCGCCTCCCGGGTTCAAGCGATTCTTCTGCCTCAGCCTCCCGAGTAGCTGGGACTACAGGCATGCGCCACAATGCCCAGCTAATTTTTCTATTTTTAGTAGAGACGGGGTTTCACCATGTTGACCAGGATGGTCTCGATCTCTTCACTTCCTGATCTGTCCGCCTCGGCCTCCCAAAGTGCTGGGATTACAGGTGTGAGCCATCGTGCCCAGCCAACATTATTTTTCAATCCTCAATGTTTCTCGCCTATGTCTACTTGGAGAGCAATATTTTTAGCAATTAAATTTCATTGCATCTCTACACATCATTCAACTCAAATTTTCATGGCAACAATGTTCTCTTCTTTTTGCATTTATATGTTATCTGTTTATGTATTATTTAAATTACATCATTTCAGGTGCAACTGGTGTAAAAAGATTTGGGGGGAAATGCCATGCTTTCTGTAAGCAGACAAATTTAAAAGAGGAAAGCAAATGTGTCACAGCTTGCTAGAGACTAGTCTCCTAATCATGAGTGTGCAGTATACGCACACGTTGGATTTATATGCAGTAAGATTTATGGAGGAAATAAAAAGCATCAGTGAAACAGGAGGAGCTAGGTTAAGAGAGGTCCTAATATGTAAGAGAAAAAGTCTGCAATGACCATGACCTTCTATTGATCCCTTCCACTAGCTCAATTCTATGACCCTGGTCTCATTTACAATGGTATTTTTTCCTTTGGTCCTTCTTGATTATTCCACTCAATAAAGCCCCTTTTCAGATTCACATTCATCCAACATTGATTGAGAGCCCGTGTTTATTTATTTATGCACCATTCCATCATCAAGCACCACAATCTGACCAATATTATGCCAGGTGCTTTCATATATATCACTTTCATCAGACCCATTTGATAAATGAGGCAGGAGGTTAAGGAGCTTACTGAATTCATGTCCTCTCATTTCCCATCTACTGTACCTCTCTAGAAACACCTCCTGACACACTGTGGATCTCAGCCACTTCAGTGAAGTTGTTACTAGCTCTCTGGAATCTTCAGGCCTCTACTCTTTCACCTTACTGGCCTCGTCCAATCCTGGGAAATGTCCTAGGTTCAAAAGTGCAGAAATACATGAAATCATTAGTCACTTGGACAAGCCTACAGTTGGTTTTTAGCCATTGAGCATTGCTGGGGAAATGTTCAATGTACCCAACTAACCTGAACGATTCCAAAATTCTCCAATTAAAAGAAATTATTTCTTCTGTGGAATTATCATAAAGTTTTATAATTGTATTTAACACTTTTTTGTATTTTTGCATATATATTATCTCCCCTTCTAGACGACAGTCTCTTTAAAGCTACTGTCTTATGCATTCTCATTCAACAAATATTTAACTCATATGGTTCCTTATATATTACTATCAGTCTATTACTACTAATAACAATAATGACATAAATACACGGCTCTACAATTTTTTCTCACCAATTTACAAGCACTATCACATTTACATCTTACGCTAGTCTCATTACAAATAACTCCTTGAGTGAGTCTGGTGGATTGTATTAGTGTTTAATGTATTTGCCGCCTTCCCTAGAGAATTATCTTTCCCCACCCTAGTGATAGTGGGCTTGCCTGGGTGCTTTGCAGGGCCCCTCTATAAGTGAGAATTGTACATCCCTGCATTTTGAAACCAGGATTGGCCAAGTGACCTGCTTTGGCCAATGAAATATGGGCTCAAGTAACACACTTCCAAGCAAAATCTTTAAAAGCAAGCTCATGGATTCCCACAGCTTTCCTTTCCTTCTGTCCTAAGACAGGCAATATCTTAAACAGAGTTTGTTCCATCAGCCTGTATCATGGAGTAAAGTGACATTGATCTGAACCCATGCAGACCTGTGAATGACATGTGGCTAAGCAAAAGGCAAACCTAGGTCTTTTTAAACCAATAAGATTTGAGAATTGCTTGTTACTGCAGCATTACTTAGTTTACTCAAATAGACATCAGGGATATTAATATTTTGCCTATCTTAAAAATGAATAAATGAATGGCCAGTCTAATGGTATGGAGAAAACTGGGCATCAAGGCTATTTACTAATTGTACTTCCAGATTTAGTCATCACATAACATGTGACCTTGATTAAATGGCCCACAGGTCCAGATGGGACCACTCATGGTTCCCACTTTTCTACTTTATCCATATGCTCTAATAATTACTAAGGCAATGTATTCTGTGAATTGCACACAAACTTTACCCACAAAATAAGCAGTAATTTCCTTGAAAAAGGAGTCAGGTCCCCATTAGAATTTAAGTGGCACATTTGCATTATTTTGTCAATGAAGATATAAAAACAGGTATAAATTTCTGGGTAATAATTTGAAGTTAACGTGAATTTAGTTGCATCTTTACTTTCCAGAATCAATACAAGCAGTCACTAGAGTGCTAATGATTTAGTTAAGCCTGCTATCCCCCTACATAGCCCATTTAAAATTTTCCCTTTTTCTTGATTTATTCCTCAGGTGGTAAAATCAAACTGCTCTAAAATAAAACTATCACTTAAATTATTTGACAGAACCGAAAGTTAAAATAAGATCATAGCCACTATTCCTGTCTAAATTTCAAAAGCGTATTCCTTAATACCCAGTATCATAAAAGCTAGCAGTGATCCCCAGAAAACAACTTCTCTCCCCACACATTCAGGCCAGCTTCTTCCTCTGAATCCAGAAAGATGAAATTAACTCAGTTTGAAAGATCTCCATACCTGTCCCTGGTTCCTGGCAGTGATTCTCATGTACACAACATGGAGTAACTCCCTTCAGGCAGCCAAACAGAGGTGCAGGAGACAGATTATGGACCAAGGTCTAACCTGACCTATATCGCATCCTATTTTGACTTTCCCTTAGGTGCTTCACATCCTTATTAATCTCCAATGGGACATGTAAAAGGCATCTTATGAAGTTCCCAACCTATATTAATTCCAAGTTTACAATTTGGCACAAGTTATCCTAGAATTTAATCACATTTAAATAAGGAATGGCATTTGGCGATGCCCAAAAGGAAAAGAAGGGAAACAGGGAAGACATTTTAAGGGATCACGAAACTCTTTGTACATGAATGCTTTTCATAGAGTAGCCTTTTATAGGTTGTATGGAATAGGAGGAGATGGAGCAATTGTTTTCCATGAAACAAGGGCACAATCCTCCCGGGGAGAAATTCTTGACTAAAAGCAACTGGTACCTATCCAAGTTCAATCTACTGAAAACATATTTATTAACTATTTTGCTGAACCCAACTTTACCTGGCACTACTATCCATTAAAGCTGATTCACAACGAGACCTAAAGCCCTCAACTTAGAGGCCACTGGATGTGTTTAAAACAGAAGTAACAATTCATAGGCACTGTGTTCTTCATAACTGAAGTGATGTTATTGACAGTATCTTTATTTCTAGACCTACCTGTGTCTCCGGAGTGATTTCGCAGCTCTTTGGAATACCCCTAAAGCAGCATACTTGGTGATGTTGGTGATAAGATAGCTGTAACGGAATTCATGATCTCAGTTGTCCAGGAGAATACTTATTTGGGAAAATAGTTTTCATTACAATGGCAGCCAGCCTCCACAATGGTCCCCAACAATCTCTGCCTCCTGGTATGCCTCTTTTGTCTCCTATTCATGCCCTGTGTACTCTCCCACATTGCATAGAACAGACTTGTATAACCAATGGGATGTTGCAGAAATGATAGTGTTTGACCTCCAAGGTAGGTCATAAAAGACATCAAGGCTTCCATCTCATTTTCTTAAATCACTCGATCTGGAGGAAGCTAGCCACCATGTCATGAGGACACTCAAACAACCTTATAACGAAGTTTACATCATGAGGAACTAAGCCCTCCTACAGGAGATAACTGCTTATTTTTAAATCTAGGCTTGTGGGTAATTTGTTATGCAGAAATAGAAAACTAATGCAATTAACAATATAAAGATGACTTGCCAGGGTTGAAACACAATATTTGGCCACCAAGTAAACATTCCAGACACAAATCTATTAGTAACAGAGAGCTCTATGTCTGCCCTACGTCTTCCCTGTCCTGATTACAGTATCATCTATTTTTTAGCACTATAACAACAAAGTTCCTAAGTTTCTGCTCTAAACCTATAAAAATAAACAGAAAATTGAGTTGTGAGGACAAAGGTGTTGATAGTGTTAAGTGCTAAAAATAAAAAAATAAAAAAACAGACACAGGATCAAGCTTGAGTTGTTCTTAGTCCAGTTGGTGTGTGAAAGGCTTCCAAAACATAATGTATTTGCAAGGAACATGATTCAGAAATTTGTACTTCAATGGACATTTGATGCTTTATCTTAATTTTACCAGATAAAGCCAGTGCTGGACTCTCCTTTCATCTTATTCCATATAGCCAATTGAATAAAAAGCCAGGTATGTGTTCCGTGAACAAGAATTCTTTATACTGAAGGAAGCATGTTTATTTTCCTTACCAAAGATGAAACTAGAAATTTTTAGGCTTAAGAAAATTCTAAGAAGAACCTCCAAAAATCCCTAGGTCTGAAGTTCAACTAAACACTTACTATTCATCTTCATTAGTCCCACCTTGTCACTCCTAATGTGTTATTTCCTCTCCCAAACCCCATCAGTGTTTGTGGCTCAAATCTTCCAGACCCTAGGCCTTTCTTTCCCCAGAATCTATGCCAGGAAGAATGTGGGAAAATATAAGAGGCATTGAAGTTGCAGAGCCTGGAGAAACCTATTAAAGTTTCCCTGGCATTGACATTTCCCCAAGATTCTATTCTGAGACTTTGATTCTTCTTTTTTTTTTTACTTTTATTTTTTATTTCTTTTTTAATTTTTATTTCCATGGGTTTTTGAGGAACAGGTGGTATTCATTTACATGACTAAGTTCTTTAGTGGTGATTTGTGAGATTTTGGTGCACCCATCACCCGAGCAGTATACATTGAACCTGATTTGTAGTCTTTTATCCCTCACCCCACTCCCACCTTTTCCCCCGAGTCCCCAAAGTCTATTGTATCATTCTTATGCCTTTGCATCCTCATAGCTTAGCTCCCATGTATTAGTGAGAACATACAATGTATGGTTTTCCATTCCTGAGTTACTTCACTTAGAATAATGGTCTCCAATCCCATCCAGTTTGTTGAGAATGTCATTAATTCATTCCTATTTATAACTGAGTAGTATTCCATTGTGTGTGTGTGAGTGTGTGTGGCACACACAACACAGTTTATCCACTCATTAATTGATGAACACCTGGGCTGGTTCCACATTTTTGGATTTTGTGAACTGTACTGCTATAAACAGGCATGTGCAAGTATCTTTTTCATATAATGACTTCTTTTCCTCTGGGTAGATACCCAGTAGTGTGATTATTGGATCAAACGGTAGTTCTCTTTTTAGTGATTCTTCTTTTTTAAGACACCTTCCTATTGGTGTCTCAGGTCCAGTACTCATCTCTTTTCGCATTCTATTCTAGTGGCTCTTAAACTTCTCAGGGCAAAAGACCCCTTTGAGAGTCATGAAACCTTTGAACCATTATTTCCAGAAAAAAAAATGAATATGAAACTTAAAATTTTCATACAAGCTGTAAATGTTATGTTAAAATTTTCATACAAACTGTAAAGGTGCAGTACTCACTGAAACCCATATGTGTACTCTCCGGGAATCTAGCTTAAAAGCCTCAACAATAGATGTTTTCCCTGGATGATCTTAACTAGTGTCAGAGCTTCAGTCATCATCCAAGTCTATTATTTCCAGCCCAGGCACCTGTCCTAAATCCTACAACTCTATCCCCAATAATCCAATGGACATTTTAACTTCGAAGGGCCATTCCCACTTCACTCTACAAAGTCTCCTCCTTTTATGCTCTCTGTTCAATAAATGGGATCAACATCCATTCAACTGCCCAAACCAAAAAACTGGGAGTCATCTGGACGTGTCTCTTTTCTTCATTCCCTATATAGAAACTACTACTAGCAAATTCTGTCTTCTCAAATCTACCCTCTTTTTTCAGTCTCTACTTCCCACATTTATAGTAATAAACTGTTCTTCCTGCCTCCAGGAAGGAAGATCACCTTCCTTCACCTGATTTGAAGACCTTGCATATCAATCTGAAACCTAAATTATCATTTTATTTTTATTTATTTTTAATTGACCAAAAACTGTGCATATTTATCATGTAAAACACGGTGTTTTTGAAATATGCATACATTATGGAATGGCTAGATGGAGCTAATTAACGTATGCATTGCCTCACATACTTATTTTTTGTGCTGAAAACACTTAAAATCTAAACTATTATTTAGATTGTAATCATGTCCCCCATTAACTCCAAAAATAACTTTGACTGGATCCTCATTTGTTTTAGAATAAAATTAAAAGTCCTGGAGTGAGATTTCCCCACCCTGCTCTCAAAGTAACACTTAATATTGCCTTAACATGTTGCATGTTGTTTCTCTTCCCTACTACAATGTAAGATACTCTTAAAAGTCACTTTTTAAAATCTTAAGTTACAAACAAAGGTACTCATTATAACTTGTGACACAATGCAAACAAAAATAATAATTTTCCCCTCCCTACCCCACCCCACATTTCAGGGCTGCGCATCAAGAATCCAAGTGTCTAAAAGGCAGAGATTGTACTTTTTCATAAACATATCTTGTGTTTTGCACAGTACATGCACAATGCAGGCACCCAGTGATTATTTTCTAATAAATTGTTTACATCTTATGGCACTGTGGAATCAAGGCAGACCGCCTTCATTTATTCTAAACCCTTGCTATTCAAAATGCGGTCAGTGGGTCAGCAGCGCCAGCACCACATGGGAGCTTCCATATTGAGAAAAGCAGAATGTCAGCCCCCACCTCAGACCCACAGATTCAGAAGGCCCCCAGGGGACCAAAAAGCACATTAAAGTTTAAGGAGCACTCCACTAAAGCACATTTTAGAGCAGCTGCCCCGACTGACGCATGGTCATTCTCTGTAAAAGACACCCATAGAAGCCATCTCCTAAAGACATAAGGCAGATGTTGTAAAAGGACACCTAAATACCAAATCAGTTTACACCAGTGGGTTCTAAACATAATGTTGTTGGTTTGCATGCTAAGTCGAAGCACTGCATTCTCTGATAACTGTATTTCAATTAAGAGATTTTCAGTGAAAGCTGGCCTTGAATGTTACACAGAGTATGTGGCTCTGGTGTAGAGCACAGCCACTAAAAGCAGAGACTATCAACTTTTGCTTTTATCAGGAAATATGTTTCTCTCCATTGAAACAACTGAAATTTAACTATCAAATCCTCAATACTTTAAGTAGGACACACTTCAGAACAATTATTAATATATGTACTTTCTAATACTCAGACAGCAAGGCAAAATGGAAAACATGGCACTCAAGAGTTTGTTTTTGAGCTCGGTCTCTGTGTTAACCTATATAATTCTTCATACCCATTACCATAAGTATCCACATCTGTAAAACATGGATAAGACTCCCTTACTCATAAGGTTATTGTGAAGACTTAATGTAATGTATACACAATTCGTGGCATGTAGAAGGCACTTGATAAAGGGTGGCTATTCATAAATATGATTATTTTATTGAATAATTTCAGAATCTTCACTAGCTCCTTTAAAACCCGTGCCTAACCTCAGAGAACAGCTTTCCCTAATCTAATAAATCATCAAAGTTTAACCTAGGCACCAACTCTGTAAAGATTTTGATACCCACTTCCACTTCACTCCCTCCCTCCCTTCTGTATGTTTCCTATACACTATATACATTTCTGTCGTCATAGCACTTAGTCTTTATTGTACTTCCTTTTTAACATCTTTCTCTTCTCTATATACTGCACTCTCTCAAATAAGGACAAACTGTTTCTTTGGAGAAACCCTGGCATCTAGCGCAATTAATGACACATACTAAGTAGTTAATTCATAATTGAGGAATAAGTTAATGAATAAATATCAGATCCTCCAGAAACTTCCTTACGGACTGATCAACAACTTCTATTGCTCTGTCGTTGGTGGGAAGTCATTTTCAAATTCTCTGTTTTTCTCCTGTGACAGCCTCTTTAAAAAGTCTCTGCCCTCTTCACTGCCCCCAGCTGCCCATGCACCTCACATGCATTCCACCTCCAAATCACACTCAGAGCTCCCTCTTTATTTCTCTTGTCTCTATTGCTCTTTCCTTCCTACAGAATCTAAATTCTTCAATTGCAAGGGAGGAAGGGAGGTTGTTTTTGCCTCAGGTGTAACATTCCGTACACCCAAGTCAGAAATAAAGCCAAGAGAGGAAACTCTCTGCAGAAGGTTCTTTTTACCTGGTTTTCCCACCACGGACACCTGATTCTTATTTGTAAGAAACATGAAATCTACCCAATTTACTTAGGCTTTCATTAAGAAAACATACAGATTTTGGGGGCGAGTTGTTGCTCTGTTTCTCTCTCTCTGTCTCTCTTTTCTCTCTCTCTCTCTCTCTCTCTCTGTCTCTCTCTCTCCTCTCTCCCCCTCTCTGTCTCCCCTCCTTCCTTTCCGCACCCTATTTGCTTGTTCAACTCATCCTAAAATGGATTTAATTACTTATTTAATAGCCTGCATGATATTTCCTCACAAGGGGAAAAAAGATAGTGATTATAAACATTAAGAATGCAAAATTTAAACGGGAAAACAGAATCTTGCCTCATGGGTGGTCTTAGTTGCTCCTGAGGCATATGAAGGAAAAATGGGTTTCTAGAGTTTCCTTGCTCATTTCTAGAAACACCTGCAGGCTCTTGGGGAAGATCGTCTTTTAAAGTGCCTCATCAAAAGCTGTTTACAGTCTAATTTTTTTTTAACTCCCGTGTTTTAATTTACCTCTTTTCAAGCTGAATCTAATAAACTGCTGGTAATAGAAATATGATGCAGTCCCAAATTTGATCTTAATTCTCTAGAGATTTCTAAAAATTAAGTCAAGATCAGATGGACTTTAGTTCTTGTGTTTTACAGTCACATGAAACAAATTTTCTAAGATTTACATCAGATTTAAAATGTTAAAATCCATTATAATTCTAGGCATTTTGTTTAGTTACTTCTCTGGGCAAAATTTTAGAACTTTATAGCATATTTATAATTTCTGTGATACCAATTTCACTTACTTCAACTTATATTGTTTTTTTTATTTGATGCCAGTTCTTACTTGGCAGAATCGCTACATCATTCCCAGTCAATTCTTCATTTTCATATACTCCTAGGATTATAGTAAGATTGTCAGATTTACTAAGTAAGAATGCAGAATGTCCAGTTAAATTAGAATCTCAGGTAAACGACAAATTATTTGTTAGTATTAGTATAGTCCCTGTAATATTTGGGACTTATTTATATTAAAGATGATTCAGGTGCTTGAAACAATAGAAATTTATTCTCTCAAAGTTTAGGAAGCCGGAAGTCTGAAATGAAGCCATCAGCAGGGCTATGCTCACTCCGAAGGCGCTAAGGGAGAATCCTTTCTTGCTTCTTCCAGCTTCTGGTGGTTCAGGCATTCCTGGGATGTGACTATAAAACCCTGATCTCTGCCTCTGTCCTCACATGACATTCTCCTCTAAGGCTCAAATCTCCCTCTGCCTTTACAGGGACATTTGTCATTGGATTAGGACCCATGCAGTTAATCAGGATGATCTCAAGATTCTTAATTACATCTGCAAAGACTTTTTCCTTCCAAATAAAGTAACATTCACAAGGTCTGGGTATTAGGACATGAACACAACTTTTAGGGACCACCATTCAACCTACTGCAGAGAATGACTAAAACTTCAAACACCATCCGAGGTTGATAAATTCATGGCTTAGGTGTAACATGCAGTACACCCAAGCCAGAAGTAAAGCTAGTGGAGGCAAATCTGTGTAAGGTTCCTTTTACCTGGTTTTCCCACAGTGGGCACCAGATTCTTATTGTAAGAAATATATAAAGTGTACCTAACTCATTTAATCACTCATTCAATAGCAATCTGTTGAGTTCCTTTTATGTGCCAGAGTCTGAGAATCAGGATAAGCCAAAGAAACTGCCCTCCTAAGGATTATTTTCTAATGAAAGGAGAAAATTAAATAATCAAATAAACAGGATTATTATATAATTTAATAAATGCTATGAAGAAAATAAATAAAGTAATGCAATAAAGAGTCACTGGGAACAAGACATGCTGCTTTACAAAGGGCAGTCAGGAAAGATTCTCAAAATAGATGACATTTGTGCTGAGTGCCAAGAGATGAGGGCGAGCCAGCCACGCGGAGATCCCAGCAAAAGTTTTACAGGATGAAGAATAGCAGGGATAAGGGCCTGAGGTGGGGAAAGGATCAATGTGTTCTAGAAAAAGGTGGAGGCCAGAGAAGCCAGAACATAGTGACTGGTGGAAAGCATGGTGCAAGGATAGCACTGGGTACACTAGAGCCAGGTCATTGCCAGGTCTTACGGCTCATGGTGCAGGGTATGGATTTTATTCTATGGAAATAGACACTAAAGGCCTTAAAGAAGAGTGATGATTTGGTTTCTATTCTTAAGAATTAGCGGCCACGGTGTCAGAAATGACTTGGTGGGGCAAGAATGGAAGCACGCTGACCAATTAGGTTATTGTAGTAAACTAGGCAAGGATGAGGACGCTTTAGACTAAAGTGTTGTTAGGAATATGGAGAAAAATGGAAATCATTTGGAAGTTGGATTGTTCAAATTCAGTTACAGATTACATGCTAATGGTGAGAGAGGGAAGATGAAAAGATGACACCATCAATTTCAGGGCATAAATCCTCCCCGCTATAAACTATGTTGCCCAATCTTTCTTGAAGTTAAGTATGATTGTGTAAGTTCTACACAAGCAAATGTGAATAGAAGTGACACGAACAACCTCTGGGTCACACCCACAGGAAGAAGCTTGTTCTTCATTCCCTCTTTCCTCCTCCTGATGGCTGGGAAATGAGACATCTAATGGAGCTGCTTGACATCTAGAGAAAGAAGTCACATGTTAATGATGGCAAAGCTGTCCCAGTATCCAGGATCCTTAGATGGTCTCACTGAGCAGGACATGCCACCTGCCCTGAACTGCTCACCTACCTTGCTCTCTATTATGTGAGAAATAAAATTCTATCTCATTTAAACCCCCCTCTTTTGGGACAGGGGTTTGTTGCAGCAGCCCAGTTTATATCCTAACTAATACTCTCAGAAATGACTTCAAGCTTCCCAAATTCTCTTTTTCTCTCTAACGTGAATGTTCTGTTCTTACATTCTCATTCTCTTTCCTGTTTCCTGCCAAGATATGAGTTCTGCTTTCTGTGATAATGAGGCCAGAGCATCAGGGTCATTTAAAGCCATGTTGATGGAAAGAGTTTCTTCCTCTATAAGAGTCCAAAGTCCAAAGGATTCTTGTTGCACAATATCATGACTCATACTGTACAATCCATTAAATATCACCTTAGGTACAGGAAATGATGAGTATTAACTGTTCAAATATTTTCATACCAAATATTGTATTGATTACACAGGGACTCAACACTCAAGTTAAGACGTGTAAATTCTGGGTAGAATTTTAACACCAGTCTAGGAATTCAGTAAAGAGCTTGGATCTCAGGACTTAAAGCATTAATTGTAGAAAAATAAATTAACATTTAGTGAGAAAATAATTACATAGATTGTGTAATTGCATAGTATTTTTTCTTTATTTTTAGCATAAACTCTAATATGAAATGAATCCTTTCGGTTAACTTTAGTTGTATTCAGAGTATATACAATTTATAATTACTTTTCTACATCTAGGAATTTATTGTATTGAAAGTAAGTTCACACACACAAAAATCTGCTGTTGCTCTCCTTGGGGATTGGTAACAACACAAATGATAAGAATTATCCCCTCGTAAACAAGGAAAGTCACAACATTTAAGGTGCACTACCGTGCATTTAAGTCTGTATTTTGGATTAAATAGATAATGTTCTATCAAATATTATCAATTATTAAATATGTTAAACTAATAAACTGAAAGACATTTTAATTATGCCATTTTATAACTAAAATTGAACCCTTAAATATCTTGTTCAAGTGGAATGTCTCTCAAAGAACAGTAACATATCTAATCAATATTTATAAAATACTACTTAGCATTTAAACTTTAAAGTTGAAAAGAACTTTTGTACATTTCACTTAATCTTTACAATAATAGTAAAAGGTATTACCATCAAACTTTCGTAAGTTAACACCTTTATGAGATTATGTAAATTGCCCAAGTTCATTCATCTAGCAGATGACTGGGCTTATACCAAGGTTTTTGTTTTTGTTTTTGTTTTTGTTTTTTGAGACAGAGTCTCGCCCAGGCTGGAGTGCAGTGGTACAATTCAGCTCACTGCAACCTCGGCCTCCCAGGTTAAAGCAATTCTCCTGCCTCAGCCTCCCAAGTAGCTGGGATTACAGGTGCCCATCACCATGCCTGGCTAATTTTTTTTTTTTTGTCGGGGGTAGAGATGGGGTTTCACCATGTTGGCCAGGCTGGTCTCAAACTCCTGACTTCAAGTGATCTACCTGCCTCAGCCTCCCAAAGTGCTAGGATTACAGGCAAGAGGCACTGTATTCAGCCCAAGATCTTCTATTTCTACCTTCAGTGCTCTTTACACTCAATAGCTGCTTAGAGTATATAAAGACCTAAAACCTAACAAACTAGCTTGCCAGTGCTAGATGTGCCGCTCTCCATAATTTTTCATAATTAAAGTAGGAAATGCTATGCAGGAACTGACTGTATTTTTTTTCTTTGTTACAACCTTCTTAAATTATATATTATATATTTTAAGGGATTATATATTAAGGAATTAAGATATGTATAAATAGAAAAATAATATATTCTGAAAATAATCACAATATTTCTCCCCCCCACCCGCCACTTTTCCCACTCAGAACTATTCTGCCACCAAAATCCTGAGGGTTATGAAATCAATGGACATGTCCTTTCTTCCCATTTCTCTACCCCACGTCTCCCATTAAACAGTCTCCCTGTCTTCATTAAGTCATTTTGTCCCTTGGCTCCTTCCTGTTCTCCCAGACCAATAATCCCAGTGCGGCTCCTTTTTCTTTTCAACTCAGCCTGGGCATCACAGTTACTTTCTTAGTTCGTAGTTCATTGGTTGTCACACTGGTTGTTCTCAACCTCCTGACCCTCAATAGTTCTCACCGTGCTGATTCCCATGGTCTATTCTTTCTGTCCCTACTTCCACAGAACTTGTATTCTCACAAATGTTACAGAGCCATGGTAATTTGTTCACCATAATAAATTCATAGAATCTAGTCTTAACTGGACCCTTCACAGGCCTCTCATTCAGCTTATTTGATAAACACCAAGTATTTGTTGAGCACTTTCAAAATGCCAACTATTGCACTATGATTTTAGGATATAAAATGAATAAGACAGACTCCCTTTTCTGAAGAAGTCACAGTCTCAGGTACCCACTTAAATGTTCTTTGGAAACCTCTACTTTTAAGCCCACTCCTCATTTTCATCACATATGTTAGTCTCTCATTTAACCAAAAGGTTGATATGGCTAACCTGAGCATCTTCAAAATCCTTCCACTTCATCCTGAACCTCTGCATTAGTCAGGATTCCCCACAGAAACAGAAGCAATAGGACACGTATATATGGGTCGACTCAGGGTCTACTACTTTGAATGTTGATTCATCTTTAAAAGTACCTTCACAGCAAAATCCAGACTGGTGTTTCACCAAACAACTGAACACCATAGCCATCAAAATCTCTATCTTCATACTTCTTTCTTAATTGTAGTCTCTCAAAAGATGTTCTGCTTTTTTGCTAATGTGAGCTCTTGATCTCCCCTCTTGTATGTGTGCGTGTGTGTGTGTATATACATATATATATGTATATATAAAGTATGTATGTGTATATATATGTATATATAAAGTATGTATGTATGTGTATGTGCATGTGTGTGTGTGTGTGTGTGTGTGTGTGTGTGTGTGTATATATGTAGAGAGAGAGAGAGAGAGATTTATTTTAAGGAATTGCCTAAAGCAATTGTGGGGCTAGCAAGTTCAAAATTTGCAGGGCAGGCCAGAGACTCAGGGAAGAGCTGATGTTGCAGCCTGAAACCCAAAGGCAGTCTAGAAATAGAATTCCTTCTATTCCTTCTTTCTCCGGGGACCTCGGTCTACGCTCTTAAAGCCATCAACTGATTGGATGAGGCCCACTCACCTTAAGTCATCTGCTTTACTCAGGGTCTACTACTTTGAATGTTGATTCATCTTTAAAAGTACCTTCACAGCAAAATCTAGACCGATGTTTCACCAAACAACTGAACACCATTGCCACCAAAATCTCTATCTTCATACTTCTTTCTTCATTGTAGTCTCTCAAAAGATGTTCTGCTTCCTTGCTAATGTGAGCTCTTGATCTCCCCTCTTGTATCTCTTCCAAGAGTTTTTTCACAATGATGCTTTCTCTTTTGTATCATCAAACTCTCTATTTTCACTCACTTCTCCTTCTAGGTAAACATGTTCAAGTCCTAGCTTCAAACAGTCTTTCCTCTTTCTAATATACTCCGTAGCTACTACCCTTTGGTCTCTTTAACTTCATTACCATATTTCTTGCAAGATTAGTTTTCTGCATTTGTTGCTTCCATTTATCACCCATTTACTCTTCCTTACTTTGCTCTCTGGCTTTGTTTGCCATTGCTTTAGGAACCTACTACTTTTTCCAGTTTGGCTCTCCTCAACCCATTCTTATAGAAATGTCCCACAGTCTGATTCTTCACCTCCACCTCTCTCTAATTCTTATTTACCGCAAGGTCAATCAAGGGCAGAAGCTGCAATTAGGGGACTTGAAGCACGGAAAGGGGAAGCAAAGGAAAAGGGTAAATGACTCACAATTTGAAACCCAACAAGGCTTGAAAATATTGCAATAAATAATATCATTTGTATGGTTAAATCAAAGGAAAATCTGGTGTGAGAAAGCCCTGTACTAGCATACTTGAGTTCTTATGTAGGAACTGCAACTTAAGTTAGTAGGTAAGCAAACTGAAAACCTAACTTAGGAGTATACCTCTGTAACAATAGCTGAGTCTCAGCCAATCATAGCAGCTGAGCTTCAACCGCTCATAGGCTGCTAACTGTCCAAACCATGTTCAAACAAGGCAAACACTGAGCTGTAAGCAACCCAGTTGTTTCTGTACTTCACCTTCCTTTCCTGTATGCCACTTTCCTTTCCTGTATGCCACTCTCCTTCTTCTGTCCATAAATCCTCTCCAGTCATGTGGCAGTCCGAGTCTTTGAATCTGTTCTGATTCTGAGGGCTGCCCAATTGGTAAATTGGTTCTTTTTTCTTTCTCTCAATTAAACTCTGTTAAATTTAATTTGTCTGAAGTTTTTCTTTTAATAATACCAAATAATACTTGTCTCAGGAAGGGAAGCAATCTTTCAATCACAGAGTTAATCTTTCAAAGAGATTGCAGAATATAAATTTTGCATAATTACTTACAAATTGTAGCTTTGACTACAAGTCGAGGGTCTTTGCTCATGAGGTTTTTCCAAAGCATAATTATAGATGATTGATTACTAGCTGACCATCTGTGTCCAATAATGGGAAGGTTTGGTCCAGACTAAGGAAAATCTCCCTAGAAATACAAAGTTTAGAAATTGTTGTAATTGATTTCTAGTCATCCTAACAGTAACAAAAATACATGAACAAGAATATCTCAGAGGATAGTCATATTGCTATAGATACCTATAGAGGCAGACATAAAAAGAAAACAGCTATTGCTTCTCCTGAAACACATGACATGGCAAATGTTAAGGAAAAGACTAGCTTGCATAGAAAGATTCCAGAGTTGCTGAAATCCCCAGATATATATTATTAATTCTTCTCTCAGTTCTGAATTTGTGTGATAATCAGAATGAGAAAAAGCTCATTCCCAAATTGTTTTAGAAAGGGGAACTATTAAATGAGAAAACCTGATAGTGGGAAATACGTGTCCCTTAAACTAACATACACCCAAATTAGTTGCGGAAGTAAGGCAAAGGGATATTTATGAATGCTTTGGCAAAAAGAAACCATTTTGCTCAACCCCTTCTGTTTCGGGGGAAGTGGCTTGAAATAGCTAAATCTTTGCAAATGAATAATTTATGAAAGCTCCAGTACCCTTTGAATAACATAATTTAAACTGAAGACATTACAGCATAAAAGGAAAAAGAAGAACTCGCTTCAAATTCTTCTAATTTCAACATGAATTAACACATAGTTTTGATTTAAGATAATCTAATAATCATTTTTGTTTCATTATACCACTCTCAGATAACTCCCTGCTTATGTAGTCAAAGTACTACATAAAAATTAGAGTTCGAAGTCGCTTAGACGAACAAATTCATCTCACTGAAGACCTGGTTTAAGTCCATTTTAAAAATAAATTGTATCATAGATTGGTACATTTTAAAAACACATTCTGATTATAGATCAAAAGAGAAGACTTATGTACAAACAAGAATGGAAGCTGACCAACCATGTAAAAAACCAAGTCGATTATCATTTTTACTTATTGTGTCAAAAAAGGACTTATTTTATATCCCCGGCATTCTTTTTTAAAAGCTTATCTTCTAGTTAACATTTTGAAGTTACATAAATACAACATTATCATTAATTCCATATTTTCCTTAACAAGGCTATGTCTAAGAAATGAATAGAACAAATCTAGACTAAAGTAGCCTTTCCATCCTCTAATAAATAAAGAAAATCATGCCAAATATAATACAGCAATCAGTCAGCTGGTTAGTGCTTCGACAGTTCTCTTCCTAAATGCATTTAAAGATCTCATTCTTAACACCTCACCCACTTCACATGAGTTTAAGCAGTTTTCTTAATCAATGCTGTCTCTATCCCTTGAGCATACTTATATTACTATACTTAAAATGCTGTATAAAATTCAATTTGTTTACATGTATTTTTACCTGCCTAGATTAAATTCCTTAAGGTGCAGATTGGTGTATTCATCTTTTTATCCCCAGTACCTTGAAAATGGAACACTTTAAATCATTTGCAAATTGAAGGGCTAGTCCTATATTGTTAGGAAAATAGAGAAGGTGGTAAAAGAAATGAACACTGGAATAAAGTTCCTAAAGGGGGTAGAGGAAGCCGGCATATATGTGAATAATAAAACCATTTCTAGACCATTTTCTAATTGCTGATTGGTGGGATGTTGGGTCTTTTGTTGCGTGCTGCTTTTTTTTTTTATATGTTCCTCTCACAAGGTTTTGAGTGCTGGGTTTCCTAAGACTAAAAATATTTTCATCCTCAAAACTTCTAAACTCAGTTCCTAAACTCTTCATTCTCTCCATCATACTGGGAATGCAGCCAGGCTCTGCCCTAGCTCCATTCCACTTAATTGGGCCACATTCCATGCACACAGTTACATGTCAATGTTAATTAGCAATAAGCAATCCATAACTTACAATCAAGTTATTTTAGCAGGGGTTTCCTCAAAGATCCCAAATAACTACAAACAGTGGCTCCTTTGACCCTCCACAAGACTGTCTTCTCTTCTGTATTCTGATTTTTAAGCAGCAAGCCAACCAGACAGAATAGGAAATACATGCTGGAAAGGAAGAAGAAAACTATTTTAAAGCGAAGCTTCTAGTCCAGGCCTTTACTACAAAATTCTATTTAGACCTCACACCAACCTGGCACTATCCCTTTTTGGATTTGTAGGTAAAAATGACAAAGGTGAGGCCCTTACAATGGAGGAGAAAAAAAGCTTGAGACAGGCCTCCATTCCACTAGAATTCAGACATAGAAGCTCTTAAGTGAAAGAATCTGGAAATAAAAACCTTGGCCTATTATACACCCTAAGAATGTAATCTCACCAGCCCACACTGCCTCTCTAAAAGCTTGATTTAGTCTGCTTTCTACTTCCACACCTTCTAATTGTGGAATTTCCTTTCATTTTAATTCTCCTCCGGGCCAAACTCTGATTAAACTGACACATATGGTTTCTAGGATTTTGAAACTGAGCTCCCCCAGCAAGAATCTACTTACAGAGTAAACCAGTCAGCCCTCTTCCGTTTTCCCTGCTTGAAATACATAGGGCAGTGCTCTGGTAGGCAATTAATTGACCCAGACTCCCTTGCATTTTCTCTTCTTGTCTTCTTTGTGAAGACAAGACAAAAATTCTCCTCTGGCAACTGCAGGCTGGATATCAATTTACCACTAGCTCAGCACATTCCAAGTTAATGTACTTAGCTTTTTAGGATCCAGCACAATGTTAACATATTATTTACAACTCAAAGATAACCTTACTTTCTAAAACTTAATTGAAACTCTCACTTTTTAAAAGAAAAAGCATTGATGGCTCCTTAAGTAAGACTTATGGAACATAGCCTTTTCAAGTTGACACTCTAATGTCTCAGAGAAATGGCAGCTGGCAGGAAGACGCAGTAATAGAGAGACTGGCACGTCCATCCTAATAACAAAACCACTTACACGCGCTGGATTGCTTCTCTAGTCACATGAACATACAGGCTTTTCCCCACCTCTGCCTCTGCTCCATAAGCTTAGAGCTCAAAAAACTATGTGTCTTTTGCTTCCTTCGTTATCTCTATGTCAACTGATAGTTTTAGCAAGTCTAAAACATTTTCATATTCAACAAAAACAGCAAGGATATTTTAGCTATCTTTTGAACTTTTGTGAATACATATCTCTACATATTCATTGATATGTCTATACTTATGATATTTTATTGAGCACCTACTAGTATATGCCAGGCACTGTTCTAGGCCCTAGGAATAGGACAGGGAATAAGAAAGACAAAGTCCTTGCTTTCAGCTCTCATGGAGCTTCTGTTCTAGAAAAGAAGTTTATGTGGTTATTTTATATAGTTTAAGTTCTACAAAGAAAATAAATTAGAGAATGTAATGAAGCACGACTGAGGACCCCTTTGGAGACTGGAGCTGATTTCTGAATGACAAGATGACCTGGCAATGACAAGATAGGGAGCAGAGCATTCTAAACAAAGGATATAGCAAGTTCCACAGGCCCTAGATTTAGATGTGACTTTGGCCTGGTTGATGAATGGGAAGAAGGTCATTGTGCCTGGAGTTTAGTAAGAAAGGTAGAATGAGATGAAGTAGAAGAGAAGGCAGAAACCGGAATATGGAAATCTTTAAGGCGATAATAAAGAGTTTGTATTTTATTCTAATGGTAGAGGGAAGGCACTCGACAGTGGTTTATAATTTTTAAGTAACGCTTTAACTGCTACGTGGAGAATAGATGGTAGAATGGCAAGACTAGAAACAGAGAGACCACTTAGAGGTCATTGCAGAGGTCCACATGAGAGACAGTAGTAGCTTGTCCAAGTGGAAAATGAAAAGATGAAAAAAAAGTAGATAGGTTAAACAACTTTTTTGGAGGTAGAGCTGTCTAAACTTGTAGGATTATACACAGGGAGAGTAACCCTTTACTTGCATCTTTACTTGAGATGTCTATGACATATATCTGACTAAGAATGGACTTGGTTTGAAAAATAAGGAGGAATATTGTGGACATGTGAGATTCCTGCTAGACATTCAAGTGGAAAAGTCAAGCAGGCAGTTGGACATACAGGTGTATATCTCCAAACAGTGGTGAGAAATTTCTGCAAAGTCAAGACAGGGCACAATTTCACTGCAGAAAAATATCTGCCTAAGATGACTCATTTATCCATTTGTTTAGCCAACATCTAACAGCCACTGTGTACCTGACACTGCTCTAACTGATGGAATATAGATTCATAAGATGCATATTTTTCCTTATAAAAGTTACCATCCAAAGGGAGGACACAAATAACAAGCAAACAAATAAACACATATATGCCAGATAGTTATGAACATCATGATAAAAACAAATCGTGGTGGTAACACATATGCACTTGATAATGACTTATAAGCAAGTTCCTTTCATGTGAATATACCTTAATTTTGGCAGACATAGTTACACGGGTGGAAAAAGGACAATGTTTTGGTGACAAAAGAACTGGCAATCTGTCAGCTCTATCTGATGCAGGCTTTCAGGTGAAACACAGATACTCAAAATTCAGAAAGAACTCATAAATGCATTTACAAGTAGAAGAGGTAAAAAAGAAAAAAAGACATTCTGTAACAGTCTAAATTCAGCCTAACAAGATTATCAGAGCTCTTTTTCAAGTAAGACTTTATGGCCCATCCTCCCTCCCCATATCTGCTGCTCTTTTTATGTCTTCAGACAAAGAAACTAAAACAATAAAACATTTTTATCTGCTTTTATAACCTGATTCTGTGTGAAAATACCCACAGGGAATTTCCATTCTTTTTTGCCTTAAAATTCACTGGTATTGCTTCTCTCTAGTTTACTTGTCTCTCCCCTTGATGTTCAATTTCATTCTCTGTGACTAGTAGTATCAAGTTATCTCTATCCCTGAGAGAGAGACAAAGGTCAGTGCTAAAATAGTTGAGTCTGTGAGTGAGAGAAGTCATAAAAGGTCTCAAATCAACCTTGCCAGCTGTTTTTCCAAAGTCAAAGAAGAAAGTGAGAGGAAAACCAATAATCTGGAAGTTGATACAAATCTGATCCTAACATTTCATCTACCTCAGGAAGAACTACATAGTTGAGTACTGCAACACTGGGACTCTGAAATCACATTTTTACTGTAAGCTTAAAATAGAAGAGTAATATTCTGAAAGATATAACAAAAAAGCTGTGAGATTCCTATTTGATTTATATGATAATGCTTTTATAAAAAATAGAAAATTTCAATACCAAAAAGGACTAATAAATGATGATCCCCTTCCAAAGTTAAGTTGCAAACAACCATTATCTTAATGCCATACACTTGATACAATTAATTCAAAAATTAAACTTCTCTGACCTTACTAATCTTCTACAAATCTCCCCCTTGATAAAATACTGGCAAAAAAAAAAATTACTGGTGTACCTATAGTACCAATTACAGCTTAACTCTCAAACCAAAGTCATTGAAATTTACCTTCCTGGTCAAAAATTAAATTAGAATGTATTGAAACAGCTCCTATTCCAATTCCCAGTACTAAAGCTGCTCCTATAAAACTGTAATGTGACACATCTTTTTAGCACAGGATTTTTTTTTTTTTTTCGAGACGGAGTCTCGCTCTGTCGCCCAGGCTGGAGTGCAGTGGCGCCATCTCGGCTCACTGCAAGCTCCGCCTCCCAGGTTCACGCCATTCTCCTGCCTCAGCCTCCCTAGTAGCTGGAACTACAGGTGCCCGCCACCACACCTGGCTAATTTTTTTTTTTTTTTTTTTTGTATTTTTACTAGAGATGGGGTTTCACTGTGTTAGCCAGGATGGTCTCGATCTCCTGACCCCGTGATCTGCCCGCCTTGGCCTCCCAAAGTGCTGGAATTACAGACATGAGCACTGTGCCCGGCCGGCACAGGTTTTCCATAGCTTAATCCACATTAGTGACATGGATTTTAAAAACTGGAATCAGATTTCAATCATTGTAATAGAAACTTGTAACTTGATTGGAAATGGAGTGATAATGAAGGAGTGTATAAAGGAATTAAATAAAACTCAAATGTCCCACTTAAATAAAATCATATATCTTTGTGAAGTAAAATCTGCACTTAAGGGTATATATTGGTATTTTCATTTTAAAGTTCATATTTACTTAAAAAATCAAAAAGATATATTTTCCACAAGATCTTTTGCAAACTTCCTCCATTTTCCTACTATCCCCAGACACAACCAGAAATAAGAAATTTCTGTTGACTAAATATTTGTCCTGTGGCAAACCTCTCTGCATTCACCATTTTTCAGCTGCAACTACTGAGATAATTTTTTTAATTTACTTCTGGCTCAGTATACCAGTCTTAAAATAACACTGAAGCATTGCTCTTAGAAGACGTGTATTAATCAAATGTTGCTGTAGGAATATGGAATTGAATGCATGCTTAATTGATAACAAAGTAAAGAGAAGTTGACAGTAGTTTTGAAGGGCTATTAATCTGTCCCTTTCTAATATTAATGTACTTAAAAACCGAAACCAAAATGTTCAATAATCAACCAACACTAATAAGTGAGATTAGAAAATCATCATGTTTCTGCATTTACTTTCCTTTCATTGGAAAGGCATGAAATTCTGTAAAGTGAAGATGAGCTTTTAAATCTACCTGTGGTGACTTCAACAGAATTATCTGTCTATTAATATCATTTCTGGATTTTTTACCGTAGTTAATTCTATATCAAATTATGTTACTTCAAAATGAAACTTCGTTTCTCCTGAAAAAAAAAAAAAAAAACTCATAAAACCAATGACAATTAGAAAAAAAATCTTGTAAAATCCTATCATTTGTAGCAAGAGCTACAAACAATAAACAATATAGCTGGGCAGGTATCTAAGGGAAGAGGATTCCAGGCAACAGGACGAGCCAGCCCAAAGCCCCTTGGAGTGAACCTACCTTAGTACAGGTGAAGCCAGTAGAGACTTTGGAGTAAAGATTGGAGAGTTCGGACCAACTTTTAGATCATTCTGCCTGCTCAGTAGAGGAGCAAAATTACTCTTGGAAATCATCATAATTTATATGAATATTTGCTCTATATTTTCTACTGAGGCCATACCAAAATCTAAATAATCTTAGATAATCATTATTAAATAATTCTCATTATCTTCTTCAATATATTACGTTGGTGCAAAAGTAATTGTGGTTTTGCCATTACTTTTGCACCAACCTAATAGTAATATAAGCAGAAATAATCTGTATTTAATAGTGTAATCTTACTTACATGTCATTTGCAATTCATAATTGTCTAAAAGTTATCTTGCTATCACTGCTTTCACCAACGGTAGGGTCAATGTTGATTGAAGAGGAAAGTTGGTGTGTTTACGTTTTATTAACACAACAAATATGTATTGAATATGCCACTATGTGTCATGCAGCATGGGAGGCATGAGAGATATATAAGTGACAAAAAAGATATTGTCCCTTCTTTCACAAAACATATAATCTCATGGTAGGAGTTACAGTAAAGCACCTTGTAGAAAAAAGAGGTTTTGCTCACTTTTTTATAAAAAAGTTTAATGTTTGAATCTTCTGGTTAAGAAACAAATTGTCAGAGGCTTTTCAGACACTTAGCAATATCATGCCAATATTCACACAATCATTTCTTCTTCAGTTATATAGATAAGAAGAGAAAGATCTCAGGTAGCCAGCTTGAGTTACATAAGAAAATCTCATTATTTTTCATGACACCCAATTTTATTCTCTTCTCCAAAATTATAAGACCTAGCATGATCAGCCACTTTATTTACCAGAGTTCACACCAAATAATTTTTGACTGGGTGCAAAATCAAACCCAATCATAAATAATGAAAAATTACCATTATCGACAATATGCAGAAAACTTTGCTTAAAGCTCTGAAGGTAATTTCTACAAAGAAGTCTCTAAAACATTTTAAGTAAAGGCAGAAACACTAGAGTGCTTTTTTTACAGTGAATATAATACTTTTAATACAAAATCCATGTTTACAAAAAAAAAAAAAACTACCTCTCATCAGAAGCACCTTCTATGTACTTTTATGTAGCTTATTGACAGTTTATAAAGGGACACCTGCCAGGCAAGGACTTAAACACTAATAGATACTGTTCATCGATTTTCAGTGTAATGATTTATTTAGCTATTCTTCCCTGAATTCAAACAAGGGTGTGCATGGGCGGGCGCCCGGGTGTGCATGGTTGCGCGCTCGGGTGCGCACGTGCGCACACGCACGCACACACTCACACACACACAAATGGGAGTCACCAGCAGCTTCTGCAGAAACAGGAGAGTCCAGCAAGTGCCAACAGTTTCAGTAGCAGTTTAGGAGGAACACCTCACTTCAACTGCTTTGACGGATATTTTGTACAATCTGTCTAGAGCTTTGTGCCAGCAGAGGAGCACAATCACATTCACTTACCAAGTACTGTCAACTGGGCCACAGTAGTGGCAGCAGAAACAGGAAATTGTGCTGATGGGATATATTTCTTGATGAAAATGGCCAAAAGTAGAACCTTCTATTATTTCATGAATGCTTGCTCTACTGTATGATTAGGAACTACAGTAATCCCAAAATGAATAAAGTCCTACCCCTATGGGAGAAGAAGAAACAGTCTCTTTTGAATGAATGAATTTTAGAGATCTTCAAAAATCGGTGTGGCTAGTCATCTATAAACCAAAAAGTCTCCATCATTATGTGCCGGAGATATTAATATCAGGATGCCAATCTACTGAAAAAGAAGACTCTCCTCCTACTTTGAGACGGAGAGAATGGTCCCAAGATTGAAAGGAAATAGACTTACTGATTTAAAAGGAAAGTGTTTTACAAGAGTCAAGATCCCTACCAGATGGGATATTAGAGAACTTCTTGGAAGTCAGCAGCAAAGTGATTGGTCCTCAGAGAGGACCCTACAAGGGCAGAGACTGAGGTGTCTGGTAATTCTGGTAAGGATACAGGTAAAAAGGAGCTCAGCAGGAGCCAGGTGGATTGTGTCAGAGCTTGGAGGCAACAGTGGGTTATTTGAGGATCAAAGTTTATTCAGAGTGTAGATCTCATGTTAAGTCTTCTTACCACAATAAAATAAAATAAAATTGTGCTGAAAAAAATGTTAAAGACTGTGCTGTTTAAGTTTTATATAAACTTAAAGAGAGACAGAGAGAGCAAGAAAGTGCCCTTAATATGTAATCAAATTACTTGTAAATATTTCTCTGTCTCAGGTATGCTTAACGAGAAACCACAAAGGAACTCCATCCAAATAGAGGCTAGAGTTTCCTAAGGAGAAAGAAACATCCCTGGGGACTGAGCTAGTTCATCAGTACAGAGACAAAATTACAGAAATTGAGGGGAAAAGTACAATTCTGGGAGAAAGCAATGGAGACTACTGAATTCACACTCACTGCCCCTCTGGAAACTGTGTTCCAAGATCTCCCTCACTCAAAAATTGGATGGCTTTTTATTTTGTTTTTACCAAGTAAAATGGTTCCCTTGCAATAACTCTGTTTTATAATTGTTTTATCATCACTGTTTTCTTTTCTACAAGCATGATACTGTGCAACACAACAATTTCTTTGCCAACTTCAGTAACTCTGCATTCCTAAGGTCGCCACTGAGGCATATGCTCAAGCTAATTTCTAGGCCTTTGTAATTTAAACTCTTCTAGCTGGATAATTTGGACTAATGCCCAATAATCCACCCATTAAAACCAACACTGTTTATTATGCTGTTCAAAGTAACAAAATGTTCCCAGATTCAATCATAACACAAAACAGTACAATTTCTGAAATCAACTTTAATCCAATTATTTATTCATACTGAGTTTTATGTTGGAAAGTTTTGCAAATGATTATAAAACCAGCGTCTAGATTAAGGATTGCTCACTAAAATGCCAGCAAGAAAACCTAAGTCTGTGATATAACACATGAAGGCCAATAAAGAGGTGAGAATATTGTTACAAACTGGGTAAGTACATTCAAACTCAAATTTTAATTGATTGTGCTGGACAAATAAAACATGTCTACAAGCTAAAGCCTCCAAATTAGCAGTTGTACCCTCAAGCTTAGCTGCATAACATAGGTTGCTTTATACTACTCTTTAAATCATTGGTAATAAGAAAGAACAAAATGGCTGGGCGCGGTGGTTCACACCTGTGATCCCAGCACTTTGAGGGTGGAGGCAGTTGGATCATGAGGTCAGGAGTTCGAGACCAGCCTGGCCAAATTGGTGAAACACCGTCTCTACTAAAAAAATACAAAAACTAGCCAGGCGCGGTGGCAGGCATCTGTAATCCCAGCTACTCGGGAAGCTGAAGCAGGAGAATCACTTGAACCCAGGAGGTGGAATTTGCAGTGAGCCGAGATCGCACCACTGCACTCTAGCCTGGGCGACAGAGCAAGACTCCATCAAAAAAAAAACAAAACTACCCTACCCTACCATAAAGTTATACGCAATCATCCAAAGCCACATACTGCACTGAAGCACTAGCAAAATATTAATTACCAAAGGACTTTAGTGCATATGTTAGAAGACTGATTTACTTTACATTAGCTTTATCACCATTTTATCTTCTAAGACCTTAGTTCCATGATTTTCTTTCTGCTGTTCCTATGAGTGAAAGGCCTTTCTCCCCTCTTCATTACAGTACTTCTTTATATCAACTCTACTACCTTATTTCTGTAAAAATCTTTGACCTTGTTTTTTAAGTCCCAATTAATAAGGCACCTCCCCCAGGTACATTTCCAAGGAAACTAAACATTCCTTCTTTGGGTTTTTATTGCACTTTGCTATATCTAAGTACTTACACATTTCAAGGTATATTACAGCTTTTTGTGAGGCCTTTGTGGGGAAAGAATATGTCTTATTCATCTGTATGTATTCAAGACCTTGTACCATACTTGGCATGTAGTATTTACATAAAAAATGAATGTGCATGAAGCAATAAATAAATGAGGGAATAAGTGGGTTTATTAGATAGTTTAATATTGAGGAATGCAAAATAATTACATTAAATCCCTTTCTGCTTATGGATGATTAGATAGGTCCAGAATTCCTTTAACTTTTCTTTTCAGGCCAGACGCGGTGGCTCACACCTATAATCCCAGCACTTTGGGAGGATGAGGTGGGTGGATCACCTGATGTCAGGGGTTCAAGACCAACATGGTGAAACCCTGTCTCTATAAAAATCCAAAAATTAGCCGGGCGTGGTGGTGCATGCCTGTAACCCCAGTTACTCAGGAAGCTGAGGCAAAAGAGTTGCTTGAACCCAGAAGGCAGAGGTTGCAGTGAGTCGAGATAGCACCACTGCACTCCAGCCTGGGCAACAGAGCAGCTCTGTCTCAAAAAACACTTTTCTTTTCAATATGTTTACCACATTTATTTCAAAAAGAAAAGCAGACTACTTATAATGTTAGCTTTGTACGTCATCTTACCACAATTCTCTTTATAAGCTGGTTCAAATCATCTTACTTGGCAAAATAGAGCTTACCTGATCATAGATTAAAATGTAAACTGTGTGACATAAAGTGGCATACAGCCACTGTCACCACTCTTCTGGAATGCATTAGTGCATTAATATCTTTCCAGAGTCCTGTCCTGAGTAATGGTTTAACAGAATTTAGAGCAGATAAGCTCCAGATTTCATCTCCCCCCTGCCCTATTGACCTGCTTCTGAAATTCCAACTGCCTGACGCAGTCAGCTAGGGCTTTCCTCTGCCTTTCCAATGAAAATTATATATTTTCCAATGTAAACATTTAATTAATGTTGAATTAACCGAACCCAAAATATCGATGATTTATGACAAAATTTAGTAAAGGAAAATAACCATTTAAAGGCCTCCCCAGGAGGGATGGAAGGGTGGCAAGGGTTGAAAACCTACCTGTTGGGCACTGTGTTCACTATTTGGGTGATGGGTTCACTAGAATCCCAAATCTTAGTATTATGCAATATACCCATGTCACAAACCAGCACATGTACCCCTTGAATGTATACTAAAATAAAAATAAAAATTTTAAACTAAACACCTTATATTTTCACCAAAAATTAAAAATTAAAACCTCCCCAAAAATGGAGCTTTCGCAAAATCTGAGTTTCTAATTTCCATTCCAATATGTTCCTTTTCTTTAATTATTTCATTTATGTATTCATTTCTCAAGATATTTATGTGTAAAGTGCATAGAGCTAGATATAAGACAGGGAAATGCCTTCATGCCCCCATGCAGTCAAAAGGGATTTAGAAACAACTAACTGATTATTACGATTTACTGTGAAGAATACTATAATCAGGAAAAGTGCTGAGCAAATGTTGGAAATGACAGAAGAAAATACTTCAGACTTAAAAAGCTGAGATATGCAGGAAAACAAATGTAGTTGTCCCTCGGTATCCATGGGGGATTGGTTCTAGGACCCCCAAGGATACCAAAATCCAGGGATACCCAAGTCCTTTATATAAAATGGTGTAGTACTTGCATATAACCTACGCACATCATCCTGTGTACTTTCAATCATCTCTAGATTACTTACAATACCTAATACAATGTAAGTGCTGTGTAAATAGTTTTGTTATATTATATTATTCTTATCTGTTTTATTTGGTGTTGTATTGTTATTTTCTTTTCTCAAATATTTTCGAACCTCAGTTGGTTGCATCTGGATATGGATACAAAGGGCCGACTGTAGTAAAAATAAATCTCCTGGGAAAGGGGAAATAAGACAACCACAGAGAGGAAGAAAAAGTATTTCTAAGCACATATTTGATCATTTCCCAAATTTCATACTTCATCATGTGTACAATACAAAGTATTCATTCTGAAACTCATAGTCAAGTTTTAGTAATGATGAAGTCATTTATATTTGACCAAGCCTCAGAAAGCTAACAATTATACCTCTCAACAAAGTTTTAAAAAACAAAACCATTTGAAGGCACCAGAGGGCAACCATAAGCAGGTAAAAACTATAGAAGATTAGGCTTCTGAAAGTATCAGGTTGTTGCAAAAGTATAATGGTGAAAACTACAATCGCAAAAGTAATTACTTATAATGGTGAAAACTGCAATTACTTTTGCAGAAACCTAAACCAAATTATGTTCACTGGGTGAGGTCCACGTTTCTATGGTTTTTCCTCAGGGGTAATTCCCAGTCCACATTTAATGCAGGATAGACAGAACTCATGCAGAAAGGCAAAACATCATCGAATTGAGAAGTCAGTGTGTAGTGGCTCCCAGAATGGCAAGAATTTGAGGAGGAAACCCCCTCAAAAAGAAGGGGAAAGCCCCAAATCTATATATAAATTATCTTAAAATTCTTGGCTAACCACTGAACTGTGTATAATCAAGAACAACTCCAAGGAGCTCAGGAAAAAGAAACAGCTAGAAGTTTGAAAAAATTGAGCAAATAAGTTATCTATTGTACACCACGGAGAGACAAAGTTTGGAGCTTGAATCCTACCAAATTAGAGGGGCTCAAGAAACATAACGGCCTTTCCCAAGGTGTATTATAACAAAGCATAAGACCAAGCATTCCTAAGATAAAGGTGACAATCCAGTAACTGAATTGCTACTAGACCAAACAATCAACACATCAAAGGTAACAGAGTCTAGTCTCCCTAATGCGTCATACACAATGTTGTGTATGTAATTTTTTTGTTTGTTTTTTGAGACAGAGTCTCGCTCTGTCGCCCAGGCTGGAGTGCAGTGGTGCAATCTC
Source organism: Homo sapiens (assembly GCF_000001405.40). NCBI lineage: Eukaryota > Metazoa > Chordata > Mammalia > Primates > Hominidae > Homo > Homo sapiens. The sequence goes on along the minus strand of NC_000001.11, from coordinate 193,337,508 downwards.
GGCTCACTGCAAGCTCCGCCTCCCTGGCTCACGCCATTCTCCTGCCTCAGCCTCCCGAGTAGCTGGGACTACAGGCGCCCGCCACCTCTCCCGGCTAATTTTTTGTATATTTAGTAGAGAAGGGGTTTCATCGTCTTAGACAGGATGGTCTCTATCTCCTGACCTCGTGATCCGCCCGCCTCGGCCTCCCAAAGTGCTGGGATTACAGGCTAAGCCACCGCGCCCAGCCATGTGTATATAATTTTTTGAATTACTTCACATTTTAAATACTAAGTAAAGGTGACCCATAACCAAGAAAAAATAAAGCAGTCAGTAGAAACAGTTCCTGAAATGACCTATATGTTGGAATTGACAAACTAAGACTTTAAAGAAGCTATAACAAATATGTTTAAGAACTTAAAAATAAGTCATAATAATTTCAACACAGAAATGGAAACTATAAAAAATAACTAAATGAAAATTTTAGAACAGAAAATTATAATACCTGGAGTAAAAATTTCACTAGATGAATGCAAGAGCAAATTGGAGAATAAAAAGTTAGTGAACTTGAAGTTGTATCAATAGAAATTCATTCGAAGGAAAAGAGAAAATAATTAAGGAAAAAAAAAGCAGAGCTTCAGTGACAATATCAAATAGTCTGACCATATGCAATTGGAGTTTCAAAAAATATAGGAAGGAGAAATGGATAACAAAAAAATACTTGAAATAATGGTTAAAAATTTTCCACATTTGGTGAAAAAAAATTAACTTACAGATCCCACAAACTCATAAAACTACTGATATATCCAAAAATATGAATGAACCTGGAAAGCATAATGTTGGGCAAAAGAAGTTAGACATAAAACACTGCATACGTTTGTATTTATAGGAAGCCCTAGAACAGACAACACTAATTTATGCTGAGAAAAAGCGAAAAAATGTTTGCCTATAGCGGATGGGGAGGATAGAAGTAGGAATGAGAAAATGTTCTTTATCTTGACTGTAATGATACTTACACAGGAATATATATTTATCAAACTTATTAAATTGTACATACACTTAAGATCTGTGCACTTCACTGTATGAAAATTCTAACTCAATAAAAATAGAATATAAAAAAGAAGTTTGTTTTTATCAAATTCTGTTCTGTGCTAAAAATGTAAATATAGACCATCCTGAATGTTGAAACCAGCATCTGAGATAACAGGGAGAAAATGTTGTTTTTGCTATAAGTTACCCTATAAGGAAATGTTTATCCACTTTGGACCTAGTGTCATTCAGTAGCATACACAACAGTTTCTACTAAGCAAGTTTCTCAAATAAAAAAAAAGAGTATCATTCCAAACATCTCTGAAATAACTCACAGTACTTTTTGAATTCCTTACATTGTTTTTTAGTAATATATTTAAAAATCTGATCCGTGGGATGACAGCTGCTGTCTAACAGAACATGGTGGCATCTGGAGTTAAAACAAAGCTGCTTCCCTTTGAAAGGACTGCATTCATGATGCTTTAGAATCAGTGCATATCCTCTCCCAACTGGGCTTGCCCTGGAAGTAACCTCTGATGAATTGAGTGTCTCTCAGGAATGCTGACCAACTGGGGAATGAATAAAATGTCTTCTCAAAATAGAGAATTAAAGCCATATTCTAAAAATTACATACAGCTGGCATAGCACATGCAGTACTCTTAATAACTGCTTTCTCCAAATGGTCAAACACACACCATTCATACTGGAGTTGCAGCAGAATGAAGCACAGTCAAGCTTAAACTTAAGAAGTTCATGGTACTTTTAAGCAGTGGCTACACTTACAGCTTCTTATCACGGTCAATGGAACTCTTGATGTCGATTGTCTCTTCATTTACCACAATCAAGAACAGCCCTAATTAGAGGTTATGGAAGTGGGTTTCTATGCATTACTAGGACCTACTAAAGTCCAGATGGGACCCTGGACATTTCACAGAATTGATAGATAAGACTAAGAGTCAGTTGTACACCTATGAATACCCAAGTTAGGTATCCTAGGACTTCGCCTGCTCCATCTAGTCATTATTGAATTACCTTGATTTTAATCTAAGTGGTCTACCTTGGAACTCTCTACCTGCAAGAGCAAGGGGGCTAAGCATAATGAAAGAGGAGACACATCCACGTACACTGACCTGTTAGTATCCCTGCCCCCTCTCAACATCTGAAGCTGAACTGAACCTACTGTATTTGGAGCCCTATTCTGCCTCTAAATGTTAGCCTTGAATCTTAGGCCAATTGCAGATTAAATGCAGACGAGTGCGGAGGGGATACAAACATATAATCAAAACCATAAGCATGCATTTTCCTGGGTATCTTTCCTGTTCTTCTCATTTCTAAATGAAGACCTAAAATGTTCATCTAAAAGGGCAAGATGATATGAGAAATCCTAAAATTTCTATGTCTCTGTATTTTCTTATACATCTATTACAGTATTTCCCATATTATACTTTAATATATCAGCACATACTTATGTAACAGAATGTCAAGTGAGATTATCTTATCCTGGAATTGAGGCTAATGCCCAAAGCAGAGAACAAAAAATACTAAGTATCTCACATTCTAAATAGAGCCCATTGCCAGTAGACTCACTTCCCCACAGAGATTATAGAGCAGCATCAGATCAGAACAGCCCCAGTAAAGAAACAAACACTCTCACTTCAAATAATGTAAAAGGAAGCTGGGGAGAAACAAGTCATCAGCCTTGTGGGGAATTCAGTGCCTGTCATGAAGGGCTACTATTACCTCCTTTCTTTACTGGAGACAGAAGGGAGATATATTCTTCCACTCCAAGTTAAGAGGGAGGATAACAAATAGAAAAAAGTAAGGAAGAAACTTGAGGTTATGGGATCAAGAATGTAAATAATGGAGTTAGTCTTTAATTAGAGGAAGTGACAATGAATACCAGAGAAAGCCACCCTCCTGATGGGAATGGCAGTATCTATATTTCAATGGATTTAAGAGTAATCAAGGTCTAATTTTTGATGCCTAGTTCACCACTGCAATTGAAAAAAAATTGAGTTTTGGTTGAGGGAAAAGCAAGAGGTGGAATAGAACTCTCCAGCAATCATCTCCTTACAGATACATCAATTAGAACAACTATCCATGGACAAAAATACCTTCACAAGAGTTAAGAAAGCCAGGTAAGAGATCACATTAACTGGTTATATCATAATAATAAGAAAAGACACAAATGAAGAGGGTAGAAAGGACACTTTTCCATTACCCATGTTACCCCTCCCTCAATCCCAGGCAGCATATCGTGGAGACAGATACCACCTGCTTAGGGGAAAGTAGGGAATTAAGCATAGAATTTTGTATTGGATCCCCAACACTGAGCCTACCACACTAAAAGCCAACAGTGGGCAGAGTCCCACAGCCCCTGACTTCAGGCCAGTACCCATGGACTGAACCACCAGACTTGTCCCAACACCAGGTGGGAACCCATAGCCCATGCCAAGCAGACTCAATCTACAGTTAGCATCACCACTGGACAACTACAGCAGCCTTGGACTCAGGACAAGCCCTAACAGAAGGCAGCCCTCAGAAGTCTGCTATAAGATTCACATGTACTCCAATGCTATGTTAGCCTTGGAGGACGCAGAATTCCAGACAGGTACTGCACTCATGGTGATATTGGGCTTAGGAAGCTTTCTAGTGCTGCAATGGCTGCAGTGCAGGCTTACAGGCCAGGCTTTGGGAACAGTACAGAGGATCTGCCTAGAAACTCTGAAAAGGCTTACTACTGAAGGGCATTCCCAGACAAAAATAGACTGCAAAGACGAAAATAAGCATTTACTTCTTCAATGTGCAGACAACAACATGAACACAAAGATCAAGAACAATCAGAGAAACACGACATTTTTTGTCCAAATTGACAGAAAAGAAGGTGCTAGTGACTGACCCTAAAGAGACGGAGTATATAAACTACCTGATGAAAAGTCAAAATGAATGTTTTAAATAAGCTCAGTAAATTTCAACAAATACAGAGAAACAATTCAACAAAATGAGTAAAATAATAAGTGACAAGAACACAAAATTTAACAGAGAGATTGAAATAATTTTAAAAATCCAACAGAAATCCTGGTGCTGAAAAATACTATGAACGAAATGAAAAATGCAATAGAGCACATCAACAGCAGAAATGACCAGAAGAAAGAGTCTGCAAACTCAAAGACAGGTTGTTTGAAAATATACAGGCAGAGGAGAAAAAAGAACAAAAGAATAACAAAGAATTAAAAAAGCATATGGGATTTACGGGGCAACATTAAAAGAGCAAATATCCGAGTCATTTGTTTTCAAGAGTGAGTTGAGAAAGATAATTGGTAGAAAGTGTACTCAAAGAAATAATAGCAGAAAACTTTCCAAACCTGGGTAAAGATATCAATATTCATGTATAGGAAAGTCAAAATCCTCCAATAATATTCCATCTAAATAAGACTACTCCTTAGACATATTATATTCATATTGTCAAGAGGATCCCAAAAACAGCAAGATAAAAGAATAAAATAACATATAGGGAAGTTTCAATAGGCCTAGCAGCAGACTTCTCAAAAGAGATCTTACAGGCCAGGAGAGAGTGGGATGATGTATTCAAAGTGATGAAGAAAAAAAAACCCCGCCAATCAAGAATTCTATGCCCAGAAAAGCTGTCCTTCAGGAATGAAGGAGAGATAAAGACTTTCCCAGAGAAACTAAAGCTGAGGAAGTTCAGTACCACCAGACTTGCCTTTTAAGAAATGCTAAAAAAGTTATTTACCTGAAAGAAAAGATGATGCTAATGAGTAACACAAAAATATTGAAAATATAAAACTCGCTAAAAAAAGTAAGCCAAATTCAGAATACTATAATACTATAATGGCACTGTGTACATTATTTATATTATTAGTATAGAGGTTAAAATACAAACTATTAAAAATAATAACTACAATAATTTGTTAAGGAATATGCAATAAAAAGATATAAATTTTCCTATCAAAAATTCAAAAGGGAGAGGGTGGACTAAAAGTATAGAGGGTATTTTTGCAATCAAATTAAGCTGTCATTAGCTTAAATGAACCAGTTATAATTATGTTTTTTGTAAGCCTTATGCTAACCGTAAAGAACCTATAATAGATACGCAAAAAATGAAAAGCAAGGGATCAAAACAATAACTAAAGAAAGTCACTTAACCACAAAGAAAGAGAAGAAGAAAAGAAGAAAGGATCTACCAAAAAAACTAGAAAAAAAATAATGGCGCTAGTAAGTGCTTACCTATCAATAATTATCTTGAATGTAAATGAATTAAATTATTCAATAAAAAAATAGAAGGGATGAATAAAAAAAAACAAGACACAACTATATGCGACCTACAAGTGACTTACTTCACTTATAAGGACACACATAGATTGAAAGTGAAGAAATGGAAAAAGATATTTCATTCAAATGAAAACCAAAAGTGAGCAGGAATAGCTATACTTAATCAGATAAGATATCACATTGAAAACAGAAAAAAGAGACAAAGAAGGTAATTTTATAATAATAAGGGTCAGTTCAGCAAGCAAACATAACAATTGTAAATATACATGCACCAAACATCAGAGTACCTAAATATAAAAGCAAATATTAAAATATGAAAGGATAGACAATAACACAGTAATAGCAGGATACTTTAACACCCCACTTTCAGAAATTAACAGATCATACAGACAGAAAATCAGTAAAGAAACATAGGATTTTAACTCCAGTTTATACCAAATAAACCTAACAGATATATAACAGAACATTTTTATCCAACAACTGTAGAATACACATTCTCTCAACTGCATATGGAGCATTCTCCAGTATATACCATGTTAGACCACAAAACAAGTCGTTAAAAATGTAAGAAGATTGGAATCATATCAATTGTCTTTTCTGACCACAATGGTATAAAACTTGAAATCAATACCAAAAGGAATTTCAGAAAAATTACTAATACGTGGAAATTTAAAACTATGCTACCGAGCCGGGTGCGGTGGCTCATGTCTATAATCCCAGCACTTTGGGAGGAGGAGGTGGGCAGATCGCCTGAGTTCGAAACCACCCAGGGCAACATGGTAAAACCTCATCTCTACTAAAGTACAAAAAATTAGCCGGGCATGGTGGCACACACCTGTAGTCCCAGCTACTCGGGAGGCTAAGGCAGGAGAATCACTTAAGCCCTGGAGGCAGAAGTTGCAGTGAGCCAAGATCGTGTCACTGCACTTCAGCTTCAGCTACAGAGTGAGACTCCACCTCAAAAAACAAAAACAAAAAATAAATAAATAAAAATAAAAATATGCTACTGATCAACTAATGGGTCAATGAAGAGATAATTAAAAGGGAAATTTTAAAATTTCTTGAGACAAATGAAAATAGAAACACAACATACCAAAACGTATGGAGTACAGTACATCAAAAAAGATATCAACCAACCTAACATTGAATCTTAAGGAACTAGAAAAATCAGAATAAATTAAACCAAAATTAGTAGAAGACAGGAAATAATGAACAGTAGAGCAGAAATAAATAACACAGAGACTAGAAGAGCAATAGAAAAGATCAACAAAATGAAGTACTGGTTTTTGAAAAGATAAGCAAAATCAACAAACCTTTAGTTAAGCTAAGAAAAGGAGAGAAGCATATAAATAAAATCAGATTGATATAGGAGACATTATAACTGATACCACAGAAATACAAAGAACTATGAGACGATTATGAACAATTATACACCAACAAATGGAATAACCTGAAATAAATAGATACATTCCTGTACACATACAACCTACCAAGATTGAATTATGAAGACACAGAAAATCTCAACAAACAAATAACCTGTAAGATTGAATCAGTAATAAAAATCTTTCTTTTTCTTTTTTTTTTTTTTCTTTTTGAGAAAGAGTTTACTCTTGTCACCCAGGCTGGAGTGCGATCTTGGCTCACAGCAACCTCTGCTTCCAGGGTTCAAGTGATTCTCCCAAGTAGCTGAGATTATGGGCACCTGCCACCACACCCAGCTAATTTTTGTATTTTTAGTAGAGCCATGTTGGCCAGGCTGGTCTCAAACTCCTGACCTCAGGTGATGTGCCTGCCATGGCCTCCCAAAGTGCTGGGATTACAGGTATGAGCCACCATGTCTGGCCTAAAAATCTTTCATCAAAGGAAAGCCCAGGACCTGATGGCTTCACTGCTGAATTCTACCAACATTCAAAGAATGAATACCAATTGTTTTCAAATTCTTCCAAGGAATTAAAGAGAAGGAAATACTTCCAATCTCATTTTACAAGGTGAACATTACCCTGATACTCAAACCATCAAGGCCACAAACACACACACACACACACACACACACACACTCTCTCTCTCTCTCAAAGAAAACTAAGGCCAATATCCCTGATGAACATTGAAACAAGAATCCTCAACAAAATACTAGCAAACCAAATTCAACAGCACATTAAAAAGATCATTCATTATGGTCAAGTGAGATTTATCTCAGGGATGCAAGGACGGTTTAACATATGTAATTCAAAAAGGTGATACATTGCATTAACAGAATTGAGGAATGAAAATCATATGATTATTTCAACAGAAGCAGAAAAGGAATTACACAAAATTCAACATCCCTTCATGATTAAAAAAAAAACCTCTCAACTCTTTAGGTGTAGAAGAAATGTACTTGAACATAATACAGGCCATATGCCACAAACCCATATATGAGGAAAGTTGAAAGCATTTTCTCTAGTATTTGGAACAAGAAAAAGATGTCCACTCTTGCCACTTCTATTCAACATTGTACTGGAAGTTCCAGTTAAAGTAATTAGACAAGAGAAAGAAATAATGGGCATCCAAATTGGAAGGGAAGAAGCTAAATTATCTTGTTTGCAGACAACATAATCTTATATAGAGAAAACCCTAAAGCCTCCACCAAAAAACTATTAGAACTAATAAACAAAATCAGTAAAGTGGCAGGATACAAAATCAACATGAAAATCAGCAGTGTTTCTATACATTAACAGTGAACTATCTAAAACTTTTTAAAATCCTATTTAAAACAGCAAAAAAAAAATTACTTAGAAATGAATTTCATCATGGAGGTAAGAGATTACACTTAAAACTATAAAATATTAATGAAACAAATTGAAGAAAACACAGATAAATGGAAAAATATATCATCTTCATGGATTTGAAGAATTAATATTATTAAAATGTGCATACTACCCAAAGCAATCTAGAGATTCTATGCAGTCCCTAACAAAATATCATAACTTTCTTTACAGAAATAGGAAAAAAAACTAAAATCTGTATAAAACCACAAATGACCCCAAATAGCCAAAACAATCTTGAGCTAAAAGAACACAGAGTCATCACACCACCTGACTTCAAACATATTATAAAGCTATAGTAACCAAACAGCATGGTACTGGCATAAAAAGAGACACACAGACCAACAGTACAGAATACAGCGCCTAGAAATAAGTCCACAATCTTATAGCCAACTGATTTTTGACAAAAGTGCCAAGAAAACAGAATGGGGAAGGGATTGGTTTTTAAATAAGTGGTCCTGGTAAAATTGAATATTCACATGCAAGAGAATGAAATTACATCCCTCTGTCTCACCATATACAAAAATCAACTTAAAATGGATTTAAGACTTAAGTGTAAGACCTGAAGCTATTACTAGAAGAAAACATGGGGGAAAAGTTTCATGAAATTTGCCTTGGCAATGATTTTTTTATATATGATCTCAAAAGCACAGTAAACAAAAGCAAAAATAGACAAATAAGATCAAACTGGCTTGGTGCCAGGGCTCACACCTGTAATCATAGCACATTGGGAGGCTGAGGCAGGAGGAATGCTTGAGCTCAGGAGTTCAAGCCCAGCCTGGGCAACATAGTGAGATCTCATTGCTACAAAAAATAAACAAAATTAGCTCCACGTAGTGGCATGCATCTGTGGACCCAGTTACTCCAGTGGCTGAGGCAAGAAGATTGCCTAAACCCAGCAGGTCTAGGCTGCGGTGAGCCATGGATCATGCCACTGCACTCCAGCTTGGACAAGAGAGTGAGACCCTGTCTCAAAACAAACAAAGAAGATCAAACTAAAAAAGCTTCTGCGCAGCAAAGGACTCAATTAACTGAATGAAGAGACAACATACAGAATGGAAGAAAATATTGGCAAACTATCCATCTAATAAGGGGATAATATTCAAAATAAATAAGGAACTCAAACAATTCAATAGCAAGAAAACAAATAGCTGAATTTGAAAATGGGAAAAAGACCTGAAGAAACATTTCTCAAAAGAAGACACACAAACACTTAACAGGTATATGAGAAAATGCTCAACATTATTAATCATCATGTAAATGCAAATTAAAACCACAATGAGATAGCACCACATTTCTGTTAGAATGTCTATTATCAAAAAGAAAAAAGATTTTTAAAAGTATTGGTGAGGTCATGGAGAAAAAAGGAATTCTCGCAAACTAGTGGTGGAAATGTAAATTAGTACAACCATTATGGAAAACAGTTTGGAGGGTTCTCAAAAAACTAAAAATAAACTAGCATATGATCCAGCAATCCCACTACTGGGTATATATCCAAAGAAATGAAATTACTATGTCAAAGACATATCTGCACTCCCACGTTTATTGCAGCACTATTCACAGTAGCCAAAATATGAAATCAACCTAAATGTCCATCAGTGGATGAATGAATAAAGAAAATGTGCTATATATGCCCACTGGAATACTATTCAGTCAATAAAAAGGAAGGAAATCCTGTCATTTACAACAACATGGATGAAACTATGGGACATTATGTTAAATGAAATAAGCTACACAGAAATAAGCTACAGAAAGACATATATCACATTATCATACTCATGCGTGGAATTTGAAAAGCCAATTTCATGGAAGTAGTGATTAGAATGGTTGTTAACAGAAGCTGGGGTTCTTGGGGAGTGGGGTAGGGAAATATTGGCCAAAGGATACATAATTACAGTTAGATCGTTAGATCAAAGAAATACATTCAAACAATCTATTAGACAGCATGGTAACTAGTTAATGATGATATATGGTATTCTTTAAAAATTCTGAGTGGATATTAAGTGTTCTCACCACAAAAATGATAACAATATGAGGCAATGCACTTGTCAATTAGCTAGATTTAACCATAACACAATGTATTTAATTAGCCCTGCATTGCTTAATGACAGGGATACATTCTGAGTGATACATCATTAGGTGATTTTGTCATTGTATGGACATCAGAGAGTGTACTTCCACAAACCTATGTGGTATATACTACTACATACCTAGACTATATGTATAACCTATTATTCCTAGGCTACAAAGCTGTATAGCATATTACTATACTGAGTACTCTAGGCAATTTTAACACATGGTAAATATTTGTGTATCCAAACATATCTAAACATAGAAAAGGTAATGCACTGTGCTACATTATGACAGCTATGACATCACTAGGTGATATAAATTTTTAGCTCCATTATAATCTTATGGGAACACCATCATATAAGCAGTCCATTGTTCACCAAAACATCAGTATGTGCCACATGACTGTACTTTAAAACATGTTGTACAGAATACATGCATATAACTTTATATACAAATTTTTCAAAAATAGTCAATTTGATAAATAAATAAATAAACCTGATGCTTTGAAAAGTCTGCCTCACAGCTACAGGAGATAATAGTCTCCTTTATTCCTGTTGCAAAGGCTCACTGGCATTCCTAACACTCCAAAACTGGGTAACTAAGTGTCTTGAGCCTGCTTTTTAAATTTTTATGAAGTTTTAATGCAGTCATAAGATGCAATCCCAGAAAAGGAGGGTTAAGTAGGAAGGGAATGAGAGTCAGAGAAAGAGATTAAAAACAAAAAGGTACTACATTGAACTATACACAGCTTCTTAACAAGTGCCACTGATTGCTCTACTTCAAGCGGCTTCTTTGGATAAGAACAATAGCTGTCTTTGTCTTAGGACAGACCCATAGGGAAAGGGAAAAAATTATCTGATGGTTCCCTCCCATCTACTGTCTTCTTGGGGAATAAACCTTCAAGTGGTCCCAGTGAGTCACTTCTTTGTGTCAATCTCCTCCTGGAATGCAGATGGAACCTGTAACTTGCTTCTAACTAAAGAAAAGGATGTCACTTACTTGGTTAGGTTACATTATATGGCAAAGGTGATGAGATGTCACTCCCATCATAAAGTAGAATTATAAATGTAATCATAAAGGTGATTATGTTTTGCCGTGGACCCTATCCCTGTTGGACTGAACAAAGGATGACCAACACGGGAATAAAGACAAAGACACAAGATTATATCTGGGAGAAGGGGTCAGGGCGCTCCTTGCTTCTAGTGAACAAGGGCCCTGAGCTTTTTCAGCTCTCCATGTTTATTAGGTAAAAGAGATAGCAAGAAGCGGGGGGGTAATTGTCAGGTGATTGTTGATCGGCAGTTTAATTTACAGCAGGCTTGCCAGACTGCATTCTTCGAACAATAGGCTCTAGGTGTCTCAGTAGATAACCTCAAGGAGCACAGTGCCAGGAAGTGATTGCCTTCAGCAAACCTTCTGGCAGCTGGAGCAGAAGTAAGTTTGCCCACATCCTGCATTCAGGATAAACAGTTTGCTATTTGATCATATGGCCTCCAGTGGAATGTTGACTTGGTCACTATCCCTTTGCATCTCTCTACAATGTTTCACTATACATGACTTTTCCTAGTAGACTATAGAAATATATTTTTGTGATGGCCTTAAAGAAGCAAATAGCCATATTATAAACTATTTATGGAAAGAGCCATGTGGCAAGGAAATGAAGACAATCTCAAAAACAGGAACAAATTATGAATAAAAAATGAACTTGGAAGGAGATTCTTCCCTAGCCAAGCTTCCAAATGGAAATGAAGTCCAGATGACACCTCAATTGTAATCTTGTAAACTTGTGAGAACCTGATCTGAGGACCTAGCTAAACTGTGCTCAGACTCCTACCCATCATAACTGTGAATAAATAAATCAATAAATAAATGTGTCTTGCTTTAAGCTACCACATTTGTGGAAATTTTTTACTCAGCAACAAAAGAACTAATACAACATTAAAATAATACAACATTAAAAATACAACATTAAAAAAAAGAGAAAAATTGAGTCTTGGGTGAGCAGTAAAGTGGTGAACTGTAAAACTTCCATACTGACCAAGAGACCATGAAATAGTTCCAGGTCAGTGGCATCCTCTGGCTTACAGCATGAGTAATGAGTAATTTCTCTCTGAAGGATAACATCTACAATTCCCATCTTAAACCCACAGGACTCCCATATGTTTAGATCAAAATAGATACCAAAATTTTAAATAAAATTTAGCAAACCGAATTCATCAGTCTTTACAAAAGATTATACACAACTAGGCAGAAGATCACAAAGAAATAGAAGACTTGAACAACACTGTAAAGCCAACAGACATTCATAGAATATTCCATCCAAAACAGCATAATACATATTCTTCTCAAGTGCACATGGAACATTCTCTAAGATAGACCATATATTAGGCAATAAAACAAGTCTCAATAAGTATACAGGAATTAAAATCACACAAAGTATGTACTATGACCACAATGAAGGAAATTAGAAATCTGTAAGAGAGGGACATTTGGAAAATTTCCAATTAGGCAGAAGTTAAACAATATACTTCTTTTAAAAAAAAAAAAAAAAAAAACGAAAACAGCAATGGGCCAAAGAAGAAATGACAAGGGAAACTAGAAAATACTCTGAGATGAATAAAAATAAAAACACAACATACCAAAATGTACGAGATGCAAGTAAAGCAGTGTTTGGAGGAAATTTATAGCTGTAAATGCTGATATCAAAAAAATAAGAAAGATCTCAAATCAATAACCCTAAACTTCCACCCCAAGGAACTGGAAAAATAAGAACTAAACCCAAAGCAAGTAAAATGAAGAAAACAACAATTATAGAAGAAATAAATAAAATATAGAATAAGAAAGCAGTTTTCAAAAATACAATGGGCCGAGCGCGGTGGCTCACGCCTGTAATCCCAGCACTTTGGGAGGCGGAGGCAGGTGGATCATGAGGTCAGGAGATCGAGACCATCCTGGCTAACACGGTGAAACCCCGTCTTTACTAAAAAAATAAAAAAAAAAAAATAGCCAGGCGTGGTGGCAGGCGCCTGTAGTCCCAGCTACTCAGGAGGCTGAGGCAGGAGAATGGCGTGAACCCAGGAGGCGGAGCTTGCAGCGAATCGAGATCGCGCCACTGCCCTCCAGCCTGGGCGACAGAGCAAAACTCCATCTCAAAACAAACAAGCAAAACAAAACAAAACAAAACAACAACAAAAAAAACACACATACACACACAATTAAACCACAAGTTGGTTGTTTGAAAAGATGTATAAAGTAGCTAGACCAACCAAGGAAAAATGGCGGGGGGGAATTCAAATTACTAAAATCAAGAATGAAATAGACATTACTACTGATCTTACAAAAATAAAAGAATTATATGAAAATACTATGAACAATTGTACACCAACAAATTAGATGGCCTAGATAAAATAGACAAATTCCTAGAAATAGACAAATCACCAAAAATGACTGGAGAACGAAAATAAAAATCTGAATAGACCTAATACAAGTAAAATAATTTAGTTAGTGTTAAAACCTTCCCACAAAGAAAAATGCAGAATGAGACGCTTTCATTGGTGAATTCCACAAAATATTTAAGAAGAATTAACATCAATCCTTCACAAACTCTTCCCCAAAAATCAGATGATGAAAAAACAATTCCCAATTCATTCTATGAGGCCAGTATTCCTGATACCAAAACCAGGCAAAAATATCAAAAGAAAAGATAACCACAGACTAATGTCCCTTATGAATATAGAGGCAAAACTTCTCAACAAAAAACTAAGCAACAAAAAGAATCAGCAGCAACATAGAATAGGTTTATATACCATGTCCAAATGGGATTTATCCTAGGAAAATCAATTATGTAATACACCATATTCATATAATGAAGGACAAAAACCACATGACCAATTCAATAGGCTCAGAAGAAGGAGCGACAAAATCCAATACCCTACATGATAAAAAAAAAAATACTAAAAAACTAGGAATAGAAGGAAACTAGCTCAACCTGAAATAAATCATCTATAAAAACTCACAGCCAACGTTATACTTACTGGTCAAAGACTAAAATTTTCCTTCTAAGATCAGGAACAAGACAAAGATGTCACATGTGTCTTGTAATATTGAACTGGGTGTTCTGGTCAGGGCAATTAGGCAAGAAAATAAAACAAAATGCATTAAGATTGGAAGGAAAAAGTAAAATTATCTTTATTTGCTGATCATATGATCTTATATGCAGAAAGTCCTAAGGAGCTCATACAACAATCAAATTGAAGGATATTTTTTCCAAAATTCTCAACATTATTAGCCATCAGAGAAATGTAAACCAAAACCACAAGATGATTCCACTTCACACCCAATCAGATAACTGTAATTAAAAAAAAAAAACAGACAATAACAAGTGTTGGTAATGATAAGGAGAAACAAGCCTCATACATTGCTTGTAGGAATGGAAAATGGTACAACTGCTTTGGAAAACAGTTTGACAATTCCTCAAATGATTAAACATAGAGTAGCCATATGACCCAGCAATTTTATGCCTAGGTGTACCCAAGAGAATTGAAAACCTAGGTCCACACAGAAGCTTGTACAGAATGTTTATAACTGCTTTATTCATATAGCAAAAAGTGAAAACACCCCAAATGTACATCAACTGATGAATGAATAAATAAAATATAGTATATTTATACAATATAATATTACTCACTTATAAAAAGGAAAGAAGTATTGATTCATGCTACAATATAAATGAACCTTGAAAATATTATGCTAAGTAAAATAAGGTGAACACAAAAAGCCACATATTATATGATTCCATTCATATAATATGTCCAGAACACACGAATCCATAGAGGCAGAAAGTATCAGCGGCTGACTAGGGCTGGGGAGGGGAGAGAGAATGGAATGTGACTGCTAATGGCTATGGAATTTCCTTTTGGGTGATGAAAATATTCTGTAATTAGATAGTGGTGATGTTACACAACTTTGTGAATATACTAAAAACTACTGCATTGCACCCTTTAAAGTGTGCATTTTATGGTATAAATGGTATCTCAATTTTAAAAAAATTTATAGTATGCCCATAAAACATAAAACCTAACCTTTGTCAATGCCCTTCAGCTAAAAGATAGGAGGACCACACCTGTAGTTGGAAAAGTTGAGCTTATTTCTCATTGCAGCAAGGGAAAAAAGACCCCATTGGGAACCGTGGGACATGTCAGTAAGACAATATTAGAAGAAGTTATCAGTTTCAGGTCTATGGTAGGTAACTTTGGGAGAGTTTAAGGATGCCAGGCTTTCTTCTGGATTGAATGCTGCCAGTAAGCAGGGGTAATTCTATGACTGGATGACTGGGTATCTTTTTCTTTTTTTTCTTTTTTGAGACAGAATCTCACTCCATTGCCCAGGCTGATGCACAGTGGCATGATGTTGGCTCACTGCAGCCTCCACCTCCCATGTTCAAGCAATTCTCCTGCCTCAGCCTCTCAAGTAGCTGGAACTACAGGCACACACCACCATGCTGGGCTAATTTTTGTATTTTTAGTAGAAGCAAAGTTTCACTATGTTGGCCAGGCTGGTGTCCAACTCCTGACCTCAAGTGATTTACCCACCTCGGCCTCCCACAGTGCTGGAATTACAGGCATCAGCCACCGTGCCCAGCCATGACTGGTTATCTTAATAAATTTTATCTAGTAGGAGGAAAGGCTATACTGAGGCTAAAGATGTAATTGGCATGAAGAAAAATAGAGAAGGAGAAAGCTACAGGCACTCATTCATTTTAGCCAGGATAGAGGGCTGTCTGGTCACTTTTGTGGTTTGCATGATATCCAGGCTTCCTTTGTGTTCAGACATAATTACAGAGTGGTTTTTTCTAGCCTTCATCAATCATGGACCCTATAAAAATTTGATGTTCTGTGACCAGAATACAAAAGAATACCAGGAGAGCACCACAGTCCAGCTATGAATGCCTGACCAGCTTAGAGTTAACACCTAGGCCCAGCTGTGATATAGTGCAATATATCACTATGTACAAAATGATAGCACAAGGACATGTCATGTACATTTAAAGACTGGAGTCACTATCAATCAACTTTTCAAATTAACAAACTAAGACTAGAAAGTGACTCCCTTATTCTGTACAAGATACCTGTATCAATTTCCTTTGCTGTTGTAGCAAATTACACAAACCTCCTGGAATAAATACCACAAAATTATTTTCTTACTGTTAGAACTCTGATACGGGTCTTACTGGGCTAGAATCAGGAGGTCAACAGGACTGTGTTCCATCTGGATGCTCTGCAGAAGAATCTATTTCCTTGTCTTTGTCTTTTCCAGCTTCTAGAGGTCACCCACATTCTTTGCTCAAAGTCCATTCTTCCATCTTCAAAGCCAGCAATAAAGGTTGAGTCTTTCCCATGCTGCCATCTCTCCTGTTTTCTCTCTTCTGCCATCCTCCTCCATTTATAAGAACCCTTGTGATTATATAAAGCCTATGCAAATAATCCTGGATAATCTCCTCATCTCAAGGTCATCTGATTAGCAACTTTAATTCCCCTTTACGATGTAACATATCATATGCACAGGTTAGGGATTATTAAATAGAATATGGACATCTTGGTGGGGTTGGGCATTATTCTGCCTACCACAGTATCTAAAAAAAGCCTATAGCATATATCAGAAGCTTCTGTTTTGAAACCAGGACTAATGAGAATGCCCACTGTCACTGCTTCAGTTCAAGACTAGGATAAAAGTTTTCTAGTTGTCAATACAGTGTTCCTTGGACTATACCACACTGTCATTACTAGTTTCTAAAATGCAAGCACGGTCCTAATAAAGACAATCTGCTCAGAGGTTACACATAAACATGCAAATACATGTCTTGAGTAAAAGCTAAATCAGAGCTAGCAAATGCATGGCACTGTGCCTCCTGCCCAACTCTTGGGCCCCTGGTGAATGTTGTTCATACAGCACTGTGCTTTCTCCCACAGATCAGGAGTAAAAATGCAGAATCCTTCCCAATATATTATTTGCAGCAACCACAACTGGTGGATAAGTGTTGGCACGTGAAACAAAATCTATTTTCCAATCTTGATCTAGATAATTAAAACCTGATATATAAAGAAATGAGAACAGTCAGCTCCTTTTGTTCTAAACCACACACAACAAAGTGGAAGTGGGAAGTTTTACAACCAGAAGATTTAATTTCCTAAAGATGCCACAGACCTTTAAATTAGTATTTAATAAACCTCTAAGGGCAGTGGAATAATTTTCCCTTGACTCGCTTTATTCTTGATACAAAAAGAGCAACCTATAATTAGCAGCACGATCTGCTTAAACTAGCATCTTTTTCTTAGTGCCTAAGGATTAGACACTAAGGTAAAGGTACTGAAGCACTAGTTTATTAAAGTAGTCAGTTAATAGAAGATGCTAACAGCTCAAATACTTTTTTATTCATAAAGAAAGCAAATTGAAAAATTCAGGCAAATATAAACTATTTTATTTCTCAAATTAATTGTTAAATGAGATTAGAAAACTAAACCTTTCTAAACCATCTGCAAGTTCCCAAAGAAAAATAATATCACTGATGATATGATTCCATACTTAGAAAACCCTAAGAACTCCACAAAAAGGCTATTAGAAATGAAAAATAAATGATTGTAACAAGGTTTCAGGATACAAAAATCAATATACCAAAATCTGTGGCATTTCTACACATCAATAACGTCCAGGCTGAGACTCAAATCAAGAACACAGTCCCATTTACAATAGCCACAAAGGAAATGAAATATCTAGGAATACAGCTAACCAAGAAGGTGAACAATCTCTACAAGGAGAACAAAACACTGCTGAAAGAAATCAGAGACAACACAAACAAATAGAAAAACATTCTATGCTTATGGATTGGAAGAACCAATATCATTAAGATGTCCATACTGCCCTAAGCAATCTACAGATTCAATGCTATTCCTAGCAAACTACCAACATCATTCTTCACAGAATTAGGGAAAAAACTATTCTAAAATTCATATGGAACCAAAAAAAGAGGTCAAATATCCAAAGCGATCTTAAGCAAAAAGAACAAAGCCAGAAACATCACACTACCTAACTTCAAACTATACTATAAGGCTACAGTAACCAAAACAGCAAGGTACTATACAAAAATAGGCACATACACAATGGAACAGAATAGAAAATTCAGAAATAAAGCTGCACACCTACAACCATCTCATCTTTGACCAGGCCAACAAAAACAAGCAATAGGAAAAAGACTCCCTATTCAATGAATGATGATGGGATAGCTGGCTAGCCATATGCAGAAAATGAAACTAGTCCCTCCTTACCTTTCACCATATACAAAAATTAACTCAAGATGGATTAAAGATTTAAATATAAGAACTCAAAATATAAAAATCCTAGAGAAAACCTAGGAAATACCCTTCTCAATATTAGCCTTGGCAAAGAATTTTTGGCTAAGTCTCCAAAAGCAATTGTAACAAAAACAAAAATTAACAAGTGGGACTTAATTAAACTAAAGAGCTAGTGTAGCAAAAGGCACTGTCAGCAGAGTAAACAGATAGCCTACAGAATGGGAAAAAATGTTTGCAAACAATGCATCCAACAAAGGTTTAGTATCCAGAATCTACAAGGAACTTAAATCAATCAGCAAGCAAAAAATAACCCTATTACAAAATGGGCAAAGGACATGAACAGACACTTCTCAAAAGAAGGCATACAAGTGGCCAAGAAACATGAAAAAAATGCTCATCATCACTAGTCATCAGAGAAATGCAAATCAAAACCACAATGAGCTACTACCTCACATCAGTCCAAATGGTTATTACTAAAAAGTCAAAAAACAACAGATGATGCTGAGGCTGTGGAGAAAAGGGAACACTTGTACACTGTTGGCAGAAATGAAAATGATTTCAGCCACTGTGGAATGCAGTTTAGAGATTTCCCAAAGAATTTAAAACAGAGTTACCACCCAGCAATCCCATTATTGGGTATATACTCAAAGGAAAATAGATCATTCTACCAAAAAGACATGTATGTTCATTGCTATGCTATTTATAATAGCAAAGACATGGTATCAACCTAGGTGCTCATCAATGGTAGACTGAATAAATAAAATGTGGTACATATACACAATGGAATACTATGCAGCCATAAAAGGAATAAAATCATTAACTTTGCAGCAACGTGGATGGAGGTGGAGGCCACAGTCTTAAGTGAATTAATGCAGGAACTGAAATCCAAATACTGCATATTCTCATTCATAAGTGGGAGCTAAGCATTGAGCACACCTAGACATAAACATGGGAACAATAGACACTGCAAGCTGTTAAGGATGGGGACATAGGTTGAAAAATTACCTATTGGATACTATGCTCGCTACCTGGGTGCAATATACCCCTGTAACAAACCTGCACATGTACCTCCTGTATCTAAAATAAAAGTTGAAATTTTAAATAATAATAACAGTATAGCTCCTAGAATCCAGCTTCCCTTAAATCTATGTACTGCCTTTCTCAGAACCCGGAACCTACCACATGAATTTATGAAAATAGAGACTACTTTCTTATCCAAATTTGTAGTACAGTTTTTAAATACTAATTGCCCTCAAACTGATCTGCTTTTCCACTTTAGGATGATACTGAATCTTAACTTTCTTCTCTTCGGTGGGGAAAAATCCCATAGAGTATCCTCTAAGACACTTTTACATACAATGAACATCACATACCACTCAGGGAAAAAAATGTATTCTATTTCTGAAATTACTCAGACAGAGCCTAGATTTCATCACAAACTAGCTTTCCTCGGTATAAGAAATTCCCTAAATAAGGTTGACAAAATTTAAATTTTCCTGTAGCTGAGTTTAATAGATAGAATCTTCAAAGAATGGCAGGATTTCTTTGGCTGATTCCTACCCTATTATGAATCTGGGAACTTTTGAAAGTTAGGAGGAAGGTAAGAGGTGAGATAGTCAGGCTAATCTATTTTTTCTTTTTAAGGTGTAAGTCTATTTGTCACTGCTTTGTGTAAAGCCATTCTGTTGCTACCCACCACATTTAGGAACAAAACTGAACTCCTTAGCATGACCTATCAGGTGCTGCATCAGCTAGCTCTATCCTGCTTCCCTCTCTAGCCTTCTATCATTCCACCACTGTTCACTGGTCTTTCTCACACCAGCCTTTCTGCTGTTCTTAGGTAGGCCGAGCTCATTCGTGACTCAGGACCTTTGCACTAGCAATATCCCTCTTTCTGAAATAGTCCTCCCTGACATCCTCAAGTGATGTGTTCTTTCATTCCATTTGGGTCACCAGTGAAACATCACCCACTGACTGAGGTTCTTCCTGATGACCCCACTAAGAGATCCCTCTCCCTTTATTTTCTTCATAACACTTATTACCATGTACTTGTTTATTCTGTCTGCTCTGCTGAAATATAAGTTTCAGGAGGGCAAGGAGGAACCAGACATCAGAAGAGTTCCTGGTACTCAGTGAAAGCTCAATAAATGTGTAAGTGCTTTAAACGAATATCATTTCAATAGGGGGAAAAAGGTCCATGGTTTTTACAAAGGCATACACTTTGTAGGTCAGTTCCCTAATCCCTAGATGAGTTTCTAACCCTCTAAAATCACATTAATCCCTCTATTTTATTCCCCTCCCCCATTGGAATAGGTGACCCAAAAAGTCTTTTGGGAAATGGTAAATGCCCTTTTACTGTGATATATTTGAATTGTGACATTATAAGAACACCCTTCTCTAAAAAGTAGTTGTGAATTAAACAGGGGAAGATGAAGAAAGATGAGATAAAATATAAATGTGGGGGTTTAGGCATGTTTGAATGTCACAGCTTGTATAAAATCTTTTCTTCCTTTTACCAAAGTAATACATCCATATGGAAGATCTAGACAATATAATAGCCGTGAAGAAAATAAAAGTTGATCATAATTCCCTCAATCAGATAGTCACTGTTAAAATTTTTGTCTTATATATTTACAGTTTTGTTTTCCATTTGTGCATGTAGAAACTTTTAAAAAATAGGTCTTGCTATGCATCTATGTTTGTAAACTGCTGTTTAAAAAATCTAATTATATTTTTATGCCACTAACTATCCATCCTTAGCTTGATTTTAATTAATTTATTCAACAAATATCTATTGGGCTTTACTGAATTCTTGTTCTTGAGGAAAGCAGATGAGGTTCCCTGGAGTCAAACACTTTCACTGCAGCCAATCATGGAGAAACAGAAACTTCAGGTCAGTTGTTTTAGAATGCAAAAGGACAAGAAGATCAAAATTTTGGATAACTCAAAATTATTTTTAGTTAAATTAAGAGTTTTAAGATGACGCTTGACAGAACACAGGATGAGTCAGTCCAGAATAGTTGTCCAGGACTCAAAATGCTTATTGATTAAAATAGAATACATCCTACTAGAATCATTTTAAGATTGAGAGCAAGATGAAAAGGACGTTAAAGGGAGAGGGAAGGAGGAAGAGTGGAGAGAGTAGTAGACACACAAGAACTGTTCTCCACTTGGGAAAATAAGCCACTTGTCCACAGCCTCAAAACCAAAAGAAAGGCTAATCAGAGATAACAGGGGAATAGAACCCAGAGGGCCAACTGACACCAAGAAAATAGCTTTAACTTACATCAAAGAGGGCTTTAAAATGGAGAAGCAATCCTTCTCCTTCCAGGACCAACAAGAGCTGAAAGAGAGGTTTCAGCCTCTAAGATGTGGGTGGAACAGGAAAATAATGATGTCTGGGGCTTGGAGAAGGGAGGGTCCTGCAGATGGCAAGAGGTGGAGTGTAGCAAATGCTTCAAAGAAAGCACTGAATTATTTAGCCATGTGCCACATTCCTGCAGTAAGACTACCAAGAAAATAGGTAAGAAGAGGGAAAATGTTATTGGTTACTTTAAGCAAGGAGGATCAGCTGAAAGGGAGACTGCCTTACCTTCTGGCATTTAACAGAGCTTTATATAAGCTGTAGGCTACCTCTTATAGGTGCTCCAGTTGGTCAGGGAAGAGAAGGAAGAAGGACACACAAATGTGTTCAGAAAGCAAATGCTCCGTTTCTATTCTCAGAAGATGGCCTAAGGATAAGATGGACAAGAAGAGTACATTCTGTGGGTATGAATCTTGCATCAAGGGGAAAAAGACAGTTTAAGCAAACCTGGGAGATGTTTACCCAGAGTAATGGGTGCTTTGGGCTTCGACCTTGCAACTCATGGTCACATAGGTGTTGGAAAAGAATGTGTTTATGAGTTACGTAGGGGTTGCAGAAAAAAATCACACATGTCCCAAGTGAATAGCATGAGACTATTCTTTTGATCCCCAGGTGAAACACCCTTTCTCTTTTTTTTTTCTTTCTTTTTTTTTAATAAGGTTCTCATGGTGAAGAAACACCCTTTCTAATTCCTTCTTTACCCATCCCCTACCTGCCACCCAACCAATCCCTGGCAAATGCAGTCTCTCTCAATCTGGATTGACCACAGCTTTTATGTGAAACTTACAAGAGTCCAATATCTGGGTATATAATCATCTATGCAAATGTCATATCTCTTTGTCTTTACCCCGAAGTTCCTAAGGGTAGAGTCCTTGCATGATTTATTTTATTTTATTTTATTTCATTTTACTTTATTTTTTGAGGTGGAGTCTCACTCTTGTTGCCCAGGCTGCAGTGCAATGGCGCGATCTCGGCTCACCAGAACCTCCACCTTCCGGGTTCAAGGGATACTCCTGCCTCAGCTCCCTGAGTATCTGGGATTGCAGGCATGCGCCACCATACCCGGCTAATTTTTTGAATTTTTAGTAGAGATGGGGTTTCTCCATTTTGGTCAGGCTGGTCTCGAACTCCTGACCTCAGGTGATCCGCCAGCCTTGGCCTCCCAAAGTACTGGGATTACAGGCATGAGCCACCGCACCTGGCCCCTTGCATGATTTATAACTGAAGCTCCGCAAGACTAAGACAAATGCTGTGCACTCAATCAGTGTTTGTTAAATGACTATCTATGTAACCTCTGTCTCCTGTACGACAAAGCACAGATCCTACACAGCCCCTCTGTAGAAGTCCAAGCAATGTCATATGTGTGCTCACAGAGAATGAATAAATGAATCCTGGTTTTCTAGGCTTCCCTTCCTGCCCTGACCCTTCACCACAAAACCTTGTTTGGTGCTGATCACACTGTCATTCCCACCAAGTGTGATGCCAAGAAGGGAGAATAGCACAGGGTCTAAGACCTCGGGCTCTGTCCTAGACTGGCAGGGTTGGAAATGCTGTGTGCCTTTCTAGCTGTGTGGTTGCTTTTTTCATTGTGAAATGGGGATTACAATAATATTTACCACCTGGGATTGCTTCCTGTCGATTACATGAGTTATATGGAAAGTTCTTGGGGCCTGGCGCTAGATCGGCTCTGTCAGTGTTACTATGATGACTGTTTCCTCTTTCAGTCAGTGCCTTGGTCCTGACGTCCTGGAGCCCTCACAGAGTTCTCAGTTGAAGGCAATAAGACTATCTTTCTCTAACTTTAAATGCTACATTCTTTTTTGAGTTACCCAAGCAGTGGGTATCATTGTTCCCTAATACCCATTGGAATTTATAATGTGTTTATTCACAGATCCCTCTCTCTTCCTGGAGTCCCGGATTGACGTTCATGCGTGGCTAGGGTGAGGACAATGTATGATTGCATTCCGAAGTGCCCCTCTGCCCTCACCTCTGAGGATCTGTTCCTGAGTTAGCTTCGCTCAGTTCTCTTCTGTGAGGAGGACGTCTCACTCGTGAGGGCTTCTCAGTTGTTTATATAAATAGACTTTGCCCACCCCAGATTACGAGGCACACCTGCACTTGTTCAAATCTGACGCCACTGAGCCCTCCCTTCTGAACTCTGACCGAGTGCTCATGTATATTGTATCCCTGCATGCCTTTGAACTATAATAATAATTAAATAGCACTTGGACTATCACATGAGGTAAATGACAACAGACAGAATGAGGCAAGGAGGGGAACTGAAAGGTGAGATGTTTTCTGAGGTCAACTTGCCTTTCGAGTTCAAATGAATAAACCAGAATGCCCATTTCTCTTGCTGTAGGAAAGCTAGCGGCCCTGCAGTCTCCCCAGGGAAACACATACTTTTCTCCTCGGGATATCTGGCTCCAAATTTCTGCACTCCCTCAGTTCATTCCAGTTTTGGAACATCTTGCCATGCAGCCCATGGCACCCCTTCAGCATACTACTTCACCCATGCTGGACACCACCCCAATCCCTTCATTCCCCAAAATGTCACCAACACGAAGGTACAAACAGAGCAGGTTTGGACTAAAAATTTCAAGAAATGGAAAGACTTTACATTACATCACAGCCAATAATTTAAAATCAAGTATTAGCTCCTATTCCATTTTTGGTTTGGTTTGGTTTTTTTAATAGAGACAGAATCTTGCTATGTTAGCCAGCCTGGACTTGAACTTCTGGGCTCAAGGGATTCTCTTGTCTCAGTCTCCTGAGTAGCTGGGACTACAGGTGCATGCCACCATGCCTGGCATCAACTATTGTTCAAGTATTTTGACTACCTTTCCACGTAGTTTTCCTTCAGGTCTCTTTTCTCCTGTGCAGTCCATCATGTTGGGACCTCCTTCCTGCTCTCCTCTGACCTCCTCCTCTCCCAGCAGGCGGTTTAGCACCCGCCTCCCCACCCACAAAGCCCTCGTAACTCTTTCAGCAGAGCAGTTTGCCATCTCATTGTTAAACATTTTCCTGATCATAACCCTGAGACTGTACCTCCCACCCCCACAGCATAACAGGTCTCATTAAAGCTGGTTATTCAAATAACATTTTTTTGACCTGCTATAGCTGGAAAAGAAAAAATATTGGGACCAGGCACTGTGTCTCATGCCTTTAATGCCAGCACTTTGGGAGGCCAAAGAGGGTGGATCACTTGAGCCCAGACATTCAAGATCAGCCTGGGCAACATGGCAAAACCACCAAATCGCTACAAAAATTAGCTGGGTATGGTGGTGTGTGCCTGTAATTCCAGCTACTTGGGAGGCTGAGGTAGGAGGATTGCTTGGCCCCAGGAGGTCGAGGCTGCAGGGAGCCACGATGATGCTGCGGCACTTCAACCCAGTTGACAGAGTGAGACCCTATCTAAAAAAAAAAAGAAAGAAAAAAAGAGAGAGAGCGAGAACATTGGGAGAGTCTATAGACTGAAGTTGCAGTCTTTGGAGAAAAAAAAATCTCTTTAGTACCCCTGAGGATGGTCCTTCATCCATGACTTCTGGCAGTGGAGAATCCAGATCCACAGTTGGAGAGCAAGTGAAGGCACACTTCTGTGAACGATGAAATGTGTAAGAAAATGTGTTACAACAAGAAGGAAAGCACACCTGGACATGACAAACATATGAATCCTAAGCTACACAAAACAGCATGAAACCCATTCTTGCTGAAATAAAACCCCATCTGTCCCACACAATCATTTCTCCCTTATTAAATAAGATGCCAAGTTGCTTTCATCAGATTGGCATTTGGCCGATTCAAGAACAAGCATCAGAATCTCCCTAAGTTTGTTCCTGGATATGAACAATGGTGATTACTGCTGTTGTTTGTGGAACTTCCCTGTCAAAGCAGCTGAGTGATTGGCAATAGGCAGGCAAGAGAAAGGCAGAGCAAAGGATGCCAGTATCTATTGCAGTCATTTGCCAGTATAACGTAGGCTTGTCAATTATCTTGTCATGCAGCAACTTATGTTGAGTTTAAAAACAGTAAATGTCATACAAAAGTATAAGTGATTTATATATGAGACTACAGGAACACTTAAAATCTGCAATGCAATAAAATGAGATACACCAACAGATTGCATGTTTTGTGGTTATTACCACAGAGAAAAAAAAAAAGAAAAAACAAAAAAGCCTTGAGAAAATAACTATCTGAGAGCAATCAGCTCTAAAGCACGAACCAGAACCACTTCCCACTTCACCCCCTTCCCCAACTCTAAGACCATTTGATCGATCAATCTGACTATCTAATAATGCTTTAGTACTTTAAGTAACAAAAGCTATAGCACTCAAATCAAAAGCCAGGCTGTTGTCTACTGCACTTTGCAGCCTCACAATACACCATCTGACAAAATGCAAAAGGCCTTGCTAAAGGCAGAGGGAACATAACAACAACAACAACAACAACAACAAAAACACAGAAAATTCAAGATGGGTTATAAGCTATTGCTAAAGTGACCATACATAGGGTGACCTATTTTGAAACAGACAATCTTCCATTTGTTTTTAGAAGCTTGTTCTTTGGAATCACATTTTTAAATGAAGCATTGAAATGTTTGGCTTTATTGTTAGATCTGTTACCAAGAACAAAACAAGTTGAGAGACAAGAAATCAGAAATTGGTCACACACCTAAGCTTCTCTTATTTTTCATTCCCTGCTCTGCTATTCCATCATGGAGGCTGCTTTGATCTAGTGCTTCTATTACTTCCTATCTGTTGACATGACTTTAATCTATCTCTCCACTTCCCTCTCGACTACTCTCAGCTTTGTTCTCAGTCTTCCTGTGTAAATTCTAACCTGTTTGCCTAGCTATTTTGCCCTCCAGATTGGCTTCTTGCACCTGGCTTACACATTTTATTCTTTCTGTCCTGTTTACATATCCACGCTGCCTGGGCAGTTTCCTATTTTGCCATTTCGCCTCATAGTCCTTGGATTGTCTTTACTACTTTTTTTTTTATCCTGCTATTTTTTCTACAGTACTTTTACTGTGGTTGCTTTCATTGTATGTTCCTATAATACAGTCCACAAGCTAGTCACCAAATGTTCAATTCAACGGTTTGGTTTCATTGCTGCACAGCTAATTTTCCCAGCCAAAATTTCTGCCTTCCCTTTCCACCTTGATACTTCTGCACAAAGCCAGGGCACCTCAGCTCAGGCAGCAAGTGACTATACATAATTAAACATAATACAAAACAACCCTACATGATTACGGCCTGTCATGAAGAAACACTGCATTCTTTATTTGACAAAAGAGAAACATGAGAGGTTTTTTCAAGACCAAAGTGCATGGTCCAGGCACTATATCTAAACTATTCTATTAATTATTGTTATTTTTATGAACTTCATTGAACATTAACAAATTCAAATGCAAGAAATGAGGGTTATCTTTAGGAAGGGAAATATGGAAGACTCCAACCTGAAGGTTCACCTTTGTTTTTTAATCATTTCCTGGCAACCTCAGCAGTTTATGAGGCAGGGCAGTCTTCATGGCACTCTTTGTGTGTGTGTGCTTTTATATTGTGATAATTTGACAGACCACCATATCTGTATATCTTACAGTTAAACCACCATACCTCAGTATATCTTATGCCTTATTGTTTTATTTTAAAAAGTTTAAAGGGGTTATTTTACCTAAAGAACATAGACATCTCTTTAAAATGTACGACTCTCTGTTTGACATATACTGCTACACTCTTTGACATCATCAAGGAAAACTAGAATATAAACTAAGATTACATATAGTAAGCCATTATCTCACAAGCCCTAAAAGTCTCCCTTATCACAAGAGAGGTAGGTTCTGCTGAGAGGCACATTGATTCCTTTATTTATCACTCACTGGCACTCCTGATGGGTTGGGTACAAGTGGCAGGGTTCATGACTCCTGGTAGTTTACTTTCTAAAATGGAAGGATATCACAAATATAAAAAGAAATAACTGCTATGCAAATAAACATGAATAAAAGATACCCAAGGAAAGCTCTTCAGCAGAGATAAACATTAATACTTTTACCAAGGAAATTACATAAAGGTGGGGGTATGTCTGAAATCAGACATAATTGAGTTCAGATCCCACATCTACTGCTACTAATTGTGAGAACCATGGCAAGTTATTTAATTTATATGATCTTCTTTTCTTTTGTTTTCATCTGGTAGAAAGGGATAATTTCAAATACAGTCATCCCTCAGTACCCATGGTGAGATTGGTTCCAGGATCCCAACAGACACCAAAATCTGCAGATGCTCAAGTCTCTGTTATAAAATGGCATAGTATTTGCATATAACCTACACACCTCCTCTCATACATTTTAAATCATCGCTAAATTACCTATCATGTCTGACACAATGTAAATGCTATGTAAATAGTTATTTGTACTCTATTATTTAGGGGAATCGTGACAAGAAAAAAAGTCTGTACATGTTCAAATACAACCATCCCTTTTTTCTTTTTCAAATATTTTTAAATCTACAGTTGGTTGAAACTACAGATGCAGAACCCATGGATACATAGGGCCAAATGGATCTTCAAAATTAAAAGCAGTAACATAAATTAAAAGGTTTAATAAATGCTATCTCTCTTTTTCTCTTCCATTGATGCTATTCAAAATGTTGGTTATACCATAGCCCCTACTGATCACTCTCCAGAATACTGGCCTCCTTCTGTTCCCTAAACCTAACCAAAGTGTCTCCCCAGGGCCTTTGCGCTTGTTCTTTCCTGTGCCTGGAGGACTCATCACCAAGAGCTTCTCATGGCTAACTGCTGGCAATTCACCTCTCAGCCCAAATCTTCCACCTTTGGAAGAAAAGCTGCCCGTGCTCCAATTGCTCCCTATCCTATTACACTTTCATCATCTGTGTAGTACTTACTGCCACATGAGCTCATCTTATTATTTGTTAGTGTCATTGTTTATTGACTGGTCCTCCTCCTACACACACACACACACACACAGAGAGAGAGAGAGATAAGATTAGTCTCCATGAAAAAAGAGAACTTGAATGCCTCATTCACTGCCAGACCAGCACAGGGTTTAGACATGACTCTGAGCAATGGAGAGTTAAGGGAGTGAATGAGAAGGTTATCATCTTAAAAAGATTACTCTGGCCACAGTGTGAGCAATGAATTGATTGTGGAAGAGGCAAAACCATAAAAACAGTCAAAAGATCAGTGACTAACAGGGATTAGTGAGAAGGAGAAATCAATAGGCAGAGCACAGAGGGTTTTTAGGGCAGCAAAAATACCTTATATGAAAGTATAATGGTAGATACACGTCACTACGTATTTCTCAAAACCCATACAATGTACAACACTAAGAGTGAGCTTTAATGTAAACCGTGGACTTTGGGTGATAATAGTGTGTCCATACAAGTTCGCCAGTTATAACAAATGTACCACTGTGGAGGGAGATGCTGGTAGTCGGGGAGGTTGTACATGTGTGGGCACAGAGGGTATATGGAAACTCTGTATACTTTCTGCCAGATATGCTGTGAATGTAAAACTGCTATAAAAGGTAAAAAGTATATTGTTAAAAAAGGAAAAAATAAGTTGGAGAAGCCAAAACTCTAGACAGGGAGAGTCGAACAGAATAGTGCCCTAATCAGGTAAGATTCACGTTACAGGTAGGTTTATATCCTCATTTTGCATAAATGCCCCTCTTGATGCAGAACTCCTTGGCAGGGACACACCACCATGGCTAGCATCTTCCTGGAGTTAGTATAGTGGGTCTTTTACCTACATTGATCTATCTCTTTTGCTTTTTATTAATTAAAAACATTTTATTAATTTGAACAGTCAGTTCGTATAATAGGCTTTTAATGAGTTACAGTCACTAGTTCCCAAAAATATTTCACATAAAATACTGTCAAAACACATTTTTCTCCATCTTATATTTTTACAAATCTTCAGTGATTTCAGACCAACCTGCTAGGCTATTGTGACATTTTTGATTCCTCATTCATCCAATACAATAATTGGCTGGTCCATCCTTCCAAGATGTGTGTTGCCCACATATTTTACATGCATTCCTTCTATATTTTAATCCCATTGCAGTAAATGATTATAAGCAACTAGAGATTGTAGAGACTTTTAGAACCTACAAATACTCTTCACCTGTCATTTCAAGCTGTGTTCTATACACTAAATTATACTACAAGGAAGAGACTGTCTAGGAATTTTGTGAAAAAATTGATCAGTATAGTGCCAAGAGGTTTCTGTGGGACAAACCTAGAGAATCCATTCATTTTTATATCAATGCATTAATCAAATCTCTTTGATTTTAGTGGTTTTAGTTGATGAATCACATTTCTCCATCTTGTCTGTAAGGTTATCAAGAGACAACTCATTGAAATTGGTGATTGTGTTGAGACTAAGGTTGTAGTGACAACTGTCTAAATGCCAGACACCATTCTAGGTGAATACAGCACTAATCAAAAGTGTCACAAATCCCTGCCTTCATGGAGTTTACATTCTACAGGAATGACATTCTAGTGGTACCTGAATTCTGGCCTTTTCTTTTCTTTTTTTTTTTTTTTTTGAGATGGAGTCTTGCTTTGTTGCCCAGGCTGGAGTGTAGTGGTGTGATCTCAGCTCATTCCAACCTCCGCCTCCCAGGTTCAAGCGATTCTCCTGCCTCAGCCTCCCGAGTAGCTGGGACTACAGTCACGCGCCACCATGCCCGGCTAATTTTTGTATTTTTAGTAGAGACGGGGATTCAGCACGTAAGCCGGATGGTCTCGATCTCTTGACCTCGTGATCTGCCTGCTTTGGCCTCCCAAAGTGCTGAGATTACAGGCGTGAGCCACTGCACCTGGCCAATTCTGGCCTTTTCTATAAACCAGTTTATTCTGTTGAGTTAGCCTTTCTTTTGGGATTTCCAGGTCAGGATACACTTAAAAGTGTATGCTGTTTCTTTGTATTTGTGCTTGATACCTTGCCTAGTTTCATTTTATACATGCCCTTTTAAAATTCTGAACTCAACAGACTGGTTCTGAGACGGAGGCATTTATTTCTTTGGATGCCTCCCCTGACTTCATGCTGCTCATGACCACAGCTGGGGACAGAGAGATTTGCCTCCAGTCCTGGCTTTCCCACTTATTGGCTGTTACTAGAGCAAATTACTCTACCTCTCACAGCCTGTTTTCTCATCTATAAAATATGAAGAATCAGACAAACTGCAGAGCATTGTTGTGAAGAGTAAATGAGCTAACTGATATGGTACATCTAGCAAGGTGCCCAGCCATAAAGGAAACCCTCAGCATTTCTTTGTAGCAGGTCTAACCCTCTTGATTTATGCTTTCATTGTGAGTTTCTGACAATGTCATCAGATTTTTTCTTTATGAAGTTGTAAATCTATGTTCCAGTTTAAAATGTCACTTTCTCCTAGATACCATCTTTATTCCTCTATGTCTGTATGAGGCCAGTAACCCAGGCATCCACTGTCTCACCTATAAGATGGTGGGCTCCAAGAGGGCCAGGAGCTTGGTTTTATGTCTTTCTTCCAGTTGAATTTCCAGCAATTAATGCAATGCCGAGCACATAAAGGGCATGCAAATACTTGCTGAAGGAACTGTCTCAGTTTAGGAGATACATGTACCTATGCCTGCTCTTCCTTACTCCATTAATACTAACTCAAGGATGAAAAGGCACTCTCTCAGCTACCGTCACTTATAAAACACTAACCACATCTTCTTGTACATCAGAATTAAGTAAAAAAAAATCTCCTAATTGATGCTGTGCAATTTGAGTGATGATATTTCCATCTTACTAAACATAGGAATAAACTACATTTGTCTTGAAAGCTTAATGTGCACTAAAACTATTCTTGTGACTAATACATTAATGTTTGTGGAGATTCTTATGGTTGTTTTCACAGGTGTGCTTGAGCACAAAAATATGGAAGCACTTTATATGCAATAGTTGATTTCTGCCTGTTATGTGTTAAAGTCTAAAAATGACAGTCTACCAAGTAAGCATGTTAGCACTAGGTCTTATATAAATTAGTAGCCTAGCCCTATAGATTATAAGGGTAATCTATAAGCATTTATTGAGTTATAAGTATTTATTAGAATACTGTTATGTGCATAGCACTGTAGTAATTACTATGATAATACAAAAAAAACTATCCAAAGAGCATATTTATATTAAAGGATACAAATGACACTTCAGCTAAATAAACCTGAGAGATCAGTGGCGTATTATATTGTTAAAGTCCAGTTTGATACCACAGTCTTGGGCAATCTATACAAAGGAAACAAGAGTAACAAATACTAGGTTTTGTAGCTACGAATGTAAAAAATGTCAATGACAATCTACCAAACCCAGTCCTGAGAGGTGACAGCGTGCTGGCAGTCCTCAGAGCCCTCGCTTTCTCTCGGCACCTCTTGTGCCTGGTCTCCCACTTTGGCGGCATTGGAGGAGCCCTTCAGCCCACCACTGCACTGTGGGAGCCCCTTTCTGGGCTGGCCAAGGCTGGAGCCTGCTCCCTCAGCTTGTAGGGAGGTGTGGAGGGAGAGGCGAGAGCGGGAACCGGGGCTGCGTGTGAGCCAGCGAGACCACGAACCCACCAGAAGGAAGAAACTCCGAACACATCTGAACATCAGAAGGGACAGACTCCAGACGCGCCACCTTAAGAGCTGTAACACTCACCGCGAGGGTCCGCGGCTTCATTCTTGAAGTCAGTGAGACCAAGAACCCACCAATTCCGGACACAATCCCACACGTATACCTCCTTGGTTTACTTCCATTATCCTGTGATGAAAGGAAAACAGACAAGGACATGTCTTTATAAACAATATTATAGGCATCACTATCTGAGAGATTATCTGATAATGGAATCATTGTTAGGAAAGACATAGGAATGGTCTAAGAGAGACATTTATGTATGTCTGTGTTATTTTCCCCCCATCACTGAAATGTATCTCTTAGTGATTGCTTATCTTACAACACAGCATGCTGAGTATGTATTCTCTATTAAATATCTGCTAGAATTTCTCAAGTTCAATAAGTTAGAGATGGCAGACAGGACTGAAGAGGGGCCTGTGTACATGGATTCTCCTTACCTAGTCTGGCACAATCTTTTATTTTCAGGATTCAGATTAATCCAAATACAATTAGAAATCCAACATCCACTAAAAAGCAACCTCCCTTAAAATAGCCCTCTAAGAGAAAAATCCTTAGGACCTATATACATGAAAATTTATACAACATTTTACACAGATATACAACTTTTACTAAGTAGTGATTCACAAGTTATTATTGTTTTAGCTTGGGATAGAAAGAGCTGATCTCTATTATGTCATGAATGCATTTTTTCTGTTTATCATTTCTTTGAGGTATTTAGGTAAATGATCTGTAAGGGACATTTTGATAAACACTTTTAAGGCTATAAAAATTCTTTCAAATACTAGCCAAAAATGTAAGCAACTTCATATATAACATGAAATCATTAGAGATAATCATGAGGTAAGTAAATGACAAATAGGTAACAAGTGTCATGTAATATTGAAACTGCCATTTTCTGAAACACGGAGTCAGCAAAATATAACCCACTGGCCAAATATGGGCTGTTACTTGTTTTTGTAAATGATGTTTTACTGGAACATGGCCATGTCCTCTGCTTTTCTACTACAATGACTTTGTTGAGTAGATGTCACAGAGACTGAATAGCCTTCAAAGCCTTAACATATGTATTATCTGGCCCTCTACATAAAAAGTTTGCTGACCTTTGCTCTGGAATATATAACTAATGTTCTAGCCAAAAAAAAGGATAATCTCTTTAGTAGATAAAATATATTTTAGTAATCACCAAAGCCAAATCAAATTGAAAGACTATAGAGTGTAGGTATAATATTCAAGCTTTATTGTTATAAAAAGACTTCAATAAACTCACCAATTAGTAGTTATAGTTGATACTTGTTCATAGCCACGTTACATATATCATTTCTAGTTTTCAAAACAACCCTCCAGGTGACAATTGGACATGTTCATTTTACAGCTGAGAAAGTCGAAACCAAGAAAACGTACTGAAGACTACTGTTATGGACTAGATGTTTGCCTCCCCCTAAAATTCACATGTTGAAGCCCTAATCTCTAATGTGATGATATTTGGAGATGGTGGCTTTCGGAGGTAATTTGGTTTCAATGAGGTCATGAGGGTGGACTTCTCATGATGGGATTAGTGCCCTTACAGGAAGAGACCAGAGAGTTTGTCCTCTCTCTGTGTCTTTCTCTCTCTCTTCACTATGCAGGATACAGAAAAATAAATAAATAAAAATTTAAAGAAGACCCTCTGTAAGTCAAAGAGAACCTAAACAACCAGGCTGGCACCCCGAGCTCAGTCTTCCAGTCTTGAGAACTGTGAGAAATAAATGTTTGCTGGTTAAGCCACCCAGTCTATGGTGTTTTGTTATGGGCAGTCTCAGAAGACTGATACAGACACACAGATCTATTCAGCTCCAAATTTGGCATTTCAGGTGTCTCCTTAGCTCCAAATTTGGCATTTCAGGTGTCTCCTTAGCTCCAAATTTGGCATTTCAGGTGTCTCCTTAACATTTTAAAGAAGGCACATCAGGAACATTCGCCATAAGCAGTACTAGCATGAATTGATATCATAAGTAGCTCCAACATGCTTCTGCACCCTGCACTGAGAAAATGCTAATATAAAAATTACTTCTGGAGACTTCTCATTAAAAATGAAGGAGTAAACGCATTTATTTCTGCTCCACTTTCTTCTCTGAAACCAGTTGAAAAATGAGAAAATAAAACACAGTAAGTAGAAATAAGACCAACTCCACACTATAATCAATGAAGAAAAGTCACCAAGTGCAATGAAATTTGATTTATATCTAGGAAGAACATTAAGCAACAACACAAGGAGCTCTTGTCAAATGGTCCATGATTTATTTATCTGCTAGTTTGTTTTTCTTCAAGTCAAGTCTTTGCATCAATGGGACTCATTTCTCCCCATGATCTAGTCAACTGAGCACATCAGTCTACATGCCTTGTTTAAACTAACATGAATCCCATTGAAACACCATAGAAAATGAAATAAAGAGTTGATTTTACCAGCTTGTCATAATCCCCTTCCATAGTCAGCTCTTCCTAACTTTTCTCTCTGCTTAACTTTTCAACTTCTGCTCCTTTCAGCAGTTTATATTGCCTCTTACTTTATTTCATATAAAACAGGAACAAGTAAAAATAATTGCTTTCATGTTCCTTATTACAGTTTCTATTCTTATATTAAAATCTCTATGTTGTTATAGGTCCAAAACTCCAACCAAATGGACCACTTGCTGTTCTTTTTTATACTAGGAGAATCTTACTGAAGCGCAACTTACGTGTAGTAAAATGCATAAATGCTCTATGAATTTTGGCAAACATGTACACCTATTCACATCTATATAATTATCATCCAGATAAAGATATAGAACATTTTCATCACTCTAGAAACTTCTCTCATGCCCCCTTTCCAGATAATTTACCACTATACATTGAGGTAAAAAATATTCTGATTTCTATCACTGTAGATCAGCTTTGTCTGTTCTAGAATTTCATACAAATGAAATCATTCGGTGTGCACTCTTTTGTGTCTGACTTGTTTAACACGTTTATGAGATTCATCCATAAACATTCCACATGTTTATAGTGCATGTACCAGTAGCTCATTTACTTTTATTGTGTAGACATAACACAAATTACTTACCTATTCCCTTCTTCATTAATCTTAGGATTGTGCCCAGATTTGAGCTACTATGGATAAAGCAAATATGAATATTCTTGTGAGTCTTTTTGTGAATATATGCTTTCTTTTCTTAGAGTATATACCTAGAGGTGAAATTTTTCAGTCATCAGGAAGGCATTTGTTTATGTGTTAAGTTCCACCATCCTTTGGGGTCCATTTCATTGGCCTCATCTTCCATGAAGTATTTCTAGCCCCGACTCCTGCGCTATCAGCCACAATTTATTTTTTTCTACTTTAATTTTTCTTAGCATATTTGTTTCTTCTCCTACAACTTTTTTTATTCAGGTTTTTGTATATTACATACCACGAAGGCAGGATTACGTTGTGTACTGTTGCCTTCCTCAGGCCTCAGTCACAGACAGTGCCAAGTATATAGCAAGTAACAGACTAAATATTTGTTGAATGAGGGAATGATTATTTTTATATATACTTTATCTTTTTCCAAAGATTATAAGCTCCTTGATGGCAGAAAATATGTCTCATTAACTTATATAATACCCAGAATTATCTGCACTAAAATAGTTGAATATCTGATGTGTACATATAAAAATAATTTTATATATAATATATGTACACATATATAATTATACGTGTACATATATAAAATGATTTTAAATCACTTCCAAAATACATGAATATTATAATTAA
Organism: Homo sapiens; assembly: GCF_000001405.40. Lineage (NCBI taxonomy): Eukaryota > Metazoa > Chordata > Mammalia > Primates > Hominidae > Homo > Homo sapiens. The sequence goes on along the minus strand of NC_000001.11, from coordinate 193,301,196 downwards.
ATCAAATTCAATTTGGAGGCCATGCAAATAATCAGTGGGTTTAAATTTTATCACATGGTTCTAATGGTCTACATTTTCCACCAAAAAGCTACCTTTTTGTTATACTATAATATAAGGTGAAAGTGGAGGCATAAGTGCCCTTCCCCAAATCTTTATTTCAAATCAGAGCTGATTTCATATAATGTTTTCATAATACACATATATTTAAATGTAGTCACAGAGATTCTTAAACATTAATCAAGAGCACTTAAGCATTTAGTTGTTCCAACTGATTCTCATTTGATAGAAAATTTTTGAAGAGGCTGATGTATTACAACTCAATTATTTCTTAGGATATAATTGTATTAACATTCTTAATTTTAAATTTCCAGGCATATTAAATGGCAACAATAAAATTAATGTGTAAGTGGAGGAAAGTTTCTAGCCTTTAAAATAAAATATTTTGTTCAAGATAATTGTATAGGATCATTTAAACTCATAAAGTGGGTACTTATTTTAGAAGAAAGACAAAAAAAAAACACCTTTCTGAAATGTTGCTTCATTATCTAGAATATCCATTCACCTCCTGAACTTAAAGGAATACTTCGGGATTTTTCTACATAAAGCTGTTTATTTGATGTCTTCTGATATTTTATCTGCTGTTCTAACACTTGGCTATTATGAGGAATGTCATAACACAAATGCAATTTATTGTCAGTAGAAATTTAAGAGGAGCTATGGGCTTGACATCGAATTCTAGTATTTTATTTAACTAGTTTAGTAGATGAGTTTTCAAGTAGAAAGGATTGAAAGAGGGAAAAAAATGAAATTTAAAAAGCACAACATAACAACTTTGCTTGGTAAGAGAAAAGTGTAAAACATAGGTAACTATGCCTTTGGTAATTGTTATAACAAAAATAATGTCATAAAAATTTGAAAAGAACTGCTTAGGGAAGATTGCTTAGGTGGGTTGTGTGCTTAGTCTGATACTTTAAAAAGCATGGTTTTATCATTTAAACTAGGGGTCTGAACTTTTTCTGTAAAGGGTAAGATAGTAAATTGTTTTTTGCTTTGCAGCCCATATGATCTCTGCTGCAACTACTGAACTCTGCTTTCAAAACTCCAAGCAGTCATACAAAATATGCAAACAAATGGGCATGACTGTCTCAGTTTTATTTCTACTTTAAGTAGACTCTTTTTTTTTTTTTTTTTTGAGACAGAATCTCACTCTATCGCCCAGGCTGGAGTGCAGTAGTGCAATCTCGGCTCACTGCAACCTCCACCTCCCAGGTTCAAGCGATTCTCCTGCCTCAGTCTCCCGAGTTGATGGGACTATAGGCACATGCCATCATGCCCAGCTAATTTTTGTATTTTTAGTAGAGATAGGGTTTCACCATGTTGGCCAGGATGGTCTCAATCTCTTGATCTTGTGATCCACCCACCTCGGCCTCCCAAAGTGTTGGAATTACAGGCGTGAGCCACCATTCCTGATCGTTAAGTAGACTCTTTAATGCAACGAAAGAGTAACATCTTCTCAGCATCACTTTACCCCAATCAGCCTTTTTAAAATTCTCATACTCTGCTATTTAACTGAAATGGCTCCACCAGGAAATAACTATTTGCATGTTATGTTTTTAAAAATGTAACAGAGGACTTCCAAATTCACCTCCAACATGAAAAGAGCTTAGAAATCATCACTTCTGTCTTTACAAGAAAAAAAAAAAAAAAAGCTGAACAAACTGAGAATCAGTGACTTTTCTTAAATCAATTAAAGAAATAAGTTTATAGGGAAACACCACCCAGAAATCTGGAGAGACAATCAAACACAAAGAATAACAGACATCAGCTTACCTGTAGTAGAAGCCCCTGGAGCCATAAACTAGTAGTAACAGCTGATTGGTAATTTTAACAAATTGCTGAAATTTTGTTTTAAGAGTGAGAAACACCTGAGTGGCCAGTGTTTCGTGGGTTTTACTTCCTCAAACTTCAACAGGTTCTAACAGTGAAGCTCTGAGGGAAAACAAAAACAAAAACAAAACCCTCTTGTTTCAAGCAAGGCAAGGGAGAAAGTCACCATTTTTAATAAATTCAGAGCATTCTCCACAATAAAATCTTGCTGTCCAAAAGAAATTACTTCATCAGAGCCTTATGTGAGGGCCTTATTTTCCTGTTTCACCAAAGGGTAGAAATAAAAATGATGGCTGGGCGTGGTGGCTCACGCCTGTAATTCCAGCACTTTGGGAGGCTGAGGCAGGCGGATCACCTGAGGTCGGGAGTTCGAGACCAGCCTGACCAACATGGAGAAACCCCGTCTCTACTAAAAATGCAAAATTAGCTGGGCATGGTGGTGCACACCTGTAATCCCAGCTTGGGAGGCTGAGGCAGGAGAATTGTTTGAACCTAGGAGGCAGAGGTAGCAGTGAGCCGAGTTGCACCATTGCACTCCAGCCTGGGCAACAAAAGCAAAACACCACCTCAAAAAAAAAGAAAGAAAGAGAGAGAGGAGAGAGGGAGAGAGAGAGAGAGAGAGAGAGAGAGAGAGAGGGAGGGAGGGAGAGAGAGAGAGAGAGAGAGAGAGAGAGAGAGAAAGAAAAGAAAGAAAGAAAGAGAGAAAGAAAGAGAGAAAGAAAGAAAGAAAAACGCTGAGAAACATTTCTGAAGGTCACAGGCCAGGGACTAGGGCCACTAAAAAACTGAGGTTTTTTTTTTTTTTTTGAGACAGGGTCTTGCTCTGTAGCCCAGGCTGGAGTGCAGTGGCACTATCAAGACTCAGTGAAGCTTTGAACTCCCCAGCTCAATCGGTCCTCCCACCTCAGCCTCCCAAGTAGCTGGGACTACAGGCACATGCCATGATGCCGGGCAATTTTTTGTATTTTTTGTAGAGATGGGTTTCTCCATGTTGCCCAGCTGGTCTTGAGCTCCTGGACTCAAGCTACCTGCCGACCTTGGCCTCCCAAAGTGCTGGGATTACAGGTGTGAGCCTTTAATATCTAGTTAAGACCTAGAAATAACTTCATACTGGATCATATGGTAAGAGTGTATTTCATTTTTTTTTTAAACTGCCAAACTGTCTTCCAAACTGGCTGTAGCACTTTGCATTCCCATCAGTAATAAATGAGAGTTCCTGTTGCTCTATATCCTCACCAGCACTGGGCACTGTCAGTGTTCTCGATTTTAGCTATTCTGGTACGTATGTAGTGATACCACTTTGTTGTTTTAATTTGCATTTCCCTGATGATATATTATGTGGAGTATCTTTTCATATGCTTATTTGCCATCTGCATATCTTCATTGATGAGGTATCTGTTAAGGTCTTTGACTTATTTAAATTCAGTTATTTATTATCCAATTTAGTTCACTGAATACTTTGTATTTTGAAAATACTTTCTCTCAGTCTGCAGCTTATCTTCTTGTTCTTTTGACAGTGCTTTTCATAGAACAAAAGTTTTTAATTTCAATAAAGTCCAACTAATTAATTCTTTATTTCATGGATTATGTCTTTGGTATTGTATCTAAAAAGTCACTGCCAAACCCAAGGTTATCTAGATATTATGTTATCTTCCAGAAGTTTTATAGTTTTGTGTTTTACATTTAGGTCTATGATATATTTTGAGTTAATTTTTACAAAGGGTGTAATGTCTATAATCAGATTCGTTTTTGCATGTGGATATCCAGTTGTTCCAGCACCATTTATTGAAAAGACTTTATCTTTTCCCCATTGAATTACCTTGCCCCTTTGTCGAAGATCATTTTGCTGCTAAACCCATCAAATATATTCCTTATTTCTAATACAGTGTTTTTATTTCTAGCATTTCTTTTTGATTCTTAGAATTTCCATCTCATTGTTTGTATTACCCATCTGTTCTTGCATGTTTTCTACTTTTTCCATGAAAGTATTTAAAGTACATGAAGCATATTAATAATATAATTGTTTTAACTTTGCAATCTGATAATTCCCATATCCCTGTCATATCTGAGTCTGGCTCTGATCCTTGCTCAGTCTCTTTAAACTGTGGGAGGTTTGTCCTTCAATATGCATTGTAATTACTTTTTATAAGCTAGACATGATGCACTGGAGAAAAAGGTACTATGGTAAATAGGCCGTTAATGATGTGGTGGTAAAGTGTGGAGAAAGGGGTAGCATTCCATAGTCTATGAGTAGGTCTCAGTCTTAGTGAGCTTGTACCTGTAAACTGTAAACTTCACAAGTGCTTCTCAGTTTCCCAACCCCCCCTTAGGTAAGACAAGAAAGCTGAAGGGGACTGGAGTTGGCTATTTTCTTTCCCTACATGGAAGGCTAGAGCAGAGTGGAGTTGGGTATTTCCTTTCCCCTGGGTTGGTTAGGCTCTAATAAAACCCCAAGAGGTTAGGCTTTGCAGGGGTAAAATATTGTCTCTTGAAAGCAGGCCTTGTTAAGAAGAACAGAATGCTCTGGGCATATTTCAAAATGACTACCTTTCTTTTCTTCTTGAAACACAAGGGGATTTTTCTTCAATCCTTACCTAGCAGAGCTCCTAGAGGTAAAACTCACAAGTCTGGGGCCTCCCTATGACTAGGTCGCCATGGTGTTTTTAACTCTTAGACTTGTCCACACTGAGCCTCTAGCAATTTATCAATCACAGTTCAGGTTTTCCGACTCTGGCAATGGTTCATACAAAGGTTTCTGCTTCAATTAAGTTGTGATTCTCAGTATCCACCTATCTGTCTCTCCAGTGTTTGAGTCAACAGTTTGCATTATGACCTTGATTCTTGAACAGATCTAAGAAGTTATTGATTTTCCATTTGTTTGACCTTTTACTTGTTAGGACAGAGTGATGACTTCCAAGCTCCTTACATGCTGAACCAGAAACCAGTGTCAAAGAAAAACATTGCCAGACACTTGTTAAAGGTAGCAAGACAGATTTTATGAAGACTACTGCAAAAGAGGAGAGAAACTCCAATATAAACTGAGCTCAGCTCCAACTAAGACAAAGGTGACCAAGGTTATTAAAGAGAGAACAAAAAGAGAACAAAAAGGGGTTATGAGGAAGTGAAAAGCGGGGAACAAGAAAAGGGACTGGGGAACTAGGGAGAAATGAAAATTACAGAAGGAAGGTAAGTGGAGAATTACTGAAAATGGTTTGTCAAGGTGTGTTGGAACAATGTATACTTTGCAGTTTGGCAATAGTGTGTTTTCTTGAGTAGAAACTAGGCATGGGAGTTAGAATCACCCTTATGAATGTGGCCTAGTGCAAGTGGAAGCCACACTAAAGTTTGGTCAGATCTTTTAGCACAGTGTTGGGACAAGTCTTTTGTACCATATGAGAGTTCATAGTTCACAATTATATTCCTTTTCTTGATATATTTGACCTACAATCTAAAATGGGTAAAGTATACAATGGTATTACAGCCCTCAAGGTTAATGGCTGCTTAACTTATACAAACATTTAATATAATTTTATAGTCCTAAAGAAACTTAATATTTAAGGTATCATAGCTTATTAGATCTGTTAGAAGCAATCATCTTGTGTGCAATTTAACAATTAGGCTATTTTTTTCCCAGATAACTCTGTATACACCTATTGCTGAAACACCTTTTGAAATAGTTTTTCTCTTTTTTCTGTATTTCTAGTGGTTTCCTTTTTTTTTTTTTTTTTTTTTTTTTTTGTTCTTGTTGCCCAGGCTGGAGTGTAGTGGCACAATCTCAGCTCACTGCAACCTCCACCTCCTGGGTTCAGGCAATTCTCCTGCATCAGCCTCCCAAGTAGCTGGGATTACAGGTGACCACCACCATGCCTGACTAAATTTTTGTATTTTTAGTAGAGACAGGATTTCATCATGTTTGCCAAGGTCTGAACTCCTGACCTCATGTGATCCACCTTCCTCGGCCTCCCAAAGTGCTGGGATTACAGGTGTGAGCCACCACACCCAGCCTAGTGGTTTCCTTTTTGAGGGTTAAACTTTGCCCTCAAATCTGTGTTTGAGAAATTTGTTTTAACAGGTATCTAATCATTTGTTACCTATTCCACTGAACATTTGAAGACCATCTTAGCTTCGACTCAACTTCCTTCTGCAGAAGAGCTTCACATGCTCAAAAAAAAAGCCAAATTTTCTTTGAAATAATATTTCAAAAATGTTCAGCACTTTATCTCATCACTATTAATATGAATGATCCATAAATATTGCATATTGGCTGCCCCATAAAGTCTTAACTTTTTTTTTTTTTTTTTTTTTTTTGAGAGGGAGACTCGCTCTGTCACCAGCCTGGAGTGCAGTGGCACGATCTTGGCTCACTGCAACCTCCGCCTCCTGGGTTCAAGCTCCTGCCTCAGCCTCCCAAGTAGCTAGGACTACAGGTGCCCACCACCACACCTGGCTAATTTTTGTATTTTTAGTAGAGACAAAGTTTCACCAAGTTGACCAGGATGGTCATACTCTCTTGACCTCATGATCTGCCCACCTCAGCCTCCCAAAGTGCTGGGATTACAGGCATGAACCACCGCGCCCGGCCTTAACTCTTGAAAAATAATGTTTCTTCCCAAAGCAACTAAGGGTATATAACATGAAAATAATCTAAATTAGAAATTGGAAGTTTGGAAGTCTATTGTTCATTCACTTTGCCAATATAGGTTCACAATCCTTCACTGGAAAGCCTTGGGACCAGATGCATTTGGGAATTCAGATTTTTTTTTAAGTTTAGAAAAGTGATACGGTACATATACATATACTCTTTAGTATATAATGCCCACATTGGAGTCTAGAATGAAACATATTAAGATTTTTGCAGCAAAACATATGAATATTCACACTAAGTGATATATATATTTATATATCACCTCGTTTCAGTTCAGGTCAGATTTCATACCCAAGGGCACTTTGGTGCCAAACTTATGAAAAACGTTCAGTTCACCGAGGATTTTACATTTCAGAATTGCAGATGAGGGACTGTAAACCTTTATAGCCATGCACTTTTTTCTTAACTAAACTGAAGTCTTTTGAAGCGAATTAAAACCCATGTCAAACTGATGCAGCAAAATAGGATTTAGGCTAAATGTTATTTCTAATAATTTGTAACATGACTTAGAACTTCTCCTGAATTCAGTTTGATTGGTGTCTAATATTTGATAGCATTATTTCCTTTGGGGATCTGTACTGTGAAGACACATGCTGGTTGGTTGGTTGGTTTTTCACATGGGCTTTTTTCAAGTGAAACACTTTGTTTTAGCCTCTGTTGTAATTGTCTGCATGCTCGTGCATGACAATATCTAGTTCACATGCTCCTTACAGCTTACAGTCTGTCAAGTTCCTTCTTGGCAACCTCCCTCTTGGGCTGATATTTTGACAAGCATCTGATATGCTGTAGCTCTCAAAATCCATTTCTTATCTTGTAAAAGTTAGAGTGACCATGGATTTTACGCTGTCTCCTCTGCCCACCCCCACACAGCCCTTTTAGAAGTTTTTGACAGGCAGTTTGAGGAGCATTGTGCTAAGAGATGGCTCCCCTCTCAGCTTCTCTCAAATGCTACTTCAAAATTAATTTGAAAGTACTTTTTCTTCAATTTTTTTCCACCGGAAGACTTCCTTCCCAATCAAGCTTTATCCATGTATTTATCATTGTCAGAAAAGATGAATGGCAAAAGTATCACACAGAGGAAGATTAAAACTCAATGTTTTAATACTTTTAGAATCATGTTCTATTATTCTTCATGGGAACTTTAATAAAGACAGTCAATGACAGCCAGCAGTAAAATTCCCTGATGGTTCTAATTCTAGATTTTCTACTTAATAGATGACCTTGAACAAACTATATGGCTGGACTGTGTCTCACGTATCTCATCATGGGGATTAAATTACTTAATACTTTTACTCAGAACAGAGCCTGCATGTAGTAAGCACTCAATAAATATTTATTATTATTAAACTATATCTGAAATGGTCTAGAAAGCTCTATTCTGTACATAAAGCAAAAGGAAGAAAAATATATAAAATATATTAATAAAAAGCACATCTCAAAACCTATAACTTTTGAACAGTAACTTTCTGCCTCCATTTTTGTCTATAGTACTATAAATTCATGTGATTTCAATACTGAGGGAAGTCATAAATTACTTCTCTGTGCAAATACCCAACTGCTTAGCAATTTCTTTTTTCCTAAATCTAAAGTAGTTCAAAAGGTAATTCTCTCTCTTCTTTGCCTGAAATGACCTTCTCTCTTGTAGTTTCAAGAGTAATTTCGAGTTACCCTTTGAGACTAAAGCTGATATTTCCTCCAAGAAGCCTTTACAGATTTTCCTGTCCCACCTTAAATACTCTGTGTATATCTCTCTCACTGTTGTTGTATATTGTTTAATAATTCTCTACCAGCTTCTTTAGGGCAAGGAAAATCTTGTTCATCTTTGTTTTTCTAGGGATTATTAGAGTGATTGGCACAGGTGAGGGGCTGAGGATACAAGGAAAAGTAAGTCAAGGGCTGATGGACTGAATGATTCAATGAATGAAGTAGACCAAAGTTATGCCAAAGCAAAATATCAACAATTTCTTATCATATTGGTTTCATTTTATGTGCATTGCATATTTCACTTGTAAAATATATTGCATGCAAAAATCTTGGAATAAACAGTATTTAGAACTCATGTCATTGTGTCTGATAATCTATGAATTAATCCCAAACGTTTTACTTGGCCCATCTTTATCTTCCCTTGGAATCTTCCTTTTCACAAGTAAGAACATGTCATAAAATGAAACAAATTAGAAAATAATTTTCCTTGATGCTTCCATAGGTAAAGTGGTCTTATTGGGAAACATCGTGGCAAATAAAAATTTTAGGCAAGACTTTGAAAACTTCATTAAGAGATTCCAAGAAGCTAGAATCACAGATGCAGGACATCCCCCTATTTGACTCACTAATGATGTAATAGTCCCTTACCTTATTCTGAACTATACTTTATTTCCTCTTTCACAGAATTAATATTTTTTCAAGATTTTTTCTCTGACTACAAATGTTGTATGTGTTCACACAGAAATGCTGAAAATGTAAATAAGCTCAATGAAGAAAATTAAAATTCAGAATTCTGCAATCCAAATATAATCACTTAAAAATTATATTGTCCAATACAGTAGCCACTATTTATCTTTCCAATTTTTAAATAAATTTCTAACAAGTACTGTTTCATAATTTGCCTTTCATTCACCATAACATATAAAATTTCTATGCCATTAAATATTTTCTTTAGCATCATCTTTTTTCCCCAGCTTTATTGAGGTATAATATTAGCCAAAGGGTACAAAATTTCAGATACAAAATGAATAAGTTCTAGGGATCTAATGTATAGCATGCTGACTATAGTTAATAATACTGTAATTACTTGAAATTTGAATACTTGTAATTACTTGAAATTTGCTAAGAATAGAGGTTAGGTATGCTCACCACGCAAACACACACACATGTACACACACAATATGCATGGTGATGGATGTGTTAATTAACTTGATTGTTATAATCATTTCATAACATGTTTGAGTATCACATCATTACATTGCACACTTTGAATATACGGAATATTTATTTGTCTACATAATCTGAATAACCACATACTACTCCAAAGAATGAATATATCATATTTACTCTTTCTGCTGTTTCTAATTTTCTATTATAAACAGGAAAGAGTACATACTAACTTTTTAATATGGCTTACCTTGGGGCAGGGAGCAACAGATATTTGTGGAAGGAGAGGGCAGGAAACAAGGTAGTCAAAAAAGGGGGAAAAACTATATATATATACCCTTACCTATGATATGATGACCTATGACGTGATCTTTCTAAAATGTTTCTCAGTGACAACATGTACATATATCCTTTCATCCAGTGATTCAACTTATTAGTGGGTCCTAAGGAAACTCAATGGTTGACCAAATACATATCAGGACACTCATTGCAGTTTGAACTGTTTGAAACAGCATTCTTGAACCAGCCAATATCCAATAACTCAACAACTTTTGTCAAGGCCATAAATAATTTCCATGTTACAAAATTCAATACTGATCTTTCACCCTCTTCGTACACACTATCAAAGTCGATCACATCACTTTTTGAAACTCTCTTTGCTGGCTTCTGGTACTCAATGCTCTCTTAGTTCTTTTCTTACCCCACTTGCTTCTCTGCCCTTTTACTGATTCCGTTTCAACAGCACAACCTAGAAACATTAGAGTGCCTCAGGGTACAGTCCTTGCACCTCTTCCCTTATATTATCTCCTAATGATCTCATCTATCATCTTCCAGTTTGATAGCTTTAAACACATACAGTGATGCCTCCAGCCCTGATCCCTCTAGGGCTGGAGATCAGCCTCTCTCTTGAGCTCTAGCCTCAGATAACCAACTGTCTGCTTGCCATCTCCACTTGGGTGTCTAATAGACAGTGCAAATCTAGCAAATCTAAAACTGAACTCTTCCTGCCTCTGCTGGCCCTGCCCACACAAACCAGCCATAAACTTGCTCATCCACAGTCATTATCATTTCAATAAAAGGTAACTATATATTCTAAGTTCTCTAACCAAAAACCTGTAGGTATTCTTGACTTCCCTTTTTCTTTCACAAACCATTAACAAATTCTACTTTAACTTCAAAACACATCCAGAATCCTACCATTTTCTTATCACTTCCGCAACAGGATTACTTGACAAAATTGCTTCAAGAGCCTCCTTTCTGATCTCCCTTCTATCTGTGTACTCTCAACAGAGCAGCTAGTCATCCTTTTAAAACATATTTCCCTACTCCCTCTCTGATTTCATCTCCTGTACTCTCCCTCTCTCTGGTTCTGCCCTATCCACATTAGCCTTCTTACATATTTCCAAGCACTCTTTGCCTCAGAGCCTTTGCCCTTGCTGTTCTTCCTGCTTGGAACAATTTTCTTCCAGATGTCTATGGACCTTCCTTCACTTAATTTATTACGCTGCTTTGTCCTTCTCCATATTATTCTTCACTTATTATCATCTGAAACGCTAAATATTTACTTATTTGTTTATTGCCTGACTCTCCCCTACTAGGATATATGCTCCATTAGCACAGAAACTTTGTTTGTTTTGTTCACTGCTACATTCCCAGTGCCTAGTATGGTGGGGAATATAGTAGATACATAAGAAATATTTGTTGAGTGAATAAACAAACAGAAAATTTCATGAAATGTAAAAACAGCATGAAATATTGCAGGTTTCTTCTCTTCCATTGCTGTCATCTAGTATTTGTCAATGCTTTTTTCTGGAGCTGTATTGTCCAATACAGTAGCCACTAGACACATGTGGCTATGGAACATTTAAAGTGTTTCATCTAAATTAAGACATGATGTAGCTGAATATTGCATATTTGGAATCAAAGACTTAGTACCCCCCAAAAGAATGTAAAATATTATATTAATAATTTCTATGTGGATCACATGTTGAAATAATATTTTTGGATAGATTGAGTTAAATAAAATACATTATTAACATTAACTTTTCCTTTCTTTACTATTTTAATGTGGCTACAGATAAATTAGAAATTATATATGTGATCATGCTATCCTAAAATACACCTTTTCAAGTTTAGTCCTATTTTTACTCTTCTCAATTTATGTAGCAGAGATTTAGAGATCTACCCAAATATCTGTTTTCCCCTTTTCCTTTGGTAATAATGTCTACATGAGAAGAAGCGATGTATGCCTGTGAAAGAGAAAGGATGTCCGCTTCTATTTCTCTTGCCACTACTGGCTAAAATTTGGACAGAGTGATGTACCACCTTAGACCTCAAAAATCAGAACAAAACCATACAGATGGAAGAGCAAGATAAGGTCAAGACTGACTCCTCTATGACTGTGAAGATCATACATTTTGATGAGAGAGACATAAAATTCAATATTTTTCAAGCCATTGTTAATTTGCATCTCTGTTATAAGCAGTGAAAACAATAAATTTCCTAATCCAACTAACTAATATAACAAATCAATTTCATGGTACATTCATATAGCTTATTTCAGTTTTTCAAACACTTCTCAGTATCTTATTTGATGTTCACAACTCCATCAAGTCAGTAGGATAGATATTACTATCCTGATTTTATAGATGGGAAAACCAAGGCTTAAAGAGACTTTAAGAACTGTCAAAAGATTACACAGTTAGGAAGTCGGACACACTTGGAATTAATACTTAGGTTTTCTGCATTTTACTCTGATGCTCTTTCCTCTTTGCAACCCTGGAGTAGAGCGTGAACTTGTATCACACCTACAACAATAGCAAATTGGACATTTTGTCAGGCCAAATGAATACAACATAAATCATTTCAAAAAACTATTTTTATTTTCCACATGAAGTATATTTAAAACTGGAGAACATGAGGACACAGATCATATTTTCCATAAGTCATGTCTTTCTTTGCTCCCAGCACTCTGTCCAGTGGGTCACGTTAGTGGCAAAAAAACATAGAGAATGGTGCAGAGAGTTCTCTGGGACAAAGTAAGGGCCAGAAGTGATGTGTCATAGATGAAAAAGCAGATTACTAATGAAATTGAAGAAAAACAACATATGGCATGGAATTAATTAACCCACAACTAGCAGTAGGACTTAAAGATGAGAAATATTAGAATTTTTTCAATGACAATATTATAATAAAGGAATAAAAGCATTGCTATCTAAGACACTGCTTACATCTGGATTTAAATTTAGCTATTTTCTTTTTCTAGACTATTATTATTTAAAAAGAGAAATGAAAATAAGAAATTTGATCACAATTAAATGGGATTCAAGGAATCTTTTGCAACACATCATTTCTTATTAACCTGAGTTTTAGTGAAGGACCAAATGTAGTTTGGTGCTGTAAAAACAAAATCCTTTTTTTTTTTTTGAGACAAAGTCTCGCTCTGTCGCCCAGGCTGGAGTGCAGTGGTGCGATCTCGGCTCACTGCAAGCTCCACTTTCCGGGTTCACGCCATTCTCCTGCCTCAGCCTCCCGAGTAGCTGGGATTACAGGCGCCCGCCACAGCACCCAGCTAATTTTTTGTATTTTTATTAGAGACGGGGTTTCACCGTGGTCTCAATCTCCTGACCTCGTGATCCGCCCACCTCGGCCTCCCAAAGTGCTGGGATTACAGGCATGAGCCACAGCGCCCGGCCCCAAAATCCTTTTTTTTAACAACTGAGGTAGTAGAAGTTCCCACATTGCTTTCTACTTAAGCATCTCAACCTGTATCCATGAATCCACACCCAGGGACAAATCACTGGGTTGAGTTTCTGCCCATTCAGCTTCAGCCCCTGCTTGCTAAAACTGCCAGTAAGGTAGCTATTGCAATGGCAATTTGGGGGATGAAGGCATTGGTCTATAAGAAATTGAATTGAAAACAATTCATTTTATATAATATCCAGCCATCAAGTGGTATAATTCAATCTCTATGAAGCCATGACAAAAATGAAAATGCTTGAATTATCTTAGGAATAGAAATCTAGTTCCTATCTCCTTACATGTTTTTATTTGAATACTGTTTTAATTGGAATATCACTAAAGAATACATTTAAAATAATATGATTCTTTAAGCTTAAGATTACAGTAATCATGTTTTTGTAAAAATTGTATCCAAATAATTAGACTTTGTTTTAGTTGACTTTCTAAAATCATTGCTTTTTTAAATTAAAAGTTCTGAACTGAATCAGTGATAACTCATACACTTCCACAAATGGGTTCCAAGTCAGTAAAACCAGAACATCCTAGTAATGACTAAATTATCAATTTCTACAATGAACAAGTCAGAAATCTTTGAGGTTTTATTCACATTTGCCTGTCTTTCATCCCCTAGATTCCAATCAGTACCTAAGACCTGACAATGCTCCTAAATAGCTCCACGATCCATCACGTTGTCATCTTCACTGCTAAAACCTTAGACAGTTCAGGTCACTGTCACCTCAGTACCTAGAGTATTCCAATAGATTCACCATGCCTCTCACATCTACTCTTGCCTTCCTTCCCTCCATTTCATTCTTTCACAGAAGCTGCAATGACCTTTTTACATTAACTGTACTCAACAGAAACCCATATATATATATTTCACCAGAAAGGCAAAAAAGCATATTTATCCTGCAGAATATCCTGCAGCCTTTTTTTTTTTTTTTTTTTTAGACAGGGTCTCACTCTGTTGCCTATGCTGGGGTGCAGTGGCACCATCTCAGCTCACTGCAACCTTCACCTCCTGGGTTCAAGCGATTCTCCTGCCTCAGCCTCATGAGTAGCTAGGACTACCACCACACACCATCACACCCAGCTAAATTTTTTTCTATTTTTAGTAGAGACAGGGTTTCACTGTGTTTGTTGTTCAGGCTGTCCTCAAACTCCTGACCTTAAGTGATCCACCTGCCTTGGCCTCCCAAAGTGCTGGGATTACAGGCGTGAGCCACCAAGCCCAGCCATGAGCCACCACTCCTGGCCCTTACTTTAATAGCATTAAATGGTACACTCAAGTGCCCATAACAATAGAGGGGGTGCACTAGAATTCTATGTGGTAGAAAGTAGAAGGAGGTACAACCATGTGCAGCAACATGGCTGAATCAAATCTCACAAACATATTGAGTGAAGTAAATCAAACACAAAGAAATACACTTTAATAATTTCATATGTATAAAGTTCAAAATTAGGCAAAATCAATTTGTGATGTTGGAAGTCAAGATACTGATCATCCTGAGGAGAGATAATGACTAGAAGAGGGCATTCTGGGGCTCTGGGGCTTCCGCCCTTGATCCGGGTACTGGTTACATGGGATGTTCACTTGGTGAAAATCAAGCTGCACATTTGATGTATGCTCTTTTCTCTACATGTATTATACATCAACAAAAAGTCTACTTAACAAATTAGTTTGATCATGCCACGCTTCTATTTAACATTATTAATCCTGAGATTAAAGTTCAACACCATCAACATAGCCTTGATAGTCCTTTACAACATGGCTCCAGCTTCATGAGAATCACCCTGCCTTTCTGCAAATTGTCGCTTTCCTCAAATGCTCAATGATTCTTCCCACTTCACGGCCAGCTCATGTGCCACTCTCTACCTGGAGGTCTCTTTTCCTGCCCTTTACCTAGTTAACTACTACTTATCTTTCAGATCTCGGCTTAAATCTACTTTTCATGGGGAGGCTTCCTGACCCTAGACTGGGTCAAGTCCTCCTGTTGTGCCTTCTCTCTTCACATCACTTGTAATCTTTATGACCTCTTCAACAGTCTCATTCAGAAACATAGTTTCCTCTCTTTCCAATTACCCAAAAGCCCACAAGTAGCATTAAGAAGGAAGTCCACTATCTCCCTCTTGAGGTCTCCCCCTCAATGATGCAGGTATGCTGGAGTTCAATCAGTCCAAAATGCATGTGCTTCCAAATCAAGAGCAGCTGGAGTCTGTATAGCCCACCACTGCTTCACTTCTCACATGAGTCACCACACAGAACTAGTTCCAAACAGCTTGATTGGCAAAATTGGTGAACAGCAGCTGCCTCATTCTTATTAATCCAGATAAAGAGATTTTTATCTGGGCAGACTTTGGTGGTATCCCAAACTTGTTTCACCTTCACTTACACAGCCATATTTCCCAAACCACCACATCATGTTGGAACCTCAGGTACGTGTTTTTGTCTTCCTCATATACAATTATAATTTGGGGCAGCCTACACATCAAATTCAGCTTGCAGATATTTTCTTTGTTCCAAACAGTGTTTTTTGTTTGTTTAAGATTGACCTTTAACTGTCAGAAGACATCACATGAAAATCCGGAGTTGTTGCTTCTCTTGAAAATCTGGAAGATCCTCTACCGCTGGGCCTACATTCCAAAATGGCAACAATGGGCTGAAATCAATCAGCACTTGTTCTCTTAAACAAGGCATGCACCCTCCAGTTTGCCACAGTCCCTACTATCCCGTTGCCTCCATAACTCCAAGCCAAATGTCAGTTGCCATTATCACTGAAGATTCACTGTTAATTTTCCTTTCAAGAGAAAAGTGAACTACTTCTTTATATATATTTCTCTCAGACATGAGGAAATGATAGACTAAGTATCTTGTGTTTCAAGAAAAATGGGAAAAGCATGTTCATTTGAGGATGTAGAAACATTCCTATGTACTTACAAGAAAAGGGTGTTGCTATCAAAAGAAGGCAAGACACCATAAAGACACAATCATAGAAGCCAGGCAAGAACTGTGCCCAATAAACCTAAAAGCGATGTGAACTAAATGCCCTAAAAAAAACTAAAACTTCAACTGTTTTTAATATTAATAAACTAGAGGATATGAAGCAAATCAAATATTAAATATACTAATTGGGCCAGGCATGGTGGCTCACGCCTATAATCCCAGCACTTTGGAAGGCCGAGGCAGGCAGGTTGCTTGAGCTCAGGAGTTCAAGACCAGTCTAGGCAACAGGGCAAAACTCATCTCAAAAAAATTAGCCAGGTATGGTGGTAAGCACCTGTGGTTCTAGCTACTCGAGAGGCTGAGGTGGGAGGATTGCTTGAGTTCAGGAGGTCAAGGCTGTGGTAAGCTGAGATCACACTACTGCACTCCACCCTGGGCAACAGAGCAAGACCCTGTCTCAGAAGCAAAACAAAACAAATATACTAATTGCCCAAGCATCATTATCTTTTGTAGATTAATCTATTTTAATGTGCCTACTGACTGCAGCAGAAATTATGTGTCCTGAACAGAAACAAATTTCTATAGTTTTATATCTTCCCAGAAATACTATTGTTCAACATGCTGAAAGATATAGCTGAGAACCTAAAGATCTAGTAATATGAAATGATGTTTGGCTTCTCTGAACTTACCACATCAAGAAGGCAGCAGTTTGCAAGCAATGCCCCTCCTCCACCAAAAAAGGCCTTATTATATTCTAAAACCAAGGAAACTGTTGTCCATTAATTTTGTAGTAGTTTAACTATAAGGCCTCTGAAGATCTGCTCCAAACCAACCTTTTGTCCCTGCCTGGAAGGAGAGGAGCTCACACTTTCCATGAACTTAAAACAAACAAAGAAAAACACAAACCTGTTATTATCACAACTGTAACTACATGAGTGTGAAATTAGTTCTTTAAGGTGTATCTCATCTACCACATTGAAAATTTTATAAAGGTCAAAATCGTTTGTTTGTTCACCACTAAGTAAACAAATCACCAGGGTTCAATAAATATGCTGAGATGAAATAGGTTTATTAAAGGCTATGTAGGCCGGCCAGGGTGGCTTGCGCCTGTAATCCCAGCACTTTAGGAGGCCGAGGTTGGCAGATCACTTTAGGCCAGGAGTTCGAGACCAGCCTGGCCAACATAGCAAAACCCATCTCTACTAAAAATACAAAAATTATCCGGGTATGGTAGGAAGCACCTGTAGTCCCAGCTACTCAGGAGGCTGAGGCAGGAGAATCGCTTGGACCCCGGAGGCAGAGGTTGCAGTGAGCCAAGATCACACCACTGCACTCCTGCTTGGGCAACAGAGTGAAACCCTGACTCAAAACAAACAAGGCTTTGTAGCTAGAGAGAAGCAAGATCAAAGAGATGGTTCAAATCTTATTGTTTCCAACTTCCTGCTAATGCAAGTGTTCCACACCTCCTCAAGATTCTCAAAATTTAGGCCATCTCACCCAGCCCTGCACCCAGGTCCCAGGCAGACCACTGTAAATGGCCCAGCTGCCCGCAGATAAGATAGTTAGGCTTTCAGCGGACACACAGGAACTGACTTCTCCAGCTGCCTTAGATGACCAGAAGTGCATCCTAGGTGAAGCTCACCTGCCTCTGTTTGACAACTAGCCTCTGAGATGGCTCCCAATAAATCCCACCTCCTGGGTTTCACATTTGTGTAGTCCCCTCCACATTTACCAGTATTGGTTTGTGTGACCAACAGAATATGTTACTTACAAGATTTGGTAATAAAAAAGGCTGGGACTCTCTCTTTCCCTTTTGGATCATGACTCGGGGGAAAGCAAGCTACCCTGCTGTGAGCAGCCCTACATGCAGATGAACTGAAGCTTCCAGCCAACAGGCATGAAATAACTGAGGCCTGCTCAGAATGACATGAGTGTGTTTGAAAGTGGATCTCTGGCCCCAGTTAAGCCATGAGATGACTGCAACCACAAGAGAGGCCCTGGGCCAGAACCACAGCTAAGTCACTCCTGGATTTCTGACCCTCATAAACTGTGAGACAATAATTGTTGTTTTAAGCAGCTAAGTTTCAGGATACTTTGTTATACAACAATAAATAAATAGTACTCTCTGAGAGTGATTTTAAGGCATGGCCCTATCAAAGGAGTAGCCTTACTTTAACACCTAATCCAGTGGATCTCAGAGGTATTAATATCTACCATTTGTGATTGTCTTATATTACCCAAAAGACTTAAGCTTTTAATGGGAAGGAAGATTATATGAACTTTTTTGATGTCCTAAAACAGCACAGTGCCAAGTGCATGTAAGTACTCTATAAATATTTCCTGAATTGATTTTTTAAACTACATTTTTTAAACTAGAATTCATGGGACTGAATCAAACTGCATTTTAACAGAGCATACTATTGCATGTTCGTTCATCTTGATGCAGTTAGAAATTATTCCAGGTACTGGCTGGGCGCAGTGGCTCACGCCTGTAATTCTACCACTTTGGGAGGCCGAGGCTGGTGATTGCCTGAGGTCAGGAGTTCAAGACCAGCCTGGCCAACAGGTGAAACCCAGTCTCTACTAAAGTACAAAAATTAGCCAGGCATGGTGGTGCATGCCTGTAATCCCAGCTACTCAGGAGGCTGAGGCAGGAGAATTGCTTGAGCCTGGGAGGCGGAGGTTGCAGTGAGCCGAGATTGTGCCACTGCACTCCAGCCTGAGTAACAGAGCTAGACTCTGTCTCCAAAAAAAAAAAAAAGGAAAAAGAAAATTATTCAAGGTACTATGACTAAGTTAAAAAGAGTAATACACACAGGGAAGATATATTTCACTGAAGAATTGACTCCAAATACCATTCAAATAATTTGGCACTAGAAATATGTCCATTAAAATAAGACCTCTGACAAGGGTCTCTGATCTCTATAACTTTGATTTCTCTTTCTTGTAGACAAAGTGGACAGGAAAACATGTTAGGATAAGAAAAGCATCAGCGTAAAATAAACAGACACAGATGGAAGAATCTGACAATTAACATGAAATATTGGTATGATGTTGAATTATAGAAATGCAAAAAGAAATATCTAGGGCAAAAGTTCTCAAGAAATCTCAAGTACATTGTTTAAAGTATCCTGATATGACAAAATAAAAAAAACAAAGTGAAAACTTTTCTATGTTGAGACCCACTAGTTAAGCATTCTTTCCCAGAGAGACTCTACTGTCAAAACTTTATTTAATGATATTTCTATGAAGATTTTTTAAAATGGGCAATATATCATTTAAACTTGGCCACCAAAAGAAAACTTGAAACATTTCCAAAATAAGGTTTTATTAAAATACTTTAAATTTTTCTATGATTTATAGCCAATTTTTCTGTCAACTGATATAAGCTTAAGGTATCAACAATAGATTTATCAGATGATAGTGTACCTTTCGGTGGTGACACGTAGGCAGCTCTGTAATAAATTTAGTGAGGACTAGATAATGACTCCTTATGTGAAAAAAATTATCAGATTTTATATTAGATTTTATGTTAGTCTTATGACATTGCATGATTCAGATTATCAAAGCTAAATCTTGTGAGACTTCTTATGGCAGAAGGTAAGAAAGTGCTCAAAAATATGTTGGGGGAATGTCCTGTAGATACAGGAGACAACTTGAAGGGAATGTCACAGGCCAAACATGGAACAGTAATGAATTATAAGTCATTGAAAAAATAGGAATCTGTGAGACCAAACTGATAATGAATAAATTAATATAGAAATAGATTAGGAAAGGCTCTTGTTTACAGTAGACTGCTGATTGCCAACTGTGGAGACAGTGTTGGAATTGGAAAACTATCATTTTGTAATCATCATGGGAAAGATTAGTTCAGGCAAGAAATGTCAGTGGATGCTAAATCTAGGAGGAAAATTTGGATGAGAAGCATGATATTTGCACAGTCATAAAAGTATCTCCCCACAAATTGCTTACTAAATATACAGGGAAAATATAGTAAATACATAGTGGAAAGATTGGACAACAGCTGAACCAAGTGATCAGAAGCATCATCACCAAAGAGGGGCAAATGGTTATTGTGTGCATCCAGATGTGGTACCTCAAGAAGGACTCAACGTCACTTACATCAGATTTCTATCAGGAACACTATCTGAGACTAGACATGAGAAAACATCTAACAAACCCAAAGGGAGGAACATTTCATTTAAAGGAAGATGACTATATTCTTTAAAAATGTTAGTGTCATAAGAGACTGAAAAACTATTTCAGATTAAAGGGTCGTGACAAATTAATGTACGATTCTAGACTGGATCTGTACTGGAGGGAAAAAAATCCTATAAAAAAGAATATTATTGGGTTAACAGATAAAATTGGAATATGGATTAAAGTATTGCAACAATATTAAATTTACTTACATTGATAACTTTACTGTGATTATATAAAAGAATATCCCTATTTTCAGCCAATACACACCGGAATACTAGGACAATGGTATATGCAACTTACTTTCAAATGACATGAAAATCTGTGTGTGTGTGTGTGTGTGTGTGTTTAGGGGGTTGTAGAAAGAAAAAAGAGAGAGAGAGGGAACATGAGTACAAATGTTAAAGCATTTAAATGGTAACAATGTTAGGCTGGGCGCGGTAACTCAGCCTGTAATTCCAGCACTTTGGGAGATCGAGGCGGGCGGATCACCTGAGGTCAGGAGTTTGAGACCAGCCTGGCCAACACGGTGAAACCCAGTCTCTACTAAAAATACAAAAATTAGCTGGGCTTGGTGGTGTGTGCCTATAATTCCAGCTACTCAGGAGGCTGATGCAGGAGAATGGCGTGAACCCGGGAGGCGGAGCTTGCAGTGAGCCCAGATGGCGCCACTGCACTCCATCCTGGGCATCAGAGCGAGACTCCATCTCAAAAAAAAAAAAAAAAAAAAAAAAATTAGCCGGGCATGGTACTGTGTGCTTGTAATCCCTGCTACTCAGGAGGCTGAGGCAAGAGAATTGCTTGAACCCGGGAGGCGAAGGTTGCAGTGAGCTGAAATCACGCCACTGCACTCCAGCCTGGGCAACTGAGTGGGACTCCATCTCTAAGTAAATAAATAAATTTTAACAATGTTATACCGTATTAACACTATGTAATCTGAGTAGAGGATAGTTTTTCTTAGCACTTTTCTTGCATCTTTTCCATAAATTATTTCCAGATAAAAGGTTTAAAAACTCTAAATCTTTACTTCAAATCCAAACACATAGAAAAAGATTTACAGTGCAAAATTTTAAACATTGAAAAAAACCCCACATTTTAAAGATGCTAGCTAATTCTCTAAGCACTATATATAAACTAAGGCTGGTTGCGGTGGCTCAGCCAGTGAACCCAGCACTTAGGGAGGCTGAGGTGGGATCCTTTGAGACCAGGAGTTCAAGGCTGCAGTGAGCCATGATCATACCACTGCACTTCAGCCTGGGTGACAGAGCAAGATCCCGTCACTAAATAAAAAGAAAATAAACTAAGTCCTGGATCACATCATTATTCATGTATAACTTTAGCAGAAATAATTTTGATTTGCACAGCCTCTTTATTTTATGGTCCCCAGGATTACTCCAATACTGTGCACACATGCATTTGAGGTTCACAGGCTTCAAAGCTCGGCATAAACTTGAGCATTTTGGCATTACATATAATCTTTGATCCTATAATAATGGTACTTAAACCCTAGCTATCTAAAAATTGCTTCATAAAGTAAGGAAGCCTCTTATGACATTTCTTCTGTTAGCGCTCTTTCATGCTGCAAGTTCACACACACACAACACACAACACACAAAATTGGTCACAAAGAAATCCCTCAGTTTCCATGACTGAATTTTTTCCCTGCATATAAATTAGGTCTGGATGTTGAAATATTTGTGCATCCCCTTGTTTCTTCCCAGTGTTTTCCTCTTCCTGTCCATTCAAGCACAGCGTCTCCTCACAAATCCTTCCCTAGGAAAACATAGTCTTCAATACAAATGTCTTTATTCATTCTCTACCTATAAACCAACTGTAACCCCTCCTTTTTCCTCATTTCCTCCTCCCTCACAACATACAATTGTGAATCTGGAATTATTTTCAACTCTATAAGCCTCTTTTTCAAATCTATCACAGCATGTCCATCCCCACAGCTACCACTGTTTGCATAAAAAACCTACATCATCTGATACATCAAAGAGATACAAACCCTTCATTCTATCCTCCAACTATATTGCTGCCAGAATGTTTTCTCAAAACGAGCATGCTATTTGCACACTCATGTTCATAGCAGCACTCTTCATAATAGCCAAGCGGTAGAATCAACCCAAATGTCCATTGAATGGACAAAATGTGGCATATACTTAGAATGACATACTATTCCATCCTACAGAGGAAAGAAATCCTGCCATATGCTACAACAGGGATGAACTTTGAGGACATTATTTTAAGTGAAATAAGCCAGTTACAAAAGACAGTATATGATTCCACTTACGCGAGGTATTTCAATAGTACAACTTAGAGAAATAGAAAATAGAATGGTTACCAGGGGCATGGGGAGGGGGGCAAAGAGAGTTGTTTAATGAATATAGAGTTTCAGAGTCACAAGATGAAAAGGTTCTGGAGAGCTTTCAAAATATGAATGTACTTCATATTATAGAACTGTACACTTAACAGTGGGTTAAAGTTGGTAAATTTTATGTTATGTGTTTTTTAGCATAATAAAAAAATGAGCATATAATTCTTTTATTTAAAATTCCTCACCAGCTTTCTAGTGCCTCCAAACAAAGCCTAAACCCCTAACATTTCAAGAAGAACCTTTTATGATCTGGTTATATTACATAAAATTAAATCCCTCCATTCATCATTTTCCCTCATTCCTTCCTGTCTTTGCACATAAAGTACCCTCTGCCTGGTACAATCTTTGTTCTCATCCACCTTCAAGATCAGTCCAAGCATCACCCTCTCTTTTATTCTTTAGAGCCCATGGTTGAGGTAGGAGCCACCCACCTCCTTCTCATCTCACCCCATATGTATTTCAACTTAGCACTCTCTTCTACAATATAATCATAGGATTCATTGCTAATCTCTCCAAATGATGATGATCTTGAGGATAGAAATAAAAAACATCACAGATTTGGTATTTCTGGATCTCTAGCCCTAGGACAGTGCCTCATACATGGTAGCAGATCAGTAAATCCTTATTGAATAAGTAAATGAATTCCTAATCAAGTTGACTCTTAAGAGAAATAAGAAATCATCTTTTTTTCTTTTTAAACATTCTAGCATTTAAATATTTGTCAATATCATAAAAATGCTTTTTAAACATATACTCAATGTTATTCAATAAGGGCCCTTGTAGTTATTTTTGGTAAACCAATATTCATTTTGCTTTCTTTTAAGGGAATTAGCACATCCTCCATCAAATAAAGTCTGGTAAGAATGACAATAAAAGTGATGTTGATACAGGAGCTAGAAAGAAATTATTTAGGCAGGTAGTGAGGGTAACAGAGTCCTTGATAAGGTTTCCCTTTTAACAAAAAGCATCCACAAAATCATTTCTTTTCTAACAAAGAGCAGCCTGTAAAATCAAGCTGCAAGCATAAATAAGCAAGTTGGAAGCTTGCATAGGTAAATGCTGGCAGCTGTGCCAATAAGAAAAGGCTATCTGAGGGCCAGGCATGTTCAACATGGCAGCTCCATCTTCCCTTCTCTTTGTCAACCCTATGTACAGTAAAGAACAGACAACATGGCGCTGGCCAGGCAGAAAACCCATGTGCATATATAAAAGATTAAGGTAGGGTGGCCAGCTTCTTCACGCACTAGGCAAATGTCACACCTGGTCTGACCAATCTCTCAGGCCCTATGTAAATCAGACCCTGCCTCCTCAAGATGCTCTATAAAACCCCATGCACTTCACCGAGAAACCAGAACACCAACTTGGGTGCCCCTCTCTCTGCAGGAAAGAGAACTATTCTCTTTTCTCTTTCTTTTGCCTATTAAACCTCCACTCTTAAACTCACTTCTTGTGTCCATATCCTCAATTTCCCTGATGTGAGATGACAAACCTTGGATATTTACCCTAGACAACAATACCGCTTCAGTGTGCTTTCTTCTAGCCAACATATGGGCACATGACCCAGTCTAGGTCAATTTACCTTTTTATTAATTTGAATCTTGAGCAGAAGACAAAAGATTGAAAATCCATGTTTCTAAAATAGGCATCCATTAGCCTTCTTCAATATCAATTATGTTTTTTGCCACAATAATATTATGTAACCAACTACTCAGTGACTTAAAAGAATCAGCATTTCTTTTGGCTCATAAATCTGCAGATCGGTTATTTAGGCTGGGCTTTGTTTAATGGTTCTTCTTTGGGCTGAGTTCACCCACGTTTGGCATGTGATGACAAAATAGTAACAGCAAACAAGCTCCTTATGTCATATCAACTAACATCCCATTGACTAAGACAAGTCTCATAACTGAGTTCAGAGTGAAGGAGTAGAACAGAAAGGCACATCTGGAGTGGTGGGAGAACACTGCAAAGTTACACGACCAAGGGTGTACACAGATATAGAGAGAGAAAGAATCCTAGCCATTAATGCATTCTATCTGCTACACACACCAACCCAAACCCATTCAAATTCCTCTGCTTCTCTTTTCTCATTCGAGTTCTTTACCCTTCCCTTCAATTCTGTGAGCTCTCCCATGGCCCTCAAAGGCTTTTCCCTTTATCTTTAAATCCAATTTAAAATGGATTTTGGATCATCAAGGTGAATGGGAGGCAGGACTAGATTGCAGCTCCAACTGGGACAGAGGAGCATTCGGAGGCTCGCATCATGAACTTTTGCAAGAACAAATCAGCAATCCCGAGAGGACCCACAGACTCTATGAAGGAAGCACACTGCTCCTGCAGGACACGGGAGACACCCTAGATACTCAGCTGCAGCAAGACCCACCCAAGGAAAGGAGACCCTGAGCTCTGACAGGCCTAGCCCTGCTCCCACCCAATGGTTCTTCCCTACCCACCCTGGTAGCAGAAGACAAAGGGCATACAATCTTGGGAGTTCTAGGGCCCTGCCCACCACTGGATCCTTTTCATACTACCACCGCTGATGCTCTCTGGAAGGCGCCACCTCCTGGCAAGAGACCAACCAGCACAAAAATTGAGCATTAAACCACCACAGCTAAGAATCCTCATACAGTCCATTGCACTTCCCCTCCCCCCACCACCTCCACCAGAACAGGCGCTGGTATCCACAGCTGAGGGACCCATAGACGGTTCACATCACAGGACTCTGTGCAGACAGTCCCCAGTACCAGCCCAGAACCGGGTATACTTGCTGGGTGGCTAGACCCAGAAGAGAGACAATAATCACTGCAGTTCGGCTCACGGGAAGCCACATCCATAGGAAAAGGGGAAGAGTACTACATCAAGGGAACACCCTGTGGGACAAAAGAATCTGAACAACAATCTTCAGCAGAAGACCTTCCTTCTGACAGAGCCCATCCAAATGACAAGGAACCAGAAAACCAACTCTGTAATATGACAAAGCAAGGCTCTTTAACACCCTCCAAAAAATTACACTAGTTCACCAACAATGGATCCAAACCAAGAAAAAATCCCTGATTTACCTGAAAAGGAATTCAGGAGGTTACTCATTAAGCTAATCAGGGAGGCACCAAGTGAAGCCCAATGCAAGGAAATCCAAAAAGCGATACAAGAAGTGAAGGGAGAAATATTCAAGGAAATAGATAGCTTAAAGAAAAAAACAATAAAAAAATTCAGGCAACATTGGACACACTTATAGAAATGCAAAATGCTCTGGAAAGTCTCAGCAATAGAACTGAACAAGCAGAAGAAGGAAATTCAGAGCTTAAAGACAAGGTCTTTGAATTAACCCAATCCAACAGAGACAAAGAAAAAAGAATAAAAAAAATGAACAAAGCCTCCAAGAAGTCTGGGATTATGTTAAACGATCAAACCTAAGAATAGTCAGTGTTCCTGAGGAAGAAGAGAATTCTAAAAGCTTGGAAAACATATTTGGGGGAATAATCAAGGAAAACTTCCCTGGCCTTGAGACCTAGACATGCAAATACAAGAAGCACAAAGAACATCTGGGAAATCCATCACAAAAAGATCATCACCTAGGCCCACTGTCATCAGATTATCCAAAGTTAAGACAAAGGAAAGAATCTTAAGAGCTGTGAGACACAAGCACCAGGTAACCTATAAAGGAAAACCTATCAGATTAACAGCAGATTTCTCAGCAGAAACCCTACAAGCTAGAAAGGATTGGGGCCCTATCTTCAGCCTCCTCAAACAAAACAATTATCAGCGAACAATTCTGTATCCAGCAAAACTAAGCAACATATATGAAGGAAAGGCATAGTCTTTTTCAAACAAACAAATGCTGAGGGAATTTGCCATTACCAAGCCACCACCACTACAAGAACTGCTAAAAGAGGCTCTAAATCTTTAAACAAATACTGGAAACACATCAAAACAGCACCTCTTTAAAGCATAAATCACACAGGACCTATAAAACAAAAATATAAGTTAAAGCAAAAACAAAAAACAAAGTACACAGGCAACAAATAGCACAATGAATGCAACAGTACTTCACATCTCAATACTACTCAAACATTGAATGTAAATGGCCTAAATCCTCCACTTAAAAGACACAGAACCACAGAATGGGTAAGAACTCAGCAACCAACTAACTGCTGCCTTCAGGAGACTCACCTAACACATAAGGACTCACATAAACTTAAAGTAAAGGGGTGGGAAAAGGCATTTCACGCAAATGGACAGCAAAAGCAAGCAGGGGTAGCTAGTCTTATATCAGACAAAACAACTTTAAAACAACAGCAGTTAAAAGAGAAAAAGGGACATTATATAATGGTAAAAAGCCTTGCCCAACAGGAAAATATCACAATCCTAAATCTATATGCACCTAACACTGGAGCTCCCAAATTTATAAAACGATTACTAATAGACCTAAGAAATGGGATAGACAGCAGCACAATAATAGTGGGGGACTTTAGTACTCCACTGACCAGCACTAGATAGGTAATCAAGACAGAACATCAACAAAGAAACAATGGATTTAAACTATACCTTGGAACAAATGGACTTAACATATATACAGAACATTTCATCCAACAACCACAGAATACACATTCTATTCAACAGCACATGGAACCTTCTCCAAGATAGACCATATGATAGGCTATAAAACGAGCCTCAATAAATTTGGGACAATTGAAATTATATCAAGCACTCTCTCAGATCACAGTAAAATAAAACTGGAAGTCAACTCCAAAAGGAACCTTCAAAACTATGCAAATACATGGAAATTAAACAACCTGTTCCCGAATGAGCATTAGGTCAAAAATGAAATCAAGATGGAAATTAAAAAATTATTCGAACTGAACAACAATAATGACACAACCTATAAAAACCTCTGGGATACAGCAAAAGCAGTGCTAAGAGGAAAGTTCATAGCCCTAAACGCCTGCATCAAAAAGACTGAAAGAGCACAAACTGACATTCTAAGGTCACACCTCAAGGAACTAGAGAAACAAGAAACAGAAGAAAGAAAATAACCAAGGTCAGAGCAGAACTAAATGAAATTGAAACACCACCACCAAAAAATACAAAAGATAAATGAAACAAAATGCTGATTCTTTGAAAAGATAAATAAAATTGATAGGCCACTAGCAAGATTAACCAAGAAAAGAAGAAGAGAAAATCCAAATAACCTCACTAAGCAACAAAAACAGGAGGTATTACAACTGACACCACTGAAATCAAGATCGTTTAAGGCTACTAAGAACACCTTTACATGCATAAACTAGAAAACCTAGAAGAGATAAATAAGTTCCTGGTAAAATACAACCCTCCTAGCTTAAATTGGGAAAAATTAGACACCCTAAATAGACCAATAACAAGCAGCAAGATTGAAATGGTAATTTAAAAATTACCAACAAAAAAAGTCCAGCACCAGAGGGATTCACAGGAGAATTCTACTAGATATTCAAAAAAGAATTGGTACCAATCCTTTTGACACTATCCCACAAGGTAGAGAATGATGGAACCCTCCCTAATTCATTCTATGAAGCCAGCATCACCCTAATACCAAAACCAGGAAAGGATATAACCAAAAAAGAAAACTACAGACAGATATCCTTGATGAACATAGATGCTAAAATCCTTAACAAAATACTAGCTAACCAAATCCAACAACATATCAAAAAGATAATCCACCATGATCAAGTGGGTTTCATACCAGGGATTCAGGGATGGTTTAATATACACAAGTCAATAAATGTGGTATACCACATAAACAGAATTAAAAACAAAAATCACATGATCATCTCAATAAATGCAGAAAAAGTATTTGACAAAATCCAGCATCCCTTTATGATTAAAAATCTCAGCAAAATCAGCATACAAGGGACATACCTCAATGTAGTAAAAGCCATCTATGACAAACCCACAGCCAACATAATACTAAATGGGGAAAAGTTGAAAGCATTCCCTCCGAGAACCGGAACAATACAAGGATGCCCACTCCCACCACTCCTCTTCAACACAGTACTGGAAGTTCTAGCCAGAGCAATCAGACAAGAGAAAGAAATAAAGGGTATCCAAATTGGTAAAGAGGAAGTCAAACTGTAACTGTTTGCTGATGCTATGATCATTTACCTTGAAAACCCTAAAGACTCCTCCGGAATGCTCCTAGAACTGATAAAAGAATTCAGCAAAGTTTTCGGATACAAGATTAATGTACACAAATCAGTAGCTCTTCTATATACCAACAGTGACCAAGCGGAGAATCAAGAACTCAACTCCTTTTACAATAGCTGCAAAACAAAACAAAACAAAAACTTAGGAATACACTTAACCAAGGAGTTGAAAGACCTCTACCAAGGAAAACTACAAAACACTGCTGAAAGAAATCATAGATGACACAAACAAATGGAAACAAATCCCATGCTCATGGATGGGAAGAATCAATATTGTGAAAATGACCATACTGCCAAAAGCAACCTATAAATTCGGCACAATCCCCATCAAAATACCACCATCATTCTTTACTGAATTGGGAAAAACAATTCTAAAATTCAAATAGAACCAAAAAACAGCCTGCATAGCCAAAGCAAAACTAAGCAAAAAGAACAAATCTGGAGGTATCACACTACCTGATTTCAAACTATACTATATGGCCACAGTCACCAAAACAGCATAGTGCTGGTATAAAATAGGCACATAGACCAATGGAACAGAATAAAGAATCCAGAAATAAACCCAAATACTTACAGCCAACTGATCTTTGAAAAAGCAAACAAAAACATAAAGTGGGGAAAGGACACCCTATTCAACAAATGGTGCTGGATAACTGGCAAGTCACATGTAGGAGAATGAAACTGGATCATCTCTCACCTTACACAAAAATCAACTCAAGATGGGTCAAGGACTTAAGTCCTGAAACACATCAAGGACTAAGACCTGAAACTAGAAAAATTCTAGAAGATAACACAGGAAAAACCCTTCTAGACAATGGCTTAGGCAAGGATTTCATGACCAAGAACCCAAAAGCAGATGCAATAAAAACAAAGATAAATGGCTGGGACTTAATTAAACTAAAGAGCTTTTGCAAGGCAAAAGGAACAGTCAGCAGAGTAAACAGTCAACCCACGGAGTGGGAGAAAAATCTTCAAATCTATACCTCTGACAAAAGACTAATATCCAGAATCTAAAACAAACTCAAATTAGCAAGAAAAAACAATCTTATGAAAAAGTGGGCTAAGGACATGAATAGACAATTCTCAACAGGAGATATACACATGACCAACAAGCATATGAAAAATGTTCAACATCACTGAATGACCACAGAAATGCAAATCAAAACCACAATGTGCTACCACCTTACTCATGCAAGAATGGCCATATTCGAAAAATTCAAAAAATCAAAGAAGAGCAGATGTTGGTGTGGATGTGGTGATCAGGGAATGCTTCTACACTGCTGGTGGGAATGTAAACTAGTACAGCCACTACGGAAAACACTATGGAGATTCCTTAAAGAACTAAAAGGAGAGCTACCATTTGATCCAGCAATCCCACTACTGGGTATCTACCTAGAGGAAAATAAGTCATTATATGAAAAAGATACCTGCACATGCATGTTTATAGCAGCACAATTCACAACTGCAAAATCATGGAACCAACCCAAATGCCCATGAATCAATGAGTGAATAAAGAAACTGAAGAAAAATAAAATTGAAGAAAAATAAAAGATTACACAAGAAAAATTGCAATTGGACCACATCACAAGCTAGGCTGGCTTAACATACTGATTACACTAATAATGTTCAGTTTATAGATTGCAATTATGTAAATACATCTTATAGAAATTTAAATTTGAAGAGGCTCTAACATTCTGTAGTATAGTGCCTTTTTCCTAATATTTATGGACTGACTAAAATCCGCATGTTGAAGTTCTTAACCCCAGTACCTCAGAGTGTAACTGTATTTGAAGACAGGGTTTTCAAGTGGTAATTAACTTAAAATGAGGTCATTAGGAGAGGAAAGACCATGTGAAGGAACAAGAAGAAGATGGTCATCCACAAGCCAAGTAGAGAGGGCACAAAAGCAGCCAACCCTGGTGACAACTTGCTCTCGGACTTCCAGCCTCCAGAACTATGAGAAAATAAGCTTCTGTTGTTTATGCCACCCAGTCTGTAGCACTTTTTAATGGCATCCCTAGCAAACCAATAACATTATACACAATTAGGAAGAGAAGAGGGATTTTGTAATTTGCAGGACATTTGTGTAAGGTTCAATTTAATTTTTGAAAATTTCCCTTGACCTATTATAAACTTCCTTTCCCTCTCAAGTATAAAATACAGGTTCAAGCACAATAATTCTAGTATTCATCACTACTGTAGCATGCTTTTCTCTGAGACAATACTTAAGGTTCTTTGGAGCATTCATAAACTTTTCATCACCCTTGATTCTATAGGCAGGAATCATCTATGATATTAATCAATCAGGTATGAGGCTTCAATACAATGTACAACCGCTTTTGAGTATATTATTAATATACCCCCACTGGAAATAGATTAGAAATTGTGTTCCCGTCTGTATCAGAGGAATTAGGTTTGATATCATACCGAATTAAGATGTAGGTTTGTATTTTAATTCAGTCTACTTTCTACTTGTTTGAAGTGTTTCAGCAAACAACTCAGAACAGTTAGTGAATTTGGAAGCAAGTTTAACTACTGCAGGAAACCTCATTTCTCTATACTATTGATATGATTTGTCTATGATGAGAAAAAGGTTTTAAAATGCAATTAGACTTGTTAAATAGCTACTGTTAGAAGGTATAACTGACCCAAACCAAAATCATTGTATTTTGTAGGCATTAGCTAACATTTAATGGACTGTCTTACATAAACTCATTCACCAAAGAAATTAACTCATTAACTTGGGAATACTGTTTTTAGTTTCAGGAAGTTCTACCAGAAGTTTTACTCATTTCGCAGTATACATATTGAAGTTACTGTATAGGTAACAAGGTCAGCTCTAAATATCTACATTAAAATAGTTTAAGCTAACTGTAATTCCACTTCCATGATGTGGTTTAACCAAGGACTTATATAAGTACTTAAGCAGATTCACAGCTACATCTTTTGAGGAAAACGTAGACTGTATTTGGTGGTATCACTGTTGATATTTCCATGCAAAAATGCAAAGCTATAGCTAGCAAATAGTCAAGTTAAATTCTTATATTTTCACAATAGACTGACAACTCTTCCAGTCAAAAGGCATCTATTTGGAAATGGAAAAAAACAGTTATTGTCAATAGTATTATAATACTCCTAGGTCTGACAATTATGGATAATACATGGAAAATGTAGTGATTCCTAGCTGTGTGACCACAAGCAAGTTTCTTCTCTGTGCCTTACTTATCTGCAACATGAGAGTAAGAGTACCAATCGGTGTTATAAGAATTAATAAGTAGATACATATAATTACACAAGTATATATTACTATGTGCAAGGCATTTTTCTGATAAAGAAATGAAAGGATGAACAATAATCTCAAACCTTAAGGAGAACCTACATGCTTGCAGTACACTGATGGCCCAAATTAATGACCTCCCTGTATCTACCCTCCTCATAATAATTTTGAAACTCCTCCAATCAAGAAGTAAAATTTATTTCTTCACCTTTTAAATCCAGGCTGGACTTGTCACTTGCTACAGCCAACAGAAAGTGGGAAAAACTAAAGTGTGGCAATTTTGAGCCCAGGCCTCTGCTCTCCCTTGGTTCCTCAGTCTTTGCCATGAGAACATGCCTGCATTCTTCAACTGGATAATAAGAGACATGTAGCCTAATTACCTGCTATTGCTCTAGTTATGAGCAAGCTAACTCCAGACATAAGAATTGAGTCCACTCTAGAGTAGCCAGACTGCAGAGAACCTACCAGCTTACTGCAGATGTATGCATAAACCAGCCATGACTAGCTAAACAGAGCCCAGATTAAGAGCAAACCCAGAAGAAATTTATTGCCCATAGACCAAAAAGCAATAATGGTTTGCGAATGGCATGTTATGCATGAATAGCTAAGCAATGTAACATTCATTGCCAACTTAGTCTTAACCCTTAAGAACATGATTCTGATAGTAATCCCCCCAAAACAGGCCCATACTTGGTATATGTAGAATCTAAATTATTCTTTCGGGGTTGTGAAGTTGGAACTGTGTTGTCTTTGAATGCAACTCTATACAGAAACTTAGAGACCACCAAAGCCAAATCTTGTTTTAAAATACATTTTGTTTGGCCAGTGAACAAACAGTACTTTTAAAAGCTTTGGATATGATTCCCTTTAGGAGGTATACATATTCTTCGGTATTCTGCATTCCTACCATTTCCTATTATTTTAATCAGCCCAATTTACACATATGTTACTTGTCTGACCGTATGGATATTTCAAGTTGCAATGCTTAGTGTAGATTTTGACTGTGGGTTTTTGTGATTTTTTTTAAGTAGTACATCTCTAATTCAACATAGTAATAGAATTTCTAACCAGCACAATAAGGCATGAAAAATAAATAAAATGCACACAGATTAAAAAGGAAAAAATATAACCGGATCTATTTGTAGATGACATAATGATCTGTACAGAAAATAGTAAGAAATCAATGAAAATAACTTCTAGAACTATTAAATGAGTTTAGCAAGTTTAGCAAGGGTACAAAATCAACATTAAAAATCAATTAGATTTCTATATACTAGCAATAAACATATGGAAACTGAAATTTAAAGAACAGTGTCATTTACAAGTGCTCAAAAAATAAATATTTAGGTATAAATATAACAGAACTTGAAAAGAATCATCGGCTGAAAACTATAAAATGCTGATGAAAGAAACTAAAGAAAACCTAAATAAGTGGAGATGATGTACTAATTATATTCATGGATTAGAAGACTCAACATAGTAAAGATGGTAGTTTTTCCCAAACTGATCTATAAGTTTAACATAATTTCTATCCAAATCTTGGCAAGGTATTTTGGAAAATATAAAGAAGTTTATTTTAAAGTTTACATGGAAAGGCAAAGGAATTAGACTAGCTAATAGAATTTTTAAAAAGAATGAAATGGGAGAAAACATTCTACCCAATATTATATTTTACTACATAGCTACAGTAATCAAGACAGCATAGTATTGAAAGGATAAATACATAAATCAATGGAACAGAATAGAGAACCCAGAAACAGACCAACACATAGATGGATAGCTGATTTCTGACAAAGGTGCAAAGGAAGGATTGTGAGTAGAGGGAGGATTGTCTTTTCAACAAATGGTGCTAAAGCAACTGGACACCTACAGGCAAAAGCAAACAAACAAAAAACCCCAAAAAACAATATAAGCCTCATATCTTATATAAAAATCAATTCATAATGGAACATAGGTTTGAGTAAGTAAACCTAGACCATAAACCTATAAAACTTTTTAAATAAAACATAGAAGAAAATCTTTGGGACCTATAACTAGGTAAAGAGTTCTGGCCGGGCGCAGTGGCTCATGCCTATAATCCCAGCACTTGGGGGGCCAAGGCGGGTGGATCACCTGAGGTCAGGAGTTCGAGACCAGCCTGACCAACATGGTGAAACCCCATCTCTACTAAAAAAAAATACAAAAATTAGCTGGGCGTGGTGGCGGGCACCTGTAATCCCAGCTACTCAGGAAGCTGAGGCAGGAGAATCGCTTGAACCTGGGAGCTGGAGGTTGCAGTGAGCCAAGATCACGCCATCGCACTCCAGCCTGAGCGACAGAGTGAGACCTTGTCTCAAAAAAAAAAAAAAAACAAAAAAAGTTCTTAGATGTGACACAAAAGGCACTATCTATAAAATTTTAAAAACAGATAAATTAGACTCCATCTCAACTAAAGCCTTTACTCTATGAAAGACCCTGTTAAGAGGATGAAAAGACAAGCTACAGGCCAAGAGAAAATATTTGCAAAAC
Source organism: Homo sapiens (assembly GCF_000001405.40). NCBI lineage: Eukaryota > Metazoa > Chordata > Mammalia > Primates > Hominidae > Homo > Homo sapiens. The sequence continues at coordinate 193,266,573 of NC_000001.11, read as the reverse complement.
ACAAGTGCGACAAAGGACTTGTATCTTGAAGACACAAGCACTCACTCCTTGCTTTGCATAGCAGGACCATAAAAATGGCCATGCAAGCTGAAACCCCAAAACGCAATCTTAAATCTTAATCAGTGGGAAAAGTTATGATTGTTCTATGACCTTTAAAAATTTGTTAAAACTTTCTTATTATTGGCAACAAATGTACAGGTAAATTTTAAAAGTAGTAAAACTAATATTTATTTAATACATTGTAATTTAAAGCATTAGAAACTTTTAGAATTAAAGTGCTTTATATCTTTGTAAAAAAAACATCAGTAATAGTTTAAGCAGTGCCTTCTCATGATGTAACACAATAGAGCAAGCACCCTTTCTTTGCTTGGCGAATTGTCATATTCCTAAGTTTGGATCAGCTTTTGACGTTTTACCTTTTGCATTTTCAATGTCATGAGATATCTTTAAGAATTCCTTAAATGTGAAGATATATTTCACTTCCTCTGGGACATCTTCCTTATTTCCTTATTTATGCCAACAGTTTTGCTGTCACTAAATTTCTCTGGCTGGATGCATATGTAGAGTCTCGTTTGAATGGCAGCAGGATCAACATTCTCAGTCAACCATTTCATCTAAAACCCCACAAATGGTTAATTCAAATTTCACTTCCAGTGTTGTAACTTTTTGTTTCTGTGCTGTACTTTCATGTCTGTGGCCAAGTCTCTCTTTCACTTATCCATTTTTGTAAAATGTCAAGTGGTTTTATTACTGGGAGACAAGGAGGCAACAAAACCAAACATTTACTGTCTGTCTTAATAAGAGATGTGCAATGGTCAGTCATGAACAAATTTTCAAAAAAGTAATTGGTCAATGACCATATACACATTTGTTATATTGTGATTTGTAGACTGTAAGAGGGAGTACTTCATGCAATCACAGTTAATATGTCATAACTTCAATTTGAACCATTTAAGCCATGGCAAGTGGAAGTCATACATACTGAAATTGTGCAAAAGTGAGGGCTGCCTATATAAATAACTCTCAAAAGTCAATAGTAAAAAAAAAAAAAAAATCAGGCTGGGCATGGTGGCTCACACCTGTAATCCCAGCACTTTGGGAGGCCGAGGCGGGCAGATCACGAGGTCAAGATATTGAAACCATCTTGGCCAACATGGTAAAACCCTGTCTCTACTAAAAATACAAAAATTAGTTGGCTGTGGTGGCACGTGCCTGTAGTCTCAGCTACTCAGGAGGCTGAGGCAGGAGAATCCCTTGAACCCAGGAGGCGGAGGTTGCAGTGAGCCGAGATCACATCACTGCACTTCAGCCTGGTGACACAGCAAGACTGCATCTCAAAAAAAAAAAAAAAAAAAAAAAAAAAAATCACATTACAGTGGGCAAAAAACATGAACAGACATTTCACCAAAGAGGATATATGTTATAGATAGCAAATTAATACCTGAATATATGCTCAACATCTTTAGCTGTTAGAGACGAATTAAGACCATGATGCTAAATCACTAAACACCCATTAGAACAAGTAAAAAACATTTTTTTAATCCTGACAATATTAAATGCTGGTGAGGATTTGGAGAAACTACATCTCTCATACATAGCTAATAAGAATGTACAGTGGTACAGTCATTCTGGAAAATAATTTGGCAGTTTCTTAAAAGAAAAACAATCATACAATACCATACAACCCAGCAACTGCATTCTTGGGCTTTTCTCCCAGCAAAATAAAAACATATGCCTACAAATTCATGTGTACATGAATGTTCATAGCATCTTTACTTGCCACAGTCAAAACTTAGAAACAATCCAAACGTCCTTCAGTGGGTGAATGGTTAAACAAACTGTGGTACATTCATATCATGGAACATTACTCAGAAATAAAAAGGAACAACCATTGACACATGCAACAACTTGGATGATCTTCAAGGGAATTACGGTGAGTGAAAAAACCCATCTCAATGGTTACATGCTATACGATTTCAATTATATTCTCAAAATAACAAAGTTACAGAGATGGAGAACAGATTAGCTGCTTGTCAACAGTTAGGAATGCCGTGATGACAAAAGGAGGAGAGGAGGTTTGGTGTGACTATGAGGTAGCACAAGGGATCTTTGTGCTGACAGAACAGTTCTGCATCTTGTTTGAGGTTATACAAATCTACTCCTGATAAAAGCACATAAAACCACAAAGACACAGACACACATGCACACAAGGGCATGTAAAACTGGTGAAATCTGAATAAGGTTTGTAGATTGTACCAATGTGCTGGTTTTGATATGATATACCATGCTGTATCATGTTATGTAAGATGCTATCATTGGGAGAAACTAGGTGAAGGGCAACTGGGGCCTCTCTGTCCTGTTTTTGCAACTTCTTATGAATCTATAATTATTTCAAAATAAAAAGTTTAAAAAAAAATGACCTCCAATCCAGTGGCGTCACTTTTAGGAATTTATCCAGGATACACTCATACATAGGTACAAAGAAGTATACACATGAATGTTCACTGCAACCCTGTTTATAATGGCAAAAAGACTATACTCAACCCAGACTCTCTCCAGTGTTGGCACAGCCATAGGTTGACAGGGTATGCAGCCAGTTAAAAGGAACAAGACATTTACTGTATAATGAATGCTTACCTCAATTAAAACATTTTTTTAAAGAAAACAATGATTTCCAAGATATACTATTAAGGGGATAAAGTAAGACACAGAGGAATACTAATATCTGTGTTAGAAAGAGAGGGAAAGAGAGAGAGGTATTTATACATCAGATACCTGGAAAGGTCCCAGGAATCTGAACATAGTAATTACCTCTAGAAAGAGAAACTGGGTGCCCTTTGAATTTTGTAGCTTATGAATAAATCAATATTCATTAATCTAAAGATTCCCACTACCACCACCACTGGTTTCGTACTCAGGTCAGTCACCAAGACTTTATCAAATCTCTCTCTCTCTGGTTTCCACAGGATTACTTTGCCACAATGGTGTTTTCCTCTTTATGCTCCTCCTAACACTGTATATATTAATGTAAACCACAGCTCTAACACGTGACCCTTCCTGATACAATATGCCTTCTAGGACATAGTTTATTCACCACTCTGAAAGAAATCTCTCATGAGCAGCATACCCCAACGTATCAGTCAGGATCCAATCAGGAGGGAGATAGAAACCACACAGGAGGGAGATAGAAACAAATCACTAGGCATTTGTTTGTTTTTTTCTATAAAATCTAGATTCTGCACAAACTAGTAATTTGAATAGAGAAAATTAAATATAGAAAATTGTTAATAAAAGATGGTTTACTAAAAGTTATAAAGAAGATTCTAACGGGTACGGAAATAACAAAGGGAGAAAGAATACTAAGAACTCATGAGTCACTCCCCAGCACTATTCCAGGGCTGAGACTCAGAACTCTTTGGAGAGGGCATAGTTGCCACAGGAACTTGGGCTGTAGATGGAAGAAATTTACCAAGGGGAAAGGCCAGAGCTGATCGAATCAGAGCACCTCACCCGGTAGAAGAATCACTGGAGGTTCTGGGTAGGCCAAAGGTGTTCTGTAGGGACATTTTACCAGGCAGCAGAGAAACTTGAAAGGAAGGTGTGGGCCACCCTTACGAAGGTTGTTGAGGTGAGACTGACCTTCTGCAGGCCAATCTGCTGGCAGCCAATCAAATAACAGCACACCAGAACCAGAAAGAGAAGCCTATTCCCCTTGCTATTGCCTTACTGTGTCCCTCCAATGAAAAAGCCTAACACTGAACCTGCTCACAAAGGAGAAACCTGTACAAGCATCGAGTTTCAACACTGCAAAGCAAGGTGTACCTTAGAGCTCACAGATAACAAATTGATAACTGGTACACCCCACTATTTTGAAGATGAATTACAGTGCGGTGATTACTATAATTTAATGGTGTGCTGATGTTATAAAAGTATGGAAGAGGGAAAAAGTGAATTTTTAATTACTCCTTACTAGATATTGCTATGACTACTTAGTCTTCCATATATATTTGTGTGTGTGTTCATTTCTTCAGATACAATCTGTGATCATCCCCATACAAGTAGATTTCAAGATTTTGTAGTATATGTGTGGAAAATAAATATCTGATTTTCATAAATCAATGAGAACATGGATAACATTGATGTAAACACATCTTTGCTCAATTAGCTTTAAGAGCATTAATTCTGGTCTATTTTTTTTTCTCATATGGGATAATACTAACAATGGCAAATACCTTATGCTGTTCATAATGTGAAGAATCACAAAAACACACATCTGTTATTTGATATGTACAAACTAAGGTAGATTTCACAGATGTGAATTTGAGCTGACTCTTGAAGGGTAAGAACACATTCCAGGCAGGGAAAGAAACATTTACAGAGGTATGGAGATGCGAAAAGGAATGGTGTGTTGAGAGGCTGCAAAAGAATGTATGTGGCGCTCACGTCTTTGGGAGGGAAGGATTAGATGAGGCTGAAAGATAATTAGGCCTTAGGTTTTCTCAATCTTGTTAAATTTGTAGATCCCAAGGCTATAACCCACAAAGGCCTATTTAGTAAATTTGGGACGGGGCCAAGGAATCTGCATTTTAATCACACACCTACCATTGGATGCTAATGCTCATGACCCACACAAGACAAATACTGTATAAAAAGATTTTTACTTAGTACTATAGGTCTCCAAAGTAAGGCACACACACCTCAGGGAACATGCAAGATAATTCAGTGGGATGCTAGAAGAAGATGTTAAAATACATATTTGTATTTAAATTCAACTTTATTAATAGTTAATATATGGGTACAGATGGCTTCATCTGATCTGTATATAAGGTGAGGGGAGAATAAGACCTGACAGTGAAGCCTTATCCCCTCGCATCCAGCATACCATGACAGATAACAGTTTACAGATGCCACACAAAATGGAAAGTGGCACAAAAAGATTTCTAGGAAAAAAAAAATCAATAGATTAAAAGATAACAGTAATAATGCAAGCATATGGGAACAAGGAAATGGCAGAGTTAACCCTTCCCCTAAACCTGTATTAGCTCTTTGCCAAATTACAAGGACAAAAATTATAAAATCAGATGACCAGAAGTCTGTGAATACTTTTAGAAAAAAGTTTGTGCCACGTAAAGAACATTTTGAAACATCTTGAATATTAAAAACATTGTATTTTGTGCTTTTGTGGCTGCAAACATATTACCTACCAAAACTTTTTTATCTTCACAATATAACAACTTAGAAATAATTTCCTGACCTATTTAAAAATCTCCATAACCTCAAAAGAAGTTGTTTTAAAAAATATTCCAAAGGGCTTTAGTGGCTTTTAGAAAGCTACTTGTTAAAAATATGTAAGTTCTGATTAGTTGCAAGAACAAATGTTGTTCTTCCATGAAGGCAAACATTTGTTGTCACTAGGGTTGTGAAATTTAGAATGCTTTCACTCACTCTACTCCTCTGGCTCAGCTGTCACTTCTAAGTTTTGCTAAGATAGCTTACTTTAGTACTGATAGTTACTAGTGTGAGATTTTTCCATGTATTATCTTTTCTGCTTGAAGATTACTTAACACTTATGTTATAAATACCCAGTCACTCTATCAGAGAATACAGGCCTTTGTTATAATTTGCTGTCTGTTTAAAGTTTTTAAGTTATTTTCCTTATGTGAAGTTATACACATACAGATATATCATTTGGATCATTACATATCCTCAAGATGAATGATCTTACCTGAAAAAGGGATTCTTGGTTGCATTCTAAAGTCTAGAGATGTCATTTTCTTTTTCCTTTGTAAATTCCTCTTTTTACCCTGAAATTCAAGAATTTGAATATCTCCTCCATGTTTAATAGCATCTCAAACTCAACATTCCGAAACTAAATTGATTCCTCCAGCTGCTACCACTGCAAAATCTGATCCTTACACAATCCTCCCCATCACAGTATAAACAGAAACTCCATCCTGTTACTGAGGGGAAAAAAAAAAAAAAGAAGTGTTTTTGATTTGTATCTCACACATTGTAATCCTATCCATCTACTTTCAAAATATTTACAGAATCTCACCATTTGTTTTACTCCACTGATACCACACGGGTCCAAGCCTGTGTCATTTCTTGTCTATATTGTTGCAATATCCAATGATCTGGTGTCCTAGCTTCTGCCTTTGCTACCAACAAGAAGGTTGAGTCAATTACTCTTAAATCACGTATCACTCCTCTGCTTACAGCTCCTCAAATGGCTTCCCATATGTATCAGCAAATTAAAGCCAAAAAGGCTTCCATTCATCTACAAAGCTCCGTAATCTTGTTCACTACTGCCTCTGCCCTCATTGCTCACTCTTCTTGCTCCCTCCACACTAGCCAAGTGGATTCCTTAATGGTCCTTTAAATGGCAGGTATGTTCCTGCCTGCCTTAAACCTCCTGTTCCCTATCTGGAATGCTGCTCCCCCTGCCCTTGCTCTCCCCCCACCACCACATATTTACCACACTAGATACCTCACTTCAAATTGCTGATCAAATATCTTATCTGAGATGTCTCTGACCATCCATATAAAATAGTAAATCCTGCCACTACCTTATCCCAACATAGCCTAGTCACTCTACTATGCTTTATTTTTTTTTTTGTATTACTTATTACCACCTGAGACATATTTATTCATTTACTTCCTTCCACCCAATAAAGGAACTAACATTGCTTTGTTCACCCTGTATTCCCAGCAACTAAAACAGTACTTGTCACTGCAGGAAGTAACAATAAATATTTGAATGAAATTTATCTGCCTAGGTGTGTCCCCACACTCCAACCCCACCCATGTTGCTTGGAACCTATTAGAGTGAGAGCCCTTTCGAACTAAAGTTTCCTATAGTATTTAGTAATTGTGCCCTCCTGTATCGTTTCCCTTTTTCTCCTTGTGGTTCTTCACTTACTCACATTAAATATCTTAGACTCGTCTTCTAGGTGTTTTGATTTTTGAAATCTCCGTGTCTTTGGATTTTTACTTTTCCAAAGATAACTACTTCTACATGATATCCAAGGCCACTATTTAGTCCCCAATAGTGGCCATGCCTCTCTTTTTCTACCACATTTTAATGTAGTTTAATTGCTAGAAAGTTTATTTTATACTGACTGAATTTTCTCAGGTGCTTTTTCAAAATTAAAGTTGTCATTCATCTCCACCAGCAATTCTTTTTCACCATCCATTTCTTCTGTGTTCCTGTTCTCTCTAGATGCTATTTTTCTTTAGGTTTCCTTAGATATTCTTCTTTGTCCACTCACTCCCCATTTAGCATAAATCAAATTGTGGGATACTCTTGAGCGGAAACAAACTTGTGAGCAATAGAAGGCAGCTCTCTTCTGTAGGCTGATTATCTACTAACCAGCAAGTTGCCACTCCTCATCACAGATGACAGGAGGAAAATCTCTTCCAATGTCTTTTTTGTTTTTTTGCTATTTACTTCCCCTCCCCCAGCCTCACAGGGAGATGTGGAATTGTGCCCACCATGCAGCAACCAAACAGGTACTCTGAAGCTAGTCTTCCTAGTACCATACATATGAACTGCACCGCTTTTCCTCTAAATCCATGTATCTTTGAAAGCAAGGTTCTTTCCGTTCAGACCTTTGCTGAAGGCTTCACAGCTGCCCGTCTCTAAACCTTCATCTGGATTACAGGAAGAAAATCAAAGCAAGCTCTCTTTCCCATCTTCTGGTAAAATCAAGGGACTGTATACACTCTTATTTGCCCAAAGGCTCCAGGCTCACAGCAGCTGCTCTATTCAAGACAGGGTAGTTGGCAGATGGAAACAGAGATTGAGGGGAGGGAATTTAAGATACATAATCAAACCATCTCCCTAGAACCTGTTTACCATGAAAGATGTAACTAAGTTTAAAAGTGGGTGGAAAATAAATAAATACAGGGTGACAAGATGAAAATACAAGAAAGAGATACAGTAATAGTGCAAAATGCATGACAGAGTAGGAAAGGTGTAGGAGAAATACATATGAAGGACAAGTCCCTGATGGGTGACAGGATGTTTAAAACACTGGAATACGAGGAAATAAAAGATTCTTACATGCATACAGGTTTGTGACATATAGCATTAAGAAGTCCATGGCTTCTGTTTCCTCTGTCATGAAAAGGTGAGGTCACTTCTGGGTGAAGAAAGTGTAAAGCTGGGTCATAGCTGGATCATAACATCTAAGGAACTGGCAAGGGAGTGAGTGAGAACGAAAAACTCAACATCAATCGCCAAAAAAGAAAAGGTAAACAACTTCATGCTTGCTAACATGGAAATGGATTTGGGTAAGATCTAGATAAAGTTCAGAATAGCATCTAACCATCTCACTGTAGGCAAAGAAAATTCACAACCTCCCAAGAATTCTCCCCTAAAACCCAGAACAAAGCAAACTGAGGAAATCAGCCAGCCCATAGAAAAGTCAAAGAAAAATCCTCAAGAATGAAAATGCTTTCCTACCACACTAAAATCTCCAGGGATTCCTTTTAGCCAGCCACCCACCATTGGGAACTGCTCAGGATATTCTCTCTTAGTAATGAATTGCACATACAACTGGGGGAAGTGACCCCCCAACTGGGGCAAGTGACCCCAGCACTTAATGAAACCTTAGAGGGCATAGCTCAGATTTTCCAACAAAGGTTTTAACCACTTTCAGTATCATTAAGCGACAAAAGTAGCAAAGAATACAAGAACTAGCCTCACATGAGAGCAAACTTAGAAAACAAGACTCAGAGGGTGGGAAGGCTGTCAATAGTGTCTTAGTAAAAGTCTTCATCATCTGGGCTAATGGGACAAGTATGTAATTCTTTAACAATTTGGATGTTGGAGAAAGGCACTGAAATGATCTATACCTTTAACATTTTATTAATTCATCTTTAAATATATTTTCATCTTTAAATATTCATCTTTAAATATCTAATCAAAGTTTTTAAAGCATGGATCCTGTAAAGCTAATGCCAACCAGTCACCGGTTACCTTCTCCTTGTTGCCATCTTTCTTCTCACTCCTATGCTTGTCATTCTCATTTCAACACTTACACGAGTAATTGCAGCCCCATAGATCCTTGACTCCTCATTTTAATGAATACCTCACCCTCTCTATCTCAGTTACTTCCAAGGTCTTGACTTTTTCTCATCAATATCAGATCACCTCTGAAGTCTTGACTTCACACATCCCATCCTCTGACCACCTCCCCCTATCTTTCAGGCTCACTTCATTGTTGTTATCAGTTCACAGGACAGCACCACTTTCTCACCATTCACCACCTTCCCTCTATCATGTATTCCTTGAACAGCTTAGATTCCATGTTTCAGTACTACAATTATTACCTTGAAAATATCTCCAACTCCCTGGCCTGCTTCTACTGCCATCAAAATAGCTTAAAAATCTAACTGCAATTCTCTATACCTGAAATCAAGCAACTAAATGTCACTGGAGAAAAATCACACTAGGTTTGCCTAGCTTTTCTTAAATTCATGACAACCCCAGAAGCATATAACGCTGTCCAAATTAGTATTTTCCCATTAAGCTGAAGTCGTCTTCTCCTCAAATTCCTACATCAAACTGCTTTAGCCTTAAACTACTTTAATGCATCTCAAATTTATTTCATCATCAGTGACCCTTACACTTCCTTTTTGTCCTCAGTAGTGCATTATGGAATAAAAATATATTATCTAAAAATATAAATATTTTAAAATTGTGATATAGTCAAGCCCTTTAAAAACATTAGTGATGCTTAATTGTGCTAAAACAACTGAATGAGCCACAAGGAAGTTCACTTGATCTCCCCCCATTTACACTGACTCGATAAACACTTTCAAACTATTCCATTTTAAAGAAAAATGTTTGTATTATTAAAAAGAGAGAAATAGATGGCCATTACACTTAGAGTATTAACATTGTGAACTCCATGAAGGCAGTTCTTCTGTGAGTATCCATTACTATATTTTATTAAAGTGAATATGTTGTATAACCCAATGTTTTGACTTGTACTTTGTTGGCAAAATAATCATAGTCCAATAAAATATCCAAATGTAATCAAAAGTATCTCCCAAATGTCTTCTGCTTCACTATGGTCTCAGCTCTATTTACATTACTTATGTAATAGAAATCATCATTCTCTAGATGAGGGTGAATTATAAACTATAAATAATTCTGTGTCAAAGGATCCACAAGTAATTATGAGACAGATTCAACAACAAAGCCTTCTTCAGAGCTACTTTACATTGTTTTCTAGGGTCATTTAAGAAAATAAAGAGGAAAAATTATTCCAACTCACCATAAATGCTGATAATTACATGAGTAAATATGAAAGTACTTCAGAAAATGAAAGAAAAAATGCTTATTTGGCAATGTGCTGTTATTTATATACTAGCACCTTTGAGCCTTAAAAAAATTCAACAGCATTTACAACACATGCTATATCTATTTTAGCTATGCAGATGCTCACTGAAAAGCAGATAATCAAAGGAACAGAACAGCAGAAATAAAATACATATTTAGTGGGCACTTATGAATTGAATAAAAATTAGGTTTGAATATAGCCCATTAAACTCATCATTAAAGAAATTTTGTTGCAGAAGATTCACAATTATTGGTACCACTGACATGATGCTGCTGTTAATGCTCTGATTATATGAGTACAGTTTGTTTTGAAACTACAAAATGTTAAAATCAGAATGCTCAAACTGTGAAGGTAATGTAATTTACCAGGACACACTCTTAATTCTACTATAATAATAACATAGAAAATTTGACCATAATCAAACAGTAAGTTCAGCAGAGCATGAACTTGCTACCATTACGAACTATGATTCTATACATTATTTAACTCGTTAACAGAAACTGTAAATGGTTTTAACTCATTAGTTTCCAAAGTGAAATTTATATTTCATTTATTCCTCAGAGAAATACTATGCCTGACAAATCCCAATAATCTTTTCATGTAAAGATAGCATTCCAGCCCACAATACAGCTTCTAACTTCTTCGTATGAATGTTTTTGGGGGATTGAGGACAAAGGGAGAATGGAAATGTCCCTAGTGCTCTTAAAACAAAATAGGGCAACATGTTTTATTTACAATTGAACCTAAAATTTAAGAGCCCACCAAACTGGAATCAGAATGAACAGAACAGGCCAGGCATGGTGGCTCACGCCTGTAATCCCAACATTTTGGGAAGCCGAGGCAGGTGGATCACCTGAGGTCAGGAGTTCAAGACCAGCCTGGCTAACATGGTGAAACTCTGTCTCCACTAAAAAATACAAATATAGCCAGGTGTGGTGGTGCACACCCATAATCCCAGCTACTCGGGAGGCTGAGGCAGGAGAACTGCATGAACCCAGGAGGTGGAGGCTGCAGTGAGCCAAGATCGCAGCACTGCACTCCAGCCTGGGTGACAGAGTGAGACTCCATCTCAAAAACAAACAAAGAAAAACAAACAGAATGAAAAATAAAACAAAGAAAACAAAACAAAGAAAAACAAAAAGAATGAGTAGAATATTTTATGAGTTCACATGGCACCCAAACTTAAACTCTAATTAAGAACCACTTTGAGAAACAGCACCAACTGGTGGTTAAAAAATCACTTACAGCACTTACTCTATGTACATGAACTGCATTACTTATGAAGCATTATAATCAAACTCAGGTTAAATAGCTTTTAGTAAATTTAAAGTGGACAGAAATGGAATTCAATGGCAAACAAAATCCTCAGACAGATCATTTGCTTAAATTCGACATAGCATGAACCCCACTTTTTGAATTTTGGCAATAAAACTAGTTTTATTTCATTAGCTTTACTCATATAAAAATGCTTCCCACTTTTCAGTAAATGGCACATATTTATAACTTCCAAGATGCCCTTATAAAGATTACCTAAAATAATACACAGAAACCCAAAACACATAAAAAACCTGCAAGTATTATCTATTATATACTAACTAAATATAAATCTTTATACATCTATTATACATTTTCAATTTTTCCTTAGTTATTATTCCAACAGATATAAACAATGCTGGGATCAACATACTTGCAAATGTGCCAACAAATATGCCAGAATATATAGGACATGGCATTTCAAAATTCCCACTCCAATTCTTAACTTAAGTCAACTTTAGTCATTTCTCCACTTTTTATTTCTATCATTAGAATAGCTGGGTGAATCTCAAACACAAGTGAATAAATAGTAGAAATTCAGTCAAGTAATATTAAGGCTAATGTAATTAAATTTTCATGTTGTACTTTTTTAAAGAAACAGAGCAGCTGCCAACTTTTCAGCTGAGAACAAATTTCTATAGTTCTTATTTTATAAATTATTTCTCAGCATTCTATATGGACTTTAACCAGACAAACCAATAATTTCTTTATTAAGAATCTTTTTTTAAAAAGTATGTGTATATGAAGGGCTTTAATAAACTTCCAAAAAAATTAAAAATAAAAAATTTAAAAAGACTTATCTTACTCATAATTTTGCATTTAAACAAGCAATTTCAAAACACAAAGTTTACAGCTACTTTCTAAGCCATTAATTTGACTAGCTTTTATAAATAATTGTTGTATTTGTAATATTATAAAATATACTGCTAGTCTCAAAAAATTTTATATACTTTAGTTCAACAAATATTCCTCCCCACCCCTCCAAAAAAGAACAATGTAATCACTTTAATTTTTGTTAGCAGTCAGAAAAATTTTTATTTAGGAAAAATATTCCCTCAATATTTATTAGATAATGAATCTTATTTAAATGAATAGTTTACTTTTACTTTTCTGTGTAGACCAATTTAAAAGTATGCCACTTTCCTTTCATAAGCAAACTGTATTTGTCTCATTCTACATGGCAGATCAAAAATTAATACTTCTTTCTGCCTTAAAAATTATGAGATTTTCCTCATTATGAATTAGTTGTTTTTATATGGATTACTGTTGTGCTGCTAAAAACAAATGTTAGTAAAAGTTATGGAGACATGGGAAAAAAACAAACTATAATACTAGTTAATAATGAAATACATTAAACATTGTTTAAATATTAAACAGTAAAATACTCCTATATTAAATAAATAATTAAAAATTGCATTTGTCAATGGGAATATAGGCCAATACCACCAATAAAAGGGATGGTCTAGTGCAAAGGGTGGCCACAAAACAACAACAACAACAAAAAATCAAAAACCACACATACATACAGAAAAGAAGGAAGAGGAAACACATTTAATACTGGTACTGTTTTCAATAACAAATTAAACCAGTGATTCTGAATCCTTCCTGCACATTCAAATTACCTGGAGAACTTTAAAAAAAATACTGATGACCAGGTCTTGTCTCAAATTACATGAAAATGGGAATCAAGATTCAGGCATGGATATTTTTAAAAACTCTCCAAATGATTCTAAAATGCAGTCAGGGTTGAGAGCAACTGATTGAAACCTACATATTTCTTACTGTTCCTTGACTGAGAAGAATGTCCTATAAATATAGAAATAGAACTTTTTCCTTTACAGGTTGGGCATACAAGGGTATCTCCAGTTAGCAGTAACTTATGGAGGGGTAAGTCAAGTTATTAATTTATACTTCATTTCCATTAAAATATCTACTTATACCTCTCTTCATTCCCTGTAATTCTGTACTCTCAAACTCCAAGACCAAGAAGAGTCGAACTACACTTTTATAATAAATTTGTTACACTGAAAATACATTATTCATTCATGCATGTAAGTATTTACTGAATGCCTACTATGTGCAAGGCACTGTGTTAAGTACTGCTATATAGGACCATGTCATGGGAGAATAAATGGGAGTGGCTGAAAATTTTTGTTTTTTAGAATAAACAGCTAAAAAATAATGGAATGAAATTAATTACATGGACCTAAATAAGAGACTAAATTGTCAAAGAGGAAAAGAAAAAGAGGTGCTTATACTAAGGGTCTGATTTTAAGATAGATGGTTATAGCCTATTTGTCCTTTTCCTAATGTTCCTTTACAGTATTTCCATAAGCCTTTGAATATACATAAGGCAAATTCAAAATAGAAAAATAAACCTCATTCAAAGTAGATGTTCCTAATTTTAACCATATTCTGTCTCAAGTAAAGTTCATAAATAAGTACAAATACCAAAAATCTTTATGGGAAGGTAGTTCATACTGACTTGTAGTAGTCTTGACAAGTAATCTTACATAAAAATATTACAGATTCTGGTCCTTGACTATTTCATCATGGAGAAAGTTTACACAACATGTAATTTATTTTGGAAATATATTTATATGCTAAGAAAGCCTAATGTAAACAAATTTGAGTTTTCTTTTATCTTTAAGGAAAGAAGACGCTAAAAAGGGAGGAAAATAGGGGTAGAATCTGTTCAAACCTTGTTAAGTATGCTAAAATCTAGTAATTTAAAATGCTGACTGTTCCCTTCTGAAGAGCCTTGTAAATATCATGTGAATAAATATCTTTTCTAGTTACTAGTGGTATGAACTATGTGATCACTTAAAAAATAATAACTTCTCATTTTTGTGACAGTGTTAAATTTCATTAAGAAGCTAGATAATGTCAGCTTAATACCTATGAAAGGCCTAAACGTTCACCAAAAATATGTTAACCTAGGAGAAAATTGCTGGGAATAAAAACAGAGAAAAAAATGACATAAGACTGTGATCAGCAAAAATTCCAATGGCAAAAACACTTTAGGAAAGTAAAGCTTCCTAGTTGCCTTTAAGGAAAAAAAAAAAACAAAGTGAAATCAAGGTTCAAGGCAAATGGTCACTTGATGTACCTTGGATGCAACATTTTGTCTGAAGTAGAGAAATAGTAAAATATTTCACTAAGTTAAAATATAGTTTTTATATTTTATACCATATTGAATACAGACATAAAAATACCAGTGTTTTTCTCTTGTTTCTTTTCAGACAATTAAGCAAATGTTTTCTTTGGTGCCTGGGAGTTTATCAATATTTAGGGATAATGGAAGATAAGAACTCCAAGACTGACAAGCCTAAAATAGAAGATTCAAAATCCTATACCATAAAAATTACAATCAAAAGTGGACTAAAGAGAAAAGGAGCTTAAAGTTATACTGCAATAGGGCTGATACATATTCTTCCCCCAAATCATACTCTGGCTCCCAAAATAAAAAATACTACAGCCTATTGTGGTTTTAATCTGTGTTTTGAGATTTTTTTCAAATGGAAAGATATTACAGATAGAAACACATCATTCTAGGTTTCAAAATCACCAAAGTCAGTGAGAAGAATGTACATTCATTTAAATGTAATCATTTGTAAATAAAGAAATCTTGAAAAGGCTGAACAGTTCAATCAAATTGAAGAATTGATCTAGATTTTTCATTATTCTTTTTAAATAATGAGTAAGTGTAGATATAGTGTACATACAAGTTGACATTCTGATTCATTCAAAATAGTCACATCCCTTTGCTTGGTTTTGGATGTTCCAGAGACTAAAATTTAATACCATTCATAACATAGTATTTTCAGTAAAAAGAATTATAGAGCAATGAAAAATCAGAAGATGGCTCAGAGAGCCTTATAATCTCTAAATATACACACATTTATAACCTGCATTTATTTTCTAAAGAAACAAATTTTAAGTAATGCTAATTTAACCAATGGAGAAAAAACTTCTATCAAAATATACAATTTCCATTACAGACTAGAAGGCTAATATTAAAAAAATAGTTGTAAGCCAAAAAGTTTGCTTATATGGATGACAGGTATCATCTCCTTGAAGCACAAAGCATCAAATAAGGTCTTATAAAAGATCAATCTGTGACCTTCTTCATTTTTAAGTTCTTGATAAATTCATAAAGCTTGAGTCTCAATTTCCAGAAATGGAGGAGCCAAATAATTCAGAATCTCAAGTGCGATTTATGCTTTACCATGTACCTGAAAAAAATATTATGGTAGGTTATAATGACTATAGGAATTTTAGAATTTTTAGAATAATGCATGTAAAAACAAGTTGACATTTCTTAAAACTTAAAATCAACAGAATAAAATGCTGTTTTCTAGAAAACTGGAAATATAAAGACTCTGGAATAAGCTAGAAATAACACTCCTCTTATTAAGTAATATAATCTAAGAGCTTCTAGCTAAAATAATATATGTTTCACAGATATGAGAGACTTGCACCAAAAATGTTACAGATTTTAAGGAGCATACCTCAAAGAGAACCGATTCAGTGGTATTTACTGTGATTATAGGCTGTTCTTAAATTTGCCGATTACAAAACTGTTATTAATGTAAAGGGCTTTATGAACACTATACTAGTAATTAAAATAAATTTTAAAAAACCATTTCCTTTTGTGAACCATCCGTAACACAAATAAATCCAGAATCATAGATCTTTCAGTACTTGCAAAAAACACAGGGTTCTCTTAATCCAAAGTTCCTTGGATAGAAAATAAGGTTCAAAAAGGTCACACAGATAATTAGAGACAGATTACAAAACCAAGACTAAAGTCTAAGTCTTCTGACTCAGTTTAGTG
Source organism: Homo sapiens (assembly GCF_000001405.40). Classification (NCBI taxonomy): domain Eukaryota; kingdom Metazoa; phylum Chordata; class Mammalia; order Primates; family Hominidae; genus Homo; species Homo sapiens. The sequence goes on along the minus strand of NC_000001.11, from coordinate 193,250,073 downwards.
TTACTTCTATCAGGCTAAATTCTCCAACTAAAGTAATTATACAATAAAAAATTGTTAATTATGTACTGAAGATAAGCATCAAGTTAATGTTGAAAGAAGGGAATTAGGGAATAAGACTGACAACTCTATGGAACTTAAAATTTAACTGAGACAGAAAAATTACAATAAAACACACACAAGCATATTTTAGAATCGGAATTACCTGTCCAATGTTTCCCAAAACCGTAAGAACACTGGTCTATCCAAATGACGTTTGTGATAGCTGAGTTCTAATACTGTTACATCCCATTTCTGAACATTTGGATCCAGACGAACTTCATCATACTTCAGATGGAAGGCTTTAACTATAGAGAGGGTGGAGAGAAGTTATCATTTTTACTCAAAATAAAAAAAAAGAAAAAAATTTCTTTATTCCACCAACTGAAGCCGTATTATAACTAAAGTGATCTTTTAAAATATTATCTTTAAAAACATTCAGGGTTTATACACGCCAGCCACTGGACACTAAAATGAGGAATAAGGTAAGATAAAATGCATATAGTCTAGTGAAGGACAGTAAGAAAGACTATAAGGTTGGTACGTTATCACAGAAACATAAGAGTGCAACCATACCTTGGAGATATTGTGGGTTCAGTTCCAGACCACCGCAATAAAGTATCATAATAAAATGAGTTACGCATATTTCCTGGTACCTCATTGCATTTTTATAAAAGTTACGTAGTTACGTTAACACTGTATCACAGTCTATATTACGTGTGCAATAGCATTATGTCTAAAAAACAGTGTACATCCCCTAATTAAAATGTACTTTCTTGCTAAAAAATGCTAACAATCATCTGAGCCTTTAGCAAGTCCTAATTTTTTTTGCTGGTGTAGGATTATGCCTCAATGTTGATGGCTGTTGACTGAACAGGGTGTGGTGGTTGATGAAGGTTAGGGTGGCTGTAGCGATTTCTGAAAATAAGACAACAATGAAGTTTGCTGCACTGATTGACTCTGCCTTTCACAGAAGATTTCTCTACAGTATGTGATAATATTTGACAGCATTTTACTTACAGAAGAACTTCCTTTAAAATTGGAGTTAATCCTCTCAAACTCTGCCGCTTTACTATATTTATGTCATGTTCTAAATCCTTTGTTGTCATTTCAACAACGTTTATGGCATCTTCACGAAAGTGCTCACTGGAGTGAATTCTATCTCAAAAAAACCACTTTCTTTGCTCATCTGTAAGAAGGAACTCCTCATCCATTCAAGTTCCAGCATGAGTGTGCAGCAATTCAGTCACATCTTCAAGCTCCACTTCTAATGCTAGTTCACTTGCTATTTCCACACCCTATCTTTATTTCCTCCACTGAAGTCTTGAACCCCTCAAAGTCATCTATGAACCATGAAGGTAGGAATCAACTTCTTCTAAACTTCTGGTTATGTTAATATTTTGACTTCCTCCTATTAATCACAAATGTTCTTAATGGCATCTAGAATGGTAAATCTTATTAAATTAAAAAGTTTCAATTTACTGTTCCCTGATCCATCAGAGGAATCACTATCTATAGCAGCTAAAGCCTTACAAAACTTATTTCTTAAATAATAAATCTTGAAAAGTCTAAATCACTCCTTGATCTATGGGCTGAGGAATAGATGTGTTAGTAATCATGAAAACAACATTCATCTCCTTGAACACCTTCATCAAAGCTCTTGCATGACTAGGTACATTGTCAATCAGCACTAATATTTTGAAAGGAATCTTTATTTCTGAGCAGTAGGTCTCAACAGTGGCCTTAAAATATTCACTGAACCCTGCTGTAAACAGTGTTGTCATTCACGCTTTTTTGTTCAATTTCTAAAGCACAGGCAGAGTAGACTTAGCATAATTCCTAGCGGCCCTAGGATATTTAGAATGTTAAGTGACCACTGGTTGCAACTCAAAGTCCCCATCTGTATTAGCCCCTAACAAAAGAGTCAGTCTGTCCTCTGAAGTTTTGGAGCCAAAGCACAGCCTTCTCTGCAACTATAAAAGTACCAGATGGATCTTCTTCCAATAACAGGCTGTTTCATCTACGATGAAAATGTGTTGTTTAGTGTAGTCAACTTCATCAATAATATTCACTGTATCTTCTGGATAACTTGCTGCAGCTTCTTTATCAGCACTTGCTGCTTCACCTTACACTTTTATTTTATAGAGATGGCTTACTTCCTTAAATCCATGAACCATCTACTGCTACCTTCCAACTTTTCTTCTGCAGAATTCTCTCCTCTCTCAGCCTTCACAGAACTGAAGAGAGTTAGGGCACTGCTCAGGATCAGGCTCTGGCTTAGCAGAATATTATGGCTGGTTTGATCTGCTTTCCATACCAATCAAGCTTTCCCCATATCAGCAATAAGGTTGTTTTGCTTTCTTATTATTTGTGTGTCGACTGGAGTAGCACTTTTAACTTCCCTGAAGAAGTTTTCTTTTGCATTCACAACTTAGCTGTTTGGCATAATAGACCTAGCTTTTGGCCTGTCTCAGCTTTTGACATGCCTTCCTTACTAAGCTTAATCATGTCTAACTTTTGGTTTAAAATGAGAGATGTGCAACTCTTCCTTTCATTTAAACACTTGGAGGTCACTGTAGGGTTATTAATAGGCTTAATTTCAATACTGCTGTGTCTCAGGAAAAAGAGAGGCCTGAAGAGAGAGAGAGAGAGAGATGAGGGACTAATTGGTCAGTGGGGCAGTCAGAACAACAGTTATCAATCTAAGTTTGCCATCTTATATGGGTGTGGTTTGTGGTGCCCAAAACAATTTTAATAGTAACATCAAAGATCACTAGTCCCATATCACCATAACAGATACAAAAATAATGAAAGTTTGAAATATTGTAAAAATCACCAATACGAAAGGGACACACACTGTTGGACAATTGGTGCCAATAGACTTATCAACACACAAGGTTGCCACAAACCAATTTGTTCACAAAAAAAAATTCTGCAAAGCCTGATAAAGCAAAGCACAAAACAAGCTATGCCTTGTACCTTACACGCACAAATTCAGTCAAAAACCTTGCAAAGGCACTGATGTCTAACCTAAGATCTAAAGGCCAAGTACGAATTAAGCGAGCACAGAACAAAAGTGACCTAGTGAATAAGCTGATCATGCTGAAAGAGAAAATGGATTAGTCTAGAAACTAGAGAAAGTTAATAGAACTGCATCGTGCAAAATAATGTAGGGAAGGGATATATACAGCACAGAGGTTCAGAAAAATGTTAGGCTTGCAGGCCATATTAAGTAGTTTTTATAATATTTAAGTGACATGGACAATCACTGCAAAGTATTTAGTAGAGAATAATTATAGTTTATTAAGCTAGAGGATAAAGAGATTTTTCTTCAATAGAACAGAATATATATGGGTGGCAAGAGAAAAGTGGGGAATGAAAACTAACAAAATTTGGTAAGAAATGATGAAGAGAAAAAAACTGCTAGGAATTTTGGTGGTTTTTTTGATAGCTACTATAAATGGGATTGCCTTCTTGATTTCTTTTTCAGCTAGTTCACTGTTCATGTACCACAGTGCTAGTGGTTTTTGTATGATGATTTTGTATCCTGCAATTTTACTGAATTCATTTACCAGTTCTAAGAGTATTTTTGGTAAAGTCTTCAGGTTTTTCTAAATATAAGATCATGGCATCTGCAAACAAGAACAATTTAACTTCCACTGGGGAAAAGACAGTCTTCAATAAATGATGCAGGGAAAACTGTATATCTCTATATACAGAAGAATGAAACTAGATTCCTACCTCTCACCCCATACAAAATCAACTCAAGACCTAAATATAAGACCCCAAATTATAAAATTACTAGAAGAAAACATAGAGAAAACACTTCAGGACACTGGTCTGGGAAAAGGCTTTATGAATAAAAGCACTGACAACAAAAACAAAAATAAACAAATGAGATTATATCAAACTAAAAAGCTTCTGCACAGTAAAGGAAACAACCAACAGAGTGAAAAGACAACCTAAAGAATGGGAGAAAATATCTGCAAATTACTCATCTGACAGGGGATTAATAATCAGAATATACTAGAAACTTAAAAATTTCAAAGCATAAAAAATCAGATTTTATAATGTGGAAATGATCTAAACAGACATTTCTCAAAAGAAGACACAAAAATAGTCAACAAATATATTAAAATATGCTCAATGTCACTAATCGTCAGGAAATCCAAATCAAAACCACAATGAGGTATCATCTCACTCCAGTTAGGATGGCTATTATACAAAAGACAAGAAAATACCAAATGCTCCAGAGGATGTGGAGAAAGGGCAACTCTTATACATTGTTGGTGGGAATATAAACTAGTAGAGCCACTATGGAGAATAGTCTAGAGTTCTCAAAAAACTACCAAGAGAACTACCATATGATCCAGCAACCTCATTAATGGGCATTTATCCAAATGAAAGGAAATGAGTATACTGAAGAGATATCTGCACCCCCATGTTTAATGCATTCTATTCACAGTCCTATTAACAACAGCAAAGATATGTAATCAACCTAAGGGTCCAACAACAGATAAATGGATAAAGAAAATGTGGCATACATGTACACAATAAAATACTATTCAGCCATAAAAAAATGAAATCCTGTCATTTGTGGCAACATAGATGGAAATGGAGGACATTATGTTAAGTGAAACAAGCCAGAAACATAAAGTTAAACACCACAAGTTCTCTCTCATATGTAGAAGCTAAAAAAAAGTTGAACTCATAGAAGTAAAAAGTGCAACAGAAAATACTATTGGCTGGGAAGAGTAGGGGGTAGGGGGAATACAGAGAGATTTGTTATGACTGGATAGAAGAAATAAGTTCGAGTGTTCCACACCACTATAGGATTATAGTTAACAATAATACATAGTTTCAAATAGCTAGAAGGAGGAAACTGACTATTCCCAAAACAAAGAATGATAAACATTTGAGATGATAGCTATGCTAATTATGATAACCTGATAACTATACATTGTATGTATCAAAATATCACTATGTACCCCATAAATATGTACAATTATATGGCAATTTAAAAAGTTAAACTAAAAAATTATAATCAAAGATATATCTAACATACATTGTCTACTACACATTATGCATTATTGTAGGCACTAAAGACACATAGTGACCAAGACAAAGTCTCCACCCTAAGGGAGTTTATATTCTAAGAGTCAACAGTTTAACAGATAAATATACAACACTCAGGTAGTATAAATGCTACTGAGGAAAAATAAGGCAGAATAAGGACATAATACACGTGTGGAAGGTTTTTGTCAATAGTATTTAGAGAGGGGTTCTCAAGATTATCTAGAAGCAGGTAATTGAAAAAACAAGTCTTGCAAAGATTTGGGAGAGGAAGATTTTAGGCAGAAGGAACAGCTGACACAAAGATTCCAAGATGGAAGCAAGCATGGAATGTCCTATGTTGAAGAATAATTTTTTTAAAAAATGTTAAAAAACGTTACACTTGCTACTTTGTTTGTTTGGTTGGTTGTTCAGTTTGAGACAGGGTCTCACTATGTAGGCCAGGGCCTCAAACTTCTGGGCTCAAGTGACCCTCCTGGCCCAACCTCTCCAGCAGCTGGGACTGCAGGCACATACCACCACAACCAGCTTCAGTTTAACTTTCTTTGTAGGCAATAGCCTATATATACATTCTCAGCTACAGTGTAAAAAATCTGATTTTTATTCCACATGTGATAGTAAGCCACTGGAAAGTTTACAAGAAGAAGGTGAAATTATATGATTGCCATTTTTAAAAGACAACTCTGGATTGTTCGGCAGGTGATATAATCTAGGGCAAAATTTCCCAACTAGTTGTACTAAAAACAGGTAGGTTATAAAATAATGATTTACAATCTTTTTCTCTCCTTAATAATCAAGTTGAATCATCCCAGCTAGTTTATCATTATATCTGCAATCCCTTTATTATCAAGGGAGCTTTTGTTTTGCATGTGCATGTACAAATGTTAAGCTTTTTCCCCCCAATTTTTTACTTTTTCACTAGCATATGATTATGATCAGTATCAACCTGGTATAAGAGGTTTTAAAGAGAAAACAATTGACTTTTAAAGTTTTTTCTGATAGCTATTTTATGGATTGCTTGTTTCATATTGCTTGCTAGCATATTGGCTTTTGATGTTAACAACTAATCAAGATTCAATTCTTAATAAACATTTAAAATGAATAATTTGTGCCCAGAAAAATAAACTTATTTCTAATTTATTTGCTTTTATAAATAAAAGTCTCTTCATCAGACATAAATTATTCATTTTGAATTTAATCAAATTCATTAAAGGGGCTACATGTAATAACATTCAAGAAACTTACTTTCAAAGTAGTATTCATGTGTAAAATAAATTTGTCAATTAAAAAAAATTTAAAACTCATGCATTCAGTGTAAATCAACATTTTAATCATTTCCATTCTGCTTAGGTGTTGCTTTTCTAACTTGTTCAACTATTTGCTAATCATTCTTCAGAATGCATCTAAGTTACATTTTTTAAAATGATCAAACTGAAGCCATAATGGCCTACAGTCTTCTTTAATAATTTCAACAGATTTCATCTTTATTGATATTTATTTTTCCACCAGAATAGACAACTTTTAAATTTAAAGCTAGGATACTAGAGTCCAAAAAGTGTAAGTCACTAATTTTTAAAAACATATAAAGTTTCACTCATACTTTATTCGCATGAAGCAATGATGCGAAACAAACTTACACCAACATATTATCATTAAAAAAAATCTTTCCTATTCAGAAAAAGTATTAAAAGTTTTTAAGCCTCTGGAAGTTAAAAACAAGAAGTAAGCTGGGCACGGTGGCTCACGCCTGTAATCCCAGCACTTTGGGAGGCCAAGGAGAGCGGATCCTGAGGTCAGGAGTTTGAGACCAGACCAACATGATGAAACCCCGTCTCTACTACAAATAGAAAAATTAGCCAGGCATGGTGGCGTGCACCTGTAATCCCAGCTACTCAGGAGGCTGAGGCAGGGGAACTGCTTGAACCTGGGGGTTGCAGGGAGCCAAGATTGCACCACTGCACTCCAGCCTGGGCAACAGAGCAAGACTCCATCTCCAAAAAAAAAAAAAAGAAGAAGAAGAAGAAGAAAAAGAAATAAAGTTCTTTTGTAAGAAGCCAGTTTTACCGCAGCACAATGAATTACAACTGCAAAATATTTCACACAACTCAGAATTGCTTGTTTTTGCAAACTTCATGAATGCTGCCAACATTTTTTGGGGAAAGCAACAAAGCAAAAGAGATCAAAGAGGTGCCCTTTTAATATTTAGATATACTGATCGCATGACAAATGATAAAGGGATAATACAGAAGATTATTAAATAAAAATATTTTTTCAATGGTAGCTAGCAATAATTTGAAGACATTTATCATTAAAAATATCTTGAGAGGGGCTTCAAGATAGCTAACTAGAGGCATCTGGCACCTGCCTCCTCCAAAAAGAAGAACCACCTTCTGTAAGTTACCAGGAGGGTCAACAAACAAAAAGAACCAAAACAGTGAGTAGATAATCACACTTTGAATAGATGATCTAAGAGAGTGCACTGGAATTCAACAGATAAAGTGAGCAGAAACACCTAAGGCAAGGAAGGAGAAGGGAAGCCAGGATGGGCTCACCAGTGAGATAAGGGTGAGAGACCCCTAATGGTCCACATTCCCACCTCAGACTCCTGCAATCCTAGCCAGGGGAGAGCCACATGACCCTCAGGGGTCCTGACACCAACACAGAAAGCTGCCTAGAGACCACAAGATGCTCCAGATAGGAGGTTCATGCTTGGGTCCTACACATGCCCTAAGCAGCTGCATGCAGCACAGCGCCATTTTGAGGGCTCGGCCCCCACCAGACTGCATCCTACCCTGGGGCCCAAGAGTCCTTACACCCTAAGTCGGGGTGGGGGAAGCACCTGAAGACAGCCCCCCAACCCCTGCAAACCTGCAGACAATGATGATATCTAAGTGCAAGCCACTGGCAGTGACCCCACAACTCCAACAGTCACGTATTTAAAAGCACCCTGAGGACAGATTCTCCCAATCACAGCCACCAACTGGCGGAAGCTCACATGCCCCAGATGCCTGCTTACTGGCCGTTGCCACTGAAAACAACGCTGCTCTCCCCAGCAGCAGGACCCAAGTGCTGGTAGCACACTGCCAAGGACCTGAAGAACACCCCACCCCTGCCTGCGACCTGGAGGCCTGAGGACAGGCCAACTTGGCTGGGCTCTGTCCTCCCCTTCTGCCGCCCTAGCAGTGCCTGAGCACACATTTTGGGGCCTGAGGGTGGCCCTGCAACATCCTCCACTGTTGGCACCTGAGCACTTTTCCCAGGGGCAGAAGACACGCCCAACCAACCTGCCACTACCACCACAACTGTTACCCACCCGCACACACCCCCTGTGGGCCTGCGCACTGTCCTGTCCAGCCCATCAAAGCCACAATTGGTAACAGTGTGGACCTCTGGGGAGCCAGAGGTTGCCCCTTCACTGCTACTGCCATTGCCCACTGCCCAGAAACTTGACCTGCTCACCCTCCAGGCTCACCACTGCCACTGCTGGCACCCAAGATGATGTCTGGACTTACTAGCACAGGTGCCAGCATACGTGGCCTTGGGACTCAAAAACAGGCAGGCTCAGCCTGCTGCTGCCACCACTGGGGCCCAAGGAATAGCCTGCCTGATGTCACTGACCCCAGCAAAACTTCACCACACCCTCCACTAACAAGCAAACCTTAAGCCACTGAGGAAACCACAGACACCACTGACGCTGTTTATAGGTTAGAAATTACACAGCCAGTATGAAGAACCAAAGCCAAAGTGCCCCACCCAATCAAAATCATAGGTACATCTTCGGGGAAAAGTCCTCCCCTAAAAAAGCAAATTCAAAAAACTAGAAGAAGCAATGTTTATACCAGATGTGCAGATATCAACATAGGACACAAGAAACAGAAAAAGTAAGAAATTATGATACCTCCAAAAAAAAGAAAAACAGAATAATTCTCCAGCTACAGATCCCAATGAAAAATAAACTTAGGAAATATCAGAAAAAGAATTCAAAATAATGATGTCACAGAAACTGAGTGGAATACAAGAGAACACAGAAAAACACTGGAGAACTGCTTCAGGACACTGGTCGAGGCAAGGACTTTATGGCTAAGACCTCAAAAGCACAGGCAACAAAAATAGATGGGATTATATTAAAGTAAAAAGTTTCTGTACAGCAATGGAAACAATAAACAATGTGAAGAACAACCTGTTGAATGGGAGAAAATATCTGCAAACTATTCTTCCAACAAGGGACTAATATGCAAGAAACTCAACAATTAAAAAAAAATCCCATTAAAAAGTGGGCAAAGGACATGAACAGAAATTTCTCAAAAGGTAACATACAAATAAATGGCAAACAAATATATGAAAAAATGTTCAACATCACTAACCATCAGGGAAGTGCAGATCAAAACCACGATGAAATATCATCTTACCCCAATTAGAAGGGTTATTACTAAAAACAGAGTAACAGATGCTGGCAAGGATGCAGAGAAAAGGGAACTCCTACACTGTTGGTGGAAATATAAGTTAGTAGAGCCACTATGGCAAACAGTATGAAGATTTCTCAAAACTAAAAACAGAACTACTGGATGATCCAGCAGTCCTACTACTGGGTATTTTTCAAAAGGAAAGAAAATCAGTTTATCAAAGGGATACTTGCACCCCTTGTTTACTGTAGCACTATTCACAACAGTCAAGATCTGGAATCAACCTAAATCCATCAACAGATGAATAAAGAAAATGTAGTATATATACACACTGAAATACTGTGTGGCCATAAAAAAGAATGAAATCCTGTCATCTGTGGCAAGGCGACATGGACAGAACTGGAAGGTCATTCTATTAAGTGAAAGAAACCAGGCACAGAAAGACAAATTTTCCTATGTTCTCACTTTTATGTGGGAACGTTAAAAGTTGATCTCATGGAGGTAGACAGTAAAATGATAAGATACTAGAGGGTTGGAAGGGTGTGTGTATGTGTGTGGCAGGAGGGAAGGAGAGGGATGAAAGGTGGTTGATTAATGTGTACAAACATACAGGTAGAAGAAATAAATTCTTTTTTTAATTTCTAACTTTTAAGTTCTGGGGTACATGTGCAGGACTGTTACACAGTTAAACATATGCCATGGTGAACAGCTGCACAAAGGAATAAATTCTAATGTTCAAAAGCAGAGTAGGAGGCTATACTTAACAATAATGTATTATATATTTCTAAACAGCTAGAAGAGATGACTTGAAATGTTCCCAAAACACAGAAATAATAAACACTCAAGGTGATACATACCCTAAATACTGACTTGATCATTACACATTCTATCCATGTAACAAAATATCACATGTACACCATAAATATGTACAAATATTATGTATCAACAAAAAAAAATTTTAAATGTCAACCAACAAATAAATATAGCCACGTCAAGTATAACATATCTAAAATATATCCAGATATCAGCTTAAACTTATTCTAAATTTGTAAAGATTTTATTTGGCAATTTTATGCAAATCAGTATTTAATCTTCTCTCAAACGATGTATTTCATTATAATTATGCAACATTAACAAAATATAATATAATTTTCTATCAAGGCCCACAGAGATGCTCCCAAATACCCTCAGTTTTCCCCCAATGCTGTACAGTGTAATCTGATGGAGAAAACAACTGGAAGCCAGAAGAGTGAAAGCAGAAAGATCAACCAAGAGCTAAGATAATATACTCCCAAGTTTCTGGCTTAGGCAAATTACTGAAAAGGACTAACAGATAATAAGAAATAGTTTGAGGAATAAGGAAGAGAGTAAAACCATCAATTCCATTTGGAAAAGGTTGAGTTTGATGTACCAATGAGATATCACAGAGAAGTTATCTCATAGTGAGTGAGGTATATAGGTCCAGAATATTGAGCTAAAGACATAATTTTTAGAATGAGGGAATATAAATGGTAATTGAAAGCTATGAGATCTTCTTGAGAGGGTATTTAAAATTATGGGAGAAGAGAAATAGGGACATAACCATATACATTTGATCCTTGAACAATACAAGTTCCAATTGAGTGGGTTCATTTATACATGGATTTTCTTCCGCCTCTGCCACCTGGGACAGCAAGACTAACCCTTCCTCCTCCTCAACCTACTCAATGTGAAGACAATGAAGATGAAGACCTTTATGATAACCCACTCCCACTTAATGAACAGTAAATGTATTTTCTCTTTCTTACGATTTTCTTAACGTTTTCTTTTTCTCTACTTACTTTATCATAAGAATACAGTATACAATGCTAACATGTAAAATATTTGTTAATCGACTGTTTATGTTATCAGTTAAGGCATCCAGTCAACAGTAGGCTATTAGTATGTATGTTTGGGATAAGTCAAAAGTTATATGGGAGTTTTCAACTGCATGATATTGAAGGGTCCATTCCAGTTGATAACCAGAGGAAAAGTAGCAAGAAAATCTGAGACAAAGTGTAACAGGTACTTGGAAAGTAACTTAAAAAGGAGTAAAGGAGTCAACAGAATCAAATTCTGGTAAGTTAACAGTATCCAATATTTGAGTCACTGGTGACTTCAGTGAAAACAGCTTTAGTACAGAGCAAGAGCCAGACTACAGGGGATATGAACAGAAAATGAGTTGGTAGAGACAATTCTTTCCAAAGTGCAGCTATAAAAGGAAAAAGAAGAAGCTAGGGGAAAGGGTGAGGTCAACGGTAAGGGTTTTGTTTTGTTGTTTAAGAAGGAAGGGGAAAGAGTATTCTTAAACGCTGAGAAAAAGGAGTCAGTATAGAAGGAACAGGTGAAAGAGAAAGAACAGTTCATGAAAGTAAATCACTGATGATTGTTAAAATTCTCTAAATTCTTATCTAAATTTCAGAAGACTAAATTTGAACAAAAATTAAAACTTTATATTCTTAATGAATTTCATACAACATTTATATCTTAAAGACATCCTAATCATTTTTTGTTGAAACATTATTCAACAAGGCAAGCAAGTAGGTAAAAAAGAATTCTCGTTGACATTTTACTTTCATTAAAATTCTCATTCCCTTTTTATTTAACTTCCCATTTACCAACTCTGTGTATCACTCAAGTTTCAGAAATAACATAAAAAGCTATCATAATGTCAGTTGCCGGGCCCAACCTGCAGATCCTGGCCGAACGACAGAAGGAAAATGTACGCAGACACAGGTTTTTTCCTGGACGTGCAGCTAGGGGACTGGGCCACTCACAGACGTCGAGGAGGATGCCGTAAAGAGTCACAGCAGCCGCAGCCCTGACATGCCAGCATCTTTTTATTACAGATTTAATGACAAAGGCTTTGAGTCAACACACTTGTGGGTAATTAACGTGGTCACCACTGCCTCGCCACCCCACCACACCACCTCCAACCCGCCACCCCTACCTCCCGACTCCTGCAGTTGATTAAAGGCCACGTTCTGGGAGGCCTAAGTAAACTAACTTATCTAGATCAATTTCTTTACATCCCCAGGTTATCTAATCTTTGCTATCAGGCTCCGGGTAAGAGAATCCAGTTGACTTCAGCCAAATTATCTTTCAAAGCTTTTGCAAAACCTCCCAGCCTTCCAAGAAGGTTTGCATCTTTTTTCTATTTCTCCCACCACCCTGACCAATTTCCTACAGTCAGTAATATTAGAATTCTTTTTTTTTAAATGAATGAAGGTAACAGAAGAACAAATGACTAAAACTTTCAAGCTTGGGTATTTTCTAAGGAAAAATGATGGTACCACTAACAAAAACTGGGGCTGCTAAAAACATAAGACATTTCAGAATTGTACAATTGACATTCATAATAACTAATGGGTGGATCACAAGGTCAGGAGATTGAGACCTTGTGAAGCCCCCTCTCTACTAAAAATACAAAAAATTAGCCGGGCGTGGTGGCGGACGCCTGTAGTCCTAGCTACTCAGGAGGTTGAGGCAGGAGAATGGCGTGAACCCGGGAGGCGGAGCTTGCAGTGAGCTGAGATCGCGCCACTGCAATCCAGCCTGGGCGACAGAGCCAGACTCCGTCTAAAAAAAAAAAAAAAAACTGGCATCAATTTTAATCAAAATCTATGGACATGCAACAGTATTAATTTTTTTTTCCTATTGAGACGGAGTTTCGCTCTTGTTGCCCAGGCTGAAGTGATCTCGGCTCACTGCAACCTCCGCCTCCCGGGTTCAAGCGATTCTCCTGCCTCAGTCTCCCGAGTAGCTGGGATTACAGGTGTGCACCACCATGCCCGGCTAATTTTGTATTTTTAGTAGAGACAGGGTTTCATCATGTTGGTTAGGCTGGTCTCGACCTCCCGACCTAAGGTGATCCACCTGCCTCAGCTTCCCAAAGTGCTGAGATTACAGGTGTGAGCCACTGTGTCTGGCCAATGATTTTTAAGTGATCTAAAAATAATTAGTAATGTTGTGGGATAGGCAATATTCACTTTCAGATATACCTACACAGAAAGTATTAATATACAAAGCTTTTAAAAATATGTCACAGATGCTTAAACATTAACATATGTTACTTAACAGCAATCTTTTGACATACACATCATATGCGCAGAACTATATGACTGTTTCTCTTAAATAAAGTGAGAACATTTCTATACTGGATACAGTAAATACAAAGAGAATCTTACTTTTAGCAAATATATCAACTGGTGATCCATCAGGCAAAAGCCATGGCCAACCTTTGAACTGCCATGCAGGACCCTGCACAAAAACGGCTACAACGCGGTCCCTACAAGTAGAAAAGTGGGTGGGGGGAGGTAGGGGACAGACGGAGATTATTTCAAACTTGAGCTTTAGCTACTATAAATCCCTTAGGCAACAGTCCCATAAACATTCATGTGAAAGAGTCTTATCAATCCTTCCATGAAGCAAATACAGTACTTACCACCTTTTCAATATGATATTGCCATTAGAATGTATTAATGATTGCTATACTTCTCATGTATCTGGTTTTTACACCTAAGTCTTTTAAACATAATTCAATGGACAATACTCGTATGTAATCTTGTTTGCCCTTTCTGTTCCCTTCTGTTAATTAGAGTAGTGGCCCACTTTTCCAATGTAATAGGGAATAGTGGTTGATAACTATTAATCAAAAAAGTTGTTTAAAAAATCATTTAAAATTCAAACACATCTTAAATATTTTACTTTAACTAAAAATATTACATTATAGGAACTCATCAACCATTTTACGAGGTCCCAGGGCCTTATCTGAGTTCTTGTGATTACTTAGGAAGTAATCTGAGTATAGAAACCATTTAGACTTTTATAATTTTTGCAATTGTTTTACAACTGTTTCATTCACCCTAAATTTATAAGTAGTTTTTAAAGCATTTTTTTCCCAACCAAACAACCCAGTTTTCCTAGAAAGAACAAACTTCTTTGTAGGCCCTCAAATTTCATTATTTTATAAAATACTTAATTGAATTGAGAAATTATAAGAAGTACTGCCATAAACAGTTAAAGCCAATAACTAAAGCGGTGGGAACAAAACAACAACATTATCAGCAATAATGGTTAACATTAGTAGCATTTATTGAGCATTTACTATGTGTCAAGTGCCATTTTAAGGACTTTATGCGTTACTTATGATGTTAACACATTTAATCTTCAAAACAATCCAATGACCTCACTGTATTAGAAACCTCATTGTATAAATGAAGAAACAAGTGCATGGGCATGTTGGAGAAGAGAAAGGAGGAAGGTAGAAGTACAGAGAAAAGGAAGAAGAGAAGAAGAGAAGGAGGAGAATAAATTACTATGCTAGGGCACTGGGTATGCTACTGTTCCTATTTAAGGGCAGATAAATCATGAGAATAGCCATCTCAGTATTATTATGAAAATAGTTTTCACCTTGCAACTCTGTGAAAGGGTCTTAGGAATGACCTGAGGTCTGCAGACCACACTTTGATAACCACTGCAATTAATGACGACTGCAGACATACAAAAAAACATTAAACCAGGGTTACCTTCTATTCAAGCAAAGACCTACAACTATTAAAAACTGCCAGCTTAAAGTTCTCAACCTGCTCAAAATCTCCCTAAAACTTAAAGTATAGTAATAATAAAATAAAAAATTAAAAAAAATCTCTGAGACTAAAATTAAATCTTAAGTTAAAAAATTTCCCCTTTCATGGGATACATGCCTCAAACTGTCAAAATCATCTTTGGCAATGCAGCACACTATTAAATAATCTTTCAGTTTTATGATGTAACTTACAACAGTTGAAAGCCCAAGATGCCTGCCAAAGCAAAGGGAATTTGCTGGACAGAGGTCACTTATATTCTACTGGGTCTCATAGCATCAGCACGGAAGCAGAATAAAAATGTTACTCCCCATGAATTCTTGGAAGGACAATTAAAGGAAAAGGAAAATAAGGAAGTAGGGAAAATGCTGGAGGCTTCAATGGCTGGAGACCCTAACTAATACACACAAGCAGTATTTTACAGCATAGTGATGAGATTTGTATACACTGTATTATTTCTGCAAATACACTGCAAACATAAAATACAAGTGATATAACTTTCCTACTTGGTTTTAAGCTTGATATCTGAAATTCTCATCTTACTCATTTTCTATATTACTCAAAGTATCTATTAGGTACCAGAGAAGAATTATAATTTTAAATATATATATATATATTTATGTGTGTGTTTTAAATATATATATATTTTAAATTATATTATATATATAATATGTATATTATATATATTATAATTAAATTATATATATAAATAAATATATAAATTTTAAATATATATATGTGTGTGTGTGTGTGTGTGTGTGTGTGTGTGTGTGTGTGTGTGTGAGAGAGAGAGAGAGAGAGAGAGAGAATTATCCTACCAGTCTTGAGGCATAAGTTTAAGGGGCTGGTCTACTACTCTATAAGATACTGTGACACTAATTAATTGCAGTGCCCCCTGGTTGCAATTTTCTTAAGAAAATTTTTAATATTAATATTCTCAATGCCTTGACTTCTTAATGCCTGAAAACTAACAAGTACTTCAAAGGTAAATTCATCTAATGTGCCATGTGTTGCGTTCTCTGTATCACGGATATATACTCAACTTTTACTCCCGGTTAAAGAAATAAGGTAATTTGTGTGTCTAAATTTATAGGCACTTTATATTATAAACAGCTTAATATTTTGTTAAAGGACACTTAAATTCAATAAAAGTGTTAAACCATGATAAAAGAGCTATTCCTATTTTTATTACATTATTCCCTTACAATAAAATATGCCTTCATTTTTTTCTTACCAGAAAATTGAAATTCTCCAAACCAAAAATCTAAACATAGAATACCTTACATTAGCCTAATTTGCTGGGTTCTACAAGCTGATCCGGAACAAATGAACAAGTGGAAAGAATTTTTTACACTGGGTTTTCCAGAAGTTGGAATGTTTCTTCTTATAAGTAAAATCAAGTTTACTTATCCAAAATATAAAGTTATTGAGGAATTATTAGAATGTTAACATTATTGATGACCAAAGTAAATATACATCAACACACTTTTCAAAGACAGTTTCTATTTAGAACCCATGATAAAATTTGATAATTGCTCACATGAGAAAAAACAACCAACAATATACAGAAAACAAACGAATATTTAAAAAATATAGGCTGCCAGGTGCAGTGGCATGCACCTGTAGTCCTAGCTATTTGGGAGCCTGAGGCAGGAGGACTGACAGAGCCCAGGAGTTCAAGTTCTGCCTAGGCAACATAGTGAGACCCCATCTCTTAAAAAGCAACGTCATCAACGGCAATAACAACATTCATTCTCTTGGGTTCAACACCTGTGAAAAGATATATATATAGAGACTATCTTACCAGTCTTGAGGCATAAGTTTAAGGGGCTGGTCTACTACTCTATAAGGTACTGTAACACTAATTGCAGTGCCCCCTGGTTGCATCTGGTCTTTTCTTCTTTGTATTAGAGTTTCATTTTCTCGTTGACAACCTTGTTTCTTCTTTTCATCTGATGGGACAAATCTTTGAAAAAACAGAGATGAGAAAAAGTCAATGTATTCCACGTGATGAAAATGGGAAGATAAACTATAATTTGAAATATTTTTTTTTTTTGAGACAGAGTTTTTTCTTATTGCCCAGGCTAGAGTGCAGTGGTGCAATCTTGGCTCACTGCAACCTCCACCTTCTGGTTTCAAGCGATTCTCCTGCCTCAGCCTCCCAAGTTGCTGAGATTACAGGTGACCGCCACCACGCCCAGCTAATTTTTTTGTATTTTTAGTAGAGATGGGGTTTCACCACGTTGGTCAGGCTGGTCTCGAACTGCTGACCTTGTGATCCACCCGCCTCGGCCTCCCAAAGTGCTGAGATTACAGGCATGAGCCACCACGCCCGGTCTGAAATAATTTTTAAACATTAATTAGTTTTAAACTAAAGATGTTTGTTTTTAAATAAACCTGCTCTGCAAGTACAGATCATGGAGTGTATAGGTCTTTCCTCTGTATACCAAATAGAACTCAAGCTCACTCAGACCCTAAGTTGGGTGTGTGTGTGTGTGTGTATGTGTGTGTAACACCACACAATTTATATTCATTCAACTAGCACTTAGCATTTTCCACACTAATACTTAATTTCTCAAATTCTATTAGAGGAAAACTTCATGATAAAGAGGAATTTTATTAGAAATCAAAAGGTCATTTGAAATGAAAAAGTTGTTGTGGCTAGTAGGCTTCTTTACGACTTAGCCTATCCAGGAGCTTCATAAAACTTTTTTTTTTTTAAGATTTTATGCTTCAGCAAAATTACAAAAATACCATCAAACTTCAGAGTAGCCTTGAAAATTTTAAAGTATGAAAATTAAATCAGTGCATGCTGATAACCTGCTATTATTATCAACTAGTGGCATTTATCAACTTACTTATGTGGATCCATTCTCAAGACAGATATTCTTAAAAATAACTTAGCAATCTGGATAGCTATTACCACCTGTAAAATTTGCTAGTGTTCACAAAGTATTTTAAAAGTCTTATTTTCTAAATATATACATAATCCTAACAGTCCAATAACATATTTTATTAACTATGATCTAGTCTCTCCAATAAAATGGAGGGAATACAATCAATATATTGAGAGTATCATTCTGCTTCTAAAGTTTAAAAGAGATGAAAGGGTGAAAGGACCAAAAAGCACAGGAGAACTTGCACTAATTAGAGTTCTCTGAAAAACTTCAATTACACATATTGGATTCATCACATAATACTAATTTTATTGTCTAGAAAGTTTTTAGTTCATGGTGATAATGATGATACTGAACTTTGCTTCTGAGCTGATTGTTCTCACATCCATTTTACATTTGGTTAAAAAGTTAAGATTTCTATATCATTTAAAAATTTCCCCCAGATAATCATTTGCTTCCTATGGCATTTGGTTTATTTATTAATCAAGCTCACTTAGAAAATGCCAGACAGTACTAATACTTTGAATAATGAAACACATTATTTAGAAAATTTAATATGTGTGCATTGTTTGAAATTGCATTCTAATAAAAAGCCACAACAAAAATGTTTTAATAGTATGTGCAATACATTGTGCTATAAGTTTTATAATATACATAGTTGTACAAAACATAGTCCCTGCCCTCTTGAACTTATGTTCCACACACACAGAACAAAGGGATTCTACTGCCAAGAGAAATGCTTTGTTTTATCTCAGTCTATAACTACATGGGATTTAAACTGTTTTAAGTTGTTAAATATAAGACTGCATCTCCCTCTTTTCTGGCTTCTGAAATTTTAACATGGTGTTAAAGTTTAAATTTACTTGTACAAAATTACTTATAAACTTATAAACAAAATTACTTATAATCATATGACTAGAATGCAAAATACATACAAATGAGTGATCTATTACAATACCAAACTAATAAAAAGTCTATTATACACCTATTTCAACTTTTGCAGGTCTACACATTGGTTGATATGTTTTATAAAAGCTCAGAAACATTAACGTGGTTTTTACAATTAACCACCGTCCTAGAATTTTTAGATGCTGTAGCATGTTAATTTCTGATTATATCTACGTATTTTCTTAGAATTAGTCATCTCTATTAGCAATAAAAAAGGCTTTATTTCAAAACGCTTTTCAGCAAGGATCTCATTTGAAAACATAAGGATAGATCTTATGACCTCTTCCCTAAAGTTAAGTCTACTAAAAAGATTAGTATTCCACAGAGTCAATATAATTTTACCTGTTCACCCTACTGCAGTTCATCAAATCTAAGACACAATGATTGTGAGCTACACCATTATATTGTACCACTATGAAAGGAAAAAACTACTGCCAATTAAACTATGATATTCTACATAAATCACAGTCATCATCCCTCCAGAAAACTGGTTATTTCTTCTGGCTTGGGCTGCACTGCTGGGTGTGTGATAGGCAATTGTTTCATATGTATCTCAGGCAAAATAGGTTCATCTACTATTGCTATCTTCCATTTTTAGGTTCCATAAAGCTCCTGGTTGTTGCTTTGCAAAAAAAAAAAAAAAAAAAAAAAAAAAATACGGGATTAGGGCGAGGTGCAGTGGCTTATGCCTGTAATCCCAGCACTTTGGGGGGCCAAGGTGGGTGGATCATTTGAGGTCAGGGGTTCGAGACGTCTGGCCAACATGGTGAAATCCCGTCTCTACTAAATATACAAAAATTGGCTAGGTGTGGTGGCGTGCGCTTGTAATCCCAGCTACTCTGGAAGCTGAGGCAGGAAAATCACTTGATCTCAGAAGGCAGAGGTTGCAGCAAGCCGAGATCACACCACTGCCCTCCAGCCTGGGGGACAGAGTGAGACTCTGCCTCAGGAGAAAAAAAAAAAAAAAAAAGAATGGGAATGTCATTCCTCTAATGCGGAAGAATTCAAACATCAAATCTGCACTCCACTGCTTCATTTTAGTGTATTTTTGAATATACAACATTTTTATTGACATAAAATTTACATACAGTGAAATGCATAAATAGATGAGTTTTGAAGAACGTATACTAAGTATAAGCACCATTCCAATCAAGATAAAGAACATCTGTGTCAACCAGAAAGTTTCCTTATATACCTTTCAGTCAAATGCCATTCCCTTCCTAACAAGCAACCACTCTTCTGCTTTCCATTAGTTTTTCCTGTTTTGGGAATTTATATAGACACACTCATATACCAGATGTATTATTTTGTACCTGGCTTCTTTCATTCAATGTAATGTTTCTGATAATCATACCTGCTGTGGGATGTATCAGTAGTTCATTATTTTTTATTGTTAAGTAGAATTCTATTGTAAGAAAATACCATTCTCCTGCTAGTGGACATTTCGGTGTGTCTTAGTACGTTCAGGATACAGTAAGAGAAATAGCACAGACTGGGGTGGCTTGTAAACAACAGGAATTTCTTTATCACTGTTCTGGAGGCTACGAAGCCAAGACCAAGATATTGGCAAGTCTGGTGTCTAGTGAGGTCCCACTTCCTGGTTTGTAAACCGTATTATTGCTGCGTCCTCCTATCACAGAAGGAGCAAGGAAGCTCTCTGGGATCACTTTCATAAGGGTGCTTATCCTATTTGTGAGGGCAGAGCCCTTATGACCTAATTACTTCACAAATACCCTGGGGCATTAGTGACTAAGTTTCAACATATAAATTTTGTGGGACACAAATGTTCAGTATACAGCAGGGTAGTTTCAAGGTCTGGGTTCGTACAAGTAAAGCTAACATAAATAATTCCTGTATAAGTGTTTTTGTGAACACATGCTTTCATTTCTCTTATGTAAATACCTCCAAGTGAATCATGGGGTATGTATAACTTTATAAGAAACTGCCAGGAAGTTTTCCAAAGCAGTTGAACCATTTTATACTTCCACTAAAAATGTATGAGACTTCTAGTCTTTTGAATTTTAGTCTTTCTAATGGGTATGTGAAATAGTATCTCAACATCATTTTAATTTTTACTTCCTCAACAACTGATGATACTGAGAATTTTTTTCATGCGCTGATTGGCCATTTGTATACCTTGTTTTGTGGAGTGTCAACATCTCTTGCTTATTTTTAATAGGATTTTTAAAAATACTGACACACAGGATTCTAGATACAAATTTTCTGTTACAAATGTGCAATGAAAAGATTTTCTCCCAGCATGTGGCTGGCCTTTTTATTTTCTTAATGGTGTCTTTTGATGAACAGAAGTTTTAAAATTTCTTTTTATGGTTCACCCTTCAAAAAAAAAACTATTTCAAAGTCACAAAAACATTCTATTATGCTTTATTCTAGAAGCCTTACAGTTTCAGCTTTTAAGTTTGTGTGTACAATCTACCTTAAAAAATGTTTGTGTATGGTGTTAGGTAATGGCTGACAGTCATTCCTCTCCACCCATATATTTATCCAATTGTTCCAGTACCATTTATTGCTAAGGCATTTGTTTCTTAATTGAATTGCATTGATGTCTTTGTCGAAAATAGTATAGCCCCATTTAAGCAATCTCCATTATTTTCATTCATCTATCTATCTTTACATCGTTAGTACATTGTGTGGATTATTGCAACTTGATAGTAAGTCTTGAAATCAGGTAGTGTGAGTCCTCTCTCTTTGTTCCTCCGTAATAACTGTTTCAATGCTAAATTGCACCGTATCTTTTTTGAAGATATTTTGCACTACATTTAAATTCAACATATATAGTACCATCTATGCACATATCTCACAGAACTGATGAAACTAGGAATTGCCATCACTATTTTGTGCATGTGCCAGTAATAAAAACTATGTCAGGACTGCCACCTAGCCACAGCAACTCTAAGATACCATCAATTATATGACATATTACAATTTCAGAGATATTAAATCATGAAAAATAACTGTATATATTGGAATTAGTAAAGTATATAATACTCTAGAGCTAATTAAACTTAACAAAGAATGTGACCAAAGTGCTATATATTACAGCACTATCAATTCAGCTACCCTAGGTCAACTGTCAAATGTATCCTGTTCCACTACAACTCCACTCTCAGCTTAGAAGCATCAGCTAATGGCAGCAATGACCAGATGGAATACAACTTAGGATGTTAAAGAGGGCAAAATTTAAGCCTATCAAGTACTACCCAGACTTAAGCCTTAAATAACAAACAACAGTACTTTATTTCTATGCCTCCTCTTGCACAAGAAATTTGAACAAATCACCTCTGGCCTATCAATATATAATAATACAGTTGTCCATAAGGTAGCATCCCAAAGGTAAAAATGCATCTGAAATTCAAATATGACGAATGTTATAATTTTTGCTTCCTAGCCTATAGAACTTTAAATACATCTCTATGGATATATTTAGGCATTTATTTAATTCTAAAGTTAAGCCATATGTATTTCACTATGAATTTACCTTTTTTATTCAAAGTAGAATTCAATTTTCTACAATTTTACAGTGGGCTTTTAAAATTATTATTATGATAATCTACAAAGTCTGTTATCTCCCTAACAGACTTCAGGTTTCCATTCTTGTAACTTTTCTTTCTTTTTTTTTTGAAACGAGGTCTTGCTGTAGTGCCTAGGCTGGTTTCAAACTTCAAACTCCTGGGCTCAAGCAATCTTCCCACCTCAGCCTCCCAAAGTGCTGAGATTACAGACATGAGGCACCACGCCAGACCTGGACAACAGTTTTCTTGAAGGCAAAGCCAATCGCTCAGATATATGGCACACCAACCAGTGTGCTGCTTTACATGTAGCATTCTCATCAGAGCAGAACTAAATGAAATTGAAACAAAAATAAAAAAATAGAAAAGATAAATGAAACAAAAAAAGCTGGTTCTTTGAAAAGATAAACAAAATGGGAGCTATTACACCTGACACCACCGAAAGACAAAATATCATTCAAGGCTACTATGAACAACTTTACATGCAAAAACTAGAAAACCTAGAATATATGGATAAATTCCTGGGAAGATTCAAACCTCCTAGCTTAAATCAGGAAGAACTGGATACCCTAAACAGACCAATAACAAGCAGCAAGATTAAAATGGTAATTTAAAAATTACCAACAAAAAAAAGTTCAGAACCAGAAGGATTCACAGCTGAATTGTATCAGACATTGGAAGAAGAATTGGTACCAATCCTTTTGACGCTATTCCACAAGATAGAGAAAGAGAATCCTCCCTAAATCATTCTATGAAGCCTGTAATACCCTAAGACCAAAACCAGGAAAGGATATAACCAAAAAAGAAAACTACAGACCAACATCCCTGATGAACACAGATGCAAAGATTCTTAACAAAATACATCTAACCAAATCCAACAACATATCAAAAAGATAATCCACCATGATCAAATGGGTTTCATACCAAGGATGCAGGGATGGTTTAACATACACAAGTCAATAAATGTGATACACTACATAAACAGAATTAAAAACAAAAATCACATGATCATCTCAATAGATGTAGAAAAAGCATCTGACAACATCTAGCATCCCTTTATGATTCAAACTCTCAGCAAAATTGGCAGACAAGAGACATACCTCAATGCAATAAAAGTCATCTATGACAAACCCACAGCTAACGTAGTTCTGAATGGGGAAAAGTTTAAAGCGTTCTGTCTGAAAACTGGAACAAGACAAAGATATCCACTCTCTTCATTTCATTCTCTTCTCTTCACTATAAGGACACAGTCACCAAAACAGCATGGCACTGGTATAAAATAGGCACAAGGACCAACGGAACAGAATAGAGAATCCAGAAATAAACCCAAATACTTACAGCCAACTGTAAGTATTTTGCCAACTGATCTTTGGCAAAACAAACAAAAACATAAAGTGGGGAAAGGACAACCTATTCAACATATGGTGCTGGGATAATTGGCAAGTCACATGTAGGAGAATGAAACTGGATCATCTCTCACCTTATACAAAAATCAACTCAAGATGGGTCAAGGACTTAAGTCCTGAAACACATCAAGGACAAAGACCTGAAACTAGAAAAATTCTAGAAGATAACACAGGAAAAACCCTTCTAGACACCGGCTTAGGCAAGGATTTCATGACCACGAACCAAAAAGCAGATGCAGTAAAAACAAATATAAATGGCTGAGACCTAATTAAACTAAAGAGCTTTTGCACGGCAAAAGGAACAGTCAGCAGAGTAAACAGTCAACTCACAGAGTGGGAGAAAAATCTTCATAATCTATACCTCTGACAAAGGACTAATATCCAGAATCTACCTCAAACTCAAATTAGCAAGAAAAAAACAAACAATCCCATGAAAAAGTGGGCTAAGGGCAGGAAAAGACAATTCTCAAAGGAAGATAAACAAATGGCCAAGAAATATGAAAAAAATGCTCAACATCACTAATGATCAGGGAAATGCAAATCAAAACCAAAATGCAATACTGCCTTACTTCTGCAAGAATGGCCCTAGTCAAAAAATCAAAAAACAATAGATGTTGGCATTGATGAAGTGAAAAGGGAACACTTCTACATTGCTAGTGGGAATGTAAACTAGTACAACCACTATGGAAAACAGTGTGGAGATTCCTTAAAAAACTAAAAGAAGAACTGCCATTTGATTCAGCAATCCCACTACTGAGTATCTACCCAGAAGAAAAGAAGTCATGATACAAAAAAGATACCTGCACACGCATGTTTACAGCAGCACAATTCGCAATTGCAAAAATGTGGAACCAACCTAAATGCCCATTAATCAACTAGCGGATAAAGAAACCGTAGTATGTGGATATATATATATATATATATATATATATCATGGAATACTACTCAGCCATAAAAGGGAAGGCATTAATGCCATTTGCTGCAATCTGGATGGAACTGGAGACTATCAGCCTAAGTGAAGTAACTCAGGAATGGAAAACCAAACATCGAATGATCTCATTTGTAAGTGGGAGCTAAGCTATGAGGATGCAAAGGCATGAGAATGACGAAATTGACTTTGGGGATGCAGGGGGAAACTGTGGGAGGGGGGTGAGGGATAAAAGACTACAAATCAGGTTCAGCATATACGGTTCGGGTGATGGGCACACCAAAATCTCACAAACTACTTAGTCATGTAACCAAATACCACCTGTTCCCCAAAAACCTGTGGAAATAAATTTTTTTTTAAAGACAAAAGGTAAGAAGATAAATTTAGGCAACATAATAAATCTTTAAAACAATAGAAAAAAAAAGAAAACACATTCAGCATCCTCAAACATTGGTTGAGCTAAAAAATTGGTCTGAAATAATTATTTTGATAAAACCATGTAAGATTTCTAAGTGCTCTGAGACCACCATTTGGAAATTATGGCACTTGTACTCATATATGTACATATATGAATGCATATTTCATATATGTGTATATGCGAATGATTTCATATATGTGTGTATGTGAATGCATATTTCATATATGTGTACATGTGAATGCATATTTCATATATGTGTATATGTGAATGCATATTTCACATGTGTATATGTGAATGCATATTTCATATATGTGTATATGTGAATGCATATTTCATATATGTGTATATGTGAATGCATAAATTTCGTATGTGCATATGTGAATGCATATTTCATATGTGTATATGTGAATGCATATTTCATATGTGTATATGTGAATGCATATTTCATATATGTGTATATGTGAATGCATATTTCATATATATATATATATACATGGAACAATGGCATTGAGTAAACACTAACAAATTATGACCCTTAAAAACTATGACTTTATGCTGTTTCTCGTATAATATGACAGATCCCCTAAGTAACTGCAACAATAATTCCCAAAAAAAAACAAGTAAACAGTAAATCTCATGAAGTGAGTAGTCTGGTAGTTATCAGAGACCAGGAAGGGTGGGGGAGTGGAGGAGATAGAAGTTGATTAATGGGTACAGAAATACAGGTACAAGAAATAAGACCTAGTTTTCAATAAATCAGCAGAGTGACTACAGTAAACAATAATTTACAGTATATTTCAAAATAGCTATCAAAGAATAATTTGAATATTTCCAACATAAAGATAAATGTTTAAGGTAATATATATCTTAATTACCCTGATTTATTACATATTATAAAAATGTGTCAAAATATTACATGTACCTCAAAATATGTGGGTCTATTACGTATCAATACAAAAAAAAAAAGGAAAAAAGAAAAAAAATCTTAAAAGCCTATCTGAGCTAGCGCAAGGTATAAAAAATACTTAGACCAAAGACCAAGTGAAAAGAGAGGAACCCAAAGAAGTAAGAACAACACTGCAGACTGCTATTCATTGGATTTGCAAACCAATTAAAGTTAAGCCTGGTTTTTCACTATATTTCACTGGGCTCCTGAAATAGAAAATAAGTCCAAATTCTGCTCAAGGTAGAAAATCTAATAAGAGTTCCTTCCCTTATAAAGCTGAGACTCAGGGGTTAAGTTCAACATAATGGTAAACTAGAAATAAACTCACTGTTCACCCTCTTCCCCAACAACCCCAACCCTAACCCTACCCTTATTTTGACAACTGCAAGGAAAATCAAATATCTCAAATGGTAAAACTGACCTCATTTGAATTTGCAGCAAGAACAACAGTATCTAGATATTTAAAACCTCCAATAGAGAATTTAATTTAAAGTTATGCTAGATTGGTAATGCTCCCAGGTGCTTAACAGACACAGATGCACATCTTCTCTGGAGTTCTGTCATATTCACTTGGAGATCAAAGAATTTCTACAGAAAATAATTCCAAGGAAAATGAACAGTAAATTGGTAAATTAACAAAATAAAAAAAAAATAAAATGAACAGTAAAAAACTAAACCCACAAGAAAACAAGTTATCATGTATGAAACAACATTCAAAGGAAGATGACTAAGGACTCCAAATGCTACAATTACCAAAAACCAAGGCTTAGAAAATAAAACAAGCTTGCAAATATGTACAGTAAAAAAGAATTACAAAGACAGATAATGGTTTGAAAAATAACTAAACAGAACCATAAAAACTGAAATATAAAATATCTGAAGTTTAAGGTGCAATGGATAGGCTTAAGATCAGATTAAGGTGTGGCCAAAGAAATGGACAACTATAAATTAAAAGTAACGAAATAATGAAAAATGCAGGCAACAGAGAAAATGAGACAGAAAATGGAATCATTTAAGAAACATGGAAGATAGAATGAGAAGGTCTAAAGTATGTCTCATTTAAGTTCCAAAAAGAGGTGAGAAAAAAGGGGGGATGGGGAACAGAACATATGCAAAAAAAAAAAAAAAAGCTTATTTCATGGATTATCAAAACGACCAAGACTTTGAGAACTGATGAAAAACACCAATACGCAGATTTAATTCTGACAAATTCCAAGTGGGGTATATAAAAAAGAAATCCGCATCTAGCTACAGCAGATAAATTTAAAATGATCTTTAAAATAACCACACGGAACAGATTTCCCTCATAGGACTGATTATCACACTAACAACTAACTTATCATCAAAACAAAGGAAGCTAGAAGACAGTAGAGTAGTATTTTCAATGTGATGGGAAAAAAATAAACTCCCATATTATTTTCCAAAGTGGCTAGATCATTTTGCATTGCCTGGGGCTGTTGGGAACAAGTACTATTCTCAGTCCAGTCTACGCTCTGGTAATTTTTCTGCCTGTTTCTTTCCCGGTGACTTTTTCCCAGGCCTCATGTAGTTTTCTCACATACATGTGCTGAATAGTATTTGGCGGATGTAAGGAGAACCCTCTACATAGCGTCTGAGCTCCTTCTGCGCACAATCTTTCCTCTTTGGAACTCGGCCCCATGTGGCTGCCAACATGGCCAAAATCAGGAAGTTACACCCAATCGTTTATTTTAAATAACCTTACAGTTCCAATAAACAACTTTCATGATCATGTTTATAGATGTAAAGTGTATTTTTTAAAATACTTCCATAATACAATCTCAATTTTGTTTGTTAGCATGTTAAAGGGTTTTATTATTTTTTTTTGTTTCATTTACTTATTGAAGGGATATACAAAACTAAAGAATCCTCAGTTGTACATAAAACTAAATAGAATCTATGCTATTTGCAAGTTGGATATTTCTATCCAACTTGAGCTATGAGTTACAGCCAGTACCATAATTGTGTGGAGGAGGTTTCAATTATGCATTAATTACATAGCAAAGCCTCCAGCTGACTCAAACTGTAGGGGAGATGTCAGTTGCAATGAGGTGTTAAACAATGAAGGGAGTGTTTTAAACTTGGAAGAAACATTAGGCATGGTCTATCCTAAGAATGTGGTCTGTTTAATTGTCTGGTTTCTCTGTAGTAAACAAGACTAAAGAGAATGACACTAAAATTTACTTTGTGATTTCTTTCACTATTCACTATTTTCTGCTATAAAACAGTGTTTAAGTATTAGATTTGTAATACATTCAGATGAACACTGCAAAGGTTCTTGAGAGTGGAGAATGAAAAGACAATTTCTTTTTTTTAACATTCCACAAACTTACTGTAAATTTTGTATAACCAGTTAGATATATTTATTTTTTTAAAAGTTGTCAATTACTAAAATTTGTGAGATTGGATAACACCAAATTCACAAATCATAAAATTGGTTAAAAAAATACAGTAAATGCCAAAAAAAACAAAAAACAAAAAAACAACACAATACCAAGTGTAATGAAGCATCATGGGAACTAAAATCGAGTCCCAGGCGTGGATATGACTACTATGTATCAAAAAAGGTATTTCAATTTGGAGATAAATGCAATAAATTAATTCACGGGTTGCACAAACACACATACATAAAATCAAACTTTAAATTTCAGGTATACAAGTCCCCCATCCTCCAATCTTCTCTTCTCAATGTGCTCCCTCATCCTTTTCTTTTTCTTTATTTACTTAGTACTCATTATTTGGCTAACACTGTTTTAAACAATGTAGCTACAAATAACAATAAAATAACAAGCCCTTGTCTCTGAAGAAATCATAATTTAGTTGGAAAGACTACAGACAGACTGCAAGACACAGAAACTATCACCAAAAAATACATGTATTTCAGATTATAAATCATGAAAAGCCATATATATATTGACTAAAAGGTGGAAAGCTCATACAAAAACTAAACAATTTTTAGAAGCAGTTAATGTGATCCATTTCTGTGAGTCTGACAGTTTCTGTTATATTATCATATCTATTTCAAGGACCAAAAGTATATCTTGTTCACACAATTGTAAATTACTTGAGGAATCTCATCAGATGACATATGCAATCAAAAAACTCACATCTGCCAGAATACTAAAACTTTACTATAAAAGCCACACTATTAATGAAAAAACAGCTCAATGAATATTTTGTCATTCAAAAGTACTAAAAATTTTTTAAAAAAAGAATTCAGGTATGAATATACTTGTATGTGCCGGGATACCTAGATTTTGTAAAGAAAGCTACTTAAGTTGGAGGCACTTAAAATTCAATTCTACATTTAGTGAAACCTGAAATCCACATATATTGCAAATTGGCTTCTCACTTTGAATCAGTTAAAAGCAGTATGGTTTTTTTAGATGTGAAGGGGCTTTTCTTTAAAAGTTATCATTAGGCCAGGCACAGTGGCTCATGTCTGTAATCTCAGCAGTTTGGGAGGCCGAGGCAGGCAGAGTTTGAGACCAGCCTGACCAACATGGTGAAACCCCGTCTCTACTAAAAATACAAAAATTAACCAGGTGTTGTGCCGCACGCCTGTAATCCCAGCTACTCAGGAGGCTGAAGGAGAATCGCTTGAACCCGGGAGGTGGAGGTTACAGTGAGCCAAGATCGCACCACTGCACTCCAGCCTGGGTGACACGGCGAGACTCCGTCTCAAAAAAAAAAAAAAAAAAAAAAAAAAAGTTATCATTGTTACTTTACTGAGAAAGAAGCCAGAGCATTCACATTCCCCTTCTGGGTATTTATTATGTTGCTGAATAAAACTGTTTCCCAGTGATCAGTAAAATTTTTAACAGGAAATTTTCAACATTAGAGCATTCAGATTACAAAATATAATTATTCTAACACTGACTTAGGCCTTGACTCTTGTAGAAGACTTTGCTTTGTTCTGGATTATTATCACACTACTATCAAGACCAGAATAAAACCCAATTTCTTTATTTTGCTGTTCTTTCCTTTTATGGTCAAGAGGTACACGTGCAGGTTTGTTACATGGGTATATTGCATGTCACTGGGGTATGGTGTACAAATTATTTCATGACCCAGGGTAATATGCACAGTACACAACAGGTATTTTTGATCCTCTCCCTCTTCCCAGCTTCCACCCTCAAGTAGGCCCTGGTGTCTTTTGTTTCCCTCTTTGTGTCCAACATGTACTCGATGTCTAGCTCCCACGTAGAACATGTGGTATTTGGATTTCTGTTTCTCTGTTAATTTGTTAGGATAATGGCTTCCAGCTGCATCCATGTTGCTGCAAAGGACATGGTTTTGTTTTTTATGGCTGCATAGTATTCCGTGGCATGTATGTACCAGATTTCTTTATCCAATCCACCACTGATGGAAATTTTGGTTGATTCCATGTCTTTAATATTGTAAAACGTGCCACAATGAACTTAAAGAGTGCATGTGTCTTTTTGGTAGAAAGATTTATATTCCTCTAGGTATATATCCAGTAATCAGATTGCTGGGTCAGATGGTAGTTCTGTTTTAAGTTTTTTGAGAAATCTGCAAACTGCTTTCCATGGTGGCTGAACTAAATTACATTCCCACCAGGAGCACATAAGCATTCCCTTTTCTCCACAACCTCACCAAGATCTATTATTTTCTGATGTTTTCATAATAGCCATTTTGACTGGTGTGATGTGAGATGATATCTCATTGCAGTTTTGATTTGCATTTCTCTAATGATTAGTGATGTTAAACATTTCTTTCCTATGTTTGTTGGCCATGTGTATATCTTCTTTTGAGAAGTGTCTGTTCGTGTCCTTTGCTCAGGACTGTTTGTTTTATGCTTAAGGTCCTTATACATTCTGGGTATTAGATCTTTGTCAGATGCATACCTTGCAAATATTCTCTCCCATTCTGTATGTTGTCTGTTTACTCTGTTGACAATGTCTTTTGCTGGGCAGAAGCTTTTTGGTTTAGCTCCCATTTGTCTATTTTTGTTTTTGCTGCATTTGCTTTTGAAGACTTTGTCATAAAATGTTTACCAAGGCCTATGTCCAGAATGGCATGCCCTGTTTTTTTCCTAGGGTTTTTATAGTTTCAGGTCCTACAATTAAGTCTTTTAATCCATCTTGAGTTGATTTTTGCATATGGTGAAAGGAAGGGGTTCGGTTTCAATCTTCTGCATTTGGCTAGCCAGTTATCCCAGCATCACTGAATAATGAGCACTTTCCCCACTGCTTGTTCCTGTCGACTTTGTCAAAAAGCAGATGGTTGCTGCTGGGCAGCTTTATTTGTGGATTCTCTAACTTGTTCCATTGGTCTGTGTGCCTGTTTTTGTACCAGTACTACAGTTTTGGTTACTCTAGTCTTGTTGTATAGTTTGAAATTGTGTAGTGTGATGCCTCCAACTTTGGTCTTTTTGCTTAGGATGCTTTGGCTATTCTGCCTCCTTTTTGGTTCCATATGGATTTTAGAATAGTTTGTTCGAATTTCTGAGAAAAATGAAATCTGGTAGTTTGCTAGGAATAGCAGTGAATCTGTAAGTTGTTTTGGGCAGTTATGGCCACTTTAACAATATTGATTCTTCCTATCCATGCACATGAAATGTTTTTCGATTTGTTTGTGTCTTCTCTAATTTCTTTCACAGTGTTTTGTAATTCTCATTGTAGAGATCTTTCACCTCCCTGGTTTAGCTGTATTCCCAGGTGTTTTGTGTGTGCATGTGTGAGTGTGTGGCTACTGTGAATAGGACTGAATTCTTGAGTTGGTTCTCAGCTTGGACATTACTAGTGTATAGAAATTCTACTTATTTTTGTACAGTGATTTTGTATCTGAAATTTCACTAAACTTGTTTATCAGTGCTAGGAATCTTTAGGTAGAGACTATGGGGTTTTCTAGGTATGGAATCATATTGTCTACAAAGATAGAAGGCATCTCTATTTGGATGCCTTTTATTTCTTTCTTTGTCTTGCCTGAGTCCCCTGGCTAGTACTTCCAGTACTGATACAGGAGTACTGGGAAGGCAAGAGCATGGTCCCTTTAAATGATATGGAATGGGGGAAGGCAAGTGCTGGGTAGAGGAGGGCCTGGTCCCTGGCTAGGGCTCCACCCTCATGAACCTACGTGAGGACAGGCACTTCTGCTTTCAAGCCCAAA
The DNA here is from genome assembly GCF_000001405.40 of Homo sapiens. NCBI lineage: Eukaryota > Metazoa > Chordata > Mammalia > Primates > Hominidae > Homo > Homo sapiens. The sequence goes on along the minus strand of NC_000001.11, from coordinate 193,217,735 downwards.
TGTTCCATTTTCCAAGACCACCCTAGCTCGCCATGCCCCCACCCAGGGCCTATAAAAACCCAAGACCCTAGTGGGCACACACACAGGTGGCCAGACGTCAAAAGGAGCATATCAGCAGAAGAAGACACAAGCAGCTGGATGTGAGGAACACATTGGCGGAAGAAGACACAGCAAGCAAGCTCTTGGTGGTCAAGAGCACACCAACAGGCACCAGCAGGCTGACAGGCCATCAGAATGACGCAGGGTCTGGCCACAGCGGCTGGACTCCAGGGGAAAACCATCCCCTTTCTGGCTCCCCTACTTCTACTCAATAAAACCTTGCACTCATTCTCCAAGCCTACATGTGATCCGATTCTTCCAGTACACCAAGACAAGAAACTCTGCGATAGAGCAGAGTATCTTGTCCTTGTGATAAGGTAGAGGGTCTGAGCTGGTTAACACAAGCCGCCTATAGGGTAAACCAAAAGAGCACCCTGTAACACACGTCCACTGGGGCTTCAGCTGTAAACATTCACCCCTAGACAATGCCGTGGAGTCTGAGCTCCACAGCCTGCCCGTCGGTGTGCTCCCCTAGAGGTTTCAGCAGCAGCTGGGTATTGAAGAAGCAAGCCACACCCCCACCGCAAGCCCTGGGAGGGAGACAAAGGAACATTTCCTGTTTCAGTACTACGTTGAATAGGGGTGGTGAGAGTGGACATCCTTGGTTTGTTCTGGTTCTCAGGGGGAATGCTTCCAGCTTTTGCCTATTCAGTATGATGTTGGCTGTAGGACTGTCATAGACGGCTCTCATTAGTTTGAGGTATGTTCCTTTGATGGGTAGTTTGTTGAGGGTTAACATGAAGGGATTTTAGGATTTACTGAAAGCCTTTTCTGCATCTACTGAGATGACCATGTAATTTTTTTAGTTCTGTTTATGTGACGAATCATGTTTACTGATTTGCATTTGTTGAACGAACCCTGCATCCCAGGGATAAAGCCTATTTGATGAGGGTGTTTTAGTTTTTTGATGTGCTGCTGGATTCGATTTTCTAATACTTTGTTGATTTTTGCATCTGTGCTCATCAGGGATACTGGCCAGCAGGTTTTTTTTTTTTTTAATTGTCTCTCTGCCAGGTTTTGGTATTAGAATGATGCTGGCTTCACAGAATGAGTTAGGGAAGCCCCTCCTCCTTGATTTTTTGGGGCGATTTCAGTAGGACTGGTACCAGCTCTCCTTTATACATCTGGTAGAATTCAGCTGTTAATCTGTCTGGTTTGGGGTTGGGGGGCTTCCGGTTGGTAGGATTCTTTTCTACTGATTCAAATTCGGAACTCATTATTGGTCTGTTAAGGATTTCAATTCCTTCCTAAATCAATCTTGAGAGATTATATGTTTCTAGGAGTTTATCCATTTCTTTTAGGTATTCTAGTTTGTGTGCACAGGGGTGTTCATAGTCTCTGAGGGTTTTCTGTATTTCTGTGGAGTTGGTGGTAATGTCCCTTTGTCATTTCTGATTGTGTTTATTGGGATCTTTTCTCTGTTTTTCTCTATTAATCTAGCTAGCAGTCTATTAATCGTATTATTTCAAAGAACCAAATTTTGGTTTTATTGATCTTTTGCATGGATTTTCACATATCAATTTAGTTCAGCTCTGATTTTGGTTATTTTCTTCTGCTACCTTTGGGACTGGTTTGCTCTTGTTCTTCTAGTTCTTACAGGTGTGACGTTAGGTGGTTAATTTGAGATCTAACTTCGTGATATAGGCATTTAGCACTATGAACTTTCCTCTTAATACTGCTTTAGCTATGTCCCAGGGATTCCGGTACATTGTATCTTTGTTTTCATTTGTTTCAAAGAATTTTTTGAGGCTGGGCATGGTGGCTCATCCCTGTAATCCCAGCCCTTCGGGAGGCCAAGGCAGGCAGCTCACTTGGGCCCAGGAGTTCGAGACCAGCCTGGGCAACATGGCTAAGCCCAGTCTCTACAAAAAATACAAAAATTTGCCAGGTGTGGTAGTGCACACCTGTAGTCCCAGCTACTCAGAAGGCTGAGGCAAGAGGATTGCTTGAGCCCAGGAGGCAGAGGTTGCAGAGAGCCGAGATCACACCACTGCACTCCAGCCTGTGTGACAGAGAAAGACCCTGTCTCAAAAAAAAAAAAAAACCTGTGTTAATTTCATTCTTTGCCCAAAAGCGATTTAGGACCAGGCTGTTTAATTTCTATGTAACTGTATAAAAACTTAATTTCTTAATCTGAATGTTTGTTAGGTATCTCCACAGTACAAATAATAAGACTACTAAATTGATCATCAGGAGATCTGGTTGTATTTCCTGCTCTGCAACTAAATGGCAGAGGTAAAAGGCTAAAATAGACTTTAAGTTTCTTTTATATATCAGTATTTTTGTTTAGGAATAAGAGTGGGTCAAACTAGATATACTGTATATCATTTTTAGGTCTCAAGTTGTAGAAAACAATACATTTCAAGTTGTTTATATACTATGAAAAATCACTATTATATACATTCTCACTAACAGCACATAATTTGAGAGAAGCTAGATAAAGCTTTTAAAGGCTAACTGTTGAGGTCTAATTTGTTTCTGAACCTATCTTCAGAATGTGATTCAAGTTTGCAGAGAGTCAAAAGACAGTATATTTTTCACTGTACTTAGAATAAGGCATTGAAACTGAGTTTTACACCAAGTGCTAAACACATTTCTCAGCAGCTGCAACTAGTGACAAACCAGTACCACTCTCATGTGAGCTCCTAGAAGGTTGGGCGTGTTGTATATTCATCTAGAGTAATTTACTTTTTAGTTATTGCTCTGTAGATGTTAGTTGAAACAACAAACCCAATATACACATCAATCTCCCCAAATGAGAGTTATCACTAAATTCATCTGAATCTGTCTCATAGTTAAGGCATCAACATCACTGATTAGAAAAACATTAAAACTTATTTCTAATGTCAAGTGTATCCCAACTGCAAACAATCTAAGTGGCCAAATAGCTTATAAAATAATCTATTTTTTTCTTATTTTCTGAGGAGTCTCGCTCTGTCGCCCAGGCTGGAGTGCAGTGGCGGCATCTCAGCTCACTGCAAGCTCCGCCTCCCAGGTTCACGCCATTCTCCTGCCTCAGCCTCCCATGTAGCTGGGACTACAGGCACCTGCCACCATGCCCGGCTAATTTTTTTTGTATTTTTAGTAGAGACGGGGTTTCACTGTGTTAGCCAGGATGGTCTTGATCTCCTGACCTCATGATCCACCCACCTCGGCCTCCCAAAGTGCTGTGATCACAGGCGTGAGCCACCGTGCCCAGCCAATAATCTGCATTTTTAATTCCCCTCAGGTACAACTCAAACAATTATGAAACATGAATTAAGAAATTTGCTACATTTGGCAGACTAATAAGTTCCTACTAAAATGGGTTATACTATCTGGTACACTGCATTATTGGAACGGGAACTTTATACATAAACACCTGGAAATGCTAAATACAATGTAACATATACCTGAAATGCTGAGCTAGAAAGAAAATAGTCATCGGCTACAAATGAAGAAAATGCTGACGACCAATAAAGTGCACTGGTGTTGCCCATGAGGAAAGTGTAGGCAGTACTAAGAATTGGCTTTTACCAACTACATAGGGAAAGGACACAGAGGAACTGGAACTAGAGCCACAGAAGAGTCACATGATCAACAAAAGGTTAAAGTAGAGGGAAAAACTGTTTCCAATCAAATGTCGGGGAAGCATATCCATCTTGCTCTACCTCTGGAGCAGGGGAAGAAAAGGGGCTCCTGGATAATTTGTCAGCCAGGTTCCAATGTCACTCAGGTCTGATTCAAATTTGAATTTATACTACCCAGATGGACTAGAAATCCTTATGTTAAGAATTTAACACAAAAATCAACTCAAGGCTTGAGATATTCTTGAAGCACCTGGCAAAGCAATCACAAAATCACTCTGGAAGGACGTAACTTCAAGCCAGTAGCACTTCAAATAATACCATATTAAGATTAGTGAGCAACAGTCCAAATTCCTAACAAATACCAAAATTAAATAATCAGGTATGTATGTAACACAACAGGACAATTTGACAGCTTCTGTTTAATAAGAAGTACCATGAGAATGCAACAAACACTACGAAAATATTAAAGCAGAATACAGTTAACCACCTTCGCTCCAACTAGTGATCACAACATCTCTCTTATCCTCTGAAAGAGTATGTATTACAATTTTTGAATTCCTCCATTTTCTATCCCCTATTTCATAAAACGCATTCTGACAGAAGGAACTATCTTAAAATCCCACATCAGGCAATGGTATTTAGCTGAATATATAAAATATTTACCCATTTTAACAATGAGTATGACTAAAAAAAAAAAAAATCTACTGAGGAAAAAATTTGCAACACTGTGTCTAAAAAACTTGATAGCATTCTGAAAATCACTTAAACATGGCTCATTTTAAACCTTGTTAATGTCTATATCATTGAAGATTATTTAAAACAATTTTTATATTGCCATCTTTCTTCTGTAAACTATAGCCAATCCAAGAAGTAGTATACAGATTTAAAAATAGTCACAATATTTAAAAGTGGTATGTCTACTCATATTCATTAATAGAAGAAATGCTATGGGAAAATATACGTAAACTACTTAAATTTTAAATCTGAAAGTGGTTGGGGATGGAAGAGATTTATTTTGTGCCCAATAACCGTGATGCATGTTTATTAGAACAAACTGGGTACAAGTGTGACTGTATTCATTTTAATAAGGAAATGAGGAAGGAAAATAGACATTAAAATTTTTGAAAAGTTAAGCATTTGGAAATTTTATCATCATTTATAGGTTTCATTTTCACTTCTTTAACTTTCACTGCTATCTAGGTTAAATAACTATGCCCCCACCTACCCGCCCACTTACTCCCACTAGGGTATAACATCTAATATTCAGAGAGAACCTGAATTTGCTTTAGAACTTCCTCAAGCTCTCTCAGAGAAAATCATCAAAAGAAAACAATTCATATTAAAAGTTAATACGATAGTACCTTTTTTCATTAGGACTTTAGCCAGAAGTTTCTGTAACTTTCCCTAAAGGATCCAAATATAAAAGAATATATTCTGTTTTGAAAATGTATGCTTCATACTATGTGTAAGGCCTATAGCACAGAAACCGAAATTTTGTTTTTTCCAAATAAGTAATACTGATTCAGTAACTACTATTTTCCAATGGTATCTCAATATCCTACGTACAGGATAGTTTAATAAATTACTTACTTCAGGTCCTGTAGAAGGTCTTTTGCATTAAGCATGGTTATTAAAGAGGTGGTAGCTGCAGGAATTATGATAATGGGTGTTCGAGATCCTATAAAGACAAAATTTACAGGTAGAAAATATATTATTAGAAATTATACTTACTTTCTCTACTAAAAGTTAAAAGATTATAAATTGTAACTTTAACTTTTGATCTAAAAAATATTTTAAGCCAGTGGATATTAAAAAATATTTAATAATCAGTGTGGCTTGGGCACTAATAAATCAGAATGGATACCAAGCACAAACATGTGATACAGCTGCACAAGAAAATTATCAGGCCTGGTTTTGCAATCATTTACTTTTTAAAGTTAAGTTTAAAATCATATGCACAACCTCACCTTTCTTCTGATTTGGGGGAGGTCTTGCTTGAGAAACTGTGAAAAAGAAAAAAAATCACAACTCTGTGTCATAAAAACCATATTCTTATTTTCAAACTTACAAATAAGGGATATTTTTTAAATTATGTGTATTCCCATATGACTAACTGTAAATCAGAAGACTTTTTTTACAACTATCTTCTCAACACTGTTTGACAAAAATATTAAAATGCATTATTCAACAATCTGTAGTCAAAAGGAAAGTGAATATACAACATCCATAGTTCTGTTTTCTGCAGTTTCAGTTAACCACAGTCCACTGTGGTCTGAAAATATTAAATAGAAAATTCCAGAAACAAACAATTCACAAGACTGAAACTGCACATTTTTCTCAGGAGCATAATGAAATCTCACACTGCCCCACCCAGGATGTGAATGCTCTTTGTCCAGCATATCCACATTCTATACACTACCCACCCTTTAGTCACTCAGTAGTCATCTCCCTCACTGTTATCACAGTGCTTGTTTCAAGTAGCCCTTGTTTTACTTGCGAATGGCCTCAAAGTGTAAGAGTGATAAGGCTGACAATTTGGATATGCCACTACCAAAGAAAAGACATTAAGTGTTTCCCTTAGGTGAAAAGGTGAAAATCTCTACTACTAAGTAGACAAGAAAATCTCTACTACTAAGTTGAAGAGAAAAAAATAAAATCACATCCCGAGGTTGCTAACATCTACGATAAAAATACTGAATCTACCATCCGTGTAACTGCGAAGAAGAAAAAGAAATTCGTGCTACTTTTGCCTTTGTACCTCAAACTGCAAAAGTTTCAGCCACAGTGAGTGATAGTGTTAAGATGGAAAAGGCATTAAATTTATGGGAGACATAAGAGAAACATGTTCTGGTTGACCGAATCTGGTTTGGTACTATCCCTCCCTGGTTTCAGGTATCCGCTGGGGGGTCTTGGAATGTATGCCCTGCTAGTAAGTGGGGACTACTGTATTACAATGCCAGGCACTGAGTATCTTACATTCATGGATGTTCAGGTCTAGCAAAAAAGAGAAGAGCGAGACAAGAAATAATTTCATAATAAGCTGATTACCACTGTAATAACTGTGAAAAGAGAGCATACGAGCAAATACTACTGTGCGAAGTGCGAATACGCTTAACCATTTTGGAAGAAAAGGAAAGAAGTTATTGAGATCTAAGGCTAAAAGATTCCTTTTATTTTTTTTTCTTTCTTTTAAAAATTGTTTCTTGTCTCTTTTTAGGTGAGAAATACAGCATTACAGGTAATCAGTCATGTATATGTGAAGGTCTATATTATCTGAAAATGACCATATGATTGATTGTGATCATGTTATACATACACAAATCTTCCTATCTTTCTTTTTAACAAAAACAGGGTCTCGCAATGTCACCCAGGGTTGATCTCGAACTCCTGAGCTCAAGCTATCCTCCCACCTCAGCCTCCCAAAGTGCTGGGATTACACAGGTGAGCCACTGAGCCTGGCCCATATGTTTGTATTTTGTTTATATACAATGAACTTTTAATGCTTAGAAATATTTGTTGACATAATGGTAATAATAACCTAACACAAGATGAATACATCTTAGGATAAAAAGTGCTGCAAGTTCTATTTTCAGTATTTGACCATACAATAACTCAATGTGCTACAAGCTGTGCTTGAGTTTTGTTTTTTAAATGACAAAAATAAAGAAAAATTTAGGAGACTTAAAATTCTAATTCAATGTCAGTTCTTAAAAATGGATACCATCTTTAAAGTGAATAACACAGCACACACACTTTCAGAAAATGTTCTATTTAAAAAGCAACAAAATGCTACATTTTCACTAATTCTTTGTAATCCTTTATATAGCTCTCTCATTGTGATAAACTGTCATAGGATTCAGTAGTATGACCTTCCCAGCCACAGAAAGCAGATAACTATATACACAAACACATACTGAGACATATGCCTTTACTATTACAGTTTTCTCATCTTTCTTCTTGCTGAGAAAAAATACTAGAATTTTCTTAAATCAATTTGAGAAATGAAGGGTCATGGATAAATCTCATTGGCTACATAGTGTCATGTGGAATATAATATAGTCTCGGTAAATATTTGGCATTTGTTGGAGAGATAAAGGGGTAACAGGATGGATAAACAGGAAACAGGAGTTGCTATTATGACTAAAGGGAACTACAAAAAAACAAAGATGGAAGGAAGGCAGAGAGGGGGGAGAGGAAGAGAGGGAAGAAGAAAGAGAGAGCAAGGGAGAAATCTCTGACTGAAGTACTGTTGGATTTGGTAAGGAAATCCACAAATGCCCTCAGGAATTTAGGCAAACATTTACTAAACTCAAGGCTGAGAAGACCCAATATAAGAAAAAGGCAAAATAAAAAAACTCACAAATGTTAAAAATAAAGTTTAGAGGTTTAGTTAAAAAAGATAACTGCAAAAGAATATAAACAAGTTCCCTAGTATGTAAGGACCCAGACTGAGACACTGTGATGAACATGTCAATGAGAAGCTTGATCTTAACGGGGGAGGGGGAGAGAAACATAAGGAGTTTGTATGACAGAGTGATCAACAGCAAAGGTCTGTACTCAGATTATTTTAGTTCATATCCTTATTTTGCCACTGTCTAGGCAAGCTGATTAACTTTGCTCGGCCTCAGTTTCCTCAATCGTAAAAGAGATAATAGTTTCTATATCTTGATACTGCTGTGAGAATTTAAAAAATAATAATGCATGCTAAAGTCCTTAATTAGGTGTTAGCACATACTTACCATTTACTGAATCCTGCAACTACAGTAGATGCTAACTGCTGCCACTTCTACTACTACCGCTACTCAAGCAAGTGTGCTAATTGCCAATTTACAAGCTGAGAATAAACCATAAGAAAAATTACTGTTGCTCTGTTTGATTTCAAATAAATTAGATTCTTAAGAAACATTTATTTGGAGCCTATGTACAAGCATCACTGCTAAGTTATTATTAAATTGCAAATAAAACAGAAGTAATTCCTGCCCTCAAAGAGCTTTCAGCAGAGTACGGGAGCCCAGACCATAAACAAAAATGCAACCAAACACATAATCTAATTGGAACACATACTAAGGGAACAAAATGAGTGTATACTGGCAGAAAAGTGTCCTTTAGATATAATGCAAACAGCTTCTCAAAGAAAGTGGCATTTAAGCTGAAATTTGAAAGATGAAAACAAGCCAACTTGCCAAGAACAAGTAGGCGAACAGTTCAGATAAGAGGTAGGAATACGGGCAAATACCATAGGCGGGAAGAAACTGCTGCGCTTGGGGAACTGAACAAAACAAATGTGTAGACCACAGAGAAGAAAGGAAGAATGGCAGGAGATGAGGTTACAAATATATGCAGAGACCAATTCATGTAGGGCTTTTTAAGCAATATTAAGTTTACATTTAAGTGACACTGGCAAGTCCTATAACTATTAAGCCAGAAAGTGAAAAGATTTTATTTTCATGTCACAAGTCTGGAAGAAAAAAAACAATGGATTTGGACAAAGGATCGAAAAGAGTACAAGTGTGAAGGCAGAAAGCTCAGTTAGGACTATTACAACAGTCAACAATGGTGCTACTCAAACTATGTGTGGTTGAGTTTTTGTTTTAAATTCCAATTCAAAGCCAACTGAATAAAATATAATAGCAATGAATTTCTAGAAAGATGGTTATGTACTCAGATGCTATGACACTATTTTACCCTCAATTTCTATGTCTATTTTGTTGGCACCAGAAATAAAAAGGTGCCACCGGAAATAAAAAGGTTGACACCAGGCAACCGACCACACTGAGACCCACTGGTCTAGAGAGATGATGATGGTTTCTACTTGAGTTGTGGTAGTGGAGATAAAGAAAAATAGATAAATTTGGAATACAGAAAAGGCACATCTGACAGAACCCACCAACAGAAAAGGAGTAAGGAAATGTGATGAATAAAGAATAACTTCCAAGTTTTTGATTTAAGAAACAAAGTTGATTGTGGTGTCACTCTATGAAAAAGCAGAAGACTATAGAGTAAGAGACCTTGGGGAAAATAGCAGGGAAAAATTTATCTTAATTAGTTTTAAAATGCCTACGGCAAATCCAAATGTTACACAGACAGTTAATATAAGATACCAGAGGTTTGAATTGGAGATAACAAATTTGGAAATCATCAGCACATAGATTTAAAACTATGGGATAAGAGGAGAAGTACTCCTTCCCTAATAATACTCTTATAATTTCTTATGCCTGTCTTTACTTTAATCTCTTAATCCCATTATCTTCGTAAACTGAGAATGTATGTCACCTCAGGACCACTATTGTACAAATTGATTGTAAAACATGTGTGTTTGAACAATATGAAATCAGTGCACCTTGAAAAAGAAGAGAATAACAACGATTTTCAGGGAACAAGGGAAGATAACCATAAGGTCTGCCTGCCTGTGGGGTCAGGCAGAATACAGCCATATTTTTCTTCTTGCAGAGAGCCTAAAAATGGGCATGCAAGTAAGAGAGATATCGCTGAATTCTTTTCCCAGCAAGGAATACCCCGGGGAAGGAATGCATTTCTGGGGGGAGGTCTATAAAGGGCTGCTCTGGGAGTGTCTGTCTTATGTGGTTGAGATAAGGACTGAAATACGCCCTGGACTCCTGCAGTACCCTCAAGCTTACTATGATTGGGAAATTCCAGCCTGGTAAATTTTGGTCAGATTGGTTCTCTGCTCTCGAACCCTGTTTTCTGTTAAGATGTTTGTCATGACAATATGTGCAGAGAGGGACATAGACCCTCATCAGTAATTCTAATCTTGCCTTTGCCTTGTGATCTTTATTGCCCTTTGAAGCATGTGATCTTTGTGACCTACTCCCTGTTCGTATACCCCTTTTAAAATCCCTAATAAAAACCCCTCCCTTTTTAAAATCCCTAATAAAAACTTGCTGGCTTTGTGGCTCAGGGGACATCACAGACCTACCAATATGTGATGTTACCCCTGGAGGCCCAGCTGTAAAATTCCTCTCTTTGTACTCTTTTTATTTCTCAGACAGGCTGACACTTAGGGAAAATAAAAAGAACCTATTTAAATATTGGGGGCTGGTTCCCCCGATACTTTCAACTGCCTGTATTTATGAATCCACTGGAAAACATGTGCCTCTTGTTAGTTATATTCCCTAAATGAATTTTGAGAGGTTGGAAATTTTTAGAGCTTTATAGGTTTAAAGTGTTTAACTGTAAACACTTTAAAACATTAAATTTACCCAGAGACTTGCCTGGCACAACAGCACTAAATAAATATTTGATGAAATGAGAAATAAAAATTTGTGAATGCTCAAAAAACAGAACTCCACCCTTGAGGTATCTCACTCAAAGAGAGAATAGGTGAGACAGTCTCTCATTTCCAAATTATGCAAACTCTACCCAACAAATAACAGTTATACTTCTATAATCCCCCTTCTTACACTGGCCATATATATTTTGGGCATTCACATTTTTCAGATTTTAAAGAAATAATACTAGTGTACATGTCAGATATTAAACAATATCCCTTCAAAACTGGGCTACACCCCATAAGCAGATGCATTTAACAGTTTTGGCAGCAAAATAAAAATACACTAATTAGGACAAATAAAGACTTCAAACTACTACTATCCATTCCAATCAAGTCTTATTGCTGAATGAGAGCAAAAACCTTAATTATTTTAGAATGATGGGTAGGAAATGTGGATGTATGGGTGTGAAGCAGTTAAGTGGAAGTAGAAAGCAGAAAGTTCACATGGATGAGCATTAGAATATCTGAGGTATGATGAGACACTCATTCAGAGTAATTTCCATTGGTTTAATCCCCAGGGCACTTTAGCTAAAAAGTAAGCTAGAACATTAAGAGGTGAAAGACTTAGAACCCCTTACTTTACACATATGATCTTCCCCTAGCCACATACCTGGCTAGTAAAATCCAGTCCCTTTAATTTTATCACAAGACACATATGAACAAAATGGTTTGTTTAGGTATCAGTGCCTCTCCCAGCCCTTTCCTTACATACTAACTTCTTTTATGAAAATGCAAAATAGAAAAAATTTTACATCACAGATACTAAGTTACAATCCTCAGGTGGTGGCTTTTCCCCTTTTATATAATACCATTTCTGACATACCATAACCTCCCATCCCTACCTTACAAAGAAAAACAAACAATTCTCTTATCTGTGGTTCAACTGCCTCCACAATATTCCTATACTTCATGTTTAGTATTCTTTGGGCCCAACCCCATCTGTCCATCCCTATTTCCTTCACTTTTTTCTTCCTTCCTGTAAAAAGCTCCTTTAGCTTCTCTTAGTTTCTGGACAAGAGCCTATTATATAGAAATTCAAATAATATTTGTTGAATTTAATTGTTCTTCTTATGCTCTCACGATGGATTCTGGTATGATCATCCCTACTGAAAATTAGTCATGTCATCTTAACTACATCCAATCTAGTCTAAGTATAACAAGGCTGACAGAGCACTCCTCTTTTCCACACCTACTTAATAACAGCAATGACAAAAATTTCAAACAAACCTACTGTCAAACAAAAAACAAAAACAAAAAAAGGAAATACTAGCCACATCTAAGAGGAGTATGAATACAAGACACAGGGAAATCACACTGCAAAAACATCCCAATATAAGCCCCATGTACCATACTTTTGATGTGCCTCCAGAAAATATTTAATATTCATAATCTACATAATTTTAGAATTAGCCTGTGTACATACTATGAATGAGGATATCCAAATCTGCACTATTGATACTGTGAAATTCATGCAGAAGATTCAGTTAAGTTCTTGCCTGTGCCTTTCCAATCCTTTATTTTCTTTCTTCATACTCACTTTCAACAGCACTGATGAGTTTAAAAAAAAAGGGGGGGGGGGGGACAGGTGGTATAGCCTAGCACTGAAATTATGCTAAATAAATGTAAAAATAAAACAAACACCAAACACCAAAAACAAACCCAAAAGACCAAAAATAAATACAGGGTTGGTATCTAAATGATCTATAAAAATCAGTCTTTTTAGTTACTAGGAATAGGGGGAAGAATTTTTCTAAAATAACTTCAATACCAGCTTTGCTTAACACATTTTAAAAAAAAATGATACAGAATTTTAGGTGTTCAACACAGATATCTCAAGTTCTAAGCATCAAAGCTGAATATGATTCTATTAAAATTATAATTCTGTGCTGCTGCAGGAAAAAAATTCACATCTGTACATACTACCACGGAACTATGAGAGAACTGATGAAAGGATGGATATACATAAATAGCTTTTAAACTTTTAAAAATGTTTTAAAACATGTTTCTAAAATCTTAACCAAAATGAAAACATTTTCTTAAAAATTTTCTTTAACTCTTCTCTATACCTATTTATTCAAGTAAATGTTCTATAGTATAAATCCATTATTGAAAAACAGTGTTTTATAACCTATTTTATCAATGACCTTTGAATCAAATTGGGGAAAACATTACTTCGGTAAAGAATATCAGCCGGGCACAGTGGCTCAAGCCTGTAATCCCAGCACTTTGGGAGGCCGAGGCGGGCGGATCATGAGGTCAGGAGATCAAGACCATCCTGGCTAACACAGTGAAACCCCGTCTCTACTAAAAATACAAAAAATTAGCCGGGCGTGGTGGCAGGCGCCTGTAGTCCCAGCTACTTGGGAGGCTGAGGCAGGAGAATGGCATGAACCCAGGAGGCGGAGCTTGCAGTGAGATGAGATGGCGCCAGTGTACTCCAGCCTGGGTGACAGAGCAAGACTCTGTCTCAAAAAAAGAAAAAAAAAAAATATATATATACACACACACACACACACACACACATACACATATATATACGTGTATATATACATATATATACATATATATACACGTATATATATGTGTGTGTGTGTATATATATATATAAAAAACAAAATCCAGTTCAGCTGCTTAATACACTATAGGAAAATAAATAATTTACTATGCTTTCACTTTATTTATGTCTTTCTGCTAAAAACATGAAGATTTACTAATGATGCTGACTGAAGTTTAGCAAGCATTTTATGTATATTATCACAGTTTTGAGATCTGCTTAAACAGTATCGACAGTCTTCAAAGAAACATGACTTTGCAATGTATTTTAAGTAAAATTTAAGTTTGTTCAAAGCATTATACGCATACTAAAAACTTGCACTGTTACGATCTTTTGAAAGAAAACAAAAAGCAAAGTTCTATATTTCTACCTGGTCTTGGTACTGGCTGGGCTGCAGGAGTCTGAGTCTTCCGGGCAGATGCACCCTCCTTTAAAAGAATAAGAATTGATATATAAGATCAAAGTTTCTTTACATAATAAACACTTTAATTATTCCAAAGAAATCTCATATCTCTCTGTCTCTTGTTCTGTTTTTCTCACTCAGTTGGTTACTCCACTGAACATGTTATGACCTACAGTTTAAGAAAAAAATAAAAATGAAAACTCTCCTGATCTTTTATGCTATTAAGTCATGAGATCATAATAAACATCTTTAGCATAAAATAAACTTAGTTACTACAGAGTAGTTACTGTAAGCATGTAATATTTTTAAATGATTTGCTTAACTGCTGACAATTTTAATATTCTCAGAAATGTCACTGCCTGTTCTAAAATCAAGTCAATCTTTTTTTCTCTAGACAATCTCAAAATAAATAAATGATATATACCCTCCTGTTGGAAAAACCTAAAATATGTTATATTGGAATGTATTTAAAAAACAAACATTTCAAATAATTAAATGCCTTTAAAATATTCAGGAAAAATCACATTTATAAAGAAGAGATGTTACATTTGAATTAAGAGCAGATGAGAGTATCTTAAAAACTAAACAACAAATCTCAATAATTACTGAAAATGTAAGATGTACATGGAAATATGGTAAGTGTTGAAGTATATCAATTATATACTCAAGGATAGATGCCTCTGAAATGCTTAAGATTCTTAAAATGTCTGTTTTTAGTGCAAGTTTCAATCATATTCACAGTGATATTTCATAATACATTTTTCTTTATAGAAAGTTGCAAGTGTAAATTTCATAACTATGAATTCATAAAGACTTTACACTAGTGGTACATAACAGAAGGAAATTTGACAAATTATCAGGGGAGGTACATAAATATATAAAAATTAAAATCAATATTAGCATCACAAAAAACATTTCCAAAGAAATACTGCTAAATACTAATTATAATTACATTACATTTTCTTCAAAATTTGAGATGGTAAACGTGGTAAAACTGTTTGAAATAGCAGGCTATCCCATGGCATTTTTAAAAAAATAAATGACTATAAAAATGAGTACAGGAGAAAAAAGACTTTCACTTCAATACAGTGGTATTCCTAGCATTCAGTTAGAACATCACAGAAACCATTCTTTATTACAAGAAACAACAGCCGCAGGAGCAGGTAGGTAGCAAAAACTCCAAGAAGGAAAAAAAAAAAAAAAAAAGACACCTGAGGACAGCAAAATATCCTTTTTCCAACATTCTCACTATTGCGCATTTAGTTATTAATATATATTGGTGTATTTACTACTGAGTCATTCTGGGTGCTGGTTTCATAGATGTATTGTTTGTAAAAATTTATCAAGCATACTTATGATATGGTTTTCCTCCAGTTATATTACATTCAGGTAAAACTTTAAATGTAAAAAAAAAAGTGAGTCATAAGGTGGAGAGCATATCAAATATTTAACATCATTATGATGTGGGGGAACCTTCTGATTATATTTGTCTCTAAGTTCATGTTAGGGGACATAACTGTTTTTATTATTCTTTGTAATTCCAGTACCTGGAGCATAATAGGCTCTGGGCACTGCAGCTAGTTGAACTGAACTGCACCTAGATTTTTAAAAAAATCAGAAGCCAGCGGATAATCATTAAATAGGAATCCATTAAAAGGAACATTAGCCCCTATATAAAGAATCAACTAGACATTATATAATAAGAGTAAACTAATCATATTACTTACCTATTCTAGTATGTAAATACTGACTCGTGGGGATGTGATTTAAGAGGAAATACATAGAAAATGAGACAGAAAAACAATGAGCAGGCATATATGCAGACATCTTCTGTCCACATTT
Source organism: Homo sapiens (assembly GCF_000001405.40). Taxonomy (NCBI): domain Eukaryota; kingdom Metazoa; phylum Chordata; class Mammalia; order Primates; family Hominidae; genus Homo; species Homo sapiens. Next base: position 193,201,977 of record NC_000001.11, on the reverse strand, counting down.
AACCATGAGTCTGGCTAGATTCAAATCAAAGCCCTTCTTTTTTTTTGGAATAGAGTGGCCTAAGTTCAAAATCACCAGAATAAAAATTATGTGCATATAAAGATAACTACACAAACCGAAAGTGATCCAATTAACTACTGAATTAGTTGTACACCTGTATTATATAACAAAGAGTACGAATTTTACAACATGGGTCAGGCAAAAGGTATAAGCATATGTAAATAATATGGAAAAAAAAACCTTTTCCACTATAAATTGTAACCCTTAGGAATTTTTGTCTATTTTTGAATAAGCTCAAAACTTGATCCTTTTAAATACCAATAATGGGTATTTTCTGTTTCCCTAGTAATAATCCTTGTTTGATGACCCAATCACTCCCTTTTGGCAATAAGCTCTATCCCCTGGTCACTAGGAAAGGTTTATATCCTAGACTACATCAATCAAAAGTCCTTCTCTGGGATTATTTTTTACAGACTAGAGCTAGCTGTTAAAACCACTAGCTACAAGGAAATAAGCCTAAAATCACTGATGATGATGACCCTTGACTCATGGAGAAAATGCATTGGCAGAAAGAGAGAATTAAGCTATAACGCAAGAAAAGAGGTAGAATATAATACACTTTATAATATCTACTATCTATTTCTAGTGGCCTGCAAGACCTACTTTACCCTTAACCATTCTTGATTACATGAGTCAAATCTCCCATCTCAGCACTCTACAAACCCCACACACACTTTCATTTGCCTCAGTTGAATCAAAGTCCTGTCTGTTGCAATAGAAAAAAAATGTTACCTAATTTTGTCTTCTCAAGGCTTACTGAAAATTTCAGTTGCCAAGGTCAGTACAGTACAACTTTAATTTTTGAGTTGGTATACACACCCACCCCCGCCAATACACATACAAAGAGTTATACAGTTGTGACACACAACAGACTAATGACAAAACAGTAGAATATGACCTTCTTGGAACAAAACTGGGAAGTTCTTTGCAAATCATGTCATGAATTTATAGCCATTTCTAGGACTCCCCAGCCAACACCACCCAAGAGGCTAAAAGCACATTCTACTCTGATTTCCATTATTTTTAAGTAAAGGTGGAGTAGTCACTGCATAACGGAATGCAGAAATCAACCCCACCACCCTCCACCCTAAAGATGAAGAGACAAAGGTGAAGTCATTTTTCAAAGGCTATACGCACGCGCGCACACACACACACACACGGAATGTATTAAGAAACAGAAAAAATAATCTGGAATATGGAACAGACTGACAATTCCATATTTTTAAAGATTTGGATTGGAAGAAAAAACACTACCCAGCGGGGAAAAGAAAGGTATCGGCACAAAAACAAAAGAGCTGACAAGTTGTGCTAAGTGGAGAGGAAAACCTGCTTTCTCTTGAAAAGTCAGAAGCATTATAATTTCACCAAGACTTGAGGCATTCTAGAAAAGTAATAACTGAATTAACACAGAAGGGAAAAACAGTGAGAGAACCACATTTGCGAAGAATAAAAATACAAAACAAAGTATGCTGTTTACAAGCAATCCTTGCTTTCATTATTTTAGCAAATGAGATCATCTAAAATCTTCTGATATTTGCAAAGTACCAGTATGTGCTGCTTAAACAAGTGGAACAGATATCGTAATATATAATACCATCAGAAAAAAATATTTGTTGCAAGTGAAAAAGAACACACTATATACATTATATTTAATTTTAAAATGTTACCTGAAACAGTGAAATATTGAAAACTTTTTTTTAAAAAAACAGGATCTCACCCAGGTTGCAGTGCAGTGGTGCAATCTTGGCTCACTGCAGCCTTGACCTCTGGGGCTTAAGCAGTTTTCTCACCTCAGCCTCCAGGCACGCACCACCATGCCAGGCTAGTTTTTGTTTTTTGTTTTTTTTTTTTTTGGTGGAGACAGGGTTTCGCCATGTTGCCCAGGCTGGTATCAAACTCCTGAGCTCAAGTCTCCCAAAGTGCTAGGATTACAGGTGTGTACCACCACGCTTGGCCTGAAAGTTTTTATGAAGAAAACATATATAGAACATATATGCAGACTCCAGGAGTTTCCTATCTACTTTTCTGTTGTATTAATAAGGGCAAAAGTCACATATGTTTTAAAAATTATTTAAATAATAGTCATACCCTTGAATGCTTTTACCTTTATTTTAAAAAGTAACTTATTCCTATGAATTCTGGATAATTAGAATTCCCAAAGATTAGAATGTTTAAATATGTGTGTGAATTTCTTTTTTTTTTTTTTTGAGATGGAGTCTTGCTCTGTCACCCAGGCTGGAGTGCAGTGGTGTGATCTCGGCTCACTGCAACCTCTGCCTCCCAAGCTCGAGAGTCTCCTGCTTGAGCCACTCAAGTAGCTGGGGCTACAGGTGCGCACCATCAATGTCCGGCTAATGTTTGTATTTTTAGTAGAAACAGAGTTTCACCATGTTGGCCAGGCTGGTCTCAAATTCCTGACCTCAAGTGACCCACCCGCCTCTGCCTCCCAAAGTGCTGGGATTACAGGCATGAGCCATCGTGCCCGGCCTGAACTTCTAAACACATTGAATGAGTCTTTTTTTTAAGGGATCAGGCCTCATTTTGTTGCACAAGTTGGTCTCAAACTTCAAGCAAACCTCCTGCCTTGGCCTCCTAAAGCGCTGGGATTGCAGGAGAGAGCCACCATGTCCAGCTAGTCTTTTAAAAGAGTGTTTTGAGAAACCTGTTGTAGAAAAAGGAAACAGCAATTCTGGGGACAAATTACAATGAGGCTAAAAAACATAAAGGATTTTAGAAGCAAAACATTTCAACATAAATAATAAGCACAATTTTTTTAAGACTTCTTATAACCTTGAGGTATATGTATACGATATGTTGCTAACATAGAAAACAATTAACATACTTATAAAGCATAGTACTTCCCTCCCTTTAAATATACAGATAAAGGGCTATAAAATTTAAAAATAAATTTATCTTTCTTTCCCTAAGCCCAGAAACTCTCTCCAGAGAAGTAACCACTTAAACGGCTGAGACATGTTCTCTCTCATCACCCAACCTCTAAACAAACTGATTAAGGTAGATGTTGTATCTATTGTACGATGAGAAAATTAAACTACAACAAACAAACAAGCAAAAACCAGTTACTTGCCCAGGTCACATGCCTAGTAAGCAGAACAGATCTGGGCCTTTTTGAATCCAAAGCCTATGCTTTCTAACTACTAATACCTTGTAACCTCTGATTTGAAGACTTCCCTTCACAAACTTTTTCTCTCTTTCCTCATTCTCTCTCTTCCCTTAATTCCAATGTTCCCTTGTTTTGACCTTTTGGCATTTTCTGGATACCTTTATCATGTCTTAGGACATTTGTGCTACTATACCAAAATACCACACACTGGGCAATTTGTAAATAACAGAAACATATTTCTCAAAATTCTGAAGGCTGGAAAATCCAAGATCAAGGCACCTGCAGGTTTTGTGTCTCTCTGCTTCCAAAATGATGTCTTATTGTTGCATCCTCTGGAGGGGACAGACAGTGTCTTCACATGGTGGAAGGTGGAAGGGCAAAAAAGAATTTAAGCTAATTCCCTCCAGCCCTTTTACAGGGCATTAATTCATTTGTAAAGACCATGCCCTCATGACTTAATCACTTTCCAAATGGTCCTACTTCTTAATATCACCACAGTGGGGATTAATTTTCAACACACAAATTTTGGGAGGCATTCAGACCATAACACCTCATTATACTATATAATTCCCTAATTATTTGTCTGCTTCCCCCAATCAGACTGCAAGGTACTTTACTTCCCATCAGAAACTACTACTCCTCCAATCTTGATACAGCCAGGTGCATGGCAGGTGTTTAATCACTATACACTGACTAATTAAAACAAATATATTTGCCTTAGGATTACTGATTCATGAGTATTACATTGAGTAAAAACTGCTTTATCTATTAAATGAATATGGCAAAAATAACTGTCACACAGGATTATTAAGAGAATTAAACAACATTCATTCTTTGCACATACACTTTTTTTTTTTTTTTTTTTTGGTGAGATGGTATCTCACTTTGTTGCCCAGGCTGGAGTGCAGTGGCGCAATCTCAGCTCACTGCAACCTCCACCTCCCAGTTCAAGCGATTCTTGTGCCTCAGCCTCCTGAGTAGCTGGGAGTGCAGGCGTGCACCATCAAACCTGGCTAATTTTTCTATTTTTAGTAGAGACGGGGTTTCACCATGTTGGCCGGGCTGGTCTTGAACTCCTGACCTCAAGTGATCCACCCACCTCAGCCTCCCAAAGTGCTGGGATTACAGGCACGAGCCACCGCACCTGGCCTCTACATACACTTACTGAAAGCATAGTAAGTGCCAGATAAGAAAACAGAAATGCAGAAATATAAACAAGAGCACGAGGTCCCTACCCTCATGGTGCTTGCAATCTAATGAAGGAGCTCGATAATAAATACATGAAATGAAAAAATTATTAATACAATTACATATGTATTTAGTTACTTGCAATATGCATATGTGTTTCTGTCTGTGTATTTTCAGCTCACTGCCCAAAATAAAGTTGGACTAATAACTGTTAAACAATTTTCTTTTAACACTCTTTATGTAAGGATAAGTCACGACCTAGCAAACTGAATTCAGCAGCAAATTAAAAGTATTATATACCATGACCTAATGGGATTCATTCTTGGAATGCAAAGGTGGTTCAACATATGAAAAATCAATGTATTAATATTTAATAATACACCACATTAACAGATAAAGGTGAAAAACCCTCATGGTCATCTCAAATGATGTAGAAAAAAAAGACAAAAATTAATACTCTTTCATTAAAACATTTAAAAATTCAACTAGGAATGGAAGGCAATGTCCTCCACATAATAAAGATACATATGAAAAACCCACAGCTAACATCTTACTCAATGGTAAAAGACAAAGCTTTGTCCCTAAGATCAGGAACAAGACAAGGATGCCCACTTTCATCACTTCTATTCAACATAATACTGAAAGTTCCAGCCAGAGAAATTAGGCAAGAAAAACAGAAGGCATTCAAATTGGAAAGGAAGAGGTAAAATATGTTTGCAGATGACAAGATTTGTATGTTAAATAACCTAGAAATGACACCAAAAAAGTTATATTAATAATAGACAAGTTCTGCAAAGTTGCAGAATACAAAATCAACACACAAAAATTAGTTGTGTTTCTATACACTAACAATAGATGGTCCAAAAAGTAAATTAAGAAAACAATTCCACTTACAATAGCATTAAAAAGAATGAAATACTTAGGAATAAACTTAACCAAGGAAACAAAAGACTTGTACACTGAAACTATAAAATATTGCTAAAAGAATTAAAGACACAAACAAATGGAAAGACATTTGTATTCAGGGACTAGAAAAATATTAAGATTTCTATACTATCAGATGCACAACACAATCCCTATCAAAACTCAACATTTTTGCAGAAATAGAAAAACTCATCCTAAAAGTCACATGGAATCTCACGGGACCTCAAATACTTAGCCAAACTCATTGTGAAAAAGATCAAAGTTGGAGGACTCAAACTTCCAGATTTCAAAACTTACTGCAAAGCAACAGTAAACAGAAGAGGCATAAAGACAGACATACAGATTAATGGACTAGAATACCCAGAAATAACCTCACACGTATATGGTCAACTAATTTTTGACAAGGGTGTCCAGACCATTCAATAAGGAAAGGACAGCCTTTTCAACAAATGGTGCTGGGGAAACTGGATAGCCACACGCAAAAGGACGAAGTTGGACCATTACTTTAAACTATATACAAATTTAACTCAAAAAGGATCAAAAGACTAAACTTAAGAGTGAAAACTATAAAACTCTTAGAAGAAAACAGAGGAAAAGCTTCATGAAACTGAATTTAGCACTGATGTCTTGGATATGAAACCAAAAGTACAGACAACGGAAAAAGAAACAAACTGGATTCCATCAAAATTTAAAACTTTTGTGCAAAGGATATCAACACAGTGAAAAGGCAACCTACAGGAAGGGAAAAAATATTTGCAAGTCACACATATAAGAAATTAATATCCAGACTATATAAAGAACTCCTGCAACTCAACAACAACAAAACACAAACCAGCCAATTTAAATATGGGCAAAGGATTTGAATAGGTATTTCTCCAGAGATACAGATGGCTAATAAGTGCATGAAAATACACCAGACATCACTAATCGTTAGGGAACAGCAAATCAAATACCATAAGACATTACTTCAAATACATTTGAATGGTTATTATCAAAATCCAGTAACAAAATAAGAAAGTAACAAGTATAAATGAGAAGATGGAGAAATTGGAATTCTTACATATGACTGGCAGGAATATAAAATGGCACAGCTATTGTGAAAAGTGTATGATGGTACTCCAAAAATTAAACAAAGAATTAACATATGATCCAACAATTCTGTTTGAGTATATATATCCAAAAAAATTTGAAATCACGGACTTAAACAGATATTTTTACACCCAAGTTCATAGCAGCATTATTCACAATAGGCAAAAAGTAGGAATAACTCTAATGAACGTCAACACATGAACAGATAAATTATATATATACACAATGGGATGTCATTTAGCCTTAAAAAGGAATGGAATTGTAATACGTGCTACAACACAAATGAACCTTGAAAACATTACGCTAAACGAAATAGGCTGGACAAAAAAAAAATTCTGTGTGGGTTTGTGACGGTGTTTCTGGATGAGATTAATGTTTGAATAGGAAGATTGAGTAAAGCAGATTCCCATTCCTAATGTGAGTAGGCTTCATCAAATTCAATGATGGTCTGAATATTACAAAAGGGCAGAGTTAGAAGAGAATGCACTCTCAGCTGGCTGACACAGATCCTGAGACTTCTTAGACTCCATACCTGTGTGAGTCAATTCATTGTAACAATCTCCATATATACATATGTGTGCTTATGTTTTGTGTGTTAAACCACCAGTAAAATAAATACTAATAACTAATATACTAAATCTATATGTGTGTATATGTACATACACATATAGAGATTTATTTCACAAATTATAAACAGATATAGAAACAGATTCTATTGGCTTCATTTCTCTAGAGAACCCAGACTAATATAGCAATTCAAATTGGAATCAAAAGAGATAAAAGGTGATACAAATCACAAAATCTTTAAAAGGGGTACTCTTGCATATTAGAAAAACTTTTTTCATTTACGTACCTACTGATTAAAAAATGACATCCATGTGAATGTAGTTGAAATGTTTTATCACAGAACTGCAATTAGCAAAAATCCAAGCATGTCTATAATGCTTGGATTAATATCAAAGTCTATAATGATCTCATATCTTAGGGCACAGATGAATGATTCTGTCATAAGTCTCTCTGAGGTTTAATAAAACCACTATGTTCATTTAAAACTGGCAGAATTATTTTTATAGTGGCAGAGAAACATGGATAAGGTAGATGGTACACATAATCATTTGTGTAACATATGGGTCCATGAACTAAAAGAATATACCAAATAACCAGAAGTGTTAATCAGCGTGAAAAAAGTTGATCTGTAAGTCTTAAGAGCTATGTTCCAGCTTTGACTTGCCACAAAGTGAGGAACTTTGAGAAAATCACTGCCTCTCAGGGTCTTAGTTACTTCACCTATAAAGTGAGAAAAATAAATTTTTAGATGACCTCAAAGGTCCAATTCTGCTCTGAAATTTCATTTTTCTAATGTAAATAATACCTTTTCACTAGAAACAATGCCACTGTAGTACAACCTTGAATGTGCAATTAACTGATTTAAGTTTGAAGACATAATGCAAAATGGGTTTCTTCAAAGGTAGAAGAATGGTATACCATATAAATTTGCTCTTCTTTTGTTCCATGTAAATTAAAACATATTCTCCTGCCTAGTTCCTTCTATCACAGGGTATATCTTTGTAATCAGTTATTAGTTTAGCTGTTTTGGGAATCACAGAATTATAGTTACTGGCATACATGTAGAAAGATAAGTAACAACATTACAAGCTTTAAAAGAAAACATTTAGTATGATTCAATAAACTGACTGAGGAAGCTACACTGAAACAAATCTGTATGTATACTTAACTACCTGAAACCCATCACTGCCCCACAACACACACACACACACACACACACACACACACACACACACACACACACACTACAAGTAAGACAGCTGAAATGTTCTGGAACGTTATAAATTCTGGAGACAGTAATAAATTCTGTGAAAAGTTAGAAAAGGGTATATAAAACTCAAAGGTGAGAGAAAATCAGTGAAAAAGAAATATACAATATGTTCATTAGCAAATAATTAAGGATAAATGGAGGATATAAACAGAAATACTACATTTTTCTTTTTTTGGCTCACTAAAACTCAGCAATTCTATTTTCTATGAGACCACATCTTATTTAAAATGGGTGAAAATACAGGAAATGCATGAGAAATCAAAAGAATAACAACATAATACAAACCAAGTTCAATTGGGAACACAAAAGTATCAAAACACAGTGAAAATGAGTGACACCATATGAATTTCAATTAAGAGTTTATATATGAAAGACAAAATTTAAATACCACTTATTTCCAATTATCTTGCTATCTTTATAATGATCTATGTATCCATCAAGGCTATCAGTTTCTTCAAAGAAAGGAACCTATTGATGCATCTCACAACCCCTTGTAGCTTGCATATAAAAAATGCTTAATGTATTTGCCAAAGGTTAGCAAACCCCTTATACAGCCTAAGAAGTTGGGGGCAGGGCACAGAATCAAACCCTAAAAGTCAAACATTATCTCTTGGTCTGTAATCCTATAAACTTGGCATGTCTCTTGTCTGCTTTGCTGTAAGGGTTTGCTGTAGGGGCTTGGTCAGGGTGGTGGGAGAAATTATAAAATTACAGGAAAAAAGCAAACCTTCTTGGAAGGCCGGAAGGTTTTGCAAAAGCCTCTGGATAGGGTTATGGCTGAAAGCAGCCTAATTCTCTTACCTTGAGTTAACAGCTCAGAGTAGGTAAAAAGGAATGTAAGGGAGTTTATCTAAAGAGCTTGTTTACACATGTGGTCCTAAGACTGGCTTTTGATCATTCATAGGACTGCTCTCTCCAGCGGAGGGTGACCAGATTAATTAACCACACACGTGTTGACTCAATGCCTTTGTCATTAAATCTGTGCTGAATAAATGCCGGCAAGGCCAGTTAGTTGGCACGTGGCTGCCACAACTCCTTCTGTGAGTGGCCCCCTGCTCTTTCACTGAATATCAGTGTCTGAGTACGTTATTCATCCATCGTGCAGCCTGGTTCTGTAGGTCAGACCCCGGCACTTCGCAAAGTTCCTTTACACTGAAGTCCCTATTTCTAATCGGGCCATAACCAATCATACTGAAGATGGCTACATGAATCAAGCATGTTCAATGTTCCCTTCTTTCTTCAAAAAAGCCCTTTAGGAAAAAAAAATTCTATTTACTTACTTCCAACACTTGCTTTCTTGTTTTGTCTTTTATGAGACAGTGTCTCACTCTGTCGCCCAGGCTGGAGTGCAGTGGCGCGATCTCGGCTCACTGCAATTTCCGCCTCCCAGGTCCAAGTGATTCTCGTGCCTCAGCCTCCCAGGTAGCTGGGATTACAGGCATGTACCACCACGTCTGGCTGATTTTTGTATTTTTAGTAGAGATGGGGTTTTGCCATGTCAGCCAGGCTGGTCTTGAACTCACAATCTCAGGTGATTCGCTCATCTCGGCCTCCCAAAGTGCTGGAATTACAGGCATGAGCTACCATGCTTGGCTCCCAACACTTGCTTTCTATTCGTATCTACTACAGCCATTAAAATAAATACTTTCTGATACTAATAATTTATATTAGGGTAACTATGCCTCTTTGCAAAGTTTTAGTAGAATTTTAAGTTTCGATATTTTACATATACTTGAATTTACAAATTGTTTGTTATACTTTAAATAAATTAATAGTGTTAATAATTTTAAATATCAAGAATATGCTGGGTTTGCAGAGAATGGAGAGTAAGCTGCCTGAAATAATTTATTCAAAGGTGCTGACCCAGTGGATGTCACAGTTCTATCAAATTCAACACATGCCCTTTATATTTACTTTACATGGAACAAGTATTTATATAAGAAATACTTTACAATGACCCCTCTTAACTACCTGAAATGAAATGCACAGGTAATACAACCAATCTACATATATATTTTAAAAATTAATACACTAATACAAATAAAATTTTTAAAGACATTAATGATAGAGGCCAGGTGTGGTGGCTCAGGCCTATAATCCCCCGCACTTTGGGAGGACGAGGTGGGCAGATCACTTGAGGTTAGGAGTTTGAGACCAGCCTGCAACATGACGAAACCGCGACTCTACTAAAAATACAAAAATTAGCCAAGTGTGGTGGCACACGCCTGTAATCCCAGCTACTCGGGTGGCTGACGAAGGAGAATCACTTGAAACTGGGAGGTGGAAGTTGCAGTGAGCCAAGATCACGCCACTGCACTCCAGCCTGGGCAACAGAGCGAGACTGTCTCAAAAAACAAACAAAAAGAGAGATTTATGATAAAAATATGCATTTCAGTATGTAAGTCTCAGACATGATTATACCAGAAGATATACTAACCAGATGCTAATACCTATACATAAAGTCATAGTGAATGTAACAATTACAAATGCCCATAGACTGGTATATTGGTGACTCAAATGCCATGAACACAATTTCATTTTTTGATATGGTGAACCATTGGCCAAGTTTAGAACAAAGCAAAGTACAAGCTTCCCTCACTGTACACTGTAGTTACATTTCTAGATAATTCAGTGCACGTTAAAACTGAACAAAATATACTTTATGTTCCAACAATGTTTTAAATTTACTTAATTATAAAAAAGTGTTTCACCTACACAGATAGCCAATGAAACACTCAGAAGTCCTGCAGAACACAGAGCTAGTCTTTGCTGTTTACAAAGACTGTCCCACACACTACTGGACTACTACCTACCCTGGCCCTAAAATGCCCTTAAAAATCATTCTGTTAACTAGAAACATCCTCACAAACTTCTAGAACACCTCGTAGAAATCAGTACTACCCCTACCACTGCCCCCTTGAGAACCACAGCTCTAAGAGTATTATTCCTGACTGAAACAGCTGTGCCTCAGAAAAACCAAGGAATACACAAGCATAATAAAGTATTTGCCAAATCACTGCTGATTGTAAATGCTCATTGTTAATAGTTTGCATGAATTAAAACAGATAAAGGTGTCTATAATTAGTTCTGAAAGAGACACTTAAATTTAGCTTTGTTTTCAAGTCAAAAGAAATTCTTAAACAACATGCCTATCTGCTGCACAAGAAAACTGAAGGAGAAAAATAAGGCAGGCAAACACTGACACTTGTGGTCATTCTGAGATTGCTTATTTGCAATCAGGCTAATTCTTGCTTTGTGAGTTCAAGGAAAGTAAAGCTGGTTCATAAATCATCCACTGACTTTAGAGGAAAATTACAAGCTTTTAATAAACATTTGACTTCTCTTCAAAAAGGGGAAACTACCTATACTAATATTAAATAACCAAAAACAAGCCATTTGTCCAAATCCCTTATGTAATGAAAAAGACTGCATCTGATTATAAATAAAAACAGTCAAGAGAAATAAACTCCAAGCAAACATCATGCAAAATTGTCTAGTCATCTCAATAAAACTAAAATTGGTCTCTAAATAATTGTGTCAAGTGACAGTTTTCAGAGTGGTATGGTGGAAATTATACCTGATCTAAAACATTAAGATTTTTGTCCAACATGGGAAAAAATAGCTGGTATTTCTGGTAAGTCCTAGCTGAAATTAATTCCTTGAATTCAGGGACCAACCACTCATAATAAAGCACAAACAGGAAAGGAGACCAATATAAGAAGACCAGATTCATGTCTCCCTTCTAATGTTACTCAAGGATTTTGCTCATTCCCATTAGATGAAAATCATCCACCCTGGTTGAAGTGCTCTCCCCCTACCTTTCTCTTTTAATCTTTTTACCAAGGACATATTGTTGAATGTACATACATAGATAAACAGATGATGTAACTCCATGAGTTACTATTTAGTAGCCACTTGAACAGCAGATTTACATCTGATTCAACATGTAATAATCATTCAAAACCATTAACTACATGAATACAAAAATAATTATTCCTATACCCAGTAAAAACTGACAATTAGGAGGCATTACAATTCCTGTCTTTAAATTCTGACTCCTTGAAGTCTATACTAGACATGCCCAGGAAAATGCTAAAACCGGCCTGGACAGCTCTGGCCATGATGCACATAGTAACGGCCACCTATTTTGCCATCACGGATGTGTTGTAGGATTAAAAATAGACTTATGCAAGTGACAATTACAAGCCATTTATAACTATAAAACTTAACAAAATAGCTGCCAGTTTGCTGAATCTGAAAAAGAAACCTGTCACATTTACTGAATTAGTTTAACCATAGAATTCAGATGTTAAAAGAAACTAGACTAAAGGAAGAACTTCTACAAGCTCTCCTGTCATAAGATTTTTACAGTTTCTCTTGACTGGAAACATGTAGGTTGCTACAAAAAGTTACTAAAGGAACTTTTATCTCACATCTGCCCTGTTTTCCTGAACTTTACGTAAAGTTCTTAACTAGCTTAACTTAAATTTAACAAACAGGTTGGCTGGGCACTGTGGCTCACGTCTGTAATCCTAGCACTTTGGGAGGCCAAGGCAGGTGGATCACCTGAGGTCAGGAGTTTGAGACTGGCCTGGGCAACATAGTAAAACCTCACTTCTAGTAAAAATACAACAATTAGCCGGGTGTGGTGGCACACGCCTGTAATCCCAGGTACTCGGCAGGCTGAAGCACGAGAATCTCTTGAACCTGGGAAGCAGAGGTTGCAGTGAGACAAGATCGTGCCACTGTACCCCAGCCTGGGCAATAGAGCAAAACTCTGTCTCCAAAAAAAAAAAAAAACAGACAGACAGAAAGAAAGAGGTTGCAGCTGTACTTTTAAAGTATGAAGTAAATTCCAGTTAAGTACATAGGCACCTTTTGTTAGTAATATTTGGAAGTTTCTTGCTGTTTAAATACTTGTCCCATAACAAGCAGTTCGGGGCGGGGGGGTCCCACTGGAAATTCAGGGACTCAATCCGATACTGGAGGGACCCACTAATGAATACGTTACCCATATAACTCTCTTAATAATCAAAATCTATAATAATCCAGGGAGACATTAAAAAAATCCAATCAAAAGAACTGGCAAAAGAATAATAATTATTTAGTCCTTTCCTGGAGAAAGGGGTAGGGAATGTCTCTAAATCAACTTTGTATCCCCTATACTTAATAAGCTATGCCTAAATGCACATGTTGGTACACAGTAGTTAATCAATATGTACCTGTTGAAAAAGTGAAAATATAAACATTCATTTATTATTCTATTAATGATTCCTGGGTATGCTGCGCCAGTGTTCAGAAAAAAAAAAAATCCCACAATTTCTCTAGCAGTGCCATGTAATAAAAAGTTTAAGAACAGAGAATAATGATAGTACTAGATAGATTTAAAAAGAAAACAAAAACACAGAGGATAAGAATTTAGATAATCTTGCTTCAATTCCCAGCTTGGCCTCTATTCTTATCAGTATTTATCTGACATTTGGACTATTTTACAACTCCAGGCACTGGTTCTGCATCTTTTAAGTGGGTATTACAATAATAAAATTATTAGAAAAGAGCCATTTGCATAACAGCTCAAGTAAGCTTAGCACGCAATCTGATTTTCAGTAAATACTCCATAAATGGTCATTGTGGCTAGCTTCATAGTCAAATCCTATGTAAAGAATCACTGATAAATAAATACTGATCTACAAAAACACATCTGTACTTCTGGAAAATAAGTTATTTTAAGTAAGTTCTTAAGCATTACTCTGTTAACTAGTAAACTAATTTTAAAAACAAAACGGTAGTGAGTGAGAATTGCAGTATGGGTGGATATAGACTACAAGGAAGTTGGGTTTTAGTCCTCTCCTTCAAACTTAACTAGGAAAAGTCAAAGCTCAGTCTAGGCTTTAGGTTTCCTATTTATAAAATTCTTTTTTTTCTTTAACGATCCTTCTAACATTTCTAATACAGTGGGGTTCTTAAAACTACAAAGCACATTTCATCAGCAAAGCTCAAAAATATGTGGACAAAATTTTTTTTAATATCAGAGAAAACAAATTCATATTCATTTGAAATAGCATATATTAATGGTGGAGGCAGTGAGATGAAGAATATGTATATAACTGTTAACCTTTAGCTTAAGCTCCAAAACTATAACTTTCTAGGACTGAATTACTGTCCCTAGAGTCACAGAGGAAAAACTGATAATAAAGGCTTTTTACTACAACAAAAAATTTAAAAAAACCTTCCCTACTGCTCTGCAGTAAGAAAAGAAGGTGCCAGCCCCAGAAACTAACCATATTAGAAAAATCTCAGTGAGTGTGTAGTGTTAATAAAATCTGCCTCATGGCAAGTTATTAAATCTTTCTGAAACATTAGAATAAGTAAACATAATTAGTAAAATCTCATTACCCCCAGATCCTGTACAAGTGTGCTATATCTATTACATCATTTTACTGAATTCTACGATACATGTAATTTTAAAGGGAAGGAAAAATAAATAAAAAATAAATGACAACATTAAAAAGTGATTTAAAATAAAGTTTTCTGCCATCAAGAACACCAAAAACCACATAAGAGCAAAAAAGAAGTGGGCTGTATCACATCATGCATTAGTAAAGTAATCCAAGACAGCTTATTTATACAAACCCCAGAAAACGGGGGGGGGGATCTAAATTACAAAGATACATGGTTTCAATAGAAACCATAGGTCTTAACTACATATTAGTAAAAAATCAAGAGCAATTTGAAAGCAGAGAAAAAAAACTTCAAGAAGAGAATGCACTGAAGGGGTTAAATTACACCAACTTACACACAAAAGCTTATACTGCTTACACCCTACAAAAGCATGTAAGAAACATGAAAACCAACATCTAACACAGAAAACACTTAGAAAGCCTGTACTTAAGAATAAAGTTAAAAAAGGAAGTAAGCTGGAAAAAATAAAATCATAACCATTTCATAATCATCACATTTTCAAATTATTCACTCATCACTACACTTGCATTCAACATATATAATTTATCACATAAAAGCAAAATCTCTAAGCTTCTCCCTACCTTAGGTTTTTAGTCAAAATGAATGCAAACAATCACGTGGGATTCAGCCAAGCAGTGACGTTAAATTCTGCTCTGTCAGAGAGAGCATCTGTCAAGCCCACATTTAAACTGCTGCCTGCCTGTGCAGCAGCTGAGGAACCGTGGATTTCATATTATAGACTAAAACCCCATTAAAACTGCTCAAAATCCTTCCTGCAGCTGCCAGGCAACAACGAAAGAAGAGAGGTAAATCCTATTCTTTTCCAATACAACTGAAGCACTACATTTTAGCTCTGGCTGCTTTACATTGCAGCTCAGTGTTATTAGTAGAAATATGGATACTGAGACGAGAACACAGCACTGCATTGTCCAGCCAGGAAAATAGCAGATGTAAAAAGCTTCAATGCATCAACTGTCGGGAAGAGTCAACAGTGCTACAAGCAGAACGGGCAACTACAGCTCTTTTGTTTAACGAAAGAGAGAAAATGAAAGAAAGGGAAAATTTCAGAAGACTAGGACCCATATGAACAAGGAGGGTAACTCGAAGACAAGCAGACAGATGGACACTTTGGATACTGTGAAAAGCAATCGCAGGAGGCAGACTGTTGGGGGATGTGCGCATGTTCGATAGCATCTTTTTTGCTGAAGTGATGGCGTGCCAAAAGTATTTTCAGTGGGCATAATCCTCTTCACATAAATGGCCTGACCAAGGAAGGTATGTCAATATCTTGTGTATGATAGTCATTTAAATGTGTTACCTTTTTATAGCCCTGGAGGCACTAATACCTGATAAGCAAGTTCATACAGCTCACTGCCCTTGAAACTATGAAAAGGTTTCTTAATATCTGATTTTAAAATTTGTCATTGTTTAGAAGACAAGCTGTCACTGCTTTATGCAGCTAAATATGTAGCTTGGAGTAATTCTGGGTAATAGACATCAGAGGGAAAAGGCAAATAAGAAGAAGATGTGTTTAAAGGATTCCTTAAGAAATTAAACTTAAAAAAAAATCTGTAGCCCTTTACAAAAAACACAGCAATATTCTATCAAATTAGGTCAAACTGAATCCTTATCTAGTAAATTAAATGCTCTCTTAAAAATGGCTATCAAAAGACACAATGCAGTGAAATTTCATTAAATAGTAGCAAGGAAAACCTTAAGAGTTTTTTTTTCAAAGTCCTTTTAAAACAAAACCTTAATATGTAACAGCTTTTAGTAACAAAATCTTCCCCAACATCTCCCTAAATGAAGATAATGAACACAACCAAAGAGAGTATCAACAAATTTTAAATATTACCAAGCTACAAGAAGATACTAAAAGGAAAGCATTAACATAAGATCACATAAGGTAGTGTGAGTTTATGCATAACCCCACAATAGAGCCTCGTGTTATTATAGTGACCATGAATAGAACTTTAAACAAAGGGACATCAATAGTGGCTTTAAAAATTAACTATTTTAAATAGCTTACATTTTATGTAAAAGACTGATTCCAAATGATCAAATTTAACGTTGTCTCTGATTATCATTTCAGAAGTGAAATTCAAAAACATAATATGGAAATACTTTGATACAAAAATATCCACAAATGGCAATACAAGGTCAAAAAATTAAATATAAATGTAGCTACTATGCTTCCAGGCTATATTAATATGCAGTAATGAACTACCGCCACTATATGTGTGTGCAGGGCACAGATAAACCAAATAAACTATTTTAGCAACAATCATAGAACAGCAACTCAGGGCTCAAGAACTTAAAGATATTTCTAAAATTCTACAAATCTATCAAAGATCCTGATTTTTCCTCAATTTCACAACACAACTCAGTAATTATCTAATAATCACAAAAGGCAAACATTTTTTAAAAATATGTAAGTACTGCATTCCAAAATGAAGATTAAACAAGTTTACCAGACTCTATTACACCTCAACATCACTCTCACCCATGAATTTTTATTCTAATAAAGACTAATAATAAATAGTACTAAAAAATATGGTTGTAAAAATTTCAAGTCCCTCTTGGTACCTTAATCTCTCAATATTGAAGTCACCAATTAAGCAGTTTTATAAGCTATACATCTCAAAACAAAAGTGTAAGTTTTTCTATTAAACCATCACCAACAGACTAAAGAGATCAACACTTTTA